>NC_000019.10:48490874-49115874 GCF_000001405.40 Homo sapiens | reverse complement strand
ACTCGCCACCACGCTCGGCTTTTTCTTTCTTTTTTTTTTTTTTTGTATTTCTGTGGAGACGGGGTTTCACCATGTTGGCCAGGCTGGTCTCGAACTCCTGACCTCAACTGATCCACCTGCCTCGGCCTCCCAAAGTGTTGGGATTACAGGCGTGAGCCACCGTGCCTGGCCTCAATCTTACTTTTAAACAGAGGAAAGCCAGGCCTGGAGGGAGATCTGAGCCTCCGGACAGCAGCAAGAGGTAGCAGCATCTAACTATTGTGCAGTGAGAGGTCAGAGCGCCATGAGTTTCCTGGTTTGCACTGTACAGATGTTGAAGGTTATCTTCTACCAACCATGCCATACTGTTTCCATTTGCAGTTGCTAAAGATGCCTTAGTATGACATTTAAGTTAAAAATGTGCGATTATTTACTAATAGTAAGGTGGCACATAGATTTAGCAAAAATCATGAGGGAGGAAACAGAAATGACTGGCATGAAGGAGATATTGAGTTCGACTAGGCAGTTAAATAGACACCAGGAGCAATGGGGTGCGGGGCCCACCTTGGCTGTGGCATGGGCTCGGATCTCGGCGCTGCCGGTGATGTCCAGCGTGTCATAAAGCTGCTCATACACCTGGGTGAGGAGGCAGCGGCATCAGGGAGTCGCCAGCTCCTCCAGCCCTAGACGCAGGAGTTCAGGCCTCTAGACCCTCTCCCGCTACCACGCAAGGATCCGCCCCGCCCCCGCAACAGAAGGCCGAGAAAACTACAACTCCCGAAGAACCCCTGAGCTGAAGCGTTGGCACCCCAAGGCGGGCCGCCTCGGGAGCTGCCGGGAGGCGTAGTCTCCGGGCTCGGGACAAGCAGGAGGAGGAGGAGGAGGACGACGGCCACCAGCTCGCGCCCCTGCGCCGCGCGCCCCTCACCTCTCGGATAGCGGAGCAGAAGCGGCTCTGCAGAACTCGCTGGAGGGCCTGCAGCTTCTGCGGCGGCAGCTCCCCGCTGCGCTGGAGCCGCTCGAGGAGCTCAACCGCCCGGGACACGTCTGCGGGGCGGGGGCGGGGCGCAGAAACCCCGAGTGTCAGAGACCCCGAGACGCAGAGAAGCAAGGAGAGCGGCGGAGTGAGGCCGAGCGCACAGTCCGGGGAGGACGGCCGAAGCCTAGTCGGACACCCCGCAGAGTCCAGGGTGGCGCAGGAGAGACTGCCACCAGCGGCCCTGCGGCCCCGGGACCCCTCCACAGGCCGGGTTGTAAGGCGGGCGCCCAGCGTCCCGGCCCGCGCCCAGGGAGCCTCCCACACCTAGCGACCGCCCGGCCCCGGCGCCCGCCCCGCCCACCCCCTCCGGGTCCGCTGGCCCACCCGCACTGGCCTGACCCGGGAAGGGCGGGGACCGGGGGCTGGGTATGTAGGCCGCGGCCCGGGTGGGCAGGGCCCCCTGGCGCACGCTTACCCCGCTCCAGCCCCAGCGGCTCCACCAGCGCAGCCATGTCGGCGCCACAGCTGCCAGCCGCCCGCCTGCCCTGGCGCCGGCGAGGAGGGCGGGGCTGCGCGAGGCCACGCCCCGGGCCACGGGCGCCCCCTGCGGAGGCGCAGCCTGGAGAGCGCCCAGCTCTCCCTCGCCCGACTGCTCCGACCACCTGCCGCGCGCCAGCCGCGCCCTGCCCTCCGCCCCGGCCAGTCGGTCCTGTTGGCGACCCCTCCCACTGCAGGTTCGGTCTGTGTGTACCTTTCAGGATCCGTGTCTGCCTGCCCTCCACACCCGTCTATCCCCTGTCCATCCTTTCCCCACATTCATTCAACAAACTCTTGTGAAACATCTGAGCCCAAGTCATGGACACCGTGGTGAGCAGGACAGCCAAGCCCACGGCCCGAACGAAGCTTCCAGTCTATAGGGGAGGTAGACGACCAACTACGGCTGTGATGAGAGCTGAGAGTGGGGAGGTGATGATCTAGAAAACGAAGGAAATCCTAGAGGAGGGACATTGACATACAGTCCTGGGAGGTAAGATGAACAAGAGGTGGAGCTTGGGTCACCCCCACCACCCAGAAAGAGCCCACGTGGCTGGAAGCAGAGTTAGGATTGGTTGATGATGAGGTGAAAAGGTCGGCAGGATAGTTTATGCCTGGGCTCCTGCGTTGGCATATGCGCCTTGAGGATTTGGGGCTTCATGCAAACTCCTAAGAGAAAAATATGACACTCAAATTTGTATTATTATTATATTATTATTATTATTATTTTTGAGACGGAGCCTCGCTCTGTCGCCCAGGTTGGGCCTCAAATTTGTATTTTAAGATCACTGGGGCCGGGCACGGTGGCTCACACCTGTAATCCTAGCGCTTTGGGAGGCTGCAGCAAGACTACTTGAGCCCAGGAGTTCAAGACCAGCATAGGCAATATAGTGAGACCTCGTATCTATTGAAAAAAAAAAAATCACTGTAGCCACTGTGGAGACTGGTTTGGACAAGAACAAGAGGAGAAGCAGCGGGGCAACTTACGAGGCTACCACAGCCATCCAGGTGGCAGCTAGCACCAGGGCCAAAGCACAGAAGATGGGTGGGCAGATGTGGGAAATGTCTAGACAAGCCTTGGTGCTTGGCTATATAAGGGGATTGGGAGGTGCAGGAGAAGACAGTATTAAGGTGCTTTGGTGCCATTTTTAAGATGGTCTACACTGAAAGAGGGATACTGGATATTTTGTTTTTGAGACACAGTCTTCCCTCTGTTGCCCAGTCTCGAGTGCAGTGGCGTGATCTCGGCTCATTGCAACCTCTGCCTCCCGGGTGCAAGCAATTCTCCTGCCTCAGCCTCCTGAGTAGCTGAGAGTACAGGTGTGCACCTCCACACCTGCCAAATTTTTGTATTTTTCATAGAGATGGGGTTTCACCATGATGGCCAGGCTGGTCTCGAACTCCTGACCTCAAGTGATCCACCTGCCTCAGCCTCCCAAAGTGCTGGGATTACAGGCGCGAGCCACCTTGCCTGGCCGATACTGGATATTTTGAATTTGAGGAGCCTATGCAGAATCCATGGGGAGAAACTATCGATCTAGGTCTAGGGCTCAAAAGAGCAACCTGGTCTGCAGGCATGTTTGAATATTGGGGCATAGGTGGTAAATAAAACCACCGGAGTGGATAAGAATGTCAGGGGCAAGCGAATATTAAGACGGCCTAGAACTGGTCCCCAGACCTCTCTAACACTTAAAAGTCAGGAGGACAGCAGAGAATGGCCTGAAATGTAGGCAGAAACCCAGGTGGGAGAAACCATGAGAAGAGGGGTTTTTAAATTTTATCTTCTTTTTTTGTTTGTTTTAGATGGAGGGGTCTTTGTTGCTCAGGCTGGTCTTGAACTCCTGGGCTCAAACAATCCCCCTGCCTTGGCCTCCCAAAGTGCTGAGTTTACAGGCACGAACCGCTGTGTCTGGCTGCGAGTGTTTTTAAAAAGAAGTGTGGCTGGGCATGGTGGCTCACGCCTGGAATCCCAGCACTTTGGGGGGCCGAGGCGGGTGGATCGCCTGAGGTCAGGAGACCAGCCTGACCACATGGAGAAACCCTGTCTGTACTAAAAATACAAAAGTAGCCAGGCATGGTGGTGCATGCCTGTAATCCCAACTACTGGGGAGGCTGAGGCAGGAGAACTGCTTGAACCCAAGAGGCGGAGGTTGCGGTGAGCGGAGATCATGCCATTGCATTCCAGCTTTGGGAAAAACAGCGAAACTCCGTCTCAAACAAACAAACAAACAAAAAAAGTGAGGCCAGGTGTGGTGGTCACGCCTGTAAGCATTTTGGGAGGCTGAGGCGGGCGGATCACCTGAGGTCAGGAGTTTGAGACCAGCCTGGCCAACTTCATGAAACCCCATCTCTCCTAAAAATACAAAAAATTAGCTGGGCGTGGTGGCGGGTGCCTGTAATCCCAGCTATTTGGGAGGCTGAGGCAGGAGAATAGCTTGAACCCAGGAGGTGGAGGTTGTAGTGAGCCGAGATCGTGCCATTACACTCCAGCCTGGGAAATAAGAGCGAAACTCCATCTTGGAAAATTAAATAAATAAATAAAAAATAAAAAAAGGAAGTGGTCAGTGGTATCATGCTCTAGAGAGGCCGAGGAGATGTGGACAAGACTTTGGAGAAAGTTGGCTGCTCTTCTGGTTCTGCTGGGTGGCGATATGGAGTCCAGAAAAGTGCTTGTTCCAAGTGGGAGGACTAGAGCAGGTTTGTCTGGCTGTCTCCTTCACTGTAGCTCTCTCTTTAGCAAAAAGTAATGTCTTTATGGGATTAAAAACAAAATCAAATAACACAGACAGGCTAATAATAGTGAAAAGCACCAGCCTCTACCTCTCCTAACTCTACTCACTGTGAGAGGGAACTTACAGATGTTTAGTCTGAGAGCTGCTTCTGTGTCTAAGTAACATGCTATTTCTCTCTCTATATATACATATATATGTGTGTGTGTGTGTGTGTGTGTGTGTGTGTTTTGTTGTTGTTGTCGTTACAGGGTCTCACTTTGTTGCCCAGGCTGAAGAGCAGTTGTGCAATCATGGCTCACTGCAGCCTTTACCTCCCTGGGCTCAGGTAATCCTTCCACCTCAGCCTCCTATCTGGGACCATAGGCGCACGCCACCACGTTTGGCTAATTTTTGTATTTTTTGTAGAGACCAGGCTTTTGCGATGTTGCCCAGGCTGGTCTCCATCTCCTGGGCTCAAGTGATCCTCCCACCTTGGCTTCCCAAAGTGTTGAGTTTACAGAGCCACCATGCCTGGCCACCACCTACTTAATTCTTAATTTCACTTGTGTTTTCTAGTTCTAGAATTGCCATTTAACTTTTTGTTAGATTCCAGATTTTTTTTTTTTTTTTGAGGCAGGGTCTTCCTGTCACCCAGGCTGGAGTGCAGTGGTGTGATCATAGCTCACTGAATCTCAAACTCCTTGGCTTAAAGAATCCTCCTACCTCTGCCTCTCAAGTAGCTAGATTCCAGATATCTCAACATTCTCCATCTTTTCCTTATTTTGTGAATATATCATAGTTATGATAACTCCAACATCTGAATCACCCCTGCCTGGGTCTCTTTCTATTGTCTATTTTGTTTCCCTCTTGGTTTTCAGCAAATTAAGTCCTTTCTAGCAAGGCTGGTAACTATTGAGTAGATGCTGAGTAATGGGTACTAAAAATAGTACATGTGGAGACTCGGAACGTTATCTTCTTCCAGAGTTTTCTTCTGACTAGCAGACTGCCTAAATCCTGAAAAAGTCTGGTTTTAGGCTTTCTTAGCCTGATTGATTATTTATTTATTCTTTTTGAGATGGAGTCTCACTCTGTTGCCCGGGCTGGAGTGCAATGGCACCATCTCGGCTCACTGCAACCTCCACCTCCCAGGTTCAAGCAATTCTGCCTCAGCCTCCCGAGTACCTGGGATTACAGGTGCTCACTACCATGCCTGGCTAATGCTTTGTATTTTTTAGTAGAGATTGGGTTTTGCCATGTTGGCCAGGATGGTCTCAAACTCCTGACCTCAGGTGGTCTGCCCACCTCAGCCTCCCAAAGAGCTGGGATTACAGGCATGAGCCACCGCACCTGGCCTCAGGGTAATTTTTGTATTTTTGGTAGAGACAGGGTTTTGCCATGTTGGCCAGGCTAGTCTTGAACTCCTGACCTCAAGTAATCCACCCACCTCTGCTTCCCGAAGTGCTGGGATTACAAGCATGAGCCACCATGCCCAGCCTCTTAGTCTGATTTCTTCTGTTATGGCGTTACTCTGACATTGAGGCACCCTGGCCATCTCAAGCAGAGCCAATCCATGGTGGGCCTTGAACCCCAACCTGTCTCCCCTAGAACAGCATGGCTGCTGCAGTCTCCAGGCCACCAGTTCCTTAGCCTCCCAGTTACTGCATTCTGATGAGTTTCTTGGGGGGGGGGGTCTTGCAGATAGTGAGCAGCTTGAGTTGGCAGATGCCTCTAAGGGAGGGTGCACGTAGATTTGGGAGGTCAGTGCCCTCCTCTCCTGTTTCGTCAAGTCCCAGCTGCCTGGCTGAACCTCTGTGAACTTGGCCCAGTGGAAGTCAGTCCCGCCTGACTTCCTCATGCTAAATGGCAAAACATCCTCAAGGAAAAGGCAAGGGTAAGTGCGAAACACACCTGTGTGTTCTCTTAACGGATCACACCCCCTCAAGCCTCATCAAAGCTGGCCACTTTCTGGCGCCTTTTCTAAGTTTTTGCCTATTGTCCAGCCTTTATGTAACCAGTCTGTGCCATGTTAGTCCAAAATGGGCTTCTTGTAGCCAATACTAGAAGTCTTATAGTTGCAGTATCTGGGATATCTATGAAATATAGTAACTAGAGGTATGAAGTTCTTTTATTCCTAAGTCATTTCTTCCAGGGTCAGTTTTTCTATTTATCTTGTGGTCTGTTTTTCCTCAAATGTCTGGGTATCCTCCGTTGGTTAAACTGAAGCCATTAAAAAGCAGACTGAAATCCTGCGTGTCAGTCACAGACCCTCTGAGTTATCAGGCCAAGTTTGCCTTCAGGCTGAGACGCTTCTACAAGACACAAGCAGGTCTGAACACAAGCAGGTTTGCCTAGGCACCCCCGGCCCAGCTCCCAGGCATCCTGAGTGCCAACAGGGAGGCCAACTGTTCTGTACCCCGCTCTCCCTCTGGCCTCCCACCCTTGCTCTCCTGGAGCTGCAGCCTTGGCCCTCTAGGGTTCTGCAAGGCTGACAGGCTTCCTTCCCTGCACTCACCAGACTGAAGTGTTCTCACCACCAATGTCTTTAATCTTTTGTCCAGGAATCTGCTTGAAATCTCAATTGCTGGTGGAACCTCTTCTGTGTTTCTGCTCGTTGCTCCTCTGTCACTACTTATTATGATGTGGGTCCACCCTTCCTGCTCTGCCCCGTCTCACCCGTGCCCAGTGTATTCTGCCTTTCCTCACCCTGTGTGCCGCTCTCCCTTGCAGATGGTAGCTTCCCTTGCATATTCAAAACTGCGGCTTCCCCTGAGTAATCAAGCCCCCTCCTAATTCCCAGCCCCCCACCAAGACAGGGGTATGGTCAGCCCTGAGGAATGTGTGGCAGAGATGAAAAAGAAAAAAGGGTGAAAAACACAAGGGAGACAAGGAGCCCGAGAGGCCGCCTCACCCCACTTTCAACAGCTCTGGCTACTGGGCAGAGCCAGCCTCATGTCCTAACGCTCAAGTTTTAAGTACACCCTGGAAACCAAACCAAGCAGGGCTATCAAGTCAGGAACAACCTTCTGGGGAAAACAGAGCAGTGAGGAAGAAACCGAGGTGCCCACTATCAACAGGAAATTAATTTTATTTTTAAATCCAAGGGGCCAGAACAAATGAGACACCTACCCTTGGAGGACAAACTCAAGTGGCCAAGGTTGGGGGAGGGGATGACAGCAAGGGGCTGGGCAGGAACGCGTCCAAACACAGCAGATGGAGAGGACGACCTCTTCACTCCGGCGCAGCCTCCATCAAATACCCATTCTCCGGAGCCAGGTAGCCGTCGCCGCCCTCAGACTCCATGTACATGTCTCGGCTGTCGTTGCCCAGACCCTCCAGCCCGTTGTCCTGGCCACCGCCCCCACCTCGGGCCTCATCCCTGCCCCGCTCACTGCCCCGCTCCCCCCGTTTGTGCTCGCGGTCACGGTCACGGTCACGATCCCGGTCCCGGCGCCGCTCGCGCTCGCTCCGGTGGCTCCGCCGTCGCTCCCGGTCACGATCCCGGCCCTTTTCCTCTGGACCGTCAGGGCCGTCAGGCCCGAGCTCCCCTGGAGGCCCATCATCAGGGGGCGCGTCACCCGCCTCGGAGGGCTCCGCCATGTCGCCACCGCCGCCACGCAGCTCCTCCTTGCGCTCCCGCTCCCGCCGGGCCCGCTCCCGACTCCGGCTGCTTCGCCGCTTCCGGTCCCGGTCCTTGTCCTTGCTCCGCTCCCTGGAGCGCCTCCGCTCCTCCTTGTCGCGACTCCGTGAGCGCCTCCGCCGGTCCCGGGAGCGGGAGCGTCGCCGTTCTCGCTCCTTGTCTCGCTCCCGGCTCCGCTCTCTGCGCTCCCGCTCACGGTCCCGGTCCCGGTCCCTGTGCGGAAGCGGGGAGGGGCCGGGCCTGGATGAGGTGGGCAGACCTGTGTGGCTGGGCTCCCCCCGTGACCGCCCCCCACCCCAGGACACCGGTCGCCCAATCTTACCTCTCATCGTAGCGGGAGGTGTCATCGCGGCCTGAATGCCGGATGTTCACATCAGCCCCTCCTCTTCTGGTACCACCGAGGCCTCCTCCTGGGGCAGGGCAGACGGACAGAGGGTGAATCTGGGCAGGGACAGGGCCCGGAGGAGCAGAAATGAGCCGACTCCAAGAGCAAAGGGCAGGAAGGCAGCCCCTGGCTTAGTGTTCACAGGGCCGGGTCCCCCCGTGCAGTTCATCCCGCGCACTCCCATCACAAGACAGCCACGTCTTCTCTAATTAACTCACACAAAGCGTTCGCTAGGCAACAGCCGTTACTGGAACCCATGTCTGGCCCCAAAGCGCATCATCTTAACCATAGCGCACTTCACAGCCTCCTCAAAACCCTCCCTTCCAATCATCCTCGCCCTCACAGAAACCCGAAGCCAATGATCTTTCCACCCAAAAATGTGATCTGCTTAGAAGCCTTTGCTGGCGTCCCCCAGCCTAAGGTCCAAACTCCTCGTCAACTGGTGGTAGAGGCAGCAAGAGCGGGCCCTGCTAGCGTCTGAGCCGCGGCTCTTGGCTGCGTGTCCCAGGCCTTTCCCAGTGTCCCCACGCTCACCTTCCTGCCAGTGTCTGTGCATTCTCCTTGCCCTGGACTGGTCTCCCCTTCCTTCTCTGGTGAACTCACGCTCACCCTTAACGCTAGCCCGAACATCCTTTCTCGGGAAGTCTCTCCTCACAGTCCTATGTACTCACAGTTGCAGAAACGCTTCCTTCCCCTGGAGTTTCAGGTTTGCTACCTGAGTCGACCCCTACCTGCCTCTCCCACCAGACTGCAGGGCACCGGAACCGTGGGCATGCCCAGCTCTTGCTCACGGTACCAGCAGGTGGCGCTGCAGCTGGTATAGAAAGGTGGATGTGTGTGTGTCAAGTGAATAGATAGATGAACAGCCCCAAGGCACAGATGATAACCTCATGGTTCTGATGGGGAAACAATCTCAGATCAAGTCACTGGCCCACAGTGACTCAGCAAAGAAGGTGCAGAACTGGGCTGTCACTGCCGTCTGCTGCAAAACCTGCCTTCTCAAGCGCTCCTCTATCTCGCACTGCCTGGAAAAGCTTCCGTGAGGCAGGGCTGAGTTCTGTATAGAAAAGAGGCTGCAGGGAGACATTCTTATAGAAGCAGGCAGCGGACCAGGCACCTGCCATGTCACAGGCACAGGGCAGCTAGACTAGCCTTTCCTATATTCAGGTCATGACCCAGAAATGAGTCCCATCATCAATCTGATGGGTTGCAACCAACATCTTAAGAAACAAAACAGCAGAATACAACTATATACTTACTACATAGAAAAAACTGTTTCCTCAAACTTTAGGTTACAGTATTTCTGCGGGTGCACCGAGTCAAGATGTTATTGGCTAACACCAACAAAAAGTTTGAATGGCAATTGAACTAGAAGATTCTGAGATTCTGGAAAGACTGAGATTCTAGCATTTTCCCGCCCCAACAGGAAACAGCAGAGCTATAAGAACCCACTCCACCCCAGAGAGACCAGAGTAAGGTAAGAACATGCCTGGTAAGCTCCGAGGCTCAGCAGCTGAGAGCGTGGTCTCCCTAGCACAGGCGAGTCCAGAGCCAGGACACAGGGCTGGGAGGCAGGACAGGAGCCCCAAGTGGCTACTACTGCCTGGGTGTCTGCCCAGGGACCATCATCTTCTCTGACAACTGTCACTCAGCTTTGCAGGATTCAGTCCTCAATAAGCATGCCTGAGCAACAGGACCCCAGGCCCAACACTGAGTCAATCAAATGTGCCCACCCCGAAACAAGAGACTCATCCAGGACTGAGTGTAAAGCTGGGGCCTGTGGCCTGCTGCGCTGGGCCAGTGCAAAGAGGCATGGGACCGACCTAGCTGCATGGAGGCAAACGAGGCAGAAGCAAGCTGTGGGCTGTCACACATCACAGGTGGGTCGCCCCAGTTTTTTTGTTTTTTGTTTTTTTTTTTGAGACAGAGTCTTGCTCTGGCACCCAGGCTGGATGGAATGCAGTGACTCTATCTTGGCTCACTGCAACCTCTGCCTCCCAGGTTTAAGCAATTCTCTGCCTCAGCCTCCCGAGTAGATGGGATTACAGGCACCCGCCACCACGCCCAGTTAATTTTTGTATTTTTAGTAGAGATGCGGTTTCAACATCTTGGCCAGGCTGGTCTCGAACTCCTGACCTCATGATCCACCCGCCTCGGCCTCCCAAAGTGCTGGGATTACAGGCGAGCCACCACGCCTGGCCTGGTTGCCCCAGCTCTTAACAGCGTCAGCTACCAGGTTCTCAGGTCCACGGACATCACATACCTCCGAACTCCAAAGGATGCCCATGATTCTACATCAACAGGGCCCTTTATGTTTCAGGAAGCTCAAGTTTATTTCTGATACTTGCAGCCAAACTGACCTTGCCTGAGACAGCAAATGACAATGAGGAGACCGAATGCAGGAGGCTCAGAGGGCAGAGGCTGCCTCTGTGTTGCTCAACTAGAAGCCCGGCACACAGCTGGTGATCCAATAGGTACTTGCTGAATCAGTAAAAGAGTGAACAAGAGCAACAGCAAGCAGCAGAAGCAGATGAGCGAGTGACATTTACAACCCCAGCATGCGTCACTGCCAAGCTGGGCGCCCAGTACACTGAGCTCAGTGAACTCGGGGTTATTTCCACTAAGAGGAGTACAATGAGGCAGGAAAAGGGGACCCCCAGCTAGCAAGGGCGGACGCCAGCATGTGGGCTCAGGCCTCTCCAGGCTGGTGCCCCTGCTCCTCACAGTAACCCAGAACGAGGAGGCAGGCAGCTGTCAGAAATGTGATGGCCACAAGAGAGAGAAGCCGGAGATGAGGACGCGATGGGAGAGGTGGGCCGGCAGGAGACAGAGAAGCAGAAAGCAGCAGAGAAGGGAGAACAAGGCCACCAGGCCCAGGGCCCCCGAGAGCCCGTCGAAGGCAGGATGTGCTCACCTAGCCGCCGGGGCCTCCAGCCCTTCACGGTTCGGCCCCTCTCCACGTCCACAAGGACCCTCCTGCCATCAATCTTCTTGCCATCTGCGTGTTTGTAAGCGGCTGTAACAGATGTGGGGAGGGGGAGGGGAGAGGAGTCCCCAGAGGGTCCTCTAGTCAGGACAGGCCCAGCTCTACAGAATCCCCGCCCCGTGTCCCCATCATCACGCACACGCACACGCCCAACAGACAGCCAGGCAACTGACAGCCAGACCAACCCTCTCCCAAACCGGTGAAGGGCCTGCTCCATCTCAGCGTCTGCTTCCTCTCAGCGCCCCAACCACTCCTGGTCGGGGGAGACGTCCACCCTCACCCGCCACCCCCTAGGCTCCCCGGCCCTTCCTCTCCCACATGATGGAACAGCCCCCTCCCGCCAGGGCGGCCAAAATCGCTGCAAAGAAACTGAAGGTTAACTCCACGCTGGACTCTGCTGTGGGGGAGGGGGCTCCTCCACAACCCCAAGCATGCACCCTGAGACACCAAGCCGGGGCAGGAGGCCCAGCTGGGACGCTCCGCACCCCAGACCACACCGGTTTTTTCTGTTTTTGTTTTTTTTGGAGGGGGGTGAGTGTGGGGGGAACAGACATCAGAACAGAAAATGAACCAGAAGGGGGTGGGAGAAATCTTCAGGAAATGGCAGGGAGCAGAGAGGCGGGTTATACACTCCCAGGGGGCCTGGCGGGGCCCCTGCAGCAGGGGAGAGGGGCAGTGGAGGAAGCATGGGGAGCCGTGCGGTGCTACTGAAAATCCCTGCCTTACCTGAGACGACTGACTCTGCCTCCCCCCAGCCCTGCCCCATCTCGCCCTCCACACCCCCGGCTCAACACGTGCTGGGAGCGCACCCCAGCCTGAGCCTGCCAGGAAAGGGGAGTCGTAGAGGGGAGACGGGGGAGAGGCTCACTGCTGCTCTCGGGCAGCGCGTAGCAGAAGGCAAGCCTGAGGCCCTGGCCTGTGATCAACGTGGGGCTGTCATGAAGGCCAAAAAGTCCCCGTTCCCCCACCCAGCCCTGGCCTAGGGGGCTGTCCTCAACCAACCGTAATACCCTGCCCCGCCCCAGCCCGCTCCCCCCCAAATAACAACCAGAGGAAGAGAAAAAGGTGCCATTTACCGATGCCGGCCTTGCGGGTGTCCAAACCGAGCGGGATGGGGGGGGCTCGGCAACTCCTGGGGGCCTGGCGAGGAGGCGGGCTTCCCGGGGGGGGGACACGGGACCGCTTACCTGGAGCCCCCAAGCTTACCTGAGCACGCGCACAGACCCCACACCCACCACCACGGGGTCAGCTAAAGCTACAGGGAGGGGAAGTGGGGGGTTCTAGGGAGCCAGGAGAGGGAGAGGAACCACATCTCCTGTACCACCTGGAGACAGGCAGAGGACGTGGTAGACCCCAAAGAAATCTCAAGGAGGCCTTAGAGTGGGGGAGACGAGGATTATCATCCAAGCTGGGCGCTGGAAAGCCCTGGACTATCTCGTGTGAATTTACAAAGAAGGCTAGGGAGGCCTCAGAAACCTGTCCGCCCTCACCAATCCCCGAGTCACACTGAACTAGGCACACAGCCCACCCCCTCCGAGGACCAGGAGTGACTTCTCCACCTCCAAATCCATGCTCCCTCCCACCAGCTGCGTCTGCAGAGGCTGGCACACAGGGGTCCAGGAGACGGTGCTGCCCGTGCTCTGAGGAGGGGCCGCTTGGCCCCTGAACCCACGGGAGGGGAGTGGGGAAAGGCATTTAAGGACCAGGATCAAAGTCAAGCGAAGGAACCCCGCTCGGGTTCAGAGTCCCAAACCCCAAAACAGGCCCATCCCGGGAGGAACAGCAAAGAAAACATGTGATTGTGTTCGTCTAGGCCTCTCTCTCTCTTTCCCTCTCTCAAGTCTCTAGACAGTGGAAGGTTCTTTAGTAAAAACCTACGACACCTTCAGCTGCTAGCAGCCTACCCCTTGGTCCCTCCCACACCCCAAGCCCCAATTCCATGCACTTTAGGGAGCTCCTGACCACCTCTGGAGAGCTGCTGGACACCACAGCCAGCCCCCTCGGGAGGCCTCAACCACAGTAAGGAAGACAGAAAGGGGGCAGAGCACCCCAAAACTAGCAGCCAAAAAGACTCTCCAGGGCCAGCACAGTAGCAGCCCCATAGAAAGCACGGGGGCAGGGAGGGAAGGCTGAAGGGCTCCAGTGGAGCCCTGGCCTGGAGCCCTGCCCTCGGTGTTCCTGCCACCTCGCCGCTGACATCACGAAGCCGGGTCATCAGAGGCTGGGTGGAACCCAAGCGGAGAGGCCGCCGCCTTTCCCACCAGGTTCATCCTTCCCCTCCTGGGATCAGCAAGATTCTCAGAGAGCATACGGATCGGGGCAGGAGGGACAAAGGGCACCCAAACAAGGAAAGGGCCATGGGTGCGGGGAGGCTACGGGGGCGACTGGGGTGGGAGGAGGGGCGCCTCGCTGCTCCTGAGCTGCCTGGCTAAGCTGGGCTGGTGTGCGGTGCTGAGTGATCTTACCCATGATACAAACCCTTATACCAACCATACACTGAGGTGTTGTAAGGGGAGCGTAAGCATCAGCTGCAAGCCAGCTGCGTGGTGGCTGCAGTGACAATAAGAACAGTCAATTAATACGGCGGCCCCTGGACACGCCGCAGCCCTGCCCACCCTCCCCCACCCATCCCTGCCCATGTGGACGCCGCGGCAGCCTCAAAGGGGGCTTTGGAACTGTAGGGGCAGGCGCTCAACATGCCTATCACCCCACTGCCCGCTGAGGAACAGGGTGGGGGGCCAGGGTTGGGGAAGCGGAGGGTCGGGTGGCCCAGCCCCAGTTCTACTGGGGGGGGAAGAGAGGGCAGGTTCAAAGGCCAGTCCTCATTGCAACCTGGCCACCCCCAACTTCAGTGGGGGGAATGGGGGAGGTTCCCCCAAAATCCGACCCCTCCCCCCACCTCCAGCTGGCCCCAGCCCCCCACCCAGTTCCCTCTTTGCCCCTGAGGTTCAACGTGTGACACTTACCTCCCCAGGTTCACACACACACACACGTTGTGGGGGATTTGGTTTTTGTTTTTTAAAAAACACGTATATAAAAAAAAAAAAGATACATCAGAAACAGAGGGAGGAGGAGAAGAGACATCGCTAATGTCAGGTGTGGCAGGGTGGGGGAGGGGACAGACTGGGAGGGGCTGGGGCAGCAGAGAAGTGAGAGCAGGTCAGAGGGCAGGGCTCGGCGGGAGGTACTCACAGTGCATGTCTCGCTCGTGTTCGTACTCGATGAAGGCATAGCCACGGGGCTTTCCTGACCGCTTACTGTAGACCATGTGTATCTGTGGGGCACATGGGGACAGGGGTGAGTCCTGCCACAGGGCGGCTCCGCCCCACCAACCCCACAACAGCCTGCACACCAGGCCCTGGGCCGGATGAGGCCTCAGACCCTCTCTGTCCTTCAAGAGCCCTGAGTGACTTATGTTCTAATGGCAGGAGCAGAGGACACAGAGGCGGCTTCCTGGAGAAAATGACACTTAAGCTAAGACCTAAAGAAAGAAGAGAGATGAAGGAAGACAGTGAGGTGTCAGCCTGTCAGGTGGAATAGCAGTAACTCCAGAGGTCCAAGGGCCCGGGGGCAGGAGGGCAGGAGGCTGGGGATGCGCTTCGGCAGGGCTGGCTCATGTACTGATGACAGAGAGTCCCAGGAGATGAAGCCACAAAGGTGGGCAGGCCCGGGGTCATCAAGCGCCCCAATGCCAGGCCGAGAAGTGTGGTCGCTGAGGAGCTGGGAAGGGTGTTGAGCAAGGAAGGGCCAATGTGGGTGGTCTACGTGGAGTCAGGAGGACACAAATGGAATTAGGGAAACAGGAGGGAGTTGTGAATGCCAATGGGACGGGAATTCTTTTTTTTTTTTTTTTTTTTGGAGACAGAGTCTTGCTCTGTTGCCCAGGCTAGAGTGCAATGGCTCAATCTCAGCTCACTGCAACCTGCACCTCCCGGGTTCAAGCGATTCTCCTGCCTCAGCCTCCCAAGTAGCTGGGATTACAGGCGTGCGCCACCACACCTGGGTAATTTTTTGTATCTTTAGTAGAGATGGGGTTTCACCATGTTGGCCAGGCTGGTCTTGAAATCCTGACCTCATGATCTGCCCTTCTCGGCCTCCCAAAGTGCTGGGATTACGGGCGTGAGCCACTGTGCCTGGCCAAGGACAGGGAAGTTCTAAGGGAAAAAGAAAGGACACGTGCACAGCCAGGGAGGCTTGAGAGAACGTGGCACGATGAGGGATGCGTCCCATCCCGAGGATGGCAGCAAGAGAAGGGAGGAGATGGGGTGGGGTGGAGGTCCATGAGGCCACACAGCTTGGGGAAGAGCCCTGGAAGGCCAGATGGTGGCAGCTGGACCTGTCCTAACATGCTAGGGACCCATGGGATGCTGTCAGCAGAGATGGGGTCAGCTCTGGATGTCAGAAAGACCCCTTGGGGACCATGTCAGGGAGAACAACGGGCAAGGCAGGGCTGTTGAGACAGAGGTGGCCAGAATGAACCAGGGAAGATTTCTGGGAGGTAACAGCATTTGAGCTGGTCCCTAAAGGATGGCTAGTTCGCCATTCACATCACTACCAGTTGGCGACCAACCTGTATCATGGATGAACCTGGGACCCCACAGCCTCCAAAACACAACCAAGATTCCTGACTTGAATGGATCAGAGGGACAAGGGTGGGGCCAAGGTTGTCACTGGGCTGTGCAAGGCAGAACAACGTGTGTGTGTGTGTGTACACATATATACACATGCACATACACACACACACACAGGCACGAGACACCACACTCGGCTAATCTTTTGTATTTTTGTAGAGACGGGGTTTCGCCATGTTGGCCAGGCTGGTCTTGCCTCCTGACCTCAGGTGATCTGCCTGCCTCGCCCTCCCAACATGTGGGATTACAGGCGTGAGCTACCACGCCCAGCCTACAATACTTTTTTTTTTTTTTAAGATGGAGTCCCACTCTGTTGCCCAGGCTGGAGTACAGTGGTGTGATCTCGGCTCACTGCAACCTCCGCCTCCTGGGTTCAAGCAATTCTCCTGCCTCAGCCTCCTCAGTAGCTGGGATTACGGGCGCCCGCTATCATGCCCAGCTAATTTTTGTATTTTTTTTTTTTTTGTACAGACCAGGTTTCACCATGTTGGTCAGACTGGTCTCGAACTCCTGACCTCAGGTTATCCGCCCACCTCGGCCTCCCAAAGTGCTGGGATTACAGGCGTGAGCCACCGTGCCTGGCCCAACAATACTTTTTTTTTCCTTTGTGTGGAGAACGGGGTCTTGCTATATTGCCCAGGCAGGTCTCGAACTCCTGGGTTTAAGCTATCCTCCCGCCTCTGCCTCCTTAAGAGCTGAGATTACAGGTGTGAGCCATTGCACCCGGCCTGACATGTATAAATATTTTTAAAAGACGTATCAGAAACAGAGCAGGGAGAAGAGACATGGCTAACATCAGTTTGTGTGTAGGATGGCCTCAAGCCCTCACTACTGCCCAGTGAAGGCATGCGTCTCCCATGTTAGATAAAGGAAATCAGACACAGAGCACTTCAGTGACTTAAAAGAAGATTGGTAAAACAAAGCCTTCCTCTAAAACGGGACTCAGCATAGGTATTCTGCCAAGACCCAGAGAGTAGATATTTCCAGCTTGGACGGCCGTATACTGTTGCAACAATCCAACCCTGCCTTACAACAGTAGCAGCCAAAGACAATGTGTAAACAAACAGACCTGCCTGGCTGAGCAGCAGGAAAACTTTAAGTCTGTAGTTTGCCAACCCCTGCTCTCAACCAACCACCAGCAGTCATTACTTCTCATTTTACTTCTGCTGCCCAAGGTCTGCTGCATGGAGATACAGTCAGGATGCATAAATCCAGGCCCTGAAATGGTGTGAGCCATGCTCAGGGCTGGGACCTCTCTCCCTCCCTCTCAGGATACAGCCCCTCCTCCATGCACCCCCAATTCAAACACCCTGACCCACTCCACTTACTCTTTTGATAGGTCCGTACACCTCAAACTCTCTCCGGAGCTTGGATTCTGTTGTGTCATAATTCTACAAGGAGATGGATATGACGTTAAATGGGAGAACAGAGCTGTCCCACAGCCCCTGGAACATTCCCCTGTACCTAGCCTATTTGACCTTTGTGCCAGACCCAGGCTCTCAGCAGCGTGGGGTTCCAGGAGCTAGGAGCTGGGGACTTACCACTCTCGCCACGAAGAGAGTCTTGAAGGCATCCCCCTGAGCATTGGGATCATTGTGAGGGTCCCCTGTGCAGGAAGAAAGGAATTTTATAAGTTGAAGGTGTCCATGGTCTCAGGTAGCAAAACAAATACGATGGGCAGAGGCCAAGAAGAAAACGGTGGCATTGGGAGAGGCCCCTAACTGGAGGAACATGGGTGGTGACCTGGCAACCTCAGGGACGCCCCTCTCTGAACCTGTTTCTCTGAGGCACAGTGGGCTTTATCAGAGTGGCTGAGAGATAATCCAGGCTGCTGAGGAGAGGAGGTAAGGCTGACTTCAAGCTGACAGGATGTGGGCAGGCCCAACTGCCATTTCAGACCTACATAAACCCTAAGGGCCCTATCGCTCCCAGATGCAAGGTGATCCAAACAGTAATAGCCCAACTGGGCCTCCCTGGAGATGCAGCTGATGCCCCCAGGTTCTGAGCTCCCTCCTGTAGGCAGGGCCACACTGCCACCTACTGGACACAGACTGCAACTACAGCCCACAGGAAAACCTGAGACCAAGCTGCCCCAAGGCTAAGAATGAGAGCCAGGAAAGCAAACACTAAGTAAGCTCTGCTTTCCTGTCTGTGCCCTGTGTCTCTAAAAAGGAACCCAGGAACTGACTAGCGTCAGATCAGATTCTCACTCCAGCCTCACTACTGTGAGGCAAACTGTTCTACCTGGCTACTAAGGAATAACAATCTCCAAAGAAAAGAGCCAGGAATCTCCTAAGAAACCAATTTCATAGGTGATCCTGCTGGGTCAGGCCTGGGAATAAGTCCTTTTCACCAAATATGGTGGCTCCAGCACATAATGACCCTGACTCCTGCCGGGGCCTTAAGGACACTCTGCCGGTTCTTCCATGGTATAGTGTTTCCCTCGGAAGCCCTGTCACATTCTGGGAGAGCATGAGAAAAGGAATAACATTAACCCATTTATGCCAGAGGTTGCAATTTTTTGAATTGCAGACACGTGTGAAAAATCAGACCCTGGTGATGACCCGAGCAGTAGGATATAAATAACTCCCACATGCTTAGCGTTCCAATAATGGAACATTAGACATATAATTTACTGAACACGTACTATGGCCCAGACACAGTGCTGGACACTGATATTTATTTATTACTATTTTGCAAATGGAAGTAAAACAGAACAAACTCGAGACACAGAAAAAGGGAGGTGTTAAAGTGGCGAAGGGCCAAGGCAGACTTCACCTCTCACCCCGGGCACTTGAACTACCAGGCTCCTTCCCCGAACCCTCGGGTGCTACCTTTTCAGGAAGACAGTGTGGGTGTTGCCAGAAGCTAGAGAAATAAAGTCTCAGATTTTTTTTTTTTTTAAACAGAGTCTTGCTCTGTTGCCCAGGCTTAAAGTGCAATGGCGCAATCTCGTCTCACTGCAACCTCTGCCTCCGAGGTTCAAGCAATTCTCCTGCCTCAGCTTCTCAAGCAGCTGGGATTACAGGCGTGCACCACCACATCCAGCTAATTTTTGTATTGTTAGTAGAGATGGGGTTTCGCCATGTTGGCCAGGCTGGTCTCGAACTCCTGACCTCAGGTGATCCGCCCTCCTCGGCCTCCCAAAGTGCTGGGATTACAGGCATGAACCACCGCGTCCCGCCAGATTTGTTTCTTATGAGAGAATTTAACTACAAGTATAAACTAAGGTCAAGATGACTTTAAGGAATGTACTTTTTTTGAGATGGAGTGTCACTCTTGTTGCCCAAGGTCAGTGCAATGGATGGCGAGATCTCGGCTTACTGCAACCTCCGCCTCCCGGGTTCAAGCGATTCTCCTGCCTCAGCCTCCCAAGTAGCTGGGATTACAAACACACACCACCACACCCAGCTAATCTTTTGTATTTTTAGTAGAGACGGGGTTTCACTATGTTGGCCAGGCTGGTTTCGAACTCCTGACCTCAGGTGATCTGCCTGCCTCGGCCTCCCAAAGTGCTGGCATTACAGGCGTGAGCCACCGCACCTGGCCTAAGAATATTTTAGAAAACAGAAGCCTAAGCCACAATTTAAGGGAATCGCTATCTGGGACAAATGGAAACGTCTGAAAACAACTCCATCTCAGCGTTCTCTCCACCCACTCCTCAAGTTCCTTGCCAGGCTGGGCACAGTGGCTCACACCTGTAATCCCAGCAATTTGGGAGGCTAAGGCGGACGGATCACCTGAGGTCAGGTGTTTGAGACCAGCCTGGCAAACATGGCGAAACCCCGTCTCTACTAAAAATACAAAATTACCAGGGCATGGTGGTGTGCGCCTATAGTCCCAGCTACTCGGGAGGCTGACGCAGGAGAATTGCTTGAATCTGGGAGGTGGAGATTGCAGTGAGCCGAGATCATACCACTGAACTCCAGCCTCGGCAATAAAGCGAAAAAAAAAACAAAAAACAAAAAACGTTCCTTGCCATACCTTATCCCTGAGCGTTGTAATTTTCTATGGCCAGGTCTCTCAATCTGCACTGGCTTTTTTTTTTTTTTTTTTTGCACCAGCTAACTCTCATTCATTCAATAGGTAATTCTTTTTATTCGCCGATGTTTGTGCTCTTGTAAGTAAGTAATTCTTAAGCATCTACTATGTGCCTGGAAATGCTATAGTTGTTGGGGATTTCGCAGTAAACAAGACAAAAAAAGGTGCTGGGCGCAGTGGCTCACAGCTGTAATGCCAGCACTTTGGGAGGCCAAGGCAGGCGGATCACTTGTGACCAAGAGTTCAAGAAGACCAGCCTGATCAACACAGCGAAACC
Source organism: Homo sapiens (assembly GCF_000001405.40). Classification (NCBI taxonomy): domain Eukaryota; kingdom Metazoa; phylum Chordata; class Mammalia; order Primates; family Hominidae; genus Homo; species Homo sapiens. The sequence goes on along the minus strand of NC_000019.10, from coordinate 49,095,714 downwards.
TCATCCCTACTAAAAATACACAAAAAATTAGCTGGGTGTGGTCCAGCTACTCAGGAGACTAAGACAAGAGAATCGCTTGAACCAGGGAGGCGATGAAGGTTGCAGTAAACCGAGATCGTGCCACTACAGTCTATCCTGTGCAACAGAGTGAGACTGTCTCCAAAAAAAAAAAAAAAAAGGTGTCTACCCTCATGGGGTTCATATGCTAATGAAAGAGGTAAATAAGGAGATCCTATGATCACATCAGATGACGACAGAGAATAGAAACGGGTGACTTTACAAGGCAGGTTAGAAAAAGCCTCACAAGATGCTAACATTTAATGAAGAGCTGAAAGCTGTCACAGCAGCAAGGAAACACACCCGGCAACGCCAGACAGCAGGCATTCTAACAGTTACTGTGGAGCATGACAGTGGGACCAATGAATGCTGCAGGGCTGGGGAGTGGACGAAGGCCAAACAACAGCTGAGCTTCCTGAAGGGCAGCCAGAGGGAAACCACCCCAGCACACTGTGTGAGTTCCCTGGAGCACTTGCTTACCCGGGGTGGGGGGGCCACAAATGTGACTAAAGGTAAAAAGCAAATGCAGCAAAGCAATGGTACCCCCAAGTCCTGAAGATAGAGAACAAAAGCTCAAAGAAGGTAGCACAGACCCAATGCCGGGCAGCGCCCCACAGCCAGCGTATGCGTGCAGCGCCCTGACGGCAGCTCTCCCTCAGGACATCACTGGTTGAGGGCTCATCTAAGTAGCAGCCCAGAGCAGAGACTCAACGGAAGTGGGTCGTGGAGTTGGGAATTAGGCTTTGAGGTACTCGAGGTCCCATCTTGGAACTCTCACTCTTTGGAAGCGTGCTTGCCTCAACAAGCCTCCATTTCTTTATCTTAAAAATGGGAGTAGCAACCCCTGCTGCACTTGGAAGCTGTGAGAAAGTCAGTAACACCAAGTACAAGCGCTCAGCAAGGAGGCACCGTCCCCTTGACGGGAGCTGTTCATTGTGACAAGGCACAGCAAGCTTCTATAGCTATGAGTGGAGGCTCTCAAGGGCACAGAAACCCTACTGAACTTGATCCATTCTTTTATTTCTTTTCTATTATGGAGAAGTTCAAGCATTTAATGGAGGCAGAGCAGTATAACGAACTCCCATGAGCCCGCTTCCATTATCAACACGTGGACGGACTTGTTTCATCCCTATCCTCCCACAGCCCACTGCATTTTTTTGAGACGGAGTCTTGCTCTGTCACCCCGGCTGGAGTGCAGTGGCATGACCTCAGCTCACCCCAACCTCTGCCTCCTGAGTTCAAGTGATTCTCCTGCCTCAGCCTCCCAAGTAGTTGCAATTAGAGGCCCCTGCTACCACACCCAGATAATTTTTATATTTTCAGTTGAGACAGGGTTTCACCATATTCACCACTCGAACCTGGATCACTCAAGTAATCCTCCCACCTCAGCCTCCCAGAGTGCTGGGATTACAGGCGTGAACCACCACGACCGGCTGGATTATTTTAAATGAAATTCCAGATAGCACACCATTTTGGTCTCTAACAAAGGCTTTTAAACATCATAACCACAGTGCCACTATTACATCTTAGAGTTAACATTTACTAATTCCTTAACCTCATCTATGATCCAGTGTTCAAATTCCTCAATTGGAACTTTTTTGTTCGCCCAATTGGAACTTACTTGTTTGTTTTTTGAGAAGGAGTCTTGCTCTTATTGCCCGGGCTGGAGTGTAATGGCGCTATCTCTGCTCACTGCAAACTCCGCCTCCCGGGTTCAAGCAATTCTCCAGCCTCAGCCTCCCGAGTAGCTGGGATTACAGGAGCCCACTACAATGCCTGGCTAGGTTTTGTTTTGTTTTTGTTTTTGTTTTTGTTTTGGTATTTTTAGTAGAGATGGGGTTTCACCATGTTGGCCAGGCTGGTCTTGAACTCCTGACCTCATGTGATCTGCCTGCCTCAGCCTCCCAAAGTGCTGGACAACAGGCATGAGCCTCCGTGCCTGGCCTGGAACTGTTTTTTTTTTTGTTTTTTTTTTTTTTGAGATGGAATCTTGTTCTGTCACCCAGGCTGGAGTGCAATGGCGTGATCTCGGCTCACTGCAACCTCCGCCTCCCAGGTTCAAAGGATTCTCTTGCCTCAGCCTCCCGAGTAGCTGGGATTACAGGTACACATCACCACGCCGGGCTAATTTTTGTATTCTTAGCAGAAACAGGGTTTCACCATGTTGGCCAGGCTGGTCTCGAACTCCCAACCTCAGGTGACCCACCTGCCTTGAAGGATTACAGGCGTGAGCCACCACGCCCGGGTGGAACCGTTTTTAAAAAGCATTTCTGGCCGGGTGTGGTGGCTACGCCCTGTAATCCCAGCACTTTGGGAGACCGAGGCGGGCAGATCACCTGAGGTCGGGAGTTCGAGAACAGCCTGACCAACATGGAGAAACCCTGTCTCTAAAAATACAAAATTAGCCAGGCATGGTGGTGCATGCCTGTAATCCCAGCTACTCAGGAGGCAGGGAAATCGCTTGAACCGGGGAGGCAGAGGTTGCAGTGACCCTAGATCGTACCACTACACTCCAGCCTGGGCAATAACAGCAAAACTCCATCTAAAAAACAAAAAACAAAAAATGAAAAACACTTTTGGCTGGGCATGGTGGCTCACACCTGAAATCCCAACACTCTGGGGGCCGAGGCAGACAGATCACCTGAGGCCAGGAATTCAAGGTTGCAGTGAGCTATGACTGCACCACGGCAGTAAAGCCTGGGCAACACAGCACGACCCTGTCCCTAAGAACAAAACAAAACACAACAAAAAAAAAAGAGGCTGAGCACAATGGCTGACACCTGTAATCCAGCACTGAGGGAGGCTGAGGCAAGAGGATCACTTGAGCCCAGGAATTCAAGACCAGCCTGGGCAACATAGTGAGACCCCGTCTCAGTTTTAAAGTTTTTCCAAAAAAGAAAAAAAAGAAGACCCACAGTGGATGTGGTTGGTTAAGATATAGACAAACTAGGCCGGCTGCGGTGGCTCATGCCTGTAATCCCAGCACTTTGGGAGGCTGAAGCAGGTGGATCACCTGAGGTCAGGAGTTCGAGGCCAGCCTGGCCAACATGGTGAAACCCCATCTCTACTAAAATTACAAAAATTACCTGGGCATGGTGGCGCACGCCTGTAGTCCCAGCTGCTCAGAAGGCTGAGGCAGGAGAATCACTTGAACCCAGGAGGCGGAAGTTGCAGTGAGCTAAGATAGTACCACTGCACTCCAGCCTGATTGAGAGAGCGTGACTCCGTCTCAAAAAAAAAAGGAGGGGGGTGACCAGGCACGGTGGCTCATGCCTATAATCCCAGCACTTTGGGAGGCCAAGGTGGGCAGATCACAAGGTCAAGAGATCTAGACGATCCTGGTCAACATGCTGAAACCCCGCCTCTACTAAAAATACAAAAATTAGCTGGGCGTGGTGACGCACGCCTGTAGTCCCAGCTACTTGGGAGGCTGAAGCAGGAGAATCACTTGAACCTGGGAGGCGGAGGGTGCAGTGAGCCAAGATTGCACCACTGCACTCCAGCCTGGCGACAGAGCGAGGCTGCCTCCAAAAAACAAACAAACAAACAAACAAACAAAAAGACATAGGTAAACTAGTTAAGACTGTGACTGTGTTGTCTAGGCAAGAGGTGACCTGGGTGGTGATGATGGACATGAAAAGAAGGGTCAGATTTGTGACATTTAGAAAATAACACAAATAGGTCTTGGTGAGAGGCTGAGCAAAAGGTTAGAAAAGGTGTTAGAAACAAACTGCATGGCAAAAAATGAGGTCATGACCGGCACAGCTGAATGTCTATGTCCCAGAGAAAACACCCAAAGGAAACCAGGTTGGTGGCGAGGGAAAACCCCTGTGGTTTGGACACTGAGTCTGAGATGCCTCTGAGGCAGGACATCAAGACAGCGTTCCGACAGCCAATGTCCAAAGAGTGCACCGCCAGATGTCTCTGTCACGCTTCTGCGTAAGCACCGTGAGGAAATCCTGCACTCCAGGATTTGGAGGAAAGGGATTCATCAAAGTTCACAGGTATAGGAGGAAAACCTGTCTTCTCACTAGAGTCATGTTCTGAGAAGTGCGTCGTTTGATGATGATGTCGATATGCCAACATGAGATGGCACTTCCACGAGCCTAGACAGCATACCTAACACTCCTGGGCTAGAGGGTGCGTCCCACTGCTCCGAGGCCAAGCGTGTTACTACACCAAATACTACAGCAATCCTAACACAATAGTAAGTATTTGTGCATCTAAACGTTATCAAAGCATAGAAAGGGTACAGTAAATAGACGGTATAATCTTTTTTTTTTTTAAGACAGATTTTTGCTTGTTGCCCAGGCTGGGTTGCAGTGAGCCGACGCGATCCCGGCTCACTGCAACCTCCGCCTTCTGGGTTCAGGAGATTCTCCTGCCTCAGTCTCCCGAGTAGCTGGGATTACAGACGCTCGCCACCACGCCCAGCTAATTTTTGTACTTTTAGTAGAGACAGGATTTCACCACGCTGGCCAGGCTGGTCTCGAACTCCTGACCTCATGATCCGCCTGCCTCGGCCTCCCAAAGTACTGGGATTACAGCGTGAGCCACAGTGCCTGGCAAAATATGATATAATCTTATAGGATCACCATCACATCCACGGTCCCCTGCTGAGTGAAACACTGCTATGCTGCCTGTGACTGTACAGTTTTCACTTTCAGAATAAAGAGCCACTGGAGGTTGACATCTGACCCTCTTATGAGTTTGGTTAATGGCAACAACACACCTGTCTTGTACTCCAATTCCTCCTCTATGTGGAGGGGATGGAACATCCTCAGCCCAAGGGTTGGGGACCTAAGGTTAGAGCCAGGACAGACCACTATCCCACAACCCACCACTTCAGCCTGTGACACCCAGCTGGGTTGTGGGAGCCCCTTAACTGTCCTCCCATGCAGGAGGAGCCCAAGGTACCAGGGGTCTCCCTTCCTGCCAACTTTTACCCTATGTTCTGCTGCTGAAAAGCCTAAACCAAAAACAGTGCTTGTGAAGTGGCAGGGGCTAAACAAATGAACTAACAACCCTGTTCCCCACAACACAGGCCTTAGGGAGACAGCAGGGTCCTGGGTATGACCTGGGAAGAATACAGAGGGTTTGGGAGAGGAGAGAGCCAAATGGTGGATGAGAGACTTACACATTTTAAGCTCTGTCTCCACTTCTTGCTGTCGCCGCTCAATCTTTTCCCGTCTCTGTCAGGAGAAAGGGGAGGTGGAGAAGTGAATGCAGATAGAAGTGCCCTAGTGTCAAGGATCATCTGGAGACAGTGGTAAAACAGGGGGTCAGGAAGCAAAAATGACATACTTTCCTCTCCATGCGCTCCTCTCGGGTTTCAGCACGAGTTGGAGGAGGGGCATCTCGAGGGTCCTGGGAACAAGAAGAGAGGTGACAGGGTGGGAAGGACTGGGGGAAATGGCAAGGGACACTCACCAAGGAAATAAACAGGTTAACCCTCCCACCCCCACCCCCTACAAAAATAAACATCCACGCACACTTCCCCTGACACAGTGGAGGGAGGGGAGTGGCACAGATCAAAGCAAGGTCTGCAGCCACGCACAGTGGCTTCCACTTGTAATCGCAGCACTTTGGGATGATGACACAGGGAGAATGCTTGAGCCTAGGGGTTTCAGACCAGCCTGGGACAACACAGTGAAACACCATCTCCACAAAAAATTTAAAAATTAGCCAGGTGTAAAGGCCGGGTGCAGTGCACACGCCTGTAATCCCAGCACTTTGGGAGGCCGAGGCAGGCGGATCATGAGGTCAGGAGATCCGAGACCATCCTGACTAACATGGTGAAACCCCACCTCTACTAAAAATACAAAAAATTAGCCGGGCGTGGTGGTGGGCGCCTGTAGTCCCAGCTACTCGGGAGGCTGAGGCAGGAGAATGGCATGAACCCAGGAGGCGGAGGTTGCAGTGAGCCGAGATCGCACCACTGCACTCCAGCCTGCACAACAGAGCAAGATTCCGTCTCAAAAAAAAAAAAAAAAAAAAAAAATCCTGTCTCAAAAACTAAGCATGGTCCATGGACCAGTACTATCTAAACTGTTGCTGGACTGTGATAAGTACAGAAACCAGGACTAAGTGTTCAGGAACTTCTACAGTAATTTCACAATTTGATGTCCACTGACTCTTAATACAAATTTGGTCTTTTATTCTGTAGGTCTTTTTTTTTTCTGAGACGAAGTTGTGGTCTGTTGCCCAGGCTGGTGTGCAATGGCGCGATCTGGGCTCACTGCAACCTCCGCTTCCCAGGTTCAAGCGATTCTAAGCCCTGCTTTCCCCCCTGTGCCCGTCTCTCTAAAAGGAACCCAGCAACTGACTAGAATCGTTCAAGCGGTTCTCCTGCCTAAGCCTCCTGAGTGAGTACCTGGGATTACAGGCACACGACAGCATGTTGGCTAGTTTTTGCATTTTTAGTAGAGACAGGGTTTCACCATGTTGGCCTGGCTGGTCTTGAACTCCTGACTGTAGATCTTTCTTTAAAAAGTAATTCTATCATATTTATCAAAAGCAAACAGATTGGAAACAGTATCTGTCCTTCACCAAAGACAGTTTGAAAAGCACTGGTACAGGTGACATCTAGCTTTATAGTATTTAGGAAACACCCTGTCTTCCATATTTAGGAAAGACATTGCTTCTCACAGCTCCAAGTATCACTCACATTGAACAAAGTGCCAGAGGATGTGATGGGAGTGGAGTGATGGCAGGGCCCTGCTTATGAGTGCCAGTGAGGATGACCAGGCCTAAAGCAACATAAGCTGACAGAACAGGGCTCCAAAGCCCACAACTGCACACCCTCTGAGGGCCAAGGCAGCTCTTAAAGGTCTCATCAACCACACATTAAATAGGAACTGGCTGGTAGGGTGCAGTGGCTCATGCCTGTAATCCCAGCACTTTGGGAGGCCAAGGCAGACAGATCACAAGGTCAGGAGTTTGAGACCATCCTGACCAACATGGTGAAACCCCGTCTTTACAAAAAATACAAAAATTAGCCAGGCATGGTAGCGCGTGCCTGTAATCCCAGCTACTCAGGAGGCTGAGGCAGGAGAATCCTTTGAACCCGGGAGGTGGAAGTTGCAGTGAGCCTAGATCACGCCACTGCACTCCAGCCTGGGCAACAGAGCGATACTCCATCTCAAAAAAAAAAAAAAAAGGTCGGGTGCGGTGGCTCACGTCTGTAATCCCAGCACTTTGGAAGGCCAAAGTGGGCAGATCACAAGGTCAGGAGATCAAGACCATCCTGGCTAACACGGTGAAACCCCATCTCTAAAAATACAAAAAATTAGCCAGGCGTGGTGGCGGGCACCTGTAGTCCCAGCTACTCGGGAGGCTGAGGCAGGAGAATGGCATGAACCCGGGAGGCGGAGCTTGCAGTGAGCCGAGATCACGCCACTGCACTCCAGCCTAGGCAACAGAGCGAGACTCCAAGTCAAAAAAAAAAAAAAAAAAAAAGTACCTGGCTCCCAGGCATGGTGGCTCACACCTGTAATCCCAGCACTCTGGGAGGCCAAGGGGGGTGGATCACCTGAGGTTAGGGGTTCGAAACCAGCCTGGCCTACATGGTGAAACCCCATCTCTACTAAAAATACAAAATTAGCCAGGCGTGGTGGTGCATGCCTGTAATCCCAGCTACTTGAGAGGCTGAGGCAGGAGAACTGCTTGAACCGGAGGCTGCAGTTGGCTAAAATCACGCCACTGCACTCCAGCCTGGGCAACAGAGCAAAACTGTCTCATAAATAAATAAATGGTAACTGGCACATGACCTGCATCATCAAAGGGCACCTACCACCCGCCTGTGCCCATTAAGTTAATTGGCCAGTAATATCTCTCAAGTGCGGGTTCACCAAGGGTGGCAAATCCCACTGAAGACATACCTTTCTGTTATCTACGAAATTCTGCTCTGCAACTCCCTCGCCTCCAGCTGCCCTTACCTACCCAATGCTAGAACGTTCTTCTTGTAACTTCCGACTGTGTGCCAGCTTTTCTCAGGTGTGCTCTGATGCACCTAAGAGATGACCCTTGTCATCCCATTTCACAAATAAAAACACAGAGGTCCAGGAGCCTAAGTCATTCATTCCTATTTATCCCAAAGGTGCAGAGCTAAGATCCCCATCTGCAGTTTTAAGCCCTCCAATACTCAATACTGGGTGCTAAGCCTTTATGAACATCATCTTATTAACAATAAAAGTAGTAAACAGAGTAACAAAGGCTGACATGTGCTGACTGCTTGGTGCCAAGCCCCCTGACATACAGTTTGCCATTTAATTCTCCACCAACATTATAAGGGTGCTACCACTATCCCCTTGCTAAAGATAAAGAAACCAATGCATTAAGAGGATACAACATTTGCCCAAAGTCAGAGCTGATAAATGGTGTGGGTTAGGCATGAATCCTCAACCACTACTCACTGAATTTTCACAAAAATTCTACAAAAGGTGTACTATCAACCCCACTTTTTTTTTTTTTTTTTTTTTGAGACAGTCTTGTTCTGTTGCTCAGGATGGAGTGCAGTGGCGCGATCTCGGCTCATTGCAACCTCCGCCTCCTGGGTTCAAGTGATTCCCGTGCCTCAGCCTCCCAAGTAGCTGGAATTACAGGCACCATGTCCGGCTAATTTTTGTTATTTTTAGCAGAGACGTGGTTTCACCATGTTGGCCAGGCTGGTCTTCAACTCCTCACCTCAAGTGATCCGCCTGCCTCGGTCTCCCAAAGTACTGGGATTACAGGCGTGAGCCACCGTACCGGGCCACAACCCCACTTAAAAAAAAAATTTTTTTTTTGAGAGACGAAGTCCTGCTCTGTCACCCAGGCCGGAGTATAGTGGCACAATCACAAAGCACTCCAGCCTCCGACTCCTGGGCTCAAGCAATCCTCCCACCTCAGCCTCCTGAGTAGCTGAGACTACAGACGCACTCGACCACACCCGACACCCGGCTCCAACCCCATTTAAAACAGAGAAACTGAGGATCACAAAGGTTAAGCCCCTCGCTTAAATCACGCAGCTGGCAAAATGGCCAGAAGCTGGACTCGCAAATCCAACCCGTTGCTCCCCAGAACCCAAACCATTCCTGGCCTGCTCAGTGAACTCACCTCAAACTCTCGAATGTACGGCGCAATGCCACAATAAGGTTGATTGTGGTGTTTTTCATGTGGCAGTTTCTCCAGGGGTGGCAGGTATGGAATAGGGTCACGGGGGGCAAAGAGGGCCAGAAGGTTGGGCGGCAGGAACTGGGTCATCTTGCCAAGTCTGAGAGCAGAAGCAGGACAGCCTTAGGTTAGATCGGGTCTGCACAGAGAAAGCCCCTGTTACTCCTTGACTCTCAAAATAAGAAAGACAGGAGAAAAGTCTCGGAATTAAAACAGGCTCTGTAAGGGCAGAGAACAGTCCTGTGTTGCGGAGAAAAGGGTACGTCTTGGTGGGGGTGGAGGTGAAAGGCCGGTAAAGAAAACAAAAATAACGGCTGGAAAAGGGTTCCTGAAGAGTGAAGTCTCAGAGTCCTCTGACACGAGCTGTGGGGCGGAGAGGTTCCCTGGGAATTTCTGGGGAAATCAAGGACCCGAGGAGGGAGGCCCAGAGCAGCTGTGGCTGCTCGTCCCGTGCCGTGGAGGGCAAATTACGAGATGCAGTTTGCAGGGTCCTGGGGATCGGAAGTTTCCAAGCAAAGAAAGAGAAACATAAGGAGCGAAGCCCCAAAACCAAGTGCTTGTGGGTAACAGACCTGGACCCCGCAAAAAGCGAAAGGAATTATGGGTAAGGGTCCAGGACAACATAGACAAACGAAAAAGAAAAAAGGCCACACACCGCAAGGGCCTGTGGGTAGGGAACCACGAGGGCGCTGTGGGAAGCGGGCGTGGGTGCCCAGAGATTTCGGGGTCCGGGAAAGGGATGCAGAAGGGACCTGTGGCGGGGACGCGGGAAAGGGGCCTGGCCGCGGGGAAGAGGACCGGGCCCACCGCTGGGGCTTCTGGGTAGCGGCCCCGCACCCCGTCGGGCCACTCAGTCACACTCACTCACCGCGTAGCGCCCTCCTCGCTCTGGCGTCTGTCCGGAGGCTCGCGGCGGCTGCGGCAGCCCCTCAGCAACAACAACTCCTGCTTCGGCTTCCACTCCGGGGGCGTCCACGTCCGTCTGATTCCGTCGCCCGCTAAGCGAGCGCACCAGGCCGCTGCTCAGCCACCCGCGCGGCCTCCGATAGCGACTGGAGCAGGGGGTGGGTCCCGGCCGCAAATCCCTCCGCCGTCCTCACTGCGCACGCGCCGTGCGGTGCCAACAACAACCCACACACTAGGACCCGGCGCTGCCGCGGGCACAGCGCACGCGCGAGGTCACTACCCCGCCTTTGGGCACCTTGAGTACCTCAGCCGCGGGGGGCTGGCTTCTGCACTGCGCGCGCGCGCTTGCCCCAAGCCGCCCCTCCACCTCCCGCTTTCCGCGCCGAACCGCCTATGTCCGCGAGACTCTCCCTGATGCTCCGCCCCTTTCCGATCACACTTCCCGGATCTTTCGCGCATGCGTTTTGCGTAGAGAACTGTAACGTACCTCTCCGCCGCCTAGCAAAGAGTCCCTAGGTGAACAGCCTGATTGCGTTGATGTCTAATCTATTCAATCAATAACTATTCATCGAGCATCTCGTGTGTGCTAGGCACTGTCTGGGCTTTGGGGGTACAGCACGTGATTAAAGCAAAGTCTTCTGCTGCTAGGGCTTACATTGTACTGGGAGAGACAATAAAAGCATTTAACTGAATAAAGATAATTTGAGGCCAGGCGCGGTGGATCACGCCTGTAATCCCAGAACTTTTGGGAGGCTGAGGCGGGCAGATCACCTGAGGTCAGGAGTGTGAGACCAACCTGACCAACATGGTGAAAGCCCGTCTCTACTAAAAATACAAAAATTAGCCGGGCGTGGCCGTGCGCGCCTGTAAGCCCGGTTACTCTGGAGGCTGAGGCGGGAGAATCGCTTGAACTCGGGAGGCGGAGGTTGCAGTGAGCCGAGGTCGTGCCATTGCACTCCAGCCTGGGCGACAGAGCGACTCCGTCTCAAAAGTAAATAAATAAATAAATAATAAAAGATAATTTGAGATAGTGGCCAGCATAATGAAGAACGATGGAGCAGAATAAAGGGATGGGAAGTGAGAGCGAGGCTGTTTTAGAAAGGGTGATAATGGAAGGCCCCTCTGAAGAGGTAACATTTGAATAAAGGACAGATAGAAGCGAGATCTGGGGTGGGGCCGGGGGGGCGGTGTTTAACAGTAAGTGCAAAGGTCCTGAACTGAGACCAGATGGCAGGAATCTCAGGTTGTTGGCCATGAGATCAGAGAGCTGGCACTTGTTATTTAGAGCCCTGTTCTTAAGTATTGTATCTTAAGTTTTGTGGATGGATTCAATAGCCTGTTTAATAACTACAGAAATTATTGCAAATTAAAATGACTAATTTTATGTTTCAAGAAAAAGGCCGAGTGCAGTGCTCACGCCTGTAATCCCAGCACTTTGGGAGGCCAAGGCGGGCAGATCACCTGAGGTCAATAGTTCGAGACCAGACTGATCAACATGGAGAAACCCCGTCTCTACTAAAAATACAAAATTAGCTGGGCATGGTGGCACATGCCTATAATCCCAGCTACTTGAGAGGCTGAGGCAGGAGAATCACTTGAACCTGGGAGGCAGAGGTTGTGGTGAGCCAAGATGGCACCATTGCACTCCAGCCTGGGAGACAAGAGCAAAACTCCGTCTCAAATAAAAAAAAGAAGTGGGAGGATCGTTTGAGCCGAGAAAGTTGAGGCTGCAGTGAGCCAAGATTGTGCCACTAGACTCCAGCCTGGGCGACAGAGCGAGACTCCGTCTCAAAAAAAAAAAAAAAAAAAGAAAGAAAAGGGCTGGGTGTGGTGGCTCACACCTGTAATCCCAGCACTTTGGGAGGCCGAGGTGGGCGGATCACCTGAGGTCAGGAGTTCGAGACCAGCCTGGCCAACATGGTGAAATCCCATCTCTACTAAAAATACAAAAATTAGCTGGGAGTGGTGGCACGCACCTGTAATTCCAGCTACCTGGGAAGCTGAGGCAGGAGAATTGCTTGAACCCGGGAGGCAGAGATTGCACGACTGCACTCCAGCCTGGGCAACAGAGTGAGAATCTGTCTCAAAAAAACAAATAAAATAGGCCGGGTGTGGTGGCTCACACCTGTAATCCCAGCACTTTGGGAGGCCAAGGTAGGAGGATCCCTGAGATCAGGAGTTCAAGACCAGCCTGGGCAACATGGCGAAACCCCTTCTCTACTAAAAATACAAAAATTAGCTGGACATGGTGGCATGCACCTGTAATCCCAGCTACTTTGAAGGCTAAGGCAGGAGAATCGCTTGAATCTGGGAGGTGGAGGTTGCAGTGAGCTGAGACTGTGCAACTGCACTCCAGCCTGGACAGAGCAAGACTCTATCTCAAAAAATAATAATGATGGCTGGGCACGGTGGCTCACACCTGTAATCCTGGCACTTTGGGAGGCTGAGGCAGGCAGATCATGAGGTCAAGAGATCGAGACCATCCTGGCCAACATGGTGAAACCCTGTCTCTACTAAAAATACAAAAATTAGCTGGGTATGGTGGCACGTGCCTGTTGTCCCAGCTACTTGGGAGGCTGAGGCAGGAGAATTGCTTGAACCCAGGAAGCAGAGGTTGCGGTGAGCCAGGATCGTGCCACTATACTCCAGCGTGGCAACAGAGCGAGACTTTGTCTCAAAACAACAACAATAAAAATAAAATAATAATAATAATAAAATAAAAGGGAGAAATCTGCCAAAGGAAAGGGACAATAGGCTTAACAGAAGTCTGAAACACAGCAGAGAAGACATTAAACTTTAAAGCTCTAGCCTGGCACAGTGGCTCACACCTGTCATCTCAGCACTTTGGGAGGCCGAGGTGGATGGATCACGAGGTCAGGAGTTCAAGACCAGCCTGGCCAAGATGGTGAAACCTCATCTCTACTAAAAATACAAAAATTAGCCAGGTGTGGTGGCAGGTGCCTGTAATCCCAGCTACTCAGGAGGCTGAGACAGAAGAATTGCTTGAACTCGGGAGGCGAAGGTTGTCGTGAGCCAAGATTGCACCACTACACTCCAGCCTGAGCAACAGAGAAAGACTCTGTCTCAAAACAAAAACAAAAACAAAAAAAAACTTTAAAGCTCCAAAATAATCCCTGATTCCATGTTCTGCATCCAAGGCACACTGGTGCAAGGAGTGGGCTCCCAAAGTCTTGGGCAGCAAAGTCCAGCCCCAATGTCTCCTCACACAGGTTGGAGTTTAGTGCCTGCAGCTGTTGTAGGCTCAGGGTGCAATCTGCTGGCAGACCTGTCACTCTGGGATCTAGAGAGGAGGGGTCCCCTTCTCACAGCTCCACTAGGCAGCGCCCTGGTGGGGACTCTATGTTAGGCCTCCAACCCCACCTTTCCCCCTTGGCACTGTCCTAGTAGAGGCTCTCTGTAGGGACTCCAACCATGCAGCCGACTTCTGCCTGGACACCCAGGCTTTCCTACACATCCTCTGAAATCCAGGTGGGAGCTGCTAAGCTTCCTTCACTCTTGCATTCTGTGCACCTGCAGGCTTAATCCCACATGAAAGCTGCCAAAGTTTATGGCTTGCACCCTCTGGAGTGGTGGCCCAAGCTGTACTTGGGACCCTGTGTGTCATGGCTGGTGATCGAACAGCAGGGATGCAGGGGAGCAGTGTCCCCAGGCTGAGCAGGAGACAGGGCCCTGGATCTGGCCCAGTAAACCACTCTTTCCTTATATGCCTCAGAGCCTGTGATGGGGGAGGCTGTTTTGAAGACTCCTGAAATGCCTTCAAGGCCTTTTTCCCATTGTCTTGGATGTTAGCACTTGGCTTCCTTTTAGTCACGCAACCTCTCCAGCAAGGCAATACAGCCTGCTTCTATTTCTCTCCTAAAAAATGCTCTTCCCTTCTCTACCACATTGCCAGGTTGTGACTTTTCTAAACTTTTATGCTGTGCTTCCTATTTATTGATTGATTTTTCAGAGACAGGGTCTCACTGTGTCACTCAGGCTCATGTGCAGTGGCTATTCATAGGCATGATCCCACTCCTGATCAACATGGGAGTTTTGACCTGATCCATTTCCAGCCTAGGTCAGTTCAACCCCTGCTAGGCAACCTGGTAGTCTCCCACGCATGGGAGGTTACCATATTGAAGCCAAACTTAGTATGGACACCTAATCAGCATAACACACTACAGCCCAGAACTTCCTGGGCTCAAACAATCCTTCTGCCTCAGCCTCCAAGTAGCTGGGACTACAGGCATGTGCCACAGAGCCTGGCTGCCTCTCTTTATTTATTTATTTATTTAAGACAGAGTCTTGCTCTGCCACCCAGGCTGGAGTGCAGTGGCGCAATCTCGATTCACTGCAAGCTCCGCCTCCCAGGTTCATGTCATTCTCCTGCCACAGCCTCCTGGGTAGCTGGGACTACAGGCGCCTGCCACCACACTCGGCTAATTTTTTGTATTTTTAGTAGAGACGGGGCTTCACTGTGTTAGCCAAGATGGTCTTGATCTCCTGACCTCGTGATCCGCCTGTCTTGGCCTCCCAAAGTGCTGGGATTACAGGCGTGAGCCACCGCACCTGGTCCAGAACATCCCTTTTTAAGAATGAAAACTTGCCAGGCACGGTGGCTTACGCCTGTAATCCCAGCACTTTGGAAGGCCGAGGTGGGTGGATCACCTGAGATCAGGAGTTCAAGACCAGCCTGGCCAACACAGTGAAACCCTATCTCTACTAAAAATACAAAAATCAGCCAGGTGTGGTGGCACACACCTGTAATCCCAGCTGCTCAGGAGGCTGAGGCAGGAGAATCGCCAAGATCGCGCCATTGTACTCCAGCCTGGGCAACAAGAGCCAAACTACGTCAAAAACAACAACAACAACAAAAAGAAATAGAAGAAAAGAAAGAGAAAGAAAGATAGATTTAAATTATTCGGGTGTGGTGGCTCAGGTCTGTAGTCCCAGCTACTTGAGAGGCTGAAGTGGGAGGATCTGTTTGAGCCTGGGAGGTCAAGGCTGCAGTGAACTATGATTACAACACTGCACTCCAGCCTGGGCAACAGAGTGAGACCTTGTCTCAAGAAAAAAAATGTTAACATCACCAGTGATATGGCATATGGACATCATACACCCCCCAGTATGATATAATGAGAAGAGCAATGCCTCTCTGTGGCATTCTCTCTACCCCCACCCAACAAAAAGTATAACCTCAATCCAAGCAAGATAACAGATCAGAGGAACACAAATTGAGAGACAGTCTACAAAACAACTGACTAGTATTCTTCTAGTTTCCAGATCATGAAAGACAAGGAAAAAGTAACAAACTATCACAGATTGCAGAAGACTAAGGAGGTATGACAACCAAATGCAACATAGTAACCCCGACTGCAGCCTGGCGTGGGAAAAAGACATTAGTGGAAATATAGAAAACCTGAATGAACTCTTTCATTTTGTCAAAAGTATTGTGCCACCTCAATGTCTTGGTTTTGAGACAGAGTCTGGCTCTCTCACCCAGGCTGGAGTGCAGTGGTGCGATCTTGGCTCACTGCAACTTCCACCTCCCGGGTTCAAGCCATTCTCCTGCCTCAGCCTCCCGAGTAGCTGGGACTACAGGCACCCGCCACCACGCCCAGCTAATTTTTGTACTTTTAGTAGAGTCGGGGTTTCACCATGTTGGCCAGGCTGGTCTCAAACTCCTGACCTCAGGTGATCCGTCCCCTCTAGCCTCCCAAAGTGCTAGGACTACAGGCGCGAGGCACTGCTCCGGCCAATGTCTGAGCTTTAACAAACGTTGCCAAAGCAATGCAACATTCTAACATTTGGGGAACCTGGGTGATGGATATTTTTTAAATGTCTGTACAATCTTTGCAACTCTTCTGTAAGGCTACAAATAGTTCAAAGTGAAAATGAAACAAAACAGGCCCAACACAATAGCTCGCACTTGTAATCCCAGCGCTTTGGAAGGCTGATGTGGGAGGATTACCTCAGGTCAGGAGTTCGAGACCAGCCTGGCCAACATATTGAGACCAAAAATTAGCCCGGGCACGGTGGCTCATGCCTGTAATCCCAGAACTTTGGGAGGCCAAGCCAGGTGGATCACAAGGTCAGGAAATTGAGACCAGCCTGGATAACACAGTGAAACCCCATCTCTACTTAAAATACAAAAAAAATTTTAGCCGGGCGTGGTGGCACGCGTCTGTGGAGGTGGAAGTTGCAGTGAGCCAAGATTGGGCCACTGCACTCCAGACTGGGTGACAGAGTGAGACTCCATCTCAAAAAAAAAAAAAAAAAAAAAAAAAAAAGGCAGAGCAGGGCCAGTGGCTCACACATGTAATCCTAGCGCTTTGGGAGGCTGAGGCCAGAGGATTGTTTGAGCCCAGGAATTTAAGATCGGCCTGGACAACATAGTGAGACCTTATCTCTACCAAAAATTTTAAAGAAAATTAGCCGGGCATGGTGGCGCACACCTGTAATCTCAACTACTCAGGAGGCTGAAGCAGAAGACTTGCTTGAACCCAGGAGGCGGAGGTTGCAGTGAACCGAGATCGCACCACTGCACTCCAGCCTGGGCAACAGAGTGAGATTCTGTCTCAAAAAATAAATAAAATAGGCCGGGCGCGGTGGCTCACGCCTGTAATCCCAGCACTTTGGGAGGCCGAGGCGGGCGGATCACGAGGTCAGGAGATCGAGACCATCCCGGCTAAAACGGTGAAACCCCGTCTCTACTAAAAATACAAAAAAATTAGCCGGGCGTAGTGGCGGGCGCCTGTAGTCCCAGCTACTTGGGAGGCTGAGGCAGGAGAATGGCGTGAACCCGGGAGGCGGAGCTTGCAGTGAGCCGAGATCCCGCCACTGCACTCCAGCCTGGGCGACAGAGCGAGACTCCGTCTCAAAAATAAATAAATAAATAAAATAAAATAAAATAAAACAAATGCTACCATAACCTCAGAGAATGACTCTGAGGAATTGGAGAGTCTGACTGTATTATTTTCTTGTTGCCGCTACAACAACTTACCACGAACTTAGTGGCTTAAAACAACACAAGTTTATTAGAATGCAATTCTAGAGGTTAGACGTCGAAAACAGGGCTCTGTTTCCTCTGGAGGCTCTAGGGGAGAGTCTGTTTCCTTGCCTTTTCAAGCTTCGGGAAGCCGCCCCCATTCCTTGGCTCATGGCCGTTCCTCCGTCTTCAAACTTCAAAGCCAGCACCATGGCATCCTCTCTTCTCTGACCTCTATGTCCATCCTCACATCTTCCATGAATCAGACCTTCCTGCATCCCTCTTTTTTTTTGATTTTTTATTTGTGAGACAGAGTCTCACTCTGTTGCCCAGGCTGGAGTGCGGTGGCTCAATCTCAGTGCACTGCAGCCTCCACCTTCTGGGTTCAAGTGATTCTCCTGCCTCAGCCTCCCCAGTCGCTGGGATTACAGGCGCCCACCACCATGTCCAGCTAATTTTTGTTATTTTTAGTAGGGATGGGGTTTTGCCATGTTGGCCGGTCTGGTCTTGAACTCCTGGCCTCAGGTGATCCACCTGCCTCAGGCTCCCAAAGTGCTGGGATTACAGGAGTGAGCCACTGCACCCAGCCACGTCCCTCTTTTAAAGACCCTTATGATTAGTGGGCCTACCCAAATGATCCAAGATAATATCCCTAACTCATCAGCCTTAATTTTTTATCTTTTATTTTTTTGAGACAGGGTCTTGCTTTGTCACCCAGGCTGGAGTGCAGTGGTGTGATCATAGCTCACTGCAGCTTTGACTTCCTTGGCTCAAATGACCCTTCCACCTCAGCCTCCCAAGTAGCTGGATTACTGATGTGCATGACCACACCTGGCTTTTTGTTTTGTTTTGTTTTTGAGACAGAGTCTCACTCTGTTGCCCAGGCTGGAGTGCAGTGGTGCCATCTCAGGTCACTGCAACCTCCACCTCCCAGGTTCAAGTGATTCTCCTACCTCAGCCTCCAGAGTAGCTGGGATTACAGGCGCGAGCCACCCGGCCCAGCTTATTTTTGTATTTTTAGTAGAAATGGGGTTTCACCATGTTTACTAGGTTTGTCTTGAACTCCTGACCTCAGGCAATCCAGCCACCTCGGCCTCCCAAAGTGATGGGATTATAGGAGTGAGCCACTGTGCCTGACCCACCTTTTAAGTTTTGTTCTAACTTCCTGAGCAAAAAAATGGCACCTTGGCTGGGTGCGGTGGTGCACGCCTATAATCTCAGCACTTTGGGAGGCCAAGTCAAGTGGATCACTTAAGGTCAGGAGTTCGAGACCAGCCTAGCCAACATGGTGAAACCTCATCTCTACTAAAAATACAAAAATTAGGTTGGGTGTGGTGGCTCACGCTTGTGATCCCAGCACTTTGGGAGGCCGAGGTGGGCGGATCATGAGGTCAGAAGTTCGAGACCAGCCTGGCCAACATGGTGAAACCCCATCTCTACTAAAAATACAAAAATTAGCCTGGTGTGGTTGCGCACACCTGTAATCCCAGCTACTCAGGAGGCTGAGGCAGGAGAATCACTTGAACCCAGGAGGTGGAGGTTGCAGTGAGCCGAGATCACACCACTGCACTCCAGCCTGGGCGACAGAGCAAGGCTCCATCTCAAAAAAAAAAAAAAAAAAAAAAAAAAAGGCTGGGCATGGTGGCTCACGCCTGTAATCCCAGCACTTTGGGAGGCCAAGGTGGGTGGATCACGAGGTCAGGAGATTGAGACCATCCTGGCTAACACGGTGAAACCCCGTCTCTACTAAAAATACAAAAAATTAGCCAGGCGTAGTGGCGGGCGCCTGTAGTCCCAGCCACTCGGGAGGCTGTGGCAGGAGAATGGCATGAACCTGGGAGGTGGAGCTTGCAGTGAGCTGAGATCGTGCCACTGCACTCCAGCCTGGGCAACAAGAGCGAGACTGTGACTCAAAAAAAAAAAAAAAAAAAAAAAAAAAAACGAGAATGGGAGAAAATAGGAGACAGAGACCAGAAAGATGGTGGACAGAGAGAGATAGAGAAGGCCAAAGACCGTGAAATAAATGGACACAGACCCAGACAGAGGGAAGATAGAGACCTAGAGAGAGGGACATAGAAGTCCAGGGGACATAGAATCCCAGACAGGGTGGGTGCAGTGGCTTACACCTGTAATCCTAGCACTTGGAGAGGCCTAGTACGGTGGATTGCTTGGGCTCAGGAGTAGAAGAGCAGCGTGGGCAACATAGCAAGACCCTGTCTCTACAAAAATTACAAAAAATAGCCATGCATGGTGGCTCACGCCTATAGTCCCAGTTACTTAGAAGAGGTGGGAGGGGCCAGGTGGGGTGGCTCATGCCTGTAATCTCAGCACTTTGGGAGGCCAAGGTGGGCGTATCACCTGAGGTCAGGAGTTCGAGACCAGACTGATCAACATGGAGAACATGTATTTTAGTCTCTACTAAAAATACAAAATTAGCTGGGCATGGTGACACATGCCTGCAATCCCAGCTACTTGAGAGGCTGAGGCAGGAGAATCACTTGAACCTGGGAGGCGGAGGCTGTGGTAAACCGAGATTGCACCATTGCACTCCAGCCTGGGTGACAAGAGCGAAACTCCGTCTCAAAAAAAAAAAAAAAAAAAAGAAGTGGGAGGATCGTTTGAGCCCAGAAAGTCGAGGCTGCAGTGAGCCAAGATTGTGCCACTAGACTCCAGCCTGGGCAACAGACTGAGACCCTGTCTCAAAAAATAAAGAAAGAAAGAAAGAGAGAGAGAAAGAAAGAAAAGAAAAGGGCCGGGTGAGGTGGCTCATGCCTGTAATCCCAGCACTTTGGGAGGCCGAGGCGGGCAGATCACCTGAAGTCAGGAGTTCAAGACCAGCCTGGCCAACATGGCAAAACCTTGTCTCTACTAAAAATACAACAATTGTAGGGTCCAGCCCCACAGGGTCGGTGGGTTTTTCTCCGTTTGCAGAGACGAGAGATTGTGGAAATAAAGACACAAGACAAAGAGATAAAAGAAAAGACAGCTGGGCCCGGGGAACCACCACCACCAAGACACAGAGACCGGTAGTGGCCCCGAATGCCTGGCTGTGCTGATATTTATTGGATATAAGACAAAGAGGCAGGGTGAGGAGTGTGAGACATCTCCAAGGATAGGTAAGGTCCCCTGGGTCACGTATCCACTGGACAGGGAGCCCTTCCCTGCCTGGCAGCCGAGGCAGAGAGAGAGGAGAAAGAGAGACAGCTTACGCCATTATTTCTGCATATCAGAGACTTTTAGTACTTTCACTAATTTGCTACTGCTATCTAGAAGGCAGAGCCAGGTGTACAGGATGGAACATGAAAGCGGACTAGGAGCTGAAGCACAGCATCACAGGGAGATGGTTAGGCCTCTGGGTAACTGCGGGTGAGCCTGACTGATGTCAGGCCCTCCACAAGAGGTGGAGGGGTAGAGTCTTCTCTAAACTCCCCCAGGGAAAGAGAGACTCCCTTTCCTGGTCTGCTAAGTAGCGGGTGGTTTTCCTTGGCACTGAGGCTACCACTAGACCATGGTCCACTTGGCAACGGGCGTGTTCCCAGACGCTGGTGTTACCGCTAGACCAAGGAGCCCTCTGGTGGCCCTGTCCAGGCATAACAGAAGGCTCGCACTCTTGTCTTCTGGTCACTTCTCGCTATGTCCCCTCAGCTCCTATCTCTGTATGGCCTGGTTTTTCCTAGGTTATGATTGTAGAGCGAGGATTATTATAATATTGGAATAAAGAGTAATTGCTACAAACTAATGATTAATGATATTCATATATAATCATATCTATGATCTATATCTACTATAACTATTCTTATTTTATATATTTTATTATACTGGAACAGCTCGTGCCCTCGGTCTCTTGCCTCGGCACCTGGGTGGCTTGCCGCCCACAAACAATTAGCCGCGTGTGGTGGGCGCCTGTAATCCCAGCTACTCCAGAGGCTAAGGCAGGAGAATTGCTTGAATTCAGGAGGCGGAGGTTGCAGTGAGCCAAGATCGCAACACTGCACTCTAGCCTGGGCGACTGCAAGACTCCGTCTCAAGAAAAAGAAAAAGAAAGAAAAGGCCGGGTGCAGTGGCTCACGTCTGTAATCCCAGAACTTTGGGAGGCCAAGGCAGGCGGTCACGAGGTCAGGAGTTCGAGACCAGCCTGGCCAACATGGTGAAACCCTGTCTCTACTAAAAATACAAAAATTAGGTGGGTGTGGTGACGGGTGCCTGGAGTCCCAGCTACTCAGGAGACTGAGGCAGGAGAATCGCTTGAAACTGGCAGGCGGAGGTTGCAGTGAGCTGAGATCACGTCCCCACACTCTAGCCTGGACAACAAGAGGGAAACTCCTCTCAAGAAAAAAAAAAAAAGAAAGAAAGAAAGAAGAAAAGAAGAGAGAAGGAATGGAAGGAAGGAAGACAGGAAGAGAAAGAGTGCCAGGATTAGCAGGGCGTTCGAACCCTTAGTACCTACCTCTCTCCACACCCCCAGCAGAGGGCGACCAGGACTTCTTTCCTGGGAGTCTCAGTGATCAAACCCCTCCACTTCCCCCAAGCCCATCTGATGGAGCTATTTTTATGCAGTGTCACCGGACACCAGTGGCTAGAAGGCCACCGTCTTGTCTCTGCGCCCTTCAGTTCCTGAAAATGACCCTGTGGCATCTCCCCGGCCCACACCCCCAACCCCCGCCCGTTCCGGCAAGACCAGACTCCTTTTGCCAGAGTCATAGCCGCAGCTCAGGTCCTGCTAGGTCTCAGAAAGTCTTGCGAAGAATCCAGGTGGAGACTCTGGAGCGAACTCTGGGGAGAGAATGGGGCGTGTGTGCACATGCTCAGTGGTTTGCAGCTGCCAGAGTGACCCTAGGATGGGACAGCCACCGGGACTGTGGCAGCACCCACATGGAGTGATGGTCAGGGAGAGATCAAGAGATATGACTCCGGAGACCCTAAGTCCTCTAGAGACCCCAAGGGGAGACCCAAAGGGGAGCGGCCGAGGAACCCTGAGACAGAGACATGGAGGGCTAAGAGATAATGAGCAAAAAGAGACCTAGAGAGGAGAGACAAAGAGACCAAGAGAGACAAGAGATAAACGGAGACAGACCAAGAGTCAAAATAAAGGCGGAGACCGAGACGTAGAGGCTGGCAGAGGGACCCATACAGAGGCCCCCAGAACGACGAATCTCAGAAATAAATGACCCATAGAGATACTCAGAGATACATCCCAAAAGAGACAGAGACCCAGAGGGGACAGCCGGACACAGACACACAAGAGAGTGAGAGACAAAGGTGCAAACAGGGCGACTCCAGGCCGGGCGCCGTGGCTCACGCTTGTAACCCCAGCAATTCGGGAGGCCAAGGAGGGCAGATCACTTGAGGTCGGGAGTACCAGACCTGCCTGGCCAACATGGTGAAACCCCTTCTCAACTAAAAAAGAAAAAAGAAAAAAAATTAGCTGGGCTTGGTGGCGCCTGTAATTCCAGCTACTAGGGAGGCTGAGGCACGAGAATCGCTTGATCCCGGGAGGTGGAGGTTGTTGCAGTGAGCCGAGATCGCGCCACTGCACTCCAGCCCGGGCGACAGAGGGAAACTGTGTCTCAAAAAAAAAAAAAAAAAAAAAGACAGAAAGAAAGAAGAAAGAGAAAAGAAAAGAGGCGACTGCAACTGAAGCCTGATTCTGACGAAACACACGCACACGGAAACTTGGAGAGACGCAGGACAGGATCCCGGCGGCAGAAGGACGGAGAGAAAGGGGACCCCGGGACGGGAAAGGCGCAGAGCAGGCGCGGGCGGCGGCGGCGGCGGGGCAGGGCAGGGCGGGCGTCCCGGCAGAGGGCGCGCGGTCGCCCTGTCGCCCTCCGCCCCGCCGGGGTCACAGTGCCCCCTCCCTCGCGCCCTAGCCGCCCTGCCGGGCTATTTTTACGCGCGGACACCGGACACCGGACACCGGGCTGGGGCGGCGGCGGCGGCGGCCGAGGCGGCCGAGGCGGGGCCGCACCGGGGCCGGGCGTCGGGGCCACACGTCGGTTCGCGGGTCGCCGGGGCTGCGCGCGCCATGGAGCCGCGGTGCCCGCCGCCGTGCGGCTGCTGCGAGCGGCTGGTGCTCAACGTGGCCGGGCTGCGCTTCGAGACGCGGGCGCGCACGCTGGGCCGCTTCCCGGACACTCTGCTAGGGGACCCAGCGCGCCGCGGCCGCTTCTACGACGACGCGCGCCGCGAGTATTTCTTCGACCGGCACCGGCCCAGCTTCGACGCCGTGCTCTACTACTACCAGTCCGGTGGGCGGCTGCGGCGGCCGGCGCACGTGCCGCTCGACGTCTTCCTGGAAGAGGTGGCCTTCTACGGGCTGGGCGCGGCGGCCCTGGCACGCCTGCGCGAGGACGAGGGCTGCCCGGTGCCGCCCGAGCGCCCCCTGCCCCGCCGCGCCTTCGCCCGCCAGCTGTGGCTGCTTTTCGAGTTTCCCGAGAGCTCTCAGGCCGCGCGCGTGCTCGCCGTAGTCTCCGTGCTGGTCATCCTCGTCTCCATCGTCGTCTTCTGCCTCGAGACGCTGCCTGACTTCCGCGACGACCGCGACGGCACGGGGCTTGCTGCTGCAGCCGCAGCCGGCCCGGTGAGAGGCGGGGCGTGGGTGGAGACGGGCGGGGTTTGGGAGGAGATGGGCGGGGTCCAGAGGGGACCTGGCCAATCATAAGGCGGGGCCAGGGGCTGCGAGGGGTGGGCCAGCCGAAGACAGGGTGGGCGGGAGGCGGGGCCTGAGGATCCGGGTCGGAGGACCTGCCCCATCAGAAGGTGGGGTTGAGGTCAGTGAGAAACCCGGCGTGAAGAGGGCAGGGCCCTTGATGCAAGGGGTAGGAGGACAGGAACCTTAAAAATCACAGCTGAGGGGGGCCAAGGAGAGCCTGAAAACTCCGGAGTCTGTGCGGCTGGGTGGTGAAAGCCAGGCCCTGAATAACTCCAGCTGAGGGTGCTGGAGCCCGAGGGGCGACAGTAGGAGGAATCTATGGAAAGAAAGCCAGGTTGAGGGGCCAGAGGAGGGGGCCTAGGGCTCGGCTTGCAGAGAAGGTCTTTTTTTTTTTATTTCCTGTGAGACAGAGTCTTGCTCTGTCGCCCAGGCTGGAGTGCAATGGCGCTATCTCGGCTCACTGCAAGGTCTGCCTCCCGGGTTCAAGCGATTCTCCTGCCTTAGCCTCCCAAGTAGCTGGGATTACAGGTGCAGGCCACCACGCCCGGCTAATTTTTGTATTTTTAGTAGAGATGGGGTTTCACCGTGTTGGCCAGGATGGTCTCTATTTCCTGACCTCGTGATCCGCCCGCCTCGGCTTCCCAAAGTGCTGGGATTACAGACGTGAGCCACCGCGCCCAGCCGCATTATACTCTGGGCTGGGACTGTGGAGGGCAAGGAAAAGCTAGGCACAAGGTGGTGGGGCCAGGGCAGGGATGCTCCCCATCTAGAAAATCAACACTGGAGGCGGGACTTTGAGAGAGAAGAGGTTGCACCCTACTCAAACATGAGTTCCCACGCATGAAGGGGCAGGGACCACGTCTCCAGCCACCCACCAGGTCAGGCAACCAGAAAGTCAGCGGCCCAGGGATGATCCCTGGGATCCTGGGAGGAAGTCTGGGATAACCAGGTCACGGAGGGCCTTGGCGCAGCGGCTACTGACCAATGTGTAAAGAGGAGCTGGGTATTTAAATGATGATTAAGGCTGTCCCCGTGTCCTAGCCCCAGCCTGACCCTCCCTGAACACTTTCCTCCCTGCAGTTCCCCGCTCCGCTGAATGGCTCCAGCCAAATGCCTGGAAATCCACCCCGCCTGCCCTTCAATGACCCGTTCTTCGTGGTGGAGACGCTGTGTATTTGTTGGTTCTCCTTTGAGCTGCTGGTACGCCTCCTGGTCTGTCCAAGCAAGGCTATCTTCTTCAAGAACGTGATGAACCTCATCGATTTTGTGGCTATCCTTCCCTACTTTGTGGCACTGGGCACCGAGCTGGCCCGGCAGCGAGGGGTGGGCCAGCAGGCCATGTCACTGGCCATCCTGAGAGTCATCCGATTGGTGCGTGTCTTCCGCATCTTCAAGCTGTCCCGGCACTCAAAGGGCCTGCAAATCTTGGGCCAGACGCTTCGGGCCTCCATGCGTGAGCTGGGCCTCCTCATCTTTTTCCTCTTCATCGGTGTGGTCCTCTTTTCCAGCGCCGTCTACTTTGCCGAAGTTGACCGGGTGGACTCCCATTTCACTAGCATCCCTGAGTCCTTCTGGTGGGCGGTAGTCACCATGACTACAGTTGGCTATGGAGACATGGCACCCGTCACTGTGGGTGGCAAGATAGTGGGCTCTCTGTGTGCCATTGCGGGCGTGCTGACTATTTCCCTGCCAGTGCCCGTCATTGTCTCCAATTTCAGCTACTTTTATCACCGGGAGACAGAGGGCGAAGAGGCTGGGATGTTCAGCCATGTGGACATGCAGCCTTGTGGCCCACTGGAGGGCAAGGCCAATGGGGGGCTGGTGGACGGGGAGGTACCTGAGCTACCACCTCCACTCTGGGCACCCCCAGGGAAACACCTGGTCACCGAAGTGTGAGGAACAGTTGAGGTCTGCAGGACCTCACACCTCCCTAGAGGGAGGGAGGGAGGGCAGGGTGGAGGGCAAGGCTGGGGGGAGGGGATTGGGTTTAGGAAGAGCTAGGTTAAGTCGTAACGAGTGGGGAAACACTGAGTCTTGTTGGGTCTTGGGTTGTGTGGTTTGGTAGCTCCTGTGGGTACCTCCTGAAGCAGCAGCGAATGGCAATGGGTTGTGTTGTGTTAATGAAGACTCAATTGGTTCATATTACTCTGAGTTGTGCAAAGCTCATGGAGCCTTTTGGGGTAGTGTTGAGATAGGTTTGGTCGTATCATTTTGTGAGTTTCCTAGGTCAGTGTTGGGTTTGGTTGGGTTGTGAGTCTGGGATAGTGTGGTCCAGCTGCATTGTGTAGGATTCTGTGGTTTGGTGGGTCCCCTAGGGCCATGTTGGGTCAAGTTAGATGGTCCCCCATGGCATTGTTGAGATCGAATGTGTGTGGTGTTAAGTTTCGTTGAGACATGGTGGAAATTGTGTAGCTCTGTGATTCTTCCAGGGGCATGTTATTTTAGGTTCTGTGAACTTGCGAGTCATGTAGAAATGTGAAGAGTCCAGTGGTAGAATTTGAGCTTTCTAGGTCACATTGGGTTAAGTTTGTATGACCAAATGAATCTTGTAGGGTTCTGTTGGGCTTAACTGTGTAGAGGTGTGTGGCTGGACATTTTTCGTGGCCACAGCGAGTTGAGTTGTGTTGAATTGTACAACCATATGAGCCTTGTAAGGCCAGTTCAGTTGGGTCATGCCACTGTTTGAGTCTCATAGGGCCATGCTGAATTGAGTTCCATTGAGTTGTGTCACTATGTGAGTCCTACAGGAAGTTGGGTTGAGTTGGACTGTGCGAACGAGTTCCATAGGGCCACATCGGGCTGTTTTGCATTTAGTGGTAGCACCAGGACCCAAAGGAAATAGCAGTGGGGAAGCATCATGTATCTGGGAGCATGCAGTGGCGAGGGCTCTGGGAGGTGTGCCGAGCTGGCTCCCCAGCTCGCTGTAGGGGGCGGGACTGGATTCTGTATCCATGGGATTGGGTGTTCATCCAGAGGCGACTGGGTAAATTAGGAAGAGGTGGATGCTCCTCCTGTTTACCCCACATCCACTTCATTGTGCTGTTCACTCCCATTCTCCCCTACAGTTTTATGCTCAGACATGGAGGTCAGAGCCACAAGGGAAAGGGGAGAGGGGGAGAAAACTGTACTCTGTCCAGACATGATAGAGGGACAGAGCCAAAAGGATAGAGAAAGAGACCCAGAAAAAGGAAGAGGTGGAAACCCAGAGAGACAGAGACCCAAAGGGAGAGAAACAGAGACTCAGGGAGAGGGAGACAATGACCTGGAGGGTGGGGTATGGCAGAGACGCAGAAGAGAGGAACAGAAATCCAGAGTGGGGAGACAGAGACCAAGAGCAGGGGATAGAAGCCGGGCGAAGTGGCCCATGCCTGTAATCTCAGCACTCTGGGAGACCGAGGAAGGGGGATTGATTGAGGCCAGGAGTTCAAGACCAGCCTGGGCAACATGGTGAGACCCCATCTCTACAAAAAATACAAAAATTAGCTGAGTGTGGTGGCACATGCCTGTGATCCCAGCTACTCAGGAAGCTGAGGCAGAAAGATCCCTTGACCCTGAGAGGTAGAGGCTGCATTGAGCCATGATTGCACCACTGCACTCCAGCCTGGGCAACAGAGGGAGCCCCCGTCTCAACAAACAAACAAAAAGAGCCAGTGGGGGAGGGAGGGACAGAGACCCAGAGGGCAGCGTCAGACACCCAGAGTTGGAGACAGAACAACAGAGTCTCAGGGAAAGAGAACCACAATAGAAAAAGGCAGAAAAGGCCGGGCGCGGTGGCTCATGCCTGTAACCCCAGCACTTTGGGAGGCCGAGGTGGGCAAATTACGAGGTCAGGAGATCCAGACCATCCTGGCTAACACGGTGAAACCCCGTCTCTACTAAAAATACAAAAAAATTAGCCGGGTGCGGTGGCGGGCACCTGTAGTCCCAGCTACTCGGGAGGCTGAGGCAGGAGAATGGCATGAACCTGGGAGGCGGAGCTTGCAGTGAGCCGAGATTGCGCCACTGCACTCCAGCCTGGGCAGCAGAGCAACACTCTGTCTCAAAAAAAAAAAGAAAAGAAAAGAAAAAGCCAGAAAAAGTTGGTGCCCCTGAACCCAAGAGTGATGTACAGTCTATTCCATAGAATCACAGAACAATCCTGAACCAGGCCTGTCACCTACCCTCCCTGCAGCTCAGGAAGGCTGTCAGACAGGCTGGGGGCCTCACTCTGTTTTCCAGGGGAGAAACCTGAGTCTCAGAGCAGGGGAGTGGCTTCCCAAGGTCTCACAGCTTGTCCCCAGGGGCCAGGCAGGCTGTCTGTCTGCTTCACATGTCCCCATCAGCCTGCTGGGACACACGGGTCCTCCTGAGTCCCGTAGCCTCATTTCTTACAGACGGGGAAACTGAGGCTCAGAGCAGCAGGTGTTACCCAAGGTCACAAGGCCGAACATTTTCAGAAATCTTTCAGAACTCAAAGGGCATTTAGAGGAAGAAGGCTGAAATCACTAACACATATAGGGCTTCCTTTGGTATCAAAGTACTTTACTTGGGTTAATTTATTAAAACCTATCCAGTGGTTTACAGACTGTTGTTGTTATTTTTAGCCATACCCACCCCTTTTTTGGGTCAAATAAATCTTCCTTAGAGACACCAGTGGGAAGCATGGGAAGGGAACTGGTTGGAGGAGAACACGCCTCCTCTTGGCAACTCAAAATGCAGCTCAGGAATTCAGTGTGGAAACCCCTGGTTTCATCTGAGCACCTTTTCATACAGCTAAAGAGAAGGTACAGATGGTGAGAGGAGTTTGATAATGGTTGAAATTAATAGAAGCTTTAGGTAGTCACTTCTCTCTGAAATGGAGAGAAAGCCAGATTTAGGGACAGAATGGAGACGGACCTCACAGTGACAAGAGACAGGTTGGACTCCAGCACAGAGACCTAAAGAGGAGACACAGACAGGAACTGAGGCCAGGAGGGAGGAGAGGCACAGAGCAAAAGAGAGAAATCCAAGGGCAAGGGGGAAGAGGGCAGATGGCCGGGAGCGGGAACAGAGACCCCCACGAGGGGAAAGAGAAGCAGACAGTGACCCCAAGAGAGAGGATGCAAGAGGCTCAGCAAGAAGGAGACTGGGACCCAGAGAGGGTGGACAGATATCCAGAGAGAAGAAAACTGGGACCTAGAAAGAGGGGGACAGAGACCCAGAGAGAAGGGGGGACAGAGACCTGGGGGGGAACAGAGACCCAGAGAGAGGGGGGACAGAGATCCAGAGACAGAGAGAGAGACAGAGACCCAGAGAGTGAAGGGGACAGAGACCCAGAGAGAGAGGGGGACAGAGACCCAGAGAGAGAGGGACAGAGACCCACAGACAGAAGGGGACAGAGACCCAGAGAGAGAGGGGGACAGAGACCCAGAGAGAGAGGGACAGAGACCCAGAGAGAGAGGGGGACAGAGACTCAGAGAGAGAAGGACAGACCCAGAGTTGGAGGGAGACAGAAATCCAGAGGGAGGGGAACAGAGACCTGGAGATAGGGGGACAGAGACTGTTTCCCAGTCACTCTGTTTGGAAACCTCATCCCTACTATCCCCTCCAGGACTAGAAGCTAGAAGCTAGAAGCTAGAGTCCTCCTGCTATGCGGCAGGATGTATTGGCTGTTTAGGAACAGGGGAAGGGTGGAGAAGCCGGAGAGGTGACCTGAATGCACACCCAAAGCCTGGGAAGTGGCCCTTCCCCCCACCCCCAATAAATAACTGGAGCGGCCTTGTGTGTTGCCTTGGCTGGGATGGTGAGGAGCAGGAAACACCCTAACCGGGGACACCCTCCTGCCACCTTGCCATGCTATATTTAGGCTGAGGGGGTGTGGGATGACCCTCGAGGCAGGTGTCAGTTTTCCTTCTGAAAATAGCGCAGGCGGAGGGGAGCGGAGTCTCAGGGTAGAGGTGTGGTGGGGTGAGGAGCCCCGCTGCCCTCATGACTGTCCTGAGACACTCCGGCTCCGGTCCCATCCCTGTCTTTCTCAGGGTCTCTCAGGGGCTCTGTCCCCTTCTCGGGGGGGTGGGGGGGTCTGCCCTCACGCTCTCTGGGCCTCTGTCTTCTCTCTGGGCTCCTGCCCTCCCCCACTCTCTCTAGTCTCGGTCCCCCTCTTTCTTTTGGTCTCTCCCCACTTTTCCATGTCTTCTCCCTATCTCTCCCTTCATGTCACCGCGCACCATTTCTCAAGGTAGCTGATTGTTCTTAAGACACATCTGTCTATCTCTGGTCCTATGATACCTTGCACGTCTCTTATCTGAGCTCAGGACAAGACCTTCTCCCCGGTCCCCAGCCAGGAAATTCCAGGGGAGAGGAGTATGCGGGAGCCCCCACATCCACTGTCTCCCCGGGCCTGGGGCCTTATCACTGCCCAAGCCCAGCTGGTTAATGTCTGGCGTGGAGCTCCTGGGAAGTGGGGAGGAGAGCAGAGGGTGGGAATCTGCCCCGGGATTGACACGCAATTGGCAAAAGACGGCAAAGGAATCTCAGGCCCAGACTCCTGGGGCTAATGGAGGAGGAGGCTGGGGGCTGGACTCCTGAGTCTGAGACGGGGCGGGGTTGGGAGGTGGTGGGGGGAACTGTGGGCTTAGTACTCAGGCGCCTGGGGCTGGGGGGAGAGGTGGCTGGGGTCGCAAGTCCTGGGTCTGAGGGAGGAGGGGCCGGATGCCTGGACTCCTGGGTCTGAAGGGAGGAGGGGCTGGGGGCCTGGACTGCTAGGTCCAAAGGAGGAGGCAGCTGGAAACTGGGACTCCTGTGACCAAGGCGGCCGCGTTGAACGAGCCAGGCCTGGCTTCCAAGGTCCCGGCACGCGAGTGCAAGGCAGGATCCCCCGGCCCCTCCTCTGCCGCCCGGCGCCGCCCCGCCCCCGCCCCCGACCCGGGCCCTGCGGAGCGTGAGCAGCTAGCACCCGGCGGGCCAGCGAGCGTCCCTGCAGCCAGCGAGCAGGAGGAGGAGCTGCTGCCGGGCGGAGGGCAGCCGCGGGAGCCGAAGAGGGCGCCCCAGGTAAGATCTCCACTCCTCCTCCCTCGGGATTCCGGCGTCCTGGTCGCCCTGCCCTCGGGTGGGGAGGGACGGGGGCGGGGCCGACCGGGGCGGGGCTTGGCGGAGGAAACTGAGGCAAGAGGGAAGTGTCCCAGATATGCAGCCGGTTTCCCCTGAGGGGTCTCGGAGTCCGGAACCCCCAACCCAAATCTGGAGGATGAGGAACCCGGAGTCTGCATTTCTTAGTATCCGAGAAGGAGGGGCCTGAATTCCAGAACTCCTGGGTCTGAGAGAGGAGGGCACTGGGGGCCTGGATTCCTGGGTCTGAGGGAGAAGGGCGCTGGGGGCATGGACTCCTGGGTCTGAAGGAGGAGGGCGCTGGGGACCTGGACTCCAGGGTCTGAGGGAGAAGGGTGCTGGGGGCCTGGGCCTGGACTCCTCCTGGGTCTGAGGGAGAAGGGTGCTGGGGGCCTGGACTTCTGGGTCTGAGAGAGGAGGGCGCTGGGGGCCTGGACTACTCCTGGGTCTGAGGGAGGAGGGCGCTGGGGATCTGAACTCCTGGGTCTGAAGGTGGAGGCCCTGGGGTCTGCACTACTCGGTCTGAGGGAGAAGGCGGTCCTGGTTGGGTCAGCCTGGGCTCCTTTCACTCTCCACCCTTCCCCTTTCCTGTACCGAGGAGCCAGGGCAGGCAGCCACTCCAGGTATGTGCAGAAGTCTTGGGCGGGCCCTGGCCTGTCCTGTGAGGAGGGAACATTCCAGGAAGCAGCTTGGGGAACCAGGGCTTCTTGAGTGTGGGCCCTCAGGGACCCGGGTGTCCAGGCCAGTTCCGCCCCATCTGGGAGATGAATGGGCCGAGGGGGATGTAATCTCTTCCAGCCTCCTTCATCCACTGCCTCTCCCTTCCCCTATTCTCCCTTCCCCTCCCTCCATCTGCTTCCCATCCCAGCCAGGAGCCATCACCTGGGTAGAAAAGGGGCCTCTGGAAAGGGGGCGGGGCCTTGACTCTTGGGTACCCTGCACTTGAAGAGGAACTCTGGGAAGGGGTTGTTCAGGGATTTGGCCCCTTCCCCACCTGCCTCTATAACCTGTCTATTCTTTTCTTCCCCTAGGTGGTTGCCCCCTCCCTCTCCTGAGATGTCAGGAAGGAGGGGGCCACCTGTGTCCTCCACAGGGGCCCCCCGAAGCCTGGGGACTCCCAGCCCCAGAGCTCCGAGGCGGAGGAGGTGCTGACAGGTCTGGTAACTACTGACTGTTTCCCAGTCTTCTCCACGCCACCCTTTCCCAGAACCACAGGCTTCCAGAATGTTGTAGGGAAACTGCAAAATCCGCGCCTCCACCAGCCTCTCCCAGCGCCAGGTCAATTTCACACACAGGGAAACTGAAGCCTGCCTCAGAGGGGCAGCGTTTTACCTCCTTAGTGGCAGTTTTGAGGTGAACTGGGGTCTCCCTAGGATTCCAGGTTGTGACCTTTCTCTAAATTGTGGAATGTGGCCAGGCGTGGTGGCTTGAGTCTGTAGTCCCAGCTACTCAGGAGGCTGAGGCAGGAGAATGCCATGAACTTGGGAGGCGGAGCTTGCAGTGAGCCAAGATCGTGCCACTGCACTCCAGCCTGGGCGACAGAGGGAGATTCCATCTCAAAAAAAAAAAAAAAAAAATTTTGTTTGGGACCAGGCATGGTGGCTTATGCTTGTAATCCCAGCACTTTGGGAGGCCAGGACACGACTATTGCTTGAGGTTGGGAGTTCAAGACCAGTCTGGCCAACATGGTGAAACCCCATCTCTATTAAAAATACAAAAATTAGCTGGGCACAGTGGCAGGTGCTTGTAATCCCACCTACTCAGAAGGCTGAGGCAGGAGAATCACTTGAACCCAGGAGGCAGACATTGCAGTGAGCCAGGATTGTGCCACTGTACTCCAGCCTGGCCAACAGAGTGAGATTCTGTCTCAAAAAAAAAAAATTGTTTGGAACATCCTCCAAGATGCAAGACTGTCGGTTCCTCAGAGTTGCACAGGAAGGACGGCAGAGTGCAGTTGCCCAGAGGTGAAGTCCCATCTCTGCCATTTGCTGGCTGTGTGACCGGGCACAAATCATTAACTTCTCTGAGCCTGTATTTCAACATCTGTTACTGTTAAGTAATAGTAGTTGAATTATTTTTATTTTTATTTTATTATTATTATTGTTTTTTAAGACGGAGTTTCGCTCTTGTTGCCCAGGCTGGAGTGCAATGGTTCAATCTCAGCCCACCACAACCTCCACCTCCTGGGTTCAAGTGATTGCCCTGCCTCAGCCTCCCAAGTAACTGGGATTACAGACATGCGCCACCACACCCGGGTAATTCTGTATTTTTAGTAGAGAAGGGGTTTCACCATGTTGACCAAGCTGGTCTGGAACTCCTCACCTCAGGTGAGCCGCCCATCTCGGCCTCCCAAAGTGCCGGGATTACAGGTGTGAGCCACCATGCCTGGCCTTATTTTTACTTTTGAGACAGAGTCTCACTCTTGTCGCCCAGGTGGCAGGGGAGTGGTGCACTCTCTGCTCACTGCAACCTCGGCCTCCTGGGTTCAAGTGATTCTCCTGCCTCAGCCTACTGAGTAGCTGGGATTACAGGCGTGCAGCACTATGCCCGGTTAATTTTGGTATTTTTGGTAGAGATGAGGTTTCACCATGTTGGCCAGGCTGCTCTGGAACTCCTGACCTCAAGTCATCCACCTGCCTCAGCCTCCCAGAGTGCTGGGATTAGAGGTGTGGGGCACAGTGCCTGGCCTGTAGTAGTTGAATATTTATTATTAATCTACAAGTTGCGCATTACGCAAGCCCTAGATATAGGGTCCCCCAAACTTCTAGAACAAGGGCTTCCCCACAATCCTGGCAGGCAAGCCTCCCCTGGGGTTCCCAACTTCTTTCCCCACTGAAGTTTTTACCCCCTTCTCTAATCCCAGCCTCCCTCTTTCTGTCTCCAGGTGCTCCGAGAGATGCTCCCTCTCCCCTCATGCTCCCTCCCCATCCTCCTCCTTTTCCTCCTCCCCAGTGTGCCAATTGAGTCCCAACCCCCACCCTCAACATTGCCCCCTTTTCTGGCCCCTGAGTGGGACCTTCTCTCCCCCCGAGTAGTCCTGTCTAGGGGTGCCCCTGCTGGGCCCCCTCTGCTCTTCCTGCTGGAGGCTGGGGCCTTTCGGGAGTCAGCAGGTGCCCCGGCCAACCGCAGCCGGCGTGGGGTGAGCGAAACTGCACCAGCGAGTCGTCGGGGTGAGCTGGCTGTGTGCGATGCAGTCAGTGGCTGGGTGACAGACCGCCGGACCGCTGTGGACTTGCGTGGGCGCGAGGTGGAGGTGTTGGGCGAGGTGCCTGCAGCTGGCGGCAGTCCCCTCCGCCAGTACTTCTTTGAAACCCGCTGCAAGGCTGATAACGCTGAGGAAGGTGGCCCGGGGGCAGGTGGAGGGGGCTGCCGGGGAGTGGACAGGAGGCACTGGGTATCTGAGTGCAAGGCCAAGCAGTCCTATGTGCGGGCATTGACCGCTGATGCCCAGGGCCGTGTGGGCTGGCGATGGATTCGAATTGACACTGCCTGCGTCTGCACACTCCTCAGCCGGACTGGCCGGGCCTGAGACCCATGCCCAGGAAAATAACAGAGCTGGATGCTGAGAGACCTCAGGGATGGCCCAGCTGATCTAAGGACCCCAGTTTGGGAACTCATCAAATAATCACAAAATCACAATTCTCTGATTTTGAGCTCAATCTCTGCAGGATGGGTGAAACCACATGGGGTTTTGGAGGTTGAATAGGAGTTCTCCTGGAGCAACTTGAGGGTAATAATGATGATGATATAATAATAATAGCCACTATTTACTGAGTGTTTACTGTTTCTTATCCCTAATACATAACTCCTCAGATCAACTCTCATGGATTTGATCATTGGTGGCCCTTGGTGTTAAGTTGCTGACTACTCAGTCTCAGAGGACACCACCTTGCTGGGGAGTGGGAGGGGACATTTCACGATGTGGGTGGAGGAGGAGAGAAACTAGAACAGGCAAGCAGATGGCCAGGGGACCTTGAGAACGTGGCCCACAGAAGGCCTTTAAGTATCTGGGAGATGGGGTTCAAATGGGAAATCTTACTTGGTAAGAGGGGGCAAAGGTTGACTTAGAATATTCTGTTTTGAGGTAATAAGCTACCGATCACAGAGGAGTACAAGCAAGGTTGAATGAGAAGTGATCAGGATGCTGGAGAGTTCAGCCCTCGGCAGGGAGCTGAAGTCAGGTTTCTAGCCCTCTTCCCTGTCCCAACCTTTACTCTACATTGGGAAAGAAACAGACCTTAAAATTTTCCAGCTTGATGGCCAGGTGCGATGGCTCATTCCTGTAATCCCAGCACTTTGGGAGGCCGAGGTGGGTGAATCACCTGAGGTCAGGAGTTCGAGACTAGCCTGGCCAACATGGTGAAAACCCGACTCTACTAAAATTATATAAAGAAATTAGCTGGTCGTGGTGGCGGATGCCTGTAATCCAAGCTACTCTGAAGGGTGAGGTAGGAGAATTGCTTGAACTCAGGAGGCAGAGGTTGCAGTAAGCCAAGACTGTACCATTGCACTCCAGCCTTGGCAAAAAGAGCGAAACTCCATTTCAAAAAAAAGAAAAAAATTTTGTCCAGCTTGAGTGGGGCATGAGTTTCTGACTAACTCATCGGCCCCCTGGCTAGGATCAGGGGGTCACTGT
Source organism: Homo sapiens (assembly GCF_000001405.40). NCBI lineage: Eukaryota > Metazoa > Chordata > Mammalia > Primates > Hominidae > Homo > Homo sapiens. The sequence continues at coordinate 49,060,257 of NC_000019.10, read as the reverse complement.
CCATTGAGAGCTGTTGAGTAGGGCCAGCAAAATCCAACAGAAAGGCCCCAGAAGCCTGAATGGGGGAGGAGGGGTAAGTGGGATCCTGGGCATGGCTGCAGAAAGTAGCCTCAGTTTTCCTTGTCTGCAGAATGGGCTGGTAGGATGAGATAATGGGGGTTGAGCAGTCAGAGGCCTTGACCAAAAGCTTTTTTTTTTTTTTTTTTTTTTTTTTTTTTTTTGAGATGGAGTCTCGCTCTGTCACCCAGGCTGGAGTGCAGTGGTGTGATCTGAGCTCACTGCAGCCTTCACCTCCCGGGTTGAAGTGATTCTTCTGCCTTAGTTGGGATTACAGGTGTGCGCCACCACGCCCGGCTACTTTTTGTATTTTTTGGTAGAGACAGGGTTTCGCCATGTTGGCCGGGCTGGTCTCAAACTCCTGACCTCAAGTGATCCGCATGCCTCGGCCTCCCAAAGTGCTGGGATTACGGGCATGAGCCACTGCGCCCGGTGATCAAAAGCTGTTTATAGTGAAGAAGTGACAAGGGAAGCCAGGGACAGACCACAGGCCTTCACAATAGCCCTTCACATGTTACCCATCGCCCCACCAACTCTCTCTCTCTCTCTCAGGTCCAGCTTTGAGCAAAGGACATAGGCAACTTCTCCCCGCATCTATACAGACCAGGCCCCTGGGCAGGGTGGGGCGTGGCTGCCTCAGTTTCTACGTCTCCTTGTTTTCCATCTGTGACTTTGGTCGTTTTTGCCACCTTCATCTCTGTCTCTAACTTCCAGTGTCTGTCGCCTCTGGGTAGTACTAATAGCTCCCTTTCCATCGTGGTCTCTTTCTTCCTCCCTGTCTCTCCCCTTTCTTGTTGTATTTATTCCTCACTCATCAAAGCCCATCTTTTTCGCTATGGTCCGGTGCACTTCTCTCTAGATCCCTTTCTCTTTCCCCACCCAGCCTACCCAGGTGGAAGTTTTCAACCAAATCAAAGGCAGGCAGGACAGCTGACACCAGCGCTGACTCCTTCAGCACGTGCGGGAAGGGTTGGGGAGCCCCGGGGACATCTGGAAATCGTTACCCCGAGGTGGGCAGGCCTGGCAGAGGGAGGAAGCAGCCAGGAGGTTCTGGACCCTGGAGCAAAGGGGGGTGTTTCTCATGGATGTCCTGAGGTGCTGGGGGCAGTGCAGGGGTCTCTGTCTGTATCTCTGACACCCCCAGGTCTCTGTCCTTCTTTCTGTGTCTCTGTCTCCCCCACCCCCTGGGTCTCTGAAATCCTGAACTTCTCCATCCCCTTCTGTCCGCCTCTTTCTGACTCTCCATCCCCCACTCCGTGTTTCTCTGTGCCCCTCTTGGAGTCCCTGTCTCTCTGTCTCTGGGTCTCTTAATCACTCCATCCATCCATGTGCCTGCAGGCCTTTCATTGGCTGGATTGGGGTGGGCGGGTTCTGTCACCTGGGGCAACAGCAACAAACCAGCTCCTGCTTGGCTACAGGGAGGGGGTGGAACCATGGCCAGTGGCACCCTGGCTGTGCGCTGTGGCCCCCCGTGGTCTTTCATCTCTGCAACCGAGATGCCTGAATCCTGGCCCAACTGGCATCTCACCAGCAGCTACGTTACCCATGGCATTATCCCACCCGTACCCTTCCCCCCGCCCACGGTGCAGGTGGGCAGACCCTAGGCTGAAGCCCTGCGGGGCCTGGGGACCCAGAAAGATGGGGGCTGAGAAAAGGGGATTGGGAGCTTGGACTCCTCTCTGAAGGAGGAGGGTCCTGGAGTCCTGGGTCTGAGAGAGGAGGCGCCAGGGAATTTGGATGCCAGGGACTGCAGAGGAAAGGGCTGGGGGCCGACTGGAAGAGGTCAGAGTTTGGGGTGGGGGGTGATAGGGACTCCTGAGTCTTTCTAGCTGATGTGCGGCGCCTTCTCTCCAGTCCACGGTCGCGGACCCTCTACCTCCGACTGCAAAGCAGGATTCTCGCATCTGGGCTTTCGACGAGGTCCTCAGCAGATGGGAGACAACCTCTGGCTCGGCCTACGTGCCCAAGACCCATGGCGGGCCCTGCGCCCAGCCCAGAGCCCCAGAGCCTGCAGACCCCACGCGGACTGTGGGGATCAAGGATTCAGGAGAAAAGGTAAGATTTGGGGAGCGCCGGAGTCTGCGGGGGACTGCATTTGAGTCCCCTGCTCCTTCACATGAGTCTCTGGGTTGCCTTTCCGCAGCTCAGACACCGCAGCTGAACCCTCCTACTGACCACAAAGTACCAGAGCAGCGAGACGAGGGCGCAGTACACTTGCTCTCCCGGCCCGGACGCGCGCGCCCCCAAATACGTCGGGCCCCAGCCCCTCACAACTCTCGGACCACCACCGCGGGGGGCCTTCCCAGGTGTCTGGGTGGAAGCCGGCGCTGGCGAGACCAGCGGAGCTCCGGGAGCCTGGGGCGGGGCCAGAAGGAAATCACAGCTTTGGGGCGTGGCTAAAGGATCTGGGGCGGGATCGGGAGGTTAGAGGAGCGGGAGGAAGGGCTGGGCATCCACGCCAGGCCAGAAGGACCAGGGGCTGGAAACTCGCCTTCAGGGCTCCTAAGCTGCTGCGGAGCTAGACGGCGGGCTGTGGGTGGGGAGGAGACTAGAATATTCTGAGACGTGGTAGGGTGGGAGTTAGGAGAGGTAACCTGGAGTTGTTGCCCAAGATGCAGCTCAGCTCCAGTGGCCACACCAAGAAGGCTTGAGACCGGGGGCAGAACCAGGGGGATTTTGTGGTGGCTGGGGGCCTGCATTTGAGTTCCTTGACCAGCAGGAGGGCTTGGATTTAGGGAGGTGAGGCTGGGAAGGGTTCGGGTATGAGAAAGGAAGCTGAAGTTCCCTGGCGTGGGTGGCAGGAAGGGCTCTGACCCTGGGGCGGGGTGTGAGGGCCGTGGCCGTCATGGCTGTCGAGGCCGAAGGAGAGGGATTCTGAACTCGGGACCCAGGACTTGGGATGGGGTATGAAATCTATGTCTTGGGTATGCCTCCTCCCCCAATCTTGCTCAGGCTCTAATCGCCTGCACGAAGAACCCCGCGCTGTCTGGCCCACCCTTCACAGTATCCGACCGGGGCGTCCTGAACCGCCGCCAGCTCTATCTGACCACCTCGGCGCGGGACTTTCGGTTCTATCCCAAGTAAGCCGGGCTCTCGCTCGGCACCGCCTCCTGCACAGCCCCCGCCATGGCCGGTGCACGCCGAGCCCCTGGGCTGGCTCCCATTCCCTGACCGGTGGTCTCAGTCTCGACTCCTATAGCAGCAACAACCACAGTTCAGACCCCAGCCCCTCCCTCTTTTAGCACCCAGGAGTCCTTAGTGTCACCTCCAGGAACCGCGGTAGGGACAGGAAGCCTGCACAGCGGCTCGAGGGGATTCTGGATCTGAGGGCAGGGCCTCCTTCGGTACTTGAGCCCCCACATGCTCCTTCGCAAGGAAGCGAAAGCCCCCGTTTCCTTCCCTAGGATGCGAAAGCTCAGCTTCCAGGACGTTAAGTACCTCGAGGACCCAGGAACGCAGGCAACGCGTGCCCGGTCGCGTCCTTCCTAAGGGGTGCTCGCCTGGAAATGCAGGAGTTTGAATGTGCAGACTCCTTAGATCCCGAGGTCTGAAACTCGTCCCCAAGGATCCAGCTGTATCCTCACCATCCCGCCCTGCTCCCACAGGACGGAGCCGTCCGGATACCCCCGCAAGGACTACCTGACCTACTGGAGCTTAGAAGAGACGCCCCAACTCTGGAGTCACGACCCGCAGCGGCAGCCCTGTCTCTGCTCTTCCAGGCCGCCTCGAGCGCCGCACGGCGGGCCATGTCTCCGGCTCAGGAAACCTACAGCTCCTCGCCGCACCCGCTCCGCCGGCTCGACCGCTTCCGCCCGCTGGAGGCGACTTGGGGTGGCCCCCACTGGAAGCCCCTGCCGGGCATACACAGCGTCCCGAAAGCCTACAGCACCGAGAACTCCCGCTCAGGCCGCTGTAAGCCGGGGCTAGTGGGAGCCTGCCGGGCCAGCCCCACCCCAGACACGCCCCCTGGCGTGGGGGCGGAGCAGAGCTCTGGGCAGCCGCTCACTACGCGGTGTCGGACCTAGGTGGGCTCGCACTCATTAAGTCTATCCGCAGTGTGGGGACAGGACTAGCCCAGACACGCCCACTCAGCTGCGGCTGGATCGCGGGGAAGGGACTAAGTCCAGACAATGTCCTCCGAGGCTGCGGCCCCGCGGGCAGGACACACCTCCTGCGGGCCTATTCAATAATCAGTTAAATCACCTGAAGCACACGCATTTCCGGGGACCGCTCCGGGCATCCTGGCTTGAGGGTAGGGTGGGCGGAGGTTCCTAAGGGAGAGGTGGGGCTCGGGCTGAATCCCTCGTTGGGGGGCATCTGGGTCAAGTGGCTTCCCTGGCAGCACAGTCACGGGGAGACCCTCTCTCACTGGGCAGAAGCTAAGTCCGAAGCCGCGCCCCTCCTGTTAGGTTGGACTGTGGTGCAGGAATGGCTCAAGTAGAGGAGGGTTGAGGCTTCAGTCCAGCACCTTTCTCGGGTCACGGCCTCCTCCTGGTTCCCAAGACCCCACCATAGGCAGAGGCAGGCCTTCCTACACCCTACTCTCTGTGCCTCCAGCCTCGACTAGTCCCTAGCACTCGACGACTGAGTCTCAGAGGTCACTTCACCGTGGTCTCCGCCTCATCCTTGGCGCTAGACCACTGAGGGGAGAGGACTGGGGTGCTCCGCTGAGCCACTCCTGTGCCTCCCTGGCCTTGTCTACTTCTCGCCCCCCGAAGGGTTAGTGTCCAGCTCACTCCAGCATCCTACAACCTCCTGGTGGCCTTGACGCCCCCACAAACCCGAGGTATAAAGCCAGGTACACCAGGCAGGGGACGCACCAAGGATGGAGATGTTCCAGGTAAGACTGCAGGGCCCCTGGGCACCTTCCACCTCCTTCCAGGCCATCACTGGCATGAGAAGGGGCAGACCAGTGTGAGCTGTGGAAGGACGCCTCTTTCTGGAGGAGCGTGACCCCCAATAAGCTTCACGTGGGGCAGTTCCTGAGGGTGGGGATCTGAAATGTTGGGGCATCTCAGGTCCCTCGGGCTGTGGGGTGGGCTCTGAAAGGCAGGTGTCCGGGTGGTGGGTCCTGAATAGGAGATGCCGGGAAGGGTCTCTGGGTCTTTGTGGGTGGTGTACCCTGGGGGATGGGAAGGCCAGGGCTCAGGGCTGTGGTCTCAGGCCCGGGTGAAGCAGTGTCCTTGTCCCAGGGGCTGCTGCTGTTGCTGCTGCTGAGCATGGGCGGGACATGGGCATCCAGGGAGATGCTTCGGCCACGGTGCCGCCCCATCAATGCCACCCTGGCTGTGGAGAAGGAGGGCTGCCCCGTGTGCATCACCGTCAACACCACCATCTGTGCCGGCTACTGCCCCACCATGGTGAGCTGCCCGGGGCCCGGGCAGGTGCTGCCACCTCAGGGCCAGACCCACAGAGGCAGCGGGGGAGGAAGGGTGGTCTGCCTCTCTGGTCAGGGGCTGCGGAATGGGGTGTGGGAGGGCAGGAACAGAGGGCTTCCTGGACCCCTGAGTCTGAGACCTGTGGGGGCAGCTGGGGAGCTCAGCTGAGGCGCTGGCCCCAGGCACATGCTCATTCTCCCACTCACACGGCTTCCAGACCCGCGTGCTGCAGGGGGTCCTGCCGGCCCTGCCTCAGGTGGTGTGCAACTACCGCGATGTGCGCTTCGAGTCCATCCGGCTCCCTGGCTGCCCGCGCGGCGTGAACCCCGTGGTCTCCTACGCCGTGGCTCTCAGCTGTCAATGTGCACTCTGCCGCCGCAGCACCACTGACTGCGGGGGTCCCAAGGACCACCCCTTGACCTGTGATGACCCCCGCTTCCAGGCCTCCTCTTCCTCAAAGGCCCCTCCCCCCAGCCTTCCAAGTCCATCCCGACTCCCGGGGCCCTCAGACACCCCGATCCTCCCACAATAAAGGCTTCTCAATCCGCACTCTGGCGGTGTCTTTCTGTGGGCTCAGGGCAACCACACACACACAGGGTGGGTCCAGCTTCCAAACCATTTTATACAAAGTCACAGTATCAGAACTCTGGTAGAAAACAGGGTGGACGGCGGGGCGCGGTGGCTCACGCCTGTAATCCCACCACTTTGGGAGGCCGAGGCAGGCTGATCATGAGGTCAGGAGATCGAGACCATCCTGGCTAACACGGTGAAACCCCATCTCTACTAAAAATACGAAAACTTATCCCGGCTTGGTGGTGGGCGCTTGCAGTCCAAGCTACTTGGGAGGCTGTGGCAGGAGAATGGAGTGAACCTGGGAGGGGGAGCTTGCAGTGAGCCGAGATCACACCACTGCACTCCAGCCTGCATGACGGAGCGAGACTCCATCTCAAAAAAAAAAAAAAAGAAAGAAAGAAAGAAGGAAAGAAAGAAAAAGAAAAGAGAGTGAAGATGGGGGACGACATCCAGCTCAGGAGGTGTCCATGGTCTGGCCTTCTGTGGGGAGAAGGAAGGCCACATGATTGGTGTGGCCCAGGGGGCAGGGCCTCAGCCTCCTAAGCCGAGCTCCGTCTTCCTCCCTCTGACGTTGGCACTGGCAGTGCAGGTGTGGGGGGGGAGCGGCTTGGGGACTTGAATGGGATGAAGGGGCCGAGGGGGATGTCATCTCTTCCATTCTCCTTCATCCACTGCCTCTCCCTTCCCCTCCTCCCCCCTCCCCTCCGTCCATCTGCCTCCCATCCCAGCCAGGAGCCATCACCTAAGTAGAAAAGGGGCCTCTGGAAAGGGGGCGGGGCCTTGACTCTTGGGTACCCTGCACTTGAAGAGGAACTCTGGGAGGGGGTTGTTCAGGGATTTGGCCCCTTCCCCATCTGGCTGTATAACCTTCCTGTGCTTTTCTTCCCCTAGCCGGTTACCCCTCCCTCTCCTGAGATGTCAGGAAAGAGGGGGCCACCTGCGTCCTCCACAGTGGTCCCCGAAGCCTGGGGTTCCCAGCCCCAGAGCTCCGAGGTGGAAGAGTTGCTACAGCTCTGGTGACCACTGGTTGTTTCCCAGTCTTCTCCACGCCAACCTTTCCCAGAACCACAGGCTTCCAGAATGTTGTAGGGAAACTGCAAAATCCGCGCCTCCACCAGCCTCTCCCAGCGCCAGGTCAATTTCACACACAGGGAAACTGAAGCCTGCCTCAGAGGGGCAGCGTTTTACCTCCTTAGTGGCAGTTTTGAGGTGAATCAGGGTCTCCCTAGGATTCCAGGTTGTGGACTTTCTCTAAATTGTGGAATGTGGCCAGGCATGGTGGCTTGAGTCTGTAGTCCCAGCTACTCAGGAGCCACAGCAGGAGGATGGCTTGAGCCCAGGAGTTCAAGTGCAGTGGGGAAACATAGGGAGACCTCGTCTTAAAGCAATTTGTTTGGGGCCAGGCGTGGTGTCTCAGGCCTATAATCCCAGCACTCTGGGAGGCCAGGGCAGGAGTATCACTGGAGGTTGGGAGTTTGAGAACAGTCTGGCCAATGTCGTGAAACCGCATCTCTACTAAAAATACAAAAATTAGCTGGGCACGGTGGCAGGTGCTTTTAATTCCAGTTACTCAGAAGGCTGAGGCAGGAGAATCGCTTGAAACCAGGAGACAGGCGTTACAGTGAGCCGGGATTGTGCCACTGTACTCCAGCCTGGCCAGACAGAGTGAGACTCTGTTTCAAAAAAAAAAAAAAAAACAACAAAACAAAACAAACAAAAAAAAATTGGGCCGGGCGCAGTGGCTCATGCCTGTTATCCCAGCACTTTGGGAGGCCGAGGTGGGCAGATCACAAGGTCAGCAGATCAAGACCATCCTGGCTAACACGGGGAAACCCCGTCTCTACTAAAAAATACAATAAATTAGCCAGACGTGGTGGCAGGCCCCTGCAGTCCCAGCTACTCGGGAGGCTAAGGCAGGAGAATGGCTTGAACCCGGGAGGCAGAGCTTGCAGTGAGCCGAGATCGAGCCACTGCAGTCCAGTCTGGGTGAGAGAGTGAGACTCCATCTCAAAAAAAAAAAAAAAAAATTGGTTGGAACATCCTCCAAGATGCAAGACTCTCGGTTCCTCAGAGTTCTACGGGAAGGATGGCAGAATGCAGTTGCCCAGAGGTGAAGTCCCATCTCTGTCATTTGCTGCCTATGTGACCAGGCAAAAAGCATTAATTTCTCTGAGCCTGTATTTTACCCTCTGTTGCTATTGAGTAATTGTAGTTGGCTATTTTCTATTTTTATTTTTATTTCATCTTTTTTTTTTTTTTTTTTTTTGAGACGGAGTCTCGCCCTGTCACCCAGTCTGGAGTGCAGTGGCGCGCTCTTGGCTCACTGCACCTATGCTTCCCGGGTTCAAGCAATTCACCTGCCTCAGACTCCCGAGTAGCTGGGACTACAGGTGTGCACCACCACACCCAGCTAATTTTTGTAATTTTTTTAGTAGACACAGCGTTTCGCCACGTTGGCCAGGCTAGTCCCAAAGTCCTGACCTCAGGTGACGCACCCGCCTCGGCGTCCCATAGTGCTGGGATTGCAGGCAAGAGCCACTGTCCCCGGCCGAACAATTTTTATCTTTATTTTATGATTATTATTATTATTTTTTTAAGATGGAGCTTTGTTTTTGTTGCCCAAGCTGAAGTGCAATGGCGCGATCTTGGCTCACTTCAAACTCCGCCTCCTGGGATTAAGCGATTCTCCTGCCTCAGCCTCCCAAGTGGCTGGGATTATAAGCATGCAGCACCACGCCGGAGGATATTTTGTATTTTTAGTAGAGGTGCGGTTTCTCTATGTTGGTCAGGCTGGTCTGGAACTCCTCACCTCAGCTGATCCACCCACTGCAGCCTCCGACAATGCTGGGATTACAAGTGTGAGCCACCATGCCCGGCCTTATTTATTTATTTTTTTTGAGAGAGAGTCTCACTGTGTTGTCCAGGCCGAAGTGCAGTGACACGATCTTGGCTCACTGCAATCTCAGCCCTCCCGGGTTCAAGCGATTCTCCTGCCTCAGCCTCCCGAGTAGCTGAGATCACAGGCGTGCAGCACCAGGCCTGGCTAATTTTGGTATTATCAGTAGAGATGTTGTTTCACAGTGTTGGCCAGGCTGCTCTCGAACTCCTGACCTCAAGTCATCCACCCGCCTCAGCCTCCCAAAGTGCTGGGACTACAGGTGTGAGCCATAGTGCCTGACCTGTAGTTGTTGAATATTTATTATTAATCTACAAGTTGGGTGTGATGCAAGTCCTTTATATGGAGTCCCCCAAACTTCTAGAGCAAGGGCTTCCCCATAATCCTGGCAGGCAGGCCTCCCCTGGGGTTTCCAACTTCTGACCCCACTGAAGTGTTTATCCTCTTCTCTAATCCCAGCCTCCTTTTCCCTGTCTCCGTGTGCTGAGAGGTGCTCTGAGAGATGCTCCCGCTCCCCCAGGCTCCCTCTGCATCCCCCTCATTTTCTTCCTCCCCAGTGTGTCAATGGGGTCCTAACCCCACCCTCGGCACTGTCACCTTTTCCTGATCCAAAGTAGGACCTTCTTTTCCCCTGAGTGGTCCTGTCTAGGGGTGCCGCTGCCGGGCCCCCTCTGGTCTTCCTGCTGCAGACTGGGGCCTTTTGGGAGTCAGCAGGCGCCCGGGCCAACCGCAGCCAGCGTGAGGCGAGCGATGCTTCACCGGCGAGTCATCAGGGTGAGGCTGGCCGTGTGTGATGCAGTCAGTGTCTGGGTGACAGATCCCGGGACCGCTGTGGACTTGGGTGTGCTCGAGGTGGAGGTGTTGGGCGAGGTGCCTGCAGCTGGCGGCAGTTCCCTCTGCCAGCACTTCTTTGTCACCGCTTCGAGGCCGATAACTCTGAGGAAGGTAGCCGTGGGGTAGGTGGAGGGGGCTGCCGCCAGGGTGTGGACCGGGGGGCACTGGGTGTCTGAGTGCAAGGCCAAGCAGTCCTATGTGCGGGCATTGACCGCTGATGCCCAGGGCCGTGTGGACTGGCGATGGATTCAAATTGGCACTGCCTGTGTCTGCACACTCCTCAGCCGGACTGGCCGGGCCTGAGACTTATACCCAGGAACTGGTCAGGCAGAAAAAGAACAGAGCTGGATGCTGAGAGACCTCAGGGTTGGCCCAGCTGCTCTACGGACCCCAGTTTGGGAACTCATCAAATCATCACAAAATCACAACTCTCTGAATTTGAGCTCAGTCTCTGCAGGATGGGTGCCACCACGTGGGGTTTTGAAGGTTGAATAGGAGTTCTCCAGGGGGAAATTGAGAGTAATCATGATGATGATGATGATAATAATAGCCACTATTTACTGAGTGTTTACTCTTTCGTAGCCCTAATACATAACTCCTCAGATCAACTCTCATGGATTTGATCATTGGTGACCTTTGGTGTTAAGTTGCTGACTGCTCAGTCACAGAGGACACCACCTTGCTCATCCTGGGGAGTGGGAGGGCACATTTCACGATGTGGATGGGGGTGGAGAGAAACTGGAGCATGCAAGCAGATGGCCAGGGGACCTTGAGGACATGGTCTACAGAAGGCCTTTAAGTATCTGGGAGCTGGGGTTCAAATGAGAAATCTTACTTGGTGAGAGCAGGCAGGGGTTGGCTTAGAATATTCTGTTTTGAGATAATGAGCTACCGATCACAGGGGGAGTATAAGCAAGGTTCAATGAGAAGCGATCAAGATGCTGCACAGTTCAGCCCTGGGTGGGGAGCGCAAGTCAGGTTTCTAGCCCTCTTTGCTGTGCCAACCTATACCCTACATTGGGAAAGAAACAGACCTTAAAATTGTCCAGCTTGATGGCATCGCGGGGAAGGGACTAAGTCCAGATAATGTCCTCCGAGGCTTCGGCCCCGTGGGCAGGACATACCTCCTGCGGGCCTATTCAATAATCAGTTAAATCACCTGAAGCACACGCATTTCCGGGGACAGCTCCGGGCATCCTGGCTTGAGGGTAGAGTGGGCGGAGGTCCCTAAGGGAGAGGTGGGGCTCGGGCTGAATCCCTCCTTGGGGGCACCAGGGTCAAGTGGCTTCCCTGGCAGCACAGTCACGGGGAGACCCTCTCTCATTGGGCAGAAGCTAAGTCCGAAGCCGCGCCCCTCCTGGGAGGTTGGACTGTGGTGCAGGAAAGCCTCAAGTAGAGGAGGGTTGAGGCTTCAGTCCAGCACCTTTCTCGGGTCACGGCCTCCTCCTGGCTCCCAGGACCCCACCATAGGCAGAGGCAGGCCTTCCTACACCCTACTCCCTGTGCCTCCAGGCTCGACTAGTCCCTAGCACTCGACGACTGAGTCTCTGAGGTCACTTCACCGTGGTCTCCGCCTCACCCTTGGCGCTGGACCAGTGAGAGGAGAGGGCTGGGGCGCTCCGCTGAGCCACTCCTGCGCCCCCCTGGCCTTGTCTACCTCTTGCCCCCCGAAGGGTTAGTGTCGAGCTCACTCCAGCATCCTACAACCTCCTGGTGGCCTTGCCGCCCCCACAACCCCGAGGTTTAAAGCCAGGTACACGAGGCAGGGGACACACCAAGGATGGAGATGTTCCAGGTAAGACTGCAGGGCCCCTGGGCACCTTCCACCTCCTTCCAGGCAATCACTGGCATGAGAAGGGGCAGACCAGTGTGAGCTGTGGAAGGAGGCCTCTTTCTGGAGGAGCGTGACCCCCAGTAAGCTTCAGGTGGGGCATTTCCTGAAGGTGGGGATCTGAAATGTTGGGGTATCTCAGGTCCTCTGGGCTGTGGGGTGGGCTCTGAAAGGCAGGTGTCCGGGTGGTGGGTCCTGAATAGGAGATGCCGGGAAGGGTCTCTGGGTCTTTGTGGGTGGTGTACCACGTGGGATGGGAAGGCCAGGACTCGGGGCTGCGGTCTCAGACCCGGGTGAAGCAGTGTCCTTGTCCCAGGGGCTGCTGCTGTTGCTGCTGCTGAGCATGGGCGGGACATGGGCATCCAAGGAGCCGCTTCGGCCACGGTGCCGCCCCATCAATGCCACCCTGGCTGTGGAGAAGGAGGGCTGCCCCGTGTGCATCACCGTCAACACCACCATCTGTGCCGGCTACTGCCCCACCATGGTGAGCTGCCCGGGGCCGGGGCAGGTGCTGCCACCTCAGGGCCAGACCCACAGAGGCAGCGGGGGAGGAAGGGTGGTCTGCCTCTCTGGTCAGGGGCTGCGGAATGGGGTGTGGGAGGGCAGGAACAGAGGGCTTCCCGGACCCCTGAGTCTGAGACCTGTGGGGGCAGCTGGGGAGCTCAGCTGAGGCGCTGGCCCCAGGCACATGCTCATTCTCCCACTCACACGGCTTCCAGACCCGCGTGCTGCAGGGGGTCCTGCCGGCCCTGCCTCAGGTGGTGTGCAACTACCGCGATGTGCGCTTCGAGTCCATCCGGCTCCCTGGCTGCCCGCGCGGCGTGAACCCCGTGGTCTCCTACGCCGTGGCTCTCAGCTGTCAATGTGCACTCTGCCGCCGCAGCACCACTGACTGCGGGGGTCCCAAGGACCACCCCTTGACCTGTGATGACCCCCGCTTCCAGGACTCCTCTTCCTCAAAGGCCCCTCCCCCCAGCCTTCCAAGTCCATCCCGACTCCCGGGGCCCTCGGACACCCCGATCCTCCCACAATAAAGGCTTCTCAATCCGCACTCTGGAGGTGTCTTTCTGTGGGCTCAGGGCAACCACACACACACAGGATGGGTCCAGCTTCCAAACCATTTTATACAGAGTCACAGTACAGAACTCTGGTAGAAAACAGGGTGGACGGCTGGGCGTGGTGGCTCACGCCTGTAATCCCACCACTTTGGGAGGCCGAGGCAGGCGGATCATGAGGTCAGGAGATCGAGACCATCCTGGCTAACACGGTGAAACCCCGTCTCTACTAAAAATACGAAAAGTTATCCGGGCTTGGTGGTGGGCGCTTGCAGGAGAATGCAGTGAACCTGGGAGCGGGAGGTTGCAGTGAGCAGAGATCGCGCCACTGCACTCCAGCCTGCACGACAGAGCGAGACTCCATCTCAAAAAAAAAAAAAAAAGAAAGAAAGAAAGAAAAAGAAAAGAGGGTGGAGATGGGGGATGACATCCAGCTCAGGAGGTGTCCATGGTCTGGCCTTCCGTGGGGAGAAGGAAGGCCACACGATTGGTGTGGCCCAGGGAGCAGGGCCTCAGCATTCTAAGCCGAGCTCCCTCTTCCACCCTCTGAGGTTGGCACTGGCAGTCCAGGTGGGGGCTTGGGGATCTGAATGGGATGAATGGGCCAAGGGGGATGTCATCTCTTCCATTCTCCTTCATCCACTGCCTCTCCCTTCCCCTCCTCCACCCCTCCCACCCCCGGTCCATCTACCTCCCATCCCAGCCAGGAGCCATCACCTAAGTAGAAAAGGGGCCTCTGGAAAGGGGGCGGGGCCTTGACTCTTGGGTACCCTGCGCTTGAAGAGGAACTCTGGGAAGGGGTTTTTTCAGGGAGTTGGCCTCTTCCCCACCTGGCTGTATAACCTTCCTGTGCTTTTCTTCCCCTAACCGGTTGCTGCTCCCTCTCCTGCGATGTCAGGAAAGAGGGGGCCACCTGTGTCCTCCACAGTGGCCCCCGAAGCCTGGGGTTCCCAGCAGAGCTCAGAGGTGAAGGAGGTGCTACAGCTCTGGTGACCACTGGTTGTTTCCCAGTCTTCTCCATGCCACCCTTTCCAAAAACAACAAAACAAAACAAAACAAACAAAATTGGGCCTGGCGCAGTGGTTCATGCCTGTAATCCCAGCACTTTGGGAAGCCGAGACGGGCGGATCACAAAGTCAGGAGATCAAGACTATCCTGGCTAACACGGGGAAACCCCGTCTCTACTAAAAAATACAACAAATTAGCGAGGCGTCCTGGTGGGCGCCTGTAGTCCCAGCTACTTGGGAGGCCGAGGCAGGAGAATGGCAGGAACCTGGGAGGCGGATCTTGCAGTGAGCCGAGATCGCGCCACTGCAGTCCAGTCTCAACAACAGAGCGAGACTCCGTCTCAAAAAAAAAAAAATTGATTGGAACATCCTCCAAGATGCAAGACTCTCAGTTCCTCAGAGTTCTACAGGAAGGATGGCAGAGTGCAGTTGCCCAGAGTTGAAGTCCCATCTCTGCCATTTGTTGGCTGTGTGACCAGGCACAAATCATTAATTTCTCTGAGCCTGTATTTTACCATCTGTTGCTATTGAGTAATAGTAGTGGACTATTTTCTATTTTTATTTTTATTTTATTTTATTTATTTATTTTTTTTGAGACGGAGTCTCACCCTGTCACCCAGGCTGGAGTGCAGTGGCGTGATCTCAGCTCACTGCACCTATGCTTCCGGGGTTCAAGTCATTCTCCTTCCTCAGCTTCCTGAGTAGCTGGAACTACAGGCGCGCACCACCACACCCAGCTAATTTTTTTTTTTTTTTAGTAGAGACAGGGTTTCACCATGTTGGCCAGGCTGGTCTCAAAGTCCTGAACTCAGGTGATGCACCCGCCTCAGCCTCCCAAAGTGCTGGGATTGCAGGCATGAGCCACTGCGCCTGGACGAACGTTTTTAATTTTTATTTTATTATTATTATTATTATTACTTTTTGAGATGGAGCTTTGTTTTTGTTGCCCAGGCTGAAGTGCAATGGCGGGATCTTGGCTCACTGCAACCTCCGCCTCCTAGGATCAAGAGATTCTCCTGCCTTAGCCTCCCAAGTACCTGGGAGTATAGGCATGCACCACCACGCTCGACGATGTTTTCTATTTTTAGTAGAGATGGGGTTTCTCCATGTTGGTCAGGCTGGTCTGGAACCCCTCACCTCAGCTGATCCACCCACCACAGCCTCCGACAATTACAGGCGTGAGCCACCGCGCCTAGCCGTCCACCCTGTTTTCTACCAGAGTTCTGTACTGTGACTCTGTATAAAATGGTTTGGAAGCTGGACCCATCCTGTGTGTGTGTGATTGCCCTGAGCCCACAGAAAGACACCTCCAGAGTGCGGATTGAGAAGCCTTTATTGTGGGAGGATCGGGGTGTCCGAGGGCCCCGGGAGTCGGGATGGACTTGGAAGGCTGGGGGGAGGGGCCTTTGAGGAAGAGGAGTCCTGGAAGCGGGGGTCATCACAGGTCAAGGGGTGGTCCTTGGGACCCCCGCAGTCAGTGGTGCTGCGGCGGCAGAGTGCACATTGACAGCTGAGAGCCACGGCGTAGGAGACCACGGGGTTCACGCCGCGCGGGCAGCCAGGGAGCCGGATGGACTCGAAGCGCACATCGCGGTAGTTGCACACCACCTGAGGCAGGGCCGGCAGGACCCCCTGCAGCACGCGGGTCTGGAAGCCGTGTGAGTGGGGGAATGAGCATGTGCCTGGGGCCAGCGCCTCAGCTGAGCTCCCCAGTTGCCCCCACAGGTCTCAGACTCAGGGGTCCGGGAAGCCCTCTGTTCCTGCCCTCCCACACCCCATTCCGCAGCCCCTGACCAGAGAGGCAGACCACCCTTCCTCCCCCGCTGCCTCTGTGGGTCTGGCCCTGAGGTGGCAGCACCTGCCCGGGCCCCGGGCAGCTCACCATGGTGGGGCAGTAGCCGGCACAGATGGTGGTGTTGACGGTGATGCACACGGGGCAGCCCTCCTTCTCCACAGCCAGGGTGGCATTGATGGGGCGGCACCGTGGCCGAAGCGGCTCCTTGGATGCCCATGTCCCGCCCATGCTCAGCAGCAGCAACAGCAGCAGCCCCTGGGACAAGGACACTGCTTCACCCGGGTCTGAGACCGCAGCCCCGAGTCCTGGCCTTCCCATCCCGCGTGGTACACCACCCACAAAGACCCAGAGACCCTTCCCGGCATCTCCTATTCAGGACCCACCACCCGGACACCTGCCTTTCAGAGCCCACCCCACAGCCCAGAGGACCTGAGATGCCCCAAAATTTCAGATCCCCACCCTTAGGAACTGCCCCACCTGAAGCTTACTGGGGGTCACGCTCCTCCAGAAAGAGGCCTCCTTCCACAGCTCACACTGGTCTGCCCCTTCTCATGCCAGTGATTGCCTGGAAGGAGGTGGAAGGTGCCCAGGGGCCCTGCAGTCTTACCTGGAACATCTCCATCCTTGGTGCGTCCCCTGCCTCGTGTACCTGGCTTTATACCTCGGGGTTGTGGGGGCGGCAAGGCCACCAGGAGGTTGTAGGATGCTGGGGTGAGCTCGACACTAACCCTTCGGGGGGCAAGAGGTAGACAAGGCCAGGGGGGCGCAGGAGTGGCTCAGCGGAGCGCCCCAGCCCTCTCCTCTCACTGGTCCAGCGCCAAGGGTGAGGCGGAGACCACGGTGAAGTGATCTCAGAGACTCAGTCGTCGAGTGCTAGGGACTAGTCGAGCCTGGAGGCACAGGGAGTAGGGTGTAGGAAGGCCTGCCTCTGCCTATGGTGGGGTCCTGGGAGCCAGGAGGAGGCCGTGACCCGAGCAAAGTGCTGGATTGAAGCCTCAACCCTCCTCTACTTGAGGCTTTCCTGCACCACAGTCCAACCTCCCAGGAGGGGCGCGGCTTCGGACTTAGCTTCTGCCCAATGAGAGAGGGCCTCCCCGTGACTGTGCTGCCAGGGAAGCCACTTGACCCAGATGCCCCCCAACGAGGGATTCAGCCCGAGCCCCACCTCTCCCTTAGGAACCTCCGCCCACTCTACCCTCAAGCCAGGATGCCCGGAGCGGTCCCCGGAAATGCGTGTGCTTCAGGTGATTTAACTGATTATTGAATAGGCCCGCAGGAGGTGTGTCCTGCCCACGGGGCCGAAGCCTCAGAGGACATTATCTGGACTTAGTCCCTTCCCCGCGATGCCATCAAGCTGGACAATTTTAAGGTCTGTTTCTTTCCCAATGTAGGGTATAGGTTGGCACAGGGAAGAGGGCTAGAAACCTGACTTGAGCTCCCCACCCAGGGCTGAACTGTGCAGCATCTTGATCGCTTCTCATTGAACCTTGCTTAAACTCCCCCTGTGATCGGTAGCTCATTATCTCAAAACAAAATATTCTAAGCCGACCCCTGCCCACTCTCACCAAGTAAGATTTCTCATTTGAACCCCAGCTCCCAGATACTGAAAGGCCTTCTGTAGACCATGTTCTCAAGGTCCCCTGGCCATCTGCTTGCATGTTCCAGTTTCTCTCCTCCCCCATGCACATCGTGAAATGTGCCCTCCCACTCCCCAGGATGAGGAAGGTGGTGTCCTCTGTGACTGAGCAGTCAGCAACTTAACACCAAAGGTCACCAATGATCAAATCCATGAGAGTTGATCCGAGGAGTTATGTATTATGGCTAAGAAAGAGTAAACACTCAGTAAATAGTGCCTATTATTATTATCATCATCATCATGATTATCCTCAAGTTCCCCCAGGAGAACTCCTATTCAACCTTCAAAACCCCATGTGGTGGCACCCATCCTGCAGAGATTGAGCTCAAATTCAGAGAGTTGTGATTTTGTGATGATTTGATGAGTTCCCAAACTGGGGTCCGTAGAGCAGCTGGGCCAACCCTGAGGTCTCTCAGCATCCAGCTCTGTTCTTTTTCTGCCTGACCAGTTCCTGGGTATAAGTCTCAGGCCCGGCCAGTCCGGCTGAGGAGTGTGCAGACACAGGCAGTGCCAATTTGAATCCATCACCAGTCCACACAGCCCTGGGCATCAGCGGTCAATGCCCGCACATAGGACTGCTTGGCCTTGCACTCAGACACCCAGTGCCCCCCGGTCCACACCCTGCGGCAGCCCCTCCACCTACCCCTGGGCCACCTTCTTCAGAGTTATTGGCCTCGAAGCAGGTGACAAAGAAGTGTTGGCAGAGGGAACTGCCGCCAGCTGCAGGCACCTCGCCCAACACCTCCACCTCCAGCACACCTGAGTCCACAGCGGTCCGGGGGTCTGTCACCCAGCCAGTGACTGCATCACACACGGCCAGCCTCACCCTGATGACTCGCCAGTGAAGTATTGCTCACCCCTCGCTGGCTGCGGTTGGCCCGGGCGCCTGCTGACTCCCGAAAGGCCCCAGTCTCCAGCAGGAAGACCAGAGGGGGCCCGGCAGCGGCACCCCTAGGCAGGACCACTCAGGGGAAAAGAAGGTCCCACTTTGGATCAGGAAAAGGCGACAATGTCGAGGGTGGGGTTAGGACCCCATTGACACACTGGAGAGGAAGAAAATGAGGGGGATGTAGAGGGAGTCTGGGGGAGCGGGAGCATCTCTCAGAGCACCTCTCAGAGCACATGGAGACAGGGAAAAGGAGGCTGGGATTAGAGAAGAGGATAAACACTTCAGTGGGGTCAGAAGTTGGGAACCCCAGGGGAGGCCTGCCTGCCAGGATTATGGGGAAGCCCTTGCTCTAGAAGTTTGGGGGACTCCATATATAGGACTTGCATAACACCCAACTTGTAGATTAATAGTAAATATTCAACAACTACAGGTCAGGCATTATGGCCCACACCTGTAATCCCAGCACTTTGGGAGGCTGAGGCGGGTGGATGACTTGAGGTCAGGACTTTGAGACCAGCCTGGCCAACATGGTGAATCCCTGTCTCTACTAAAAAAAATACAAAAATTAGCTGGGTGTGGTGGTGGGCACCTGTACTCCCAGCTACTCAGGAGGCTGAGGCAGGAGAATCGCTTGAACCCCGGAAGCAGAGATGCAGTGAGCCAAGAGCGCACCACTGCACTCCAGCCTGGGTGACAGGGCCAGACTCTGTCTCAAACAAAAATAAAAATAAAAATAAAAATAAATAAAAATACATAATAGTCAACTACTATTACTCAATAGCAACAGATGGTAAAATACAGGATCAGAGAAAGTAATGATTTGTGCCCGGTCACACAGCCAACAAATGGCAGAGATGGGACTTCACCTCTGGGCGACTGCACTCTGCCATCCTTCCTGTAGAACTCTAAGGAACCGAGAGTCTTGCATCCTGGAGGATGTTCCAATCAATTTTTTTTTTTTTCAGGGGGAGTCTCACTTGTCACCCAGGCTGGACTGCAGTGGCTCAATCTCGGCTCACTGCAAGCTCCGCCTCCCAGGTTCACACCACTCTCCTGCCTCAGCCTCCCGAGTAGCTGGGACTACAGGCGCCCGCCACCATGCCTGGCTAATTTCTTGTATTTTTTAGTAGAGACGGGGTTTCCCCATGTTAGCCAGGATGGTCTTGATCTCCTGACCCTGTGATCTGCCTTCCTCGGCCTCCCAAAGTGCTGGGATTACAGGCATGAGCCACTGCACCCGGCCCAATTTTTTTTTCTTTTTTTTTTTTGAGACAGAGCCTCACTCTGTCTGGCCAGGCTGGAGTAGAGTGGCACAATCCCGGCGCACTGTAGCGCCTGCCTCCTGGGTTCAAGTGACTCTCCTGCCTCAGCCTTCTGAGTAACTGGAATTACAAGCGCCTGCCACCGTGCCCTGCTAATTTTTGTATTTTTAGTAGAGATGCAGTTTCACAACATTGGCCAGACTGGTCTCAAACTCCCAACCTCCAGTGATACTCCTGCCCTGGCCTCCCAGAGTGCTGGGATTATAGGCCTGAGAAACCACGCCTGGCCCCAAACAAATTGCTTTAAGACGAGGTCTCCCTATGTTTCCCCACTGCACTTGAACTCCTGGGCTCAAGCCATCCTCCTGCTGTGGCTCCTGAGTAGCTGGGACTACAGACTCAAGCCACCACGCCTGGCCACATTCCACAATTTAGAGAAAGTGCACAACCTGGAATCCTAGGGAGACCCCGATTCACCTCAAAACTGCCACTAAGGAGGTAAAACGCTGCCCCTCTGAGGCAGGCTTCAGTTTCCCTGTGTGTGAAATTGACCTGGCGCTGGGAGAGGCTGGTGGAGGCGCGGATTTTGCAGTTTCCCTACAACATTCTGGAAGCCTGTGGTTCTGGGAAAGGTTGGCGTGGAGAAGACTGGGAAACAACCAGTGGTCACCAGAGCTGTAGCACCCCCTCCACCTCGGAGCTCTGGGGCTGGGAACCCCAGGCTTCGGGGACCACTGTGGAGGACGCAGGTGGCCCCCTCTTTCCTGACATCTCAGGAGAGGGAGGGGTAACCGGCTAGCAGAAGAAAAGCACAGGAAGGTTATACAGCCAGATGGGGAAGGGGCCAAATCTCTGAACAACCCCTTCCCAGAGTTCCTCTTCAAGTGCAGGGTACCCAAGAGTCAAGGCCCCGTCCCCTTTCCAGAGGCCCCTTTTCTACCCAGGTCCTAGCTGGGATGGGAGGCAGATGGACGGAGGGGAGGGGGGAGGAGGGGAAGGGAGAGGCAGTGGATGAAGGAGGATGGAAGAGATGACATCCCCCTCGGCCCATTCATCCCATTCAGGTCCCCAAGCCGCGCCCCCCACCCCGCCCCACCTGCACTGCCAGTGCCAACGTCAGAGGGAGGAAGAGGGAGCTCGGCTTAGAAGGCTGAGGCCCTGCCACCTGGGCCACACCGATCATGTGGCCTTCCTTCCCCCACAGAAGGCCAGACCATGGACACCTCCTGAGCTGGAGGTCATCCTCCATCTCCACCCTGTTTTCTTTTTCTTTCTTTCTTTCTTTTTTTTTTTTTTGAGATGGAGTCTCGCTCTGTCGTGGAGGCTGGAGTGCAGTGGCGTGATCTCTGCTCACTGCAAGCTCCCCCTCCTAGGTTCACTCCATTCTCCTGCCTCAGCCTTCCAAGTAGCTTGGACTACAGGGGCCCGCGACCAAGCCCAGATAAGTTTTTGTATTTTTAGTAGAGACGGGGTTTCACCGTGTTAGCCAGGAAGGTCTCGATCCCCTGACCACATGATCCGCCCGCCTGGGCCTCCCAAAGTGGTGGGATTACTGGAGCGCAGCACCACGCCCAGCTAATTTTGGTATTATCAGTAGAGATGTTGTTTCACAGTGTTGGCCAGGCTGCTCTCAAACTCCTGACCTCAAGTCAAACACCCGCCTCAGCCTCCCAAAGTGCTGGGACTACAGGTGTGAGCCATAGTGCCTGACCTGTAGTTGTTGAATATTTATTATTAATCTACAAGTTGGGTGTGATGCAAGTCCTTTATATGGAGTCCCCCAAACTTCTAGAGCAAGGGCTTCCCCATAATCCTGGCAGGCAGGCCTCCCCTGGGGTTCCCAACTTCTGACCCCACTGAAGTGTTTATCTTCTTCCCTAATCCCAGCCTCCTTTTCCCTGTCTCCATGTGCTCTGAGAGATGCTCTGAGAGATGCTCCTGCTCCCCCAGGCTCCCTCCGCATCCCCCTCATTTTCCTCCTCCCCAGTGTGTCATTGGAGTCCTAACCCCATCCTCGACATTGTCGCGTTTTCCTCCTCCAGAGTGGGACCTTCTTTTCCCCCGAGTGGTCCTGTCTAGGGGTGCCGCTGCCGGGCCCCCTCTGGTCTTCCTGCTGGAGACTGGAGCCTTTCGGGAGTCAGCAGGCGCCCGGGCCAACCGCAGCCAGCGTGGGGTGAGCGATACTTCACCGGTGAGTCATCAGGGTGAGCTGGCCGTGTGCGATGCAGTCACTGTCTGGGTGACAGACCCCTGGACTGCTGTGGACTTGGGTGTGCTCGAGGTGGAGGTGTTGGGTGAGGTGCCTGCAGCTGGCAGCAGTTCCCTCCGCCAGCACTTCTTTGTTACCCGCTTCGAGGCCGATAAATCTAAGGAAGGTGGCCCGGGGGTAGGTGGAGGACCTGCCGCCGGGGTGTGGACCGGGGGGCACTGGGTGTCTGAGTGCAAGGCCAAGCAGTCCTATGGGCGGGCATTGACCACTGATGCCCAGGGCCGTGTGGACTGGCGATGGATTCAAATTGGCACTGCCTGTGTCTGCACACTCCTCAGCCGGACTGGCCGGGCCTGAGACTTATACCCAGGAACTGGTCAGGCAGAAAAAGAACAGAGCTGGATGCTGAGAGACCTCAGGGTTGGCCCAGCTGCTCTACGGACGGACCCCAGTTGGGGAACTCATCAAATCATCGCAAAATCTCAACTGTCTGAATTTGAGCTCAATCTCTGTAGGATGGGTGCAACAATGTGGGGTTTTGAAGGTTGAATAGGAACTCTCCCGGGGGAACTTGAGGGTAATCATGATGATGATGATAATAATAATAGCCATTATTTACTGAGTGTTTACTCTTTCGTAGCCCTAATACATAACTCCTCGGATCAACTCTCATGGATTTGATCATTGGTGACCTTTGGTGTTAAGTTGCTGACTGCTCAGTCACAGAGGACACCACCTTGCTCATCCTGGGGAGTGGGAGGGCACATTTCACGATGTGCATGGGGGAGGAGAGAAACTGGAACATGCAAGCAGATGGCCAGGGGACCTTGAGGACATGGTCTACAGAAGGCCTTTAAGTATCTGGGAGCTGGGGTTCAAATGAGAAATCTTACTTGGTGAGAGCAGGCAGGGGTTGGCTTAGAATATTCTGTTTTGAGATAAAGAGCTACCGATCACACGGGGAGTATAAGCAAGGTTCAATGAGAAGTGATCAGGATGCTGGAGAGTTCAGCCCTGGGCGGGGAGCTCAAGTCAGGTTTCTAGCCCTCTTCCCTGTGCCATCCTATACCCTACATTGGGAAAGAAACAGACCTTAAAATTGTCCAGCTTGATGGCATCGCGGGGAAGGGACTAAGTCCAGATAATGTCCTCCGAGGCTGCGGCCTCGGGGGCAGGACACACCTCCTGCGGGCCTATTCAATAATCAGTTAAATCACCCGAAGCACACGCATTTCCGGGGACCGCTCCGGGCATCCTGGCTTGAGGGTAGAGTGGGCAGAGGTCCCTAAGGGAGAGGTGGGGCTCGGGCTGAATCCCTCGTTGGCGGCACCAGGGTCAAGTGGCTAACCTGGCAGCACAGTCACGGGGAGGCCCTCTCTCATTGGGCAGAAACTAAGTCCGAAGCCGCGCCCCTCCTGGGCGAGGAGGTTCCACCTCCTAGGTTCCTGTGATTCTCCTGCCTCAGCCCGAGTAGTGGGACATCCCACTTGCTCCCGCCATTCTGTTTACCACAGGTGACGACCGCCATGGCTGACAGGCAGGGAGGTCCCCCGAGGACCGAGCAAGGCTCGGTATCCCAAAAAAAAAAAAAAAGATACATTGAAGTAATTTAAAAACACTTAGGAAGATGTCATTTCTTCCTATCAAGGCGTCCTCCCTTTATGTTTTGTTGTTATATAGGGAACGATAAAAAAATTTTTTTTTTTTTTCCTACCAATGGGGCCCAGGTTGACCTCGAACTCCAGTCCCTCACACCCTCGCCTAGCCTTGAGAGCCCGAGGGCAGGCTCAATCGGCCGGAGCCACAATGGCTCCGGTTGTCGGGCCCATCCTTTCTTCCCTTTGATCTTACGCAGGGTGATGGAGCCAATCACAAGAGGCTCATCCCTGACGTCACCCAGTCCCCAGGGCCAGTGAGGGCCCTGCGTTCCGTGGCGCCCCCTGGAGGGAGGAAGGGGAACTGCATCTGAGAGAGAGCAGCCAATTGGGTCCGCTGACTCTGGCCAGGTTCCCGTGCCGCGTCCAACACCCCTCACTCCCTGTCTCACTCCCCCACGGAGACTCAATTTACTTTCCATGTCCACATTCCCAGTGCTTGCGGAAGATATCCCGCTAAGAGAGAGACATGTCAAAGGTAGGGTAGATCCACATTTCCGGGCACCAAAGATGGAGATGTTCCAGGAAAGACTGCAGGGCCCCTGGGCACCTTCCACCTCCTTCCAGGCCATCACTGGCATGAGAAGGGGCAGACCCGTGTGAGCTGTGGAAGGAGGCCTCTTTCTGGAGGAGCGTGACCCCCAGTAAGCTTCAGGTGGGTCAGTTCCTGAGGGTGCGGATCTGAAATGTTGGGGTATCTCAGGTCCTCTGGGCTGTGGGGTGGGCTCTGAAAGGCAGGTGTCCGGGTGGTGGGTCCTGAATAGAAGATGCCGGGAAGGGTCTCTGGGTCTTTGTGGGTGGTGTACCATGCGGGATGGGAAGGCCAGGACTGGGGGCTGCAGTCTCAGACCCGGGTGAAGCAGTGTCCTTGCCCCAGAGGCTGCTGCTGTTGCTGCTGCTGAGCATGGGCGGGACATGGGCATCCAAGGAGCCGCTTCGGCCACGGTGCCGCCCCATCAATGCCACCCTGGCTGTGGAGAAGGAGGGCTGCCCCGTGTGCATCACCGTCAACACCACCATCTGTGCCGGCTACTGCCCCACCATGGTGAGCTGCCCGGGGCCAGGGCAGGTGCTGCCACCTCAGGGCCAGACCCACAGAGGCAGCGGGGGAGGAAGGGTGGTCTGCCTCTCTGGTCAGGGGCTGCGGAATGGGGTGTGGGAGGGCAGGAACAGAGGGCTTCCTGGACCCCTGAGTCTGAGACCTGTGGGGGCAGCTGGGGAGCTCAGCTGAGGCGCTGGCCCCAGGCACATGCTCATTCCCCCACTCACACGGCTTCCAGACCCGCGTGCTGCAGGGGGTCCTGCCGGCCCTGCCTCAGGTGGTGTGCAACTACCGCGATGTGCGCTTCGAGTCCATCCGGCTCCCTGGCTGCCCGCGCGGCGTGAACCCCGTGGTCTCCTACGCCGTGGCTCTCAGCTGTCAATGTGCACTCTGCCGCCGCAGCACCACTGACTGCGGGGGTCCCAAGGACCACCCCTTGACCTGTGATGACCCCCGCTTCCAGGACTCCTCTTCCTCAAAGGCCCCTCCCCCCAGCCTTCCAAGTCCATCCCGTCTCCCGGGGCCCTAGGACACCCCGATCCTCCCACAATAAAGGCTTCTCAATCCGCACTCTGGAGGTGTCTTTCTGTGGGCTCAGGGCAATCACACACACAGGGTGGGTCCAGCTTCCAAACTATTTTATACAGAGTCACAGTACAGAACTCTGGTAGAAAACAGGGTGGACGGCTGGGCGTGGTGGCTCACGCCTGTAATTGTCGGAGGCTGCGGTGGGTGGATCAGCTGAGGTGAGGGGTTCCAGACCAACATGACCAACATGGAGAAACCCCATCTCTACTAAAATTACAAAATATCGTCGGGCGTGGTGGTGCATGCCTATACTCCCAGGTACTTGGGAGGCTTAGGCAGGAGAATCTCTTGATCCTAGGAGGCGGAGGTTGCAGTGAGCCAAGATCCCGCCATTGCACTTCAGCCTGGGCAACAAAAACAAAGCTCCATCTCAAAAATTAGTAATAATAATAATAATAATAATAATAATAATATAATTAAAAACGTTCGTCCAGGCGCAGTGGCTCATGCCTGCAATCCCAGCACTTTGGGAGGCCGAGGCAGGTGCATCACCTGAGTTCAGGACTTCGAGACCAGCCTGGCCAACATGGTGAAACCCTGTCTCTACTAAAAAAAAAAAAAAAAATTAGCTGGGTGTGGTGGTGCGCGCCTGTAGTTCCAGCTACTCAGGAAGCTGAGGCAGGAGAATCGCTTGAACCCGGGAAGCATAGGTGCAGTGAGCCGAGATCACGCCACTGCACTCCAGCCTGGGTGACAGGGCGAGACTCCGTCTCAAAAAAAAATAAAATAAATAAAATAAAAATAAAAATAGAAAATAGTCCACTACTATTACTCAATAGCAACAGATGGTAAAATACAGGCTCAGAGAAATTAATGATTTGTGCCTGGTCACACAGCCAACAAATGGCAGAGATGGGACTTCAACTCTGGGCAACTGCACTCTGCCATCCTTCCTGTAGAACTCTGAGGAACTGAGAGTCTTGCATCTTGGAGGATGTTCCAATCAATTTTTTTTTTTTTTTTGAGACGGAGTCTCGCTCTGTTGTTGAGACTGGACTGCAGTGGCGCGATCTCGGCTCACTGCAAGATCCGCCTCCCGGGTTCCTGCCATTCTCCTGCCTCGGCCTCCCAAGTAGCTGGGACTACAGGCGCCCACCAGGACGCCTGGCTAATTTGTTGTATTTTTTAGTAGAGACGGAGTTTCCCCATGTTAGCCAGGATAGTCTTGATCTCCTGACTTTGTGATCCGCCCGTCTCGGCTTCCCAAAGTGCTGGGATTACAGGCATGAACCACTGCGCCAGGCCCAATTTTGTTTGTTTGTTTTGTTGTTTTGGGAAAGGGTGGCATGGAGAAGACTGGGAAACAACCAGTGGTCACCAGAGCTGTAGCACCTCCTTCACCTCTGAGCTCTGGGGCTGGGAACCCCAGGCTTCGGAGGCCACTGTGGAGGACGCAGGTGGCCCCCTCTTTCCTGACATCTCAGGACAGGGAGGGGCAACCGGCTAGGGGAAGAAAAGAACAGGAAGGTTATACAGCCAGGTGGGGAAGGGGCCAAATCCCTGAACAACCCCTTCCCAGAGTTCCTCTTCAAGCGCAGGGTACCCAAGAGTCAAGGCCCCGCCCCCTTTCCAGAGGCCCCTTTTCTACTTAGGTGACGGCTCCTGGCTGGGATGGGAGGTAGATGGACCGGGGGTGGGAGGGGGGGGAGGAGGGGAAGGGAGAGGCAGTGGATGAAGGAGAATGGAAGAGATGACATCCCCCTTGGCCCATTCATCCCATTCAGGTCCCCAAGCCCCCACCTGGACTGCCAGTGCCAACCTCAGAGGGTGGAAGAGGGAGCTCGGCTTAGAATGCTGAGGCCCTGCCCCCTGGGCCACACCAATCGTGTGGCCTTCCTTCTCCCCACGGAAGGCCAGACCATGGACACCTCCTGAGCTGGATGTCATCCCCCATCTCCACCCTCTTTTCTTTTTCTTTCTTTCTTTCTTTTTTTTTTTTTTTTGAGATGGAGTCTCGCTCTGTCGTGCAGGCTGGAGTGCAGTGGCGCGATCTCTGCTCACTGCAACCTCCCGCTCCCAGGTTCACTGCATTCTCCTGCAAGCGCCCGCCACCAAGCCCGGATAACTTTTCGTATTTTTAGTAGAGACGGGGTTTCACCGTGTTAGCCAGGATGGTCTCGATCTCCTGACCTCATGATCCGCCTGCCTCGGCCTCCCAAAGTGGTGGGATTACAGGCGTGAGCCACCACGCCCAGCCGTCCACCCTGTTTTCTACCAGAGTTCTGTACTGTGACTCTGTATAAAATGGTTTGGAAGCTGGACCCACCCTGTGTGTGTGGTTGCCCTGAGCCCACAGAAAGACACCGCCAGAGTGCGGATTGAGAAGCCTTTATTGTGGGAGGATCGGGGTGTCTGAGGGCCCCGGGAGTCGGGATGGGCTTGGAAGGCTGGGGGGAGGGGCCTTTGAGGAAGAGGAGGCCTGGAAGCGGGGGTCATCACAGGTCAAGGGGTGGTCCTTGGGACCCCCGCAGTCAGTGGTGCTGCGGCGGCAGAGTGCACATTGACAGCTGAGAGCCACGGCGTAGGAGACCACGGGGTTCACGCCGCGCGGGCAGCCAGGGAGCCGGATGGACTCGAAGCGCACATCGCGGTAGTTGCACACCACCTGAGGCAGGGCCGGCAGGACCCCCTGCAGCACGCGGGTCTGGAAGCCGTGTGAGTGGGAGAATGAGCATGTGCCTGGGGCCAGCGCCTCAGCTGAGCTCCCCAGCTGCCCCCACAGGTCTCAGACTCAGGGGTCCAGGAAGCCCTCTGTTCCTGCCCTCCCACACCCCATTCCGCAGCCCCTGACCAGAGAGGCAGACCACCCTTCCTCCCCCGCTGCCTCTGTGGGTCTGGCCCTGAGGTGGCAGCACCTGCCCCGGCCCCGGGCAGCTCACCATGGTGGGGCAGTAGCCGGCACAGATGGTGGTGTTGACGGTGATGCACACGGGGCAGCCCTCCTTCTCCACAGCCAGGGTGGCATTGATGGGGCGGCACCGTGGCCGAAGCGGCTCCTTGGATGCCCATGTCCCGCCCATGCTCAGCAGCAGCAACAGCAGCAGCCCCTGGGACAAGGACACTGCTTCACCCGGGTCTGAGACCGCAGCCCCGAGTCCTGGCCTTCCCATCCCGCGTGGTACACCACCCACAAAGACCCAGAGACCCTTCGTGGCATCTCCTATTCAGGACCCACCACCCGGACACCTGCCTTTCAGAGCCCACCCCACAGCCCAGAGGATCTCAGATACCCCAACATTTTAGATCCCCACCCTCAGGAACTGCCCCACCTGAAGCTTACTGGGGGTCACGCTCCTCCAGAAAGAGGCCTCCTTCCACAGCTCACACTGGTCTGCCCCTTCTCATGCCAGTGATGGCCTGGAAGCAGGTGGAAGGTGCCCAGGGGCCCTGCAGTCTTTCCTGGAACATCTCCATCTTTGGTGCCTGGAAATGTCGATCTACCCTACCTTTGACATGTCTCTCTCTTAGCGGGATATCTTCCGCAAGCACTGGGGATGTGGACATGGAAAGTAAATTGAGTCTCCGTGGGGGAGTGAGACAGGGAGTGAGGGGTGTTGGACGCGGCACGGGAACCCGGCCGGAGTCAGCGGACCCAATTGGCTGCTCTCTCTCAGATACAGTTCCCCTTCCTCCCTCCAGGGGGCGCCACGGAACGCAGGGCCCTCACTGGCCCTGGGGACTGGGTGACGTCAGGGGTGAGCCTCTCCTGATTGGCTCCATCACCCTGCGTAAGGTCAAAAGGAAGAAAGGAGATCCCCGACACCCCGAGCTATTGTGGCTCCGACCGGTTGCGCGTGCCCTCGGGCCCTCAGGGAGGGGAGGGTTCGAGGGTACGAGTTCGAGGCCAACCGGGTCCACATTGGTTGAGAAAAAAATTTTTTTATCGTTCCCTATATAATAACAAAACATAAAGGGAGGACGCCTTGATAGGAAGAAATGACATCTTCCTAAGTGTTTTTAAATTACTTCAATGTATCTTTTTTTTTTTTGGGAGACCGAGGCTTGCTCGGTCCTCGGGGGACCTCCCTGCCTGTCAGCCATGGCGGTCGTCACCTGTGGTAAACAGAATGGCGGGAGCAAGTGGGATGTCCCACTACTCGGGCTGAGGCAGGAGAATCACAGGAACCTAGGAGGTGGAACCTCCTCGCCCAGGAGGGGCGCGGCTTCGGACTTAGTTTCTGCCCAATGAGAGAGGGCCTCCCCGTGACTGTGCTGCCAGGTTAGCCACTTGACCCTGGTGCCGCCAACGAGGGATTCAGCCCGAGCCCCACCTCTCCCTTAGGGACCTCTGCCCACTCTACCCTCAAGCCAGGATGCCCGGAGCGGTCCCCGGAAATGCGTGTGCTTCAGGTGATTTAACTGATTATTGAATAGGCCCGCAGGAGGTGTGTCCTGCCCCCGAGGCCTCAGCCTCAGAGGACATTATCTGGACTTAGTCCCTTCCCCGCGATGCCATCAAGCTGGACAATTTTAAGGTCTGTTTCTTTCCCAGTGTAGGGTATAGGTTGGCACAGGGAAGAGGGCTAGAAACCTGACTTGAGCTCCCCGCCCAGGGCTGAACTCTCCAGCATCCTGATCACTTCTCATTGAACCTTGCTTATACTCCCCGTGTGATCGGTAGCTCTTTATCTCAAAACAAAATATTCTAAGCCGACCCCTGCCCACTCTCACCAAGTAAGATTTCTCATTTGAACCCCAGCTCCCAGATACTTAAAGGCCTTCTGTAGACCATGTCCTCAAGGTCCCCTGGCCATCTGCTTGCATGTTCCAGTTTCCCTCCTCCCCCATGCACATCGTGAAATGTGCCCTCCCACTCCCCAGGATGAGCAAGGTGGTGTCCTCTGTGACTGAGCAGTCAGCAACTTAACACCAAAGGTCACCAATGATCAAATCCATGAGAGTTGATCCGAGGAGTTATGTATTAGGGCTACGAAAGAGTAAACACTCAGTAAATAGTGGCTATTATTATTATCATCATCATCATGATTACCCTCAAGTTCCCCTGGGAGAGCTCCTATTCAACCTTCAAAACCCCACGTTGTTGCACCCATCCTACAGAGATTGAGCTCAAATTCAGAGAGTTGTGATTTTGCGATGATTTGATGAGTTCCCCAACTGGGGTCCGTCCGTAGAGCAGCTGGGCCAACCCTGAGGTCTCTCAGCATCCAGCTCTGTTCTTTTTCTGCCTGACCAGTTCCTGGGTATAAGTCTCAGGCCCGGCCAGTCCGGCTGAGGAGTGTGCAGACACAGGCTGTGCCAGTTTGAATCCATCGCCAGTCCACACGGCCCTGGGCATCAGCGGTCAATGCCCGCACATAGGACTGCTTGGCCTTGCACTCAGACACCCAGTGCCCCCCGGTCCACACCCCAGCGGCAGCCCCTCCACCTACCCCTGGGCCACCTTCTTCAGAGTTATCGGCCTTGAAGCAGGTGACAAAGAAGTGTTGGTGGAGGGAACTGCTGCCAGCTGCAGGCACCTCACCCAACACCTCCACCTCGAGCACAACCAAGTCCACAGCGGTCCGGGGGTCTGTCACCCAGACACTGACTGCATCGCACACGGCCAGCTCACCCTGATGACTCGCCGGTGAAGTATCGCTCACCCCTCGCTGGCTGCGGTTGGCCCGGGTGCCTGCTGACTCCCAAAAGGCCCCAGTCTCCAGCAGGAAGACCAGAGGGGGCCCGGCAGCGGCACCCCTAGACAGGACCACTTGGGGGAAAATAAGGTCCCACTCTGGAGGAGGAAAAGGGGACAATGTCAAGGGTGGGGGTTAGGACTCCATTGACACACTGGGGAGGAAGCAAATGAGGGGGATGCAGAGGGAGCCTGGGGGAGCGGGAGCATCTCTCAGAGGACATGGAAACAGGGAAAAGGAGGCTGGGATTAGAGAAGAGGATAAACACTTCAGTGAGGTCAGAAGTTGGGAACCCCAGGGGAGGCCTGCCTGCCAGGATTATGGGGAAGCCCTTGCTCTAGAAGTTTGGGGGACTCCATGTATGGGACTTGCATCACACCCAACTTGTAGATTAATAATAAATATTCAACAACTACAGGTCAGGCACTATGGCTCACACCTGTGGTCCCAGCACTTTGGGAGGCTGAGGCGGGTGTTTGACTTGAGGTCAGGAGTTCAAAAGCAGCCTGGCCAACACTGTGAAACAACATCTCTACTGTTAATACCAAAATTAGCTGGGCGTGGTGCTGCGCTCCTGTAATCCCACCACTTTGGGAGGCCCAGGCGGGCGGATCATGTGGTCAGGGGATCGAGACCTTCCTGGCTAACACGGTGAAACCCCGTCTCTACTAAAAATACAAAAACTTATCTGGGCTTGGTCGCGGGCCCCTGTAGTCCAAGCTACTTGGAAGGCTGAGGCAGGAGAATGGAGTGAACCTAGGAGGGGGAGCTTGCAGTGAGCAGAGATCGCGCCACTGCACTCCAGCCTCCACGACAGAGCGAGACTCCATCTCAAAAAAAAAAAAAAAAAGAAAGAAAGAAAGAAAAAGAAAACAGGGTGGAGATGCAGGATGACCTCCAGCTCAGGAGGTGTCCATGGTCTGGCCTTCTGTGGGGAGAAGGAAGGCCACGTGATCGGTGTGGCCCAGGTGGCAGGGCCTCAGCCTTCTAAGCCGAGCTCCCTCTTCCTCCCTCTGATGTTGGCACTGGCAGTGCAGGTGGGGCGGAGAGGGGCGCGGCTTGGGGACCTGAATGGGATGAATGGGCCGAGGGGGATGTCATCTCTTCCATCCTCCTTCATCCACTGCCTCTCCCTTCCCCTCCTCCCCCCTCCCCTCCGTCCATCTGCCTCCCATCCCAGCTAGGACCCATCACCTGGGTAGAAAAGGGGCCTCTGGAAAGGGGGCGGGGCCTTGACTCTTGGGTACCCTGCACTTGAAGAGGAACTCTGGGAAGGGGTTGTTCAGGGATTTGGCCCCTTCCCCACCTGGCTGTATAACCTTCCTGTGCTTTTCTTCTGCTAGCCGGTTGCCCCTCCCTCTCCTGAGATGTCAGGAAAGAGGGGGCCACCTGCGTCCTCCACAGGGGCCCCGAAGCCTGGGGTTCCCAGCCCCAGAGCTCGGAGGTGGAGGAGGTGCTACAGCTCTGGTGACCACTGGTTGTTTCCCAGTCTTCTCCACGCCAACCTTTCCCAGAACCACAGGCTTCCAGAATGTTGTAGGGAAACTGCAAAATCCGCGCCTCCACCAGCCTCTCCCAGCGCCAGGTCAATTTCACACACAGGGAAACTGAAGCCTGCCTCAGAGGGGCAGCGTTTTACCTCCTTAGTGGCAGTTTTGAGGTGAATCGGGGTCTCCCTAGGATTCCAGGTTGTGCACTTTCTCTAAATTGTGGAATGTGGCCAGGCGTGGTGGCTTGAGTCTGTAGTCCCAGCTACTCAGGAGCCACAGCAGGAGGATGGCTTGAGCCCAGGAGTTCAAGTGCAGTGGGGAAACATAGGGAGACCTCGTCTTAAAGCAATTTGTTTGGGGCCAGGCGTGGTTTCTCAGGCCTATAATCCCAGCACTCTGGGAGGCCAGGGCAGGAGTATCACTGGAGGTTGGGAGTTTGAGACCAGTCTGGCCAATGTTGTGAAACTGCATCTCTACTAAAAATACAAAAATTAGCAGGGCACGGTGGCAGGCGCTTGTAATTCCAGTTACTCAGAAGGCTGAGGCAGGAGAGTCACTTGAACCCAGGAGGCAGGCGCTACAGTGAGCCAGGATTGTGCCACTGTACTCCAGCCTGGCCAGACAGAGTGAGGCTCTGTCTCAAAAAAAAAAAAAAAAAAATTGGGCCGGGTGCAGTGGCTCATGCCTGTAATCCCAGCACTTTGGGAGGCCGAGGCAGGCAGATCACAAGGTCAGGAGATCAAGACCATCCTGGCTAACACGGGGAAACCCCGTCTCTACTAAAAAATACAACAAATTAGCCAGGCATAGTGGTGGGTGCCTGTAGTCCCAGCTACTCGGGAGGCTGAGGCAGGAGAGTGGTGTAAACCCGGGAGGTGGACCTGCAGTTAGCCGAGATCGCGCCACTGCAGTCCAGCCTGGGCGACAAGTGAGACACCCCCTCAAAAAAAAATTGATTGGAACATCCTCCAGGGTGCAAGACCCTCGGTTCCTCAGAGTTCTACAGGAAGGATAGCAGAGTGCAGTTGCCCAGAGGTGAAGTCCCATCTCTGCCATTTGTTGGCTGTGTGACCAGGCACAAATCATTAATTTCTCTGAGCCTGTATTTTACCATCTGTTGCTATTGAGTAATAGTAGTTGAATATTTTCTACTTTTATTTTTATTTTATTTTTATTTTTATTTTTTTTGAGACGGAGTCTGGCCCTGTCACCTAGGCTGGAGTGCAGTGGCGCGCTCTCGGCTCACTACACCTCTGCTTCATGGGTCCAAGCGATTCTCCTGCCTCAGCCTCCTGAGTAGCTGGGAGTACAGGTGCGCACCACCATACCCAGCTAATTTTTGTGTTTTTTTTTTAGTAGAGACAGGGATTCACCATGTTGGCCAGGCTGGTCTCAAAGTCTTGACCTCAGGTGATGCACCCACCTCGGCCTCCCAAAGCGCTGGGATTGCAGGCGTGAACCACTGCACCCGGCCGAACATTTTTATCTTTATTTTATGATTATTATTATTATTTTTTTAAGATGGAGCTTTGTTTTTGTTGCCCAAGCTGAAGTGCAATGGCGCGATCTTGGCTCACTGCAACCTCTGCCTCCTGGGATCAAGTGATTCTCCTGCCTTAGCCTCCCAAGTAGCTGGGATTATAAGCATGCAGCACCACGCTGGAGGATATTTTGTATTTTTAGTAGAGGTGCGGTTTCTCTATGTTGGTCAGGCTGGTCTGGAACTCCTCACCTCAGCTGATCCACCCACTGCAGCCTCCGACAATGCTGGCATTACAAGTGTGAGCCACCATGCCCGGCCTTATTTTTATTTTTATTTTTTTTGTGAGACAGAGTCTCACTCTGTTGTCCAGGCGGAAGTGCAGTGGCACCATCTTGGCTCACTGCAATCTCGGCCTCCCGGGTTCAAGCGATTCTCCTGCCTCAGCCTCCTGAGTAGCTGAGACCACAGGCGTGCAGCACCAGGCCTGGCTAATTTTGGTATTATCAGTAGAGATGTTGTTTCACAGTGTTGGCCAGGCTGCTCTCGAACTCCTGACCTCAAGTCATCCACCCGCCTCAGCCTCCCAAAGTGCTGGGATTACAGGTGTGAGCCATAGTGCCTGACCTGTAGTTGTTGAATATTTATTATTAATCTACAAGTTGGGTGTGATGCAAGTCCTATATATGGAGTCCCCCAAACTTCTAGAGCAAGGGCTTCCCCATAATCCTGGCAGGCAGGCCTCCCCTGGGGTTTCCAACTTCTGACCCCACTGAAGTGTTTATCCTCTTCTCTAATCCCAGCCTCCTTTTCCCTGTCTCCATGTGCTCTGAGAGATGCTCTGAGAGATGCTCCCACTCCCCCAGGCTCCCTCCGCATCCCCCTCATTTTCCTCCTCCCCAGTGTGTCAATGGAGTCCTAACCCCATCCTCGACATTGTCGCCTTTTCCTCCTCCAGAGTGGGACCTTCTTTTCCCCCGAGTGGTCCTGTCTAGGGGTGCCGCTGCCGGGCCCCCTCTGGTCTTCCTGCTGGAGACTGGAGCCTTTCGGGAGTCAGCAGGCGCCCGGGCCAACCGCAGCCAGCGAGGGGTGAGCGATACTTCACCGGCGAGTCATCAGGGTGAGCTGGCCGTGTGCGATGCAGTCAGTGTCTGGGTGACAGACCCCTGGACTGCTGTGGACTTGGGTGTGCTCGAGGTGGAGGTGTTGGGCGAGGTGCCTGCAGCTGTCGGCAGTTCCCTCCGCCAGCACTTCTTTGTTGCCCACTTCGAGGCCGATAAATCTGAGGAAGGTGGCCCGGGGGTAGGTGGAGGGGGCTGCCGCCGGGGTGTGGACCGGGGGGCACTGGGTGTCTGAGTGCAAGGCCAAGCAGTCCTATGTGCGGGCATTGACCGCTGATGCCCAGGGCCGTGTGGACTGGCGATGGATTCAAACTGGCACAGCCTGTGTCTGCACACTCCTCAGCCGGACTGGCCGGGCCTGAGACTTATACCCAGGAACTGGTCAGGCAGAAAAAGAACAGAGCTGGATGCTGAGAGACCTCAGGGTTGGCCCAGCTGCTCTACGGACGGACCCCAGTTGGGGAACTCATCAAATCATCACAAAATCACAACTCTCTGAATTTGAGCTCAATCTCTGCAGGATGGGTGCCACCACATGTGGTTTTGAAGGTTGAATAGGAGCTCTCCCAGGGGAACTTGAGGGTAATCATGATGATGATGATGATGATGATAATAATAATAGCCACTATTTACTGAGTGTTTACTCTTTCGTAGCCCTAATACATAACTCCTCGGATCAAC
This sequence comes from Homo sapiens, assembly GCF_000001405.40. Lineage (NCBI taxonomy): Eukaryota > Metazoa > Chordata > Mammalia > Primates > Hominidae > Homo > Homo sapiens. Next base: position 49,025,142 of record NC_000019.10, on the reverse strand, counting down.
TCTCATGGATTTGATCATTGGTGACCTTTGGTGTTAAGTTGCTGACTGCTCAGTCACAGAGGACACCACCTTGCTCATCCTGGGGAGTGGGAGGGCACATTTCACGATGTGCATGGGGGAGGAGGGAAACTGGAACATGCAAGCAGATGGCCAGGGGACCTTGAGGACATGGTCTACAGAAGGCCTTTAAGTATCTGGGAGCTGGGGTTCAAATGAGAAATCTTACTTGGTGAGAGCAGGCAGGGGTTGGCTTAGAATATTCTGTTTTGAGATAAAGAGCTACCGATCACACGGGGAGTATAAGCAAGGTTCAATGAGAAGTGATCAGGATGCTGGAGAGTTCAGCCCTGGGCGGGGAGCTCAAGTCAGGTTTCTAGCCCTCTTCCCTGTGCCAACCTATACCCTACATTGGGAAAGAAACAGACCTTAAAATTGTCCAGCTTGATGGCATCGCGGGGAAGGGACTAAGTCCAGATAATGTCCTCCGAGGCTTCGGCCCCATGGGCAGGACACACCTCCTGCGGGCCTATTCAATAATCAGTTAAATCACCTGAAGCACACGCATTTCCGGGGACAGCTCCGGGCATCCTGGCTTGAGGGTAGGGTGGGCGGAGGTCCCTAAGGGAGAGGTGGGGCTCGGGCTGAATCCCTCGTTGGCGGCACCAGGGTCAAGTGGCTTCCCTGGCAGCACAGTCACGGGGAGGCCCTCTCTCATTGGGCAGAAACTAAGTCCGAAGCCGCGCCCCTCCTGGGAGGTTGGACTGTGGTGCAGGAAAGCCTCAAGTAGAGGAGGGTTGAGGCTTCAGTCCAGCACCTTTCTCGGGTCACGGCCTCCTCCTGGCTCCCAGGACCCCACCATAGGCAGAGGCAGGCCTTCCTACACCCTACTCCCTGTGCCTCCAGCCTCGACTAGTCCCTAGCACTCGACGACTGAGTCTCTGAGGTCACTTCACCGTGGTCTCCGCCTCACCCTTGGCGCTGGACCAGTGAGAGGAGAGGGCTGGGGCGCTCCGCTGAGCCACTCCTGCGCCCCCCTGGCCTTGTCTACCTCTTGCCCCCCGAGGGGTTAGTGTCGAGCTCACCCCAGCATCCTATCACCTCCTGGTGGCCTTGCCGCCCCCACAACCCCGAGGTATAAAGCCAGGTACACGAGGCAGGGGACGCACCAAGGATGGAGATGTTCCAGGTAAGACTGCAGGGCCCCTGGGCACCTTCCACCTCCTTCCAGGCAATCACTGGCATGAGAAGGGGTCAGACCAGTGTGAGCTGTGGAAGGAGGCCTCTTTCTGGAGGAGCGTGACCCCCAGTAAGCTTCAGGTGGGGCATTTCCTGAAGGTGCGGATCTGAAATGTTGGGGTATCTCAGGTCCTCTGGGCTGTGGGGTGGGCTCTGAAAGGCAGGTGTCCGGGTGGTGGGTCCTGAATAGGAGATGCCGGGAAGGGTCTCTGGGTCTTTGTGGGTGGTGTACCACGCGGGATGGGAAGGCCAGGACTCGGGGCTGCGGTCTCAGACCCGGGTGAAGCAGTGTCCTTGTCCCAGGGGCTGCTGCTGTTGCTGCTGCTGAGCATGGGCGGGACATGGGCATCCAAGGAGCCGCTTCGGCCACGGTGCCGCCCCATCAATGCCACCCTGGCTGTGGAGAAGGAGGGCTGCCCCGTGTGCATCACCGTCAACACCACCATCTGTGCCGGCTACTGCCCCACCATGGTGAGCTGCCCGGGGCCGGGGCAGGTGCTGCCACCTCAGGGCCAGACCCACAGAGGCAGCGGGGGAGGAAGGGTGGTCTGCCTCTCTGGTCAGGGGCTGCGGAATGGGGTGTGGGAGGGCAGGAACAGAGGGCTTCCTGGACCCCTGAGTCTGAGACCTGTGGGGGCAGCTGGGGAGCTCAGCTGAGGCGCTGGCCCCAGGCACATGCTCATTCCCCCACTCACACGGCTTCCAGACCCGCGTGCTGCAGGGGGTCCTGCCGGCCCTGCCTCAGGTGGTGTGCAACTACCGCGATGTGCGCTTCGAGTCCATCCGGCTCCCTGGCTGCCCGCGCGGCGTGAACCCCGTGGTCTCCTACGCCGTGGCTCTCAGCTGTCAATGTGCACTCTGCCGCCGCAGCACCACTGACTGCGGGGGTCCCAAGGACCACCCCTTGACCTGTGATGACCCCCGCTTCCAGGACTCCTCTTCCTCAAAGGCCCCTCCCCCCAGCCTTCCAAGCCCATCCCGACTCCCGGGGCCCTCGGACACCCCGATCCTCCCACAATAAAGGCTTCTCAATCCGCACTCTGGAGGTGTCTTTCTGTGGGCTCAGGGCAACCACACACACACAGGATGGGTCCAGCTTCCAAACCATTTTATACAGAGTCACAGTATGAGAACTCTGGTAGAAAACAGTGTGGGGTCGGGGGATGACATCGCAACTTTACTCTACATTGGGAAAGAAACAGACCTTAAAATTTTCCAGCTTGATGGCCAGGTGCGATGGCTGATGCCTGTAATCCCAGCACTTTGAGAGGCCAAGACAGGCGAATCACCTGAGGTTAGGAGTTCAAGACCAGCCTGGTTAACATGGTGAAACCCCGTCTCTACTAAAATTACATAAAGAAATTAGCTGGGCGTGTAGGCGGGTGCCTGTAATCCCAGCTACTCTGGAGGGTGAGGCAGGAGAATCGCTTGAACCCGGGAGGCGGAGGTTGCAGTGAGCGGAGACTGTGCCATTGCACTCCAGCCTGGGCAAAAAGAGGGAAAGTCCGTCTCAAAAAAAAAAAAAAATTGTCCAGTTTGAGTGGGACATGAGGTTCTGACTAACTCGCCGTCCCCCTGGCTAGGATCAGGGGGTTATTCGTCATTGAGAGCCCTTGAGTAGGGTCAGCAAAATCCAACAGAAGGGCCCCAGAAGCATGATTCAGGGAGGAACAGTAAGTGGGATTGTGGGCCTGGCTGCAGAAGGCAGCCTCAGGTTTCCTTGTCTGAAGAATGGGCTCGTGGGATGAGATAATGAGGGTTGAGGAGGCAGAGGCCTAGACCAAAAGCTATTTTTTTTTTTTTTTTTGAGATGGAGTCTTGCTCTGTCCCCTAGGCTGGAGTGCAGTGGCATGATCTCAGCTCACTGCCACCTTCACCTCCTGAGTTCAAGTGATTCTCCTGCCTTAGTTGGGATTACAGGTGTGCGCCACCATGCCTGGCTACTTTTTATATTTTTCGATAGAGACAGGGTTTTGCCATGTTGGCCAGGCTGGTTTCAAACTCCTAACCTCAAGTTATCTGCCCGCCTCTGCCTCTCAAAGTGCTGGGATTACAGGAGTGAGTCATCGTGCCCGGTGACCAAAAGCTCTATATGGTGAAGAAATGACAAGGGAAGCCAGGGACAGACCACAGGAGTTCACAGTAGCCCTTCACCTATGACCCCTATTACCCATCTCCCTACATGTGTTGCCAACACACAGACATACAGACACACACACACTCACTCTCTCTCTCTCTCTCTGGTCCACAGGACTTCACAATAGCCCTTCACCTATTACCCATCTCCCCACATGTGTTGCCAACACACAGACAGACACACACACACACACACACTCTGTCTCTCTCTCTCTCTCTCTCTTTCTCTCTGTCTGGGACAGACCACAGGACTTCACAATAGCCCTTTACCTATTACCCATCTCCCCACATGTGTTGCCAACACACAGACACAGACACACACACACACTCTCTCTCTCTCACTTTCTCTCCCCCTCTCTCTCTCTCAGGTCCAGCTTTGAGCAAAGGACATAGGCACCCCCTCCACCAATCTGTACAGACCAGGCCCCTCGGCAGGGAGGGGTGTGGCTGCCTCCGTTTCTACATCTCCTTGTTACCATCTCTGATTTTGCTCTTTTTTGCCGCCTTTCTCTCTGTCTCTAACTTCCGGTGGCTCTAGCCTCTGGGTGAGTACTAATAGCTCCGTTTCCAGCGTGGTCTGTGTCTTCCTCCCTGTCTCTCTCCTCTCTTGTATTTCTTTCTCACTCATCAAAGCCCATGTTTTTCGCTATGGTCCGGTGCACTTCTCTGTGGGTGCCTCCCTGTTTCCACACCCCGCCTACCCAGGTGGAACTTTTCAAGCCAATCAAAGGCAGGCAGGACAGCCAATGCTAGTGCTGATTACTTCAGCACGTGCATGCAGGGAGGGTCGGGGAGCCCCGGGGATGTCTGGAAATCGTTACCCTGAGGTGGGCAGGCCTGGTAGAGGGAGGAAGCAGCCAGGAGCATCTGGGCCCTGGAAGAAAGGGGGGTGTTTCTCATGGATGTCCTGAGTTGCTAGGTGCAGCGCAGGGGTCTCTGTCTCTCTGTCTGGATCTCTGACACCTCCAGGTCCCTGTCCCTCTTTTTGGGTTTCTCTCTCCCCCACCCCCTGGGTCTCTGAAATACTGAACTTCTCCTTCCCTTTCCACCCTCCTATCTTTGAGTCTCCATTCCCCCTCCTTGTGTTTCTTTGTACCCCTCTTGGGGTCCCTGTCTCTGGGTCTCTTTCTCATTCCATCCATCCAGGTGCCTGCAGGCCCTTGATTGACTAGGTTCTGGGTGGGCGGGTTCTGTCACCTGGGGCAACAACCACAATAAGCCAGCTCCTGCTTGGCTACGGAGTGGGGGTGGAACCATGGCCAGTGGCACCCTGGCTCCGGGCTGTCGTATCTCTGCAACCGAGGTACCTGGATCCAGGCCCAACTGCCATCTCACCAGCAGCTACTTTTCCCACCGCATTATCCCACCCATACCCTTCACCCCGCCCACGGTGCAGGTGAGCGGACCCTACGCTGCAGCCCTGCCGGGCCTGGAGACCCAGAAAGATAGGGGCTAAATAAAGCGGATTGGGAGCTTGGACTCCTCTCTGAAGGAGGAGGGTCCTGGAGTTCTGGGTCTGAGAGAGGAGGCACCAGGGAAGCTGAATGCCAGGGACTGCAGAGGAAAGGGCTGGGGGCCGACTGGAAGAGGTCAGAGTTTGGGGTGGGGGGTGATAGGGACTCCTGAGTCTTTCTAGCTGATGTGCGGCGCCTTCTCTCCAGTCCACGGTCGCGGACCCTCTACCCCAAGTTGCAAAGCAGGATTCTCACAACTGGGCTTTCGACGAGGTCCTCAGCAGATGGGAGACAACCTCTGGCTCGGCCTACGTGCCCAAGACCCATGGCGGGCCCTGCGCCCAGCCCAGAGCCCCAGAGCCTGCAGACCCCACGCGGACTGTGGGGATCAAGGATTTAGGAGAAAAGGTAAAGTTTGGGGAGTGCCGGAGTCCGCAGGGGACAGGGCGGGGGACTGCATTTGAGTCCCCTGCTCCTTCACGTGAGTCTCTGGGTCGCCTTTCCGCAGCTCAGACACCGCGGCTGGCGCCTCCCACTGACCACAAAGTACCAGAGCAGCGAGACGAGGGCGCAGTACACTGGCTCTCCCAGCGGGGACCCGCGCGCCCCGGAATACTTCGGGCCCCAGCCCCCACAACTCGCAGACCACCACCGCGGGGGTCCTTCCCAGGTGTCTGGGTGGAAGCCGGCGCCGGCGAGACGGGGCGGAGCTCCGGGAGCCTGGGGCGGGGCCAGAAGGAATCACGGCTTTGGGGCGTGGCTAAAGGGTCTGGGGCGGGATCGCGAGGTTAGAGGAGCCGGGGGAGGGGCTGGGCATTAGGCCAGGCCAGAAGGACCAGGGACTACAAACTCACCTTCAGGGCTCCTAAGCTGCTGCGGAGCTAGACGGCGGGCTGTGGGTGGGGAGGAGACTAGAATATTCTGAGACGGGGTCAGGTGGGAGTTGGGAGAGGTAACTTGGAGTTGCTGCCCAAGATGCAGCTCAGCTCCAGTGGCCACACCAAGACGGTTTAAGACAGAGCGGAACCAGGGAGGTTGTTTTTGGTGGCTGGGGGCTTGGGTTTGAGTTCCTTGAACAGCAGAAGGTGCTTGGATTTAGGGAGGTGAGGCTGGGAAGGGTTCGGGTATGAGAAAGGAAGCTGAAGTTCCCTGGCGTGGGTGGCAGGAAGGGCTCTAACCCTGGGGCGGGGTGTGAGGGCCGTGGCCGTCATGGCTGTCGAGGCCGAAGGAGAGGGATTCTGAACTCGGGACCCAGGGCTTGGGATGGGGTATGAAATCTATGTCTTGGGTATGCCTCCTCCCCCAATCTTGCTCAGGCTCTAATTGCCTGGACGAAGAACCCCGAGCTGTCTGGCCGGCCTTTCACAGTATCCGACCGGGGCGTCCTGGACCGCCGCCAGCTCTATCTGACCACCTCGGCGCGGGACTTTCGGTTCTATCCCAAGTAAGCCGGGCTCTCGCTCGGCACCGCCTCCTGCACAGCCCCCGCCGTGGCCGGTGCACGCCGAGCCCCTGGGCTGGCTCCCATTCCCTGAGCCGGTGGTCTCAGCCTCGACTTCTGTAGCAGCAAGAACCAAAGTTCAGGCCTCAGCCCCTCCCTTTTTTTTTTAAGCACCCAGGAGTCCTTAGTGTCACCTCTCAGGAACCGCGGTAGGGACAGGAAGCCTGCACAGCGGCTCGAGGGGATTCCGGATCTGAGGGCAGGGCCTCCTTCGGTACTTGAGCCCCCAGATACTCCTTCCCAAGGAAGCGAAAGTCCCCTTTTACTTCCCTAGGATGCGAAAGCTCAGTTTCCAGGACGTTAAGTACCTCGAGGACCCAGGAACGCAGGCAACGCGTGCCGGGTCGCGTCCTTCCTAAGGGGTGCTCGCCTGGAAATGCAGGAGTTTGAATGTGCAGACTCCTTAGATCCCGAGGTCTGAAACTCGTCCCCAAGGATCCAGCTGTATCCTCACCATCCCGCCCTGCTCCCACAGGACGGAGCTGTCCGGATACCCCCGCAAGGACTCCCTGACCTACTGGAGCTTCGAAGAGACGCCCCAGGTCTGGAGCCACGGCCCGCAGCGGCCGCCCTGTCCGCGCTCCTCCCGGCCGCCCCGACCACCGCGGGTCCGCGTGCCGCGCGTCAGCCCGGTGACCTCGGCCATGCCGCACCGGGGAGCCCTGTCTCTGGCTCAGGAGTCCTACAGCCCCCTGCTGCACCCGCTCCGGCGGCTCGACCGCTTCTGCCCGCTGGAGGCGCCCTGGGGCGGCCCGCACTGGAAGCCCCTGCGGGGCATCTACAGCGTGCCGAAAGCCTACAGTACCGAGAACTCCAGCTATGGCAGCTTGAAGCCGGCGCTGGTGTGAGCCGTCAGGGCCAGCCCCACCCCAGACCCGCCCCCAGGGCCGCGCTGCCGAGCGGAGCTCGGGACCTCCGCTCACTAGGAAGGGTTCCGGACCCAGCCTGAGTCGCACTCATTACGTCTATTGGCAACGTGGGGGCGGGACTAGCCCAGACACCCACTCAGCTGCGGCATCACGGAGAGGGGACTAAGTCCAGATAATGTCCTTGCAGGCTGTGGCCCCGGGGGCAAGACACGCACCCTGCGGGCGTATTAAATAATGAGTTAAATCACCTGAACCACACCCACTTCCGGGGACGCTCCGGGCATCCTGGCTTGAGGGTAGGGTGGGCGGAGGTCCCTAAGGGAGAGGTGGGGCTCGGGCTTAATCCCTCCTTGGGGGCATCTGGGTCAAGTGGCTTCCCTGGCAGCACAGTCACGGGGAGACCCTCTCTCACTGGGCAGAAGCTAAGTCCGAAGCAGCGCCCCTCCTGTTAGGTTGGACTGTGGTGCAGGAAAGCCTCAAGTGGAGGGTTGAGGCTTCAGTCCAGCACCTTTCTCGGGTCATGGCCTCCTCCTGGCTCCCAAGACCCCACAATTGGCAGAGGCAGGCCTTCCTACACCCTACTCCCTGTGCCTCCAGGCTCGACTAGTCCCTAGCACTCGACAACTGGGTCTCTGAGGTCACTTCACCGTGGTCTCTGCCTCACCTCTGGCGCTAGACCACTGAGGGGAGAGGGCTGGGGCGCTCTGCTGAGCCACTCCTGCGCCTCCCTGGCCATGTGCACCTCTCGCCCCCGGGGGGATTAGTGTCCAGGTTACCCCAGCATCCTATCACCTCCTGGTGGCCTTGCCGCCCCCACAACCCCGAGGTATATAGCCAGATACACGAGGCAGGGGATGCACCAAGGATGGAGATGCTCCAGGTAAGACTACAGGGCCCCTGGGCACCTTCCACCTCCTTCCAGGCCATCACTGGCATGAGAAGGGGCAGACCCGTGTGAGCTGTGGAAGGAGGCCTCTTTCTGGAGGGGCATGACCCCCAGTAAGCTTCAGGTGGGGCAGTTCCTGAGGGTGGGGATCTGAAATGTTGGGGCATCTCAGGTCCTCTGGGCTGTGGGGTGGGCTCTGAAAGGCAGGTGTCCGGGTGGTGGGTCCTGAATAGGAGATGCCGGGAAGGGTCTCTGGGTCTTTGTGGGTGGTGTACCACGCGGGATGGGAAGGCCAGGACTCGGGGCTGCGGTCTCAGACCTGGGTGAAGCAGTGTCCTTGTCCCAGGGGCTGCTGCTGTTGCTGCTGCTGAGCATGGGCGGGGCATGGGCATCCAGGGAGCCGCTTCGGCCATGGTGCCACCCCATCAATGCCATCCTGGCTGTCGAGAAGGAGGGCTGCCCAGTGTGCATCACCGTCAACACCACCATCTGTGCCGGCTACTGCCCCACCATGGTGAGCTGCCTGGGGCCAGGGGCAGATGCTGCCACCTCAGGGCCAGACCCACAGAGGCAGCGGGGGAGGAAGGGTGGTCTGCCTCTCTGGCCTGCGGTTGGGGAATGGGGTGTGGGAAGGCAGGAACAGAGGGCTTCCTGGGCTCCTGAGTCCAGGACCTGTGGGGTCAGCTTGGGAGCTCAGCTGAGGCGCTGGCCTCAGGCACATGCTCATTCCCCCACTCACACGGCCTCCAGATGCGCGTGCTGCAGGCGGTCCTGCCGCCCCTGCCTCAGGTGGTGTGCACCTACCGTGATGTGCGCTTCGAGTCCATCCGGCTCCCTGGCTGCCCGCGTGGTGTGGACCCCGTGGTCTCCTTCCCTGTGGCTCTCAGCTGTCGCTGTGGACCCTGCCGCCGCAGCACCTCTGACTGTGGGGGTCCCAAAGACCACCCCTTGACCTGTGACCACCCCCAACTCTCAGGCCTCCTCTTCCTCTAAAGACCCTCCCCGCAGCCTTCCAAGTCCATCCCGACTCCTGGAGCCCTGACACCCCGATCCTCCCACAATAAAGGCTTCTCAATCCGCACTCTGGAGGTGTCTTTCTGTGGGCTCAGGGCAACCACACATACACAGGGTGGGTGCAGCTTCCCAACCATTTTATACAGAGTCACAGTGTCAGAACTCTGGTGGAAAACAGGGTGGGGTCGGGGGATGACATCCAACTCAGGAGGTGTCCATGGTCTCGCCTTCTGTGGGGAGAAGGAAGGCCACATGGTCAGTGTCGCCCAGGTGGCAGGGCCTGAGCCTTCTACGCCGAGCTCCCTCTTCCTCCCTCTGAGGTTGGCTCTGGCAGTGCAGGTGCGGGGTGGGGATTCTTACTGAGTTCGTTGAAGAGGAAGGCGTCCTGGTACTCCTTCATGTACTGCGTGGAGCGGGACTCGTCCAGGAAGAGTGAGTAGACCCGCTTGATGTCATCCACCTGCACTTCTGTACCCTGGAGGGGGAGGGCGAGTCCTCAGTTGGGCCCCTCTCCGTGAGGCTCAAGGCACAGACCCCAGCGTATGCCACCTCCATGCTCTAGGCAGCAGAGTGTGGCATGTGAGGGGAGGGCATTCTGGGCCAGATTGCCTGGGTTCAAATCCTGCCTGGCCATCTCCTTGTTGTGGGCCCAGCCTCTTCATTCCTCAGTTTCTTTATCTGTAAGGTGGACCTAACAGCATCTACTTAAGTCAAGAGAGATTTACTGATACCTACTATAGGCCAGGCTGGATGATACAGAAGCCAACCTGAGGGATGAAAATTCCCTGCGTCTGAAAACGTACATTCTAGGATGAAATCGGAACCCTGGAAGCCCCTGAAGTACTGTGTCACTCACTGCCGCCATCTGGCCCTGCTGGCTAATTCGGCCGGCTGACCTTGCGTTTCCGGCACACCAAGCTGGCAGCTGTGATGAGCTGGATGGCGTAGCGCAGTGACGTCTCCAGCCCGATGCGGGTCAGCACCGTGTAGGCGTCCTCACTCATCTCCACATCTTCTTCCTCGCACCTGCAAGCAGTGGGGGACAGGGGTGGCTCAGCCGGGGCCCAGCCTCTGACTGCAGCAGAAGTGGCCACAGCAACCCTCTGGCCCTTCCCCACTGGGAATATGTGGCGCCTGCATCTTAGAACCATAGAATGCTGAGGCTAGAAGAGCCACGGAGACAGGGGCTGGGCTGGACCTAAAACCGAGGCCTCCTGACCACCCCCAGGGCGCTGGCCCCAACACCAGTCACGGGTACCTCGCCTCCCTTTCCCACCGTGGCTCCTGCTCCCGGATCGGAGGCCACCGTCTGGGTGCCCGCTCAGCCCTCTCTCCTGTAGGCCCAGCCACCATGCCACTCCGCTGGACCTCAGTGTCAGCATTTGTCAAACAGGGTAGACCCCAGCCCTGCGTCTCAGGCGCACGGCCTGGTCCTGCCCGCACCGGATGCGGAGGATCTGCTTCGTGTCTTTCTCGCTGTAGGGGGTGGTGGAGACGATAAGCAGCCGGTCCAGCAGGTCTATGGGGATGCCGTGAGGGCTCTGGTAGCTGGTGCCCCGGATTCTGAGGAAGAGGCAGAAAGAGGGGGCTGTCAGGGGCATGTTCCCTCTTCATTCCCTTTGCTGGGAACACTCTCACCTCCCATCGCCACCCACTCACTGGGCCCAACACCACTTAACCTTTAGCTCGCGTCTCCTGTCACATGATGACATCACCCCTGATGACGCAGCCTTCCACAGCTGCGTCAGTCCCCCAAGGGCACCTTTCCGCGGAGCTGGGCTGCTTTAAGCTAGATCTCTGCCTCCAGGATTACTGGATCAAGGTCCCACTCCCGTGCTCGACACAAAGCTTCACAAAGGAGGGGACTGCACCTGTCTTGTTCCCTGCTGCAGCGGGGCCAGCCCAGGGCTGGTGCCAGGGGATACAGTCAGTTCCCCTTATTCACAGTAGTGAGGTTCTAGAAAGTCATCGTGAACACTCCAATTAGCTGATCCTGAGCCACTGCTCCTACTGGAATACAGGGTTAGGCTCTCTCGAGCCTCGGCTTACAGTATTTTCATCAATCCATATATATATAATCTGGGTCTATGCGTATTTTCATTTGTGTGTTTCTGGTCTTTTTGGTTTGTTTTTTGAGACGGAGTCTCGCTCTGTTGCGAGGCTGGAGTGCAGTGGCGCGATCTCGGCTCACTGCAACCTCCGCCTCCCGGGTTCAACCGATCCTCCTGCCTCAGCCTCCCAAGTAGCTGGGTCTACAGGCGCACGCCATCACGCCCAGCTAGTTTTTTCTATTTTTAATACAGACAGGGTTTCACCATGTTGGCCGGGACGGTCTCATTCTCTTGACCTCGTGATCCACCCACCTCGGCCTCCCAAAGTGCTGGGATTACAGGTGTGAGCTACCGCGCCTGGCCTCATGTATGTGTGTTTCTATTTCCATGTGTTTGTTATGTAACATCACTGTTTATTCTCTAACATGGAGCTCGTGTCAACAGCATTCTAACTTGGGCTCAGCGAAGCGTCTGTAACATGGCATTTTCTCCGTCAGGCTTCACAGCCTCCTTGCACTTAGGATACTAGACAGCACTTCAACACTGTGCACAGGGGACACTTTAAATGGCAATATCACCAACAAATGGCCCCAAAAAGTTTAAAAAAAAAAGGCACAAAAAAAGTGACAACACTTTGGGAGGCTGAGGCGGGTGGATTGCTTGAGCCCAGGAGTTTGAGACCAGCCTGGGCAACATGGCAAAACACCATCTCTACAAAAAAAAAAAAAAAATTAGGCCGGACGCGGTGACTCACCCCTGTAATCTCAACACTTTGGGAGGCTGAGGTGGGCAGATCACGAGGTCAGGAGTTCGAGACCAGCCTGGCCAATATGGTGAAACCCTGTCTCTACTAAAAATACCAAAATTAGCTGGGCATGGTGGCGGGTGCCCATAATCCCAGCTACTCAGGAGGCTGAGGCAGGAAAACTGCTTGAACCCAGAAGGCAGAGGTTGCAGTGAGCCGAGATCGTGCCACTGCACTCCAGCCTGGTGACAGAGCTAGACTCCGTCTCAAAACAAAAACAGAAATTAGCTAGGCATAGTGGTGCATGCCCGTGGTCCCAGCTGATGAGGAGGCTGAGGCCAGAGGACTGATTGAGTCCCAGGGGTGGTGTGTGTGTGTGTGTGTGTGTGTGTGTGTGTGTGTGTGTGGTGGGCACTGAGGCTGCAGTGTGCCATGATCGTGCCTCTGCACTCCAGCCTGGGCGACAGAGCAAGACCCTGTCTCAAAGAACAAAAGTGACAAACGTAGCACTAAATAGAATACAACAAGGACACTTATTTACAGCATGAGCGCTAAGGGAGCAGGCAGTGTTGCCTCGTTCACACTCAGCTGGGAAAGTGGGTGTCAGGTGACTTGAATTTGTTGCCGAAAGCAGGGCAGATATTTATTTGGGGATTACAAATAAATCTTAGCAAGCGAGATTCTCAGATACAGAGTCTACGAACAATCAGGGCTGCCCGTAGCTGCTGCCTCCCACAGGAGGTGCCCCTGGGCAGTCCCCAGGCCCTGACCTGCAGTTTCTGTGAAAACACCATCAGCCCTGGGGGTCTCTTCCAGTGTCCAGCCATCCAGAGACCAAATTACGGCCCTGCTACCTTCTAGACTTGTGACCTGGGCAAGTCACTGGGCCTCACTGTCCTGCCCTATAAAATGGGGCTGAGGTGATATCTACCTTCTGAGCTTCTTCTGCGGATCCAAGGAGTTAAAAGAGCCAAACACAGAGCCAGGCCCAGCGGCCCAGCATCCTCTGTAGGGTGCCCGCTTCTTCCCTTTTGTGATGCCCATCCCAACCGCCCAGTTTCAGCTGGGCCCAAGGCTGCAGGGCTGGAGCTGACAGTACCCAGCCTTCTTTGCCACCAGGTACAGCACTGAGCCCAAGCAGTGCCGGGCAATGGAATGGGGGTGCAAGGTTGGGGTGCAGCCTGTGGATCACAGCCTATGGGGGCTGCCTGCCCTCCACATCCCCCTGCTTCCTGCGGGCCAAAATGTGGCGAGGTGGAGAAGACAGCCAGCGGGCATGGTGGCAGGTGCCCGTAATCCCAGCTACACAGGGTGCTGGCAACACCTGGGAGACGAGGTTCCCAGGCTTCAGCACAGCACAGTACCCTCTGTGTCACAGGAATCTGTCCCCGGCATCCTCAGGCCAAACACAACATTAAGAGTTCCCCGTGCACAGGGTGCTGGCAACACCTGGGAGATGAGGTTCCCAGGCTTCAGCAGAGCACGGTACCCTCTGTGTCATGGGAATCTGTCCCTGGCATCCTTAGGCCAAACACAACGCTAAGAGTTCTGTTAATGGAGTTGCTGGGTCGAAGTGACTGAACAATCGTAGTTTATGTTATGTCTAACAGATGTCACTGTGCTTCCCTCAAGACTAGAAAACATCCCACAGCACTCCTGTGAGTTTCCTGCAGCACCCTGGGGTGCCTCGGCACGCAGTTTGAAGACTGCAGCCTTGGGGGCTAAAGGAGCAGCAAGACAGAAAGGCAGCAAGAACACAGTCTCTGGGCTTCCTCGGGAAGCAGAGCTGCCTCCCACCCGCCTTTTGTAAGCAAAGAGCGCACACTGCAGTCACGCGTCCCTCCCTGACCCGGTGTCAACACAGGCTCCCATTGACCCTCTGACCACACCCACTGCCCAGAGCATCCTGTTTTCCCCAGAGGCCCCTGTAGCCGGCTCACCGCGTGATGCCACGGTTGGTGGCCATGATCAGGACAGGCGCCATGTCACTCTCCAGGGCCCGGTTGAGGAAGGAGAAGCTCTCGATGTCCAGCATGTGGACCTCGTCGATGAACAGCACCTTGGATTGGGGTGTGTGTGAGAGTCACCACCCGCGTCCCCACTTCCCCGGCCCACCTCCACCCCACCACCCGCCCCGGCCATGTCCTGGGTCCTCACTCCAGGGATGATCTCCGCCTTGCCCTCCTCGCGCCACTCAGCCACCTTGGCATTGATCTGCTCACGGACTTCTGACTTGATCTCCCCTGTGTCACCTATGGGAGGCACAGGTTGCATCAGGGAAGCCAGAGAGGAGGCGGGTTCCAGGGCCAGAGTGTGGCTAAGACAGAGAAGGATGATGCCAGGGATGGAGGAAGGGGAGCAAAGCAAGGAGGGATGAGGAGCCTGAAACATCCCCAAAGAGGAGGAACAGAGGCAGAGAACACAGGAGGGGAGAGGGCAGGGCCACACCCATCACAGCACCAGCAGGGGTGGGGACGGAGCGGACTTGCAGGTGGAGAACAGAGGCAGCCACGGGCCGGAGTTACAGGAAACAGCGTGGAGCAGGTGGGCCACACTCGGAGCTCAGGAACAGAGGGAGCCCGAGGGAGGCTGCTAGGCCTGGGGCAGGGCAGGGCAGGGCAGGGCAGGAGGGGCCTCACCTGAGAAGAGCGCCAGGAAGCCCTGGGTGCGAGAGTTGATGACGTCGATCTCGTGCAGGGACACGGTGTGCACCACCTCCTTGCGTTTCTGGAGCTCCCCATCTGGGCACTGCACGAACTTGGTCTATGGGGCGGGGGTGGGGGAAGAACGGCGGAGACAGGGCAGGGAAGGGCATGAAGGGGGCCCCTAAAGCCCTCTGTCTGGGGGAGACTGGAGCTCCAGGAAATGGAGCTGGGAGGCTAAATGGGGTCATCTGGAAACCCCAGGCCCAGGAGGTAGTCAGGACTAGGGACATTCCAGAGCGCTGAGGGTCACGGGGGCTCCCGGAGGACCTTAGAAGCCACAGGCCACATGTGGCCATGCGAAGCTATAGTGCCAGGCTGAGGGGCCCTGCTGTCCTAGGGTTACAGGGAAGACCCAGGAGTACCAGGACAAACAGTCAGGGTAACAGGAAGATCCAGACCCCATGGGTCAAGGGGGTGATGGAGGAGATGAAAACACCCCAGTGCTGGGGGCGAGGGGATCCCGGGAGTCCCGGCCGCACCTGGGAGCCCATAGCGTCGTAGTCGCGGGCGCGTGTGAAGGAGCGGCCCAGCTTGGAGATCTTGCCCGTCGCCTTGTCGATGGTGATCACGTCCCTACAGGGGGATGGGGGGTAGGGTAAGGAAAGGAATGGGCCCAAGCTCGCCCATCCCCCTGGCTGCCTGGCATGGCCCCTGACTGCTCACCCGGCCTGGACCTTGTCCTTGGTCAGGGACTCAATCATCTTGGTGCCCAGGTCGTAGATGGTCTCCATCTCTGTGGTCTTGAGGGTCAGTTTGCCCACCTTGGAGCCCTGAGAGTGGGGACAAGCCAGGGATGGGGCTCAGAGAGGGCCCTGATGTTGCCCCAGTGCCCCCAGTGTTGATAAGCTTCTGGCTCTGCTCTGGCCTCTGCTTCCACAGCTTCAAAATGGGCACAACACAAGGAAGCTCTCCAGGGAAGACATACGGTGCGCTCACCAGCCTGACGCGGTGATGGCTCCGCGGCTGAACATGTATGTCCCAACGGACCATACTGGACACTTGCAATGTGTACAGCTTTCTGTATGTCAATTAAAACTCAATAAAGTTCTTTTTTTTTTTGAGACGGAGTCTTGCTCTGTCGCCCACGCTGGAGTGTAGTAGCATGATCTCGGCTCACTGCAAGCTCTGCCTCCCGGGTTCACGCCATTCTCCTGCCTCAGCCTCCCGAGTAGCTGGGACTACAGGCGCCCGCCACCACGCATGGCTAATTTTTGTATTTTTAGTAGAGATGGGGTTTCACTGTGATAGCCAGGATGGTCTCGATCTCCTGACCTTGTGATCTGCCCACCTCGGCCTCCCAAAGTGCTGGGATTACAGGAGTGAGCTACTGCGCCTGGTGAATAAAGCTCTTTTTTTTTTTTTTTTTTTTTTTTTTTTTTTTTTTTGAGATAGAGTCTTGCTCTGTCGCCCAGGCTGGAGTGCAGTGGTGTGATCTCAGCTCACTCCAACCTCCATCTCCCGGGTTCAAGTAGTTCTCCTGCCTCAGCCTCCCAAGTAGCTGGGATTACAGATGTGTGCCACCATACCCAGCTAATTGTTTTGTGTTTTTATTATTTATTTATTTTTGAGATGGAGTTTCGCTCTTGTTGCCCAGGCTGGAGTGCAATGGTGTGATCTCGGCTTACTGCAACTTCTGCCTCCCAGATTCAAGCGATTCTCCTGCCTTAGCCTCCCAAGTAGCTGGGATTACAAGCACCCACCACCACGCCCAGCTAATTTTTTGTATTTTTAGTAGAGACAGGGTTTCACCATGTTGGTCAGGCTGGTCTTGAACTCCTGACTTCAGGTGATCCACCCGCCTCGGCCTCCCAAAGTGCTGGGATTATAGGCATGAACCACCGCGCCCAGCCATTTTGTATTTTTAGTATAGACAGGGTTTCACCATGTTAGTCAGGCTCGTTTCGAACTCCTGATCTCAAGTGATCGCCCACCTCAGCCTCCCAAAGTGCTGGGATTACAGGTGTGAGCCACTGCGCCTGGCCAAAACTCAATAAAGCTCTTAATAAAAATAGTAAACAGGCAGGGTGCAGTGGCTCACACCTGTAATCCCAGCACTTTGGGAGGCCGAGGCGGGCAGATCACAAGGTCAGGAGATCGAGACCACAGTGAAACCCCGTCTCTACTAAAAATACAAAAAATTAGCCGGGCGTGGTGGCAGGTGCCTGTAGTCCCAGCTACTCGGGAGGCTGAGGCAGGAGAATGGCATGAACCCGGGAGGCAGAGCTTGCCGTGAGCTGAGATTGTGCCACTGCACTCCAGCCTGGGCAACAGAGCAAGACTCCATCTCAAAAAAAAAATTATAATAAAATAAAATAAAAATAAAAAATAAAAATAGTAAACAAACAACATGCCTAAAAAATAAAGTCTATCAAAAACAACATAGGCCCGAGGTCTCGCAAAATTGCCAAATGTCACACTTTGACATTCCTATTTTATACCCAAATAAAAAGTGTTTTTGTTGATCACAAAATCAGAAAACACAGCTATGCAAAAAGGAGAAAACAGAAATTGTAAAAAAAAAAAAAAAAAAAAAAAAAGAGGCCAGGTATGGTGGCTCACGGCTGTAATCCCAGCACTTTGGGAGGCCAAGGTGGGCAGATCACGAGGTCAGGAGTTCAAGACCAGCCTGGCCAACATGGTGAAACCCCGTCTCTACTGAAAGTACAAAAATTAGCCGGGCGTGGTGGCATGCACACACCTGTAATCTCAGCTACTCGGAAGGCTGAGGCAGAAGAATCACTTGAACCTGGGAGGCAGAGGTTGCAGTGAGCCGAGATTGCACCACTGCATTCCAGTCTGGGGGACAGAGGGAGACTCTGTCTCGAAAACAAAAAAAAAAGAGAGAGCAAATCACCTGTATCATGTAAGATGGACAGGACATGCCTTTCGGCCACGGAACGAGTTTTGAAGTCTGTTGGGTTTTGAGGTCTGTTGGGAACTCACTAACAGATCTCTCTCATTATTTTACCGCCTCAGTTTCTATTGCCCATAATGTCCTTCATAAGGGGATAAGCCATTGTCAAGTTAACTGACCTCCTACTGTAGGCATGTACATGGCTCTAGTCTGCAGCTAGAACATTCCATGGGATTCTGACCTCAGTGCAGACCTGATATCTACTCTCTCCAACCCTGGCGCTGGAGGTGGCCTCAGCAGGGTACAGACTCACACAGACTCACCGTCCCTGTTGCTGGTCGATCAATCTGGATCTCCACCACCTCCCCTTCGATGATCTCCGTCTCCTCCCTAGCCAGAGAGCAGATCTGAGGAGACAGCCTGACACCTGGACCCTCGGGAATCACAACCTTCCATGAGCTCTGGGACAAAGGACGAGCCGCCCGGGGTGCGGGGTTGCTCCCAGGCTCTGGGGTCTGGCACCCGCCTCGGGTCCCCCGCTTACTTGATGCGAACGCCGATGGACCGCCGGAAGGCCTGCGTCAGCGCCTCGGTCTTGCTCATCTCCAGGGAGAAGATTTCACTGCCGGCGATGGCTGTGAATGGCGTGTCAGGGCCCAGGGCCTGCGCCATGCCTGGGAAGGAGGCAGTCTGTGTAGGTGAAGCCGCTCTGGCACCAGGTCCCCGACACCTGCTCTGTGGCAAACTAGCTTTTCTCCCACCCCAGGAAAGAGGGTTCAGTGCCATCCTACATGTAAGGACTTGGCTCCGAGCTGAGCAGAGCGCTGGGGAGGGGGAACTGGAGAGCGGGGTTCAGCCATGAGGCAGACAGTGAGTGAGAAGCCAGGCAGGGCAGGTTGCTCCGGCAGGCCTGGCTTAGAATCCCACATTGCCCAGAGGGTACACCCTAGAACCTCGCCACACCTCAGTCTCCCAGCCTCTACGAGCTGTTTAGCCTCAGAGCTGGACGAAGGGGACCAGGGACGAAGGCCAAGGAGCCCACACGATAGCTACAAGTGATGAAGGCAGACTGCCTCGGCTCCCATCCCAGATCCACCACTTAAGTGCAGGTGGCGCCGTGGGATCTTGAGCGATCTGAACTGCTCCCTGAGCCTCAGTCTCCCCCTCTGTCTAATGGGGATGATAACAGAACACGTGCCAGCATGGGATGACACCCTGCTTAGGAGTGACTATGGGCAGGCAGGCAGGCAGGCACTGGTGCTCAGCAGTAACACGGTTGCGCAGCCTGAAACTGGCACAGGGCAGGACGCTCTACCGCCGGTGGCCTGGGGTGGCTGGCAGGAAGCAGGTCTGTCTCCAGCAATAGCTCTGAACGCCAGACCTTTCCTTCCAGTTCCCTGGCCACAAGGTTTGGTCCAATGTGGGGCACGCCCTTTCAGACAGGCTGACACCACACCCTCCTGCCCAGTGTCAAGTGGGACCTGTTCTTAGTCCTCTTTGCGGATACACAATGGCCCTCATCACAGAACTCAGCAAGTATCTGCTGAGGGCTGAGTGGACGAGCACGGCCCATGCCATCTGGGGACACCAGGGGTCCTCTCTGCCTCTTTCACTAGACTAAGAAGCGTCCCCGCCAGGGCGAGGCTAGCCTCACCCCAGTGCTGCCCAGCACAGGGTTTGGCCTGCAGGAGGCCTGCGGGAGACACAAGAAGAGGAAAGGCGAGGCCGGGCACAGTCACAACATGCCTAAAAAATAAAGTCTACAGGCTCCCGCCTGTAATCCCAGCACTTTGGGAGGCCGAGGCAGGGGGGTGGATCACCTGAGGTCAGGAGTTCGGGACCAGCCTGGTCAACATGGTGAAATCCCATTTCTACTAAAAATACAAAAATCAGTTGGGTGTGGTGGCACACATCTGTAATCCCAGCTACTTGGGAGGTTGAGGCAGGAGGATCACTTGAACCCAGGAGGCAGAGGTTGCAGTGAGCGAAGATCACACCACTGCACTCCAGCCTGAGCGACAGAGTGAAACTGTCTCAAAAAAAAAAAAAAATGAAGAAGAGTAGGAAAGCAGAAAGGATGGAGGGAAGGAAGTTACTGTGTGTGCCACATTCTGGGCCTGGACATGCTGTCCCCAGTGTCCGCCCAGGAGCCTCCTGGCCATCCTACTAGGCTTAGCTCAGGTATCCGCTTCTCTGGAAGCCTCTAGCAACAAATGCCACCACATGCCCCGTTTTCCTACCAAGGTCAGGAGCCTCCTCTGTCACATGCTACCTGCATTGTAACACATGTCGCCTTGGAAGGGATCGTGTCCATGACCACCTCCTCCAGACCAGGAGCTCTTTGAAGTCAGGCCTTGGTCTAACTCATCTATGGGTCCCCAGTGTCCAGTCCGAGCACCCCAACAGGCACTGCTTTATCTTCACTGAAGACCTGGCTGTTACTCTGATTCTCCCTGCCTGGCCCCAGCCTCAGCACAGAGGTGGGAGTGAGTGGGAAGAGCAGTGGGTTAGGAAAAGCTTCAATGGGGCAGAGATGCTGAAGTAGGGTTTTGAAGGATAAATAGGAGTTCAACAAGGAAGAAGAGGAACAGCTGGGAGTGAAAAGATCATAAACCACTAGCGGACTGCAACAAAGACTGCTGGGTGACTCCTCAATACCCACCTTCCCCTTCTTCCTTAGTTCTAGAACCCTCATTTTCTTTCCTGTTTTTTTTTTTTTAATTTTTTATTTTTACAACAACCTTTTGCCCAACAGAAGAATCCTCATTTTCTTAAGGCAAAAATGGTCCAAATTATGAAATTTTAAAAAACATTTAATGTGCCAGCCTCCCCTGAAGCAGAGTGTGATCATATGATTACATTCTAGTCAATGAGATAATGAGATATAAGCAGAAGCATGGAGGATTTCCAATGACTGTTTAAAGGAAGCCAACTCGAGGGGGTTCATCCTCATGGCAACTCCTTTCTTCCTGCTGCCTGGGTTATGAGTGGGAAGGCTGGAGCTCTGGCAGCCCTCTTGGAACATGGCGTCCTCTTGACTGGAACCAAGTGCAGAGGATGGTGAGGCAGGAAGATGGAAGACTTCCTGGAACTGCTTAATAAGCCCCAAATGGCCTACCTCTAGATTCTTCCATGGGCAAGAATGAATCCTGAGTGTTTAAGCCACTGCCATTTTGGGTCATCTGTTAAAGGCGGCTCATCCTGACCCTGACTTACACAGGAGGAGTTATTTAGCAGGAAACAGGAGAGTTCCTGCCCTGGGAGGTTTCTTACCCATGGCGATGGCCGTCTTCCCCGTGCCCGGCTGGCCAGCAATAAGGACTGCCCGACCGGCAATCTTCCCTTCCCGGATCATCTCCAGCACCACGCCAGCCGCCCGCCGTGCCGCCAGCTGACCCACCATGCCTTGCGAAGCCTGTGGGTGGGAGGCGCACATGAGGTGATTTCCTGTGGGGCTACCATGGCATTTCTACCACATCAGGAAGCTAGTGAGATGGAAGCAGACATTACTAGCTGGGACTTCTAGGAAAAGCCAAAAAAGCTTTCCCTGCTTTTTTTTTTTTTTTTTTTTTTTTTGAGACAAGATCTCGCTCTGTCACCCAGGCTGAAGTACAGTGGTACAATCATGGCTCACTGTAGCCTTGACCTCTAGGGATCAAGAGATCCTTCCACCTCAGCCTCTTGAGTAGCTGGGACCACAAATGTGCACCACCATGTCCAGCTAATTTTTAAAATTTTTTGTAGAAAGGAGGTGTCACTATGTTACCCAGGCTGGCCTCAAGCTCTTAGGCTCAAGCAATCTTCCCATCTCAGCCTCCCAAAGTATTGGGATTACAAGTGTGAGCCATTGCACCCAGTCTAACTTTTTTTTAAGGTGGCAAAGCAATTGCTACCCACTCCCAATTCTTTTTTTTTTTTTCCGAGATGTCACCCAGGCTGGAGGGCAGTGGCACAATCTCGGCTCATTGCAACCTCCACCTCCCAGGTTCAAGCAATTCTCCTGCCTTAGGCTCTTGAGTAGCTGGAATTACAGGCATGCACCACCATGCCCGGCTAATTTTTGTATTTTTAGTAGAGACAGGGTTTCACCATGTTGGTCAGGCTGGTCTTGACTCTGACTTCAGGTGATCCACCCACCTTGGCCTCCCAAAGTGCTGAGATTACAGGCATGAGCCACCACACCTAGCCTAATCAATTCTTTAGTACCAAGAAAACCCACATGTGGTTGAAGTTTATGGGTATGTAGCCAAAGGTCCAGAAGACCGTAACATAGTCCCCACACTCCCCAGGACCCTGGGTACCCACTACCCAAGACCTTCATGGAGAGGCCCTCACACCCCAGCCTCCTCTGCTCTACCTGCCGAGGCTCCAAGGCATCGTCCAGCCCCAGTCCCCGGATGTGGGAGTGGGCACCTACATGAAGGGAAAGAACAAAGACTCAGTTACTAGCCAGCTTGCTGCACATGTGGCCTGACCCCTCTGAGCCCTGGTTTCCTTCTTTGTCAAAGGGGTGGGTGGGAGTAGGGAGCAGGGGTTGGGGGAATGAAGGGGCACATGGAAAGGATATCCCAAATTGGCACCTCCCTAGGAAGATGGCTGAATGTGGTAAATGCTCAATGAACTGGAGCTGCTCTGAGGATGCATCCTAGTTAAACAAAAGTCACTGAGGCCTGATTAAGCACATAATTGTACTAAGATCTAACCACAAGGGCTAATGATCACAATTACTTCATGTTTATGGTTTACACAGCACCCACATGTTCTCAGTTTATTCCATATGATCCTGCAAAAAAAGAGCCCTGGCTGGGGCCGGGCGCAGTGGCTCCTGCCTATAATCCCAGCACTTTGGGAGGCCGAGGCGGGCGGATCACTGGAGGTCAGGAGTTCGAGACCAGCCTGGCCAACATGGTGAAACCCTGTCTCTACTAAAAATACAAAAATTAGCTGGGCATGGTGGCAGATGACTGTAATCCCAGCTTCTCAGGAGGCTGAGGCAGGAGAATTGCTTGAACCTGGGAGGCGGAGGTTGCAGTGAGCCAAGATTGTGCCACTGCATTCTAGCCTGGATGACAGAGCAAGACCTGTCTCAGTAAAACAAAATAAAATGAAACAAGAGCCCTGGCTGCTATCACCCTGAAAGCACTTCTGAGTATCAAAATGGCAACAGTCCCAGAACCTATTGATATGAATGGGGAGGGAGCTCAGAGAGGTTAGGTCCCATGCCCCAGCCACACAGCCAGCGAGAGGGGAAGATGGGATTCCCATGCTTTACATTAGATGAGGGTTGAGCAAACCTCAGCCTGGAGGCCAGCCACCTGTTTTTGCAAATAAAATTTTATTGGAGCTGGGTACGGTGGCTCACGCTTATAATCCCAGCACTTCGGGAGGCAGAGGCAAGCAGATCACCTGAGGTCAGGAGTTCGAGACTAGCCTGGCCAACATGGTGAAACCCCGTCTCTACTAAAAAATACAAAAATTAGCCTGGCGTGGTGGCATGCACCTGTAGTCTCAGATACTCGGGAGGCTGAGGCATGAGAGTCACTTAAACCAGGGAGGTGGAGGTTGCAGTGAACTGAGATCGCCCCACTGCACTCCAGCCTGGGCAACACAGTGAGACTCCATCTCAAAAAAAAAACAACAAAAAACCAACCAAAAAATCTTTGTATTGGAACACTGCCATTTATATACTGTCTGTGGCTGCCTTCGCACTGCAAGAGGAGAGTTGAGTAGTTTCAACAGAGGAAGGATTTACCATCTGACCCTTTAAGAAAGATTTGCTAGGGTCCAGGCGTGGTGGCTCACGCCTGTAATCCCAGCATTTTGGGAGGCCGAGGCAGGCGGATCACGAGGTCAGGAGATAGACACCATCCTGGCTAACACAGTGAAACCACGTCTCTACTAAAAATATAAAAAATTAGACGGCCGTGGTGTCAGGCGCCTGTAGTCCCAGCTACTCGGAAGGCTGACAGGAGAATGGTGTGAACCCGGGAGGTGGAGCTTGCAGTGAGCCAAGATTGCGCCACTGCACTCCAGCCTGGGGGACAGAATGAGACTCCGTCTCAAAAAAAAAAATAAAATAAAATAAGGAAAGATTTGCTGACCCCAGTGCTTGACTGTGAGCACCCCAAGGGAGGCTCCTGGGTGCAGCTAGTCTCTACTGGGTCCTCAGCTCACAAGCGGTGCTTGGCTCTTCATCCTTTTTTTTTTTTTTTAATTTTTTATTGTTTTTTGGCCAGGCGCGGTGGCTCATGCCTGTAATTCCAGCACTTTGGGAGGCCGAGGCGGGCGGATCACGAGGTCAGGAGATCGAGACCATCCTGGCTAACACGGGGAAACTCCATCTCTACTAAAAACGCAAAAAAATTAGCCGGGCATGGTGGCGGGCGCCTGTAGTCCCAGCTACTCGGGAGGCTGAGGCAGGAGAATGGCGTGAACCCGGGAGGCAGAGCTTGCAGTGAGCCGAGATTGCGCCACTGCACTCCAGCCTGGGCGACAGAGCGAGACTCCGTCTCCAAAAAAAAAAAAAAATGTTTTTATTTTTATTTTTTGAGAGAGCGTCTCACTCTGTCACCCAGGCTGGAGTGCATGGTGCAGTCACATCTCACCACATCCTGAACCTCCTTGGTTCAAGCAGTTCTCCCAAGTAGCTGGGACTCAGGCATGGACCACCACTGCCGGCTAATTTTTTTATTTTTTTTTTAGAGACAGGATCACACTATGTGACTCAGGCTGGTCTTGAACTCCTGATTCAAGCAATCCTCCTGACTCCACCTCTCAAAGTGCTAGGATTACAGGCGTGACCCATCATGCCCGGCCATACTTGGCACTTTTTGTTTGTTTTTGAGATGGAGTCACTCTGTCACCCAAGCTGGAGTGCAGTGGCACGATATTGGCTCACTGCAACCTCTGCCTCCCAGGTTCAAGCCATCCTCCCTAGTAGCTGGGACTATAGGCATGCACCACCATGCCTGGCTAATTTTTGTATTTTTAGTAGAGACAGGGTTTCACCATGTTGGCCAAGCTGGTCTCAAACTCCTGACTTCAGGTGATCCACCCGCCTCGGCCTCCCAAAGTGCTGGGATTACAGGCGTGAGCTACAGCACCCAGTCTCGGCACTTTTATTTATTTATTTATTGAGAGACAGAGTTTCACTCTTGTCACCCAGGCTGGAGTGCAATGGCATGATCTTGGCTCACTGCAACCTCCACCTCCTCGTTCAAGCAATTTTCCTGCCTCAGCCTCCCGAGTAGCTGGGATTACAGGCACGCGCCACCACGCCCAGCAAATTTTTGTATTTTTAGTAGAGACGAGGTTTCACCATGTTGGCCAGGCTGGTCTCAAATTCCTGACCTCAGGTGATCCGCCCACCTTGGCCTTCCAAAGTGCTGGAATTACAGGCATGAGCCACTGCACCCAGTGCCCCAGCACTTTTAATAGATGAAACAGTGTTGGCACACAGACCCAAAATGCTTTATATGAACTACCTTACTGAATCTTACATTAACTGATGAGGTAAACTATCTTAGCTTCGTCTTGCAGATAAGGAAACTGAGGCACAGAGAGGAACTAGTCCCTGGCCACATGGTGGGAAAGTGGCAGAGCTAAGCTCCAGGAATCCAGCACTGGGCTTCTAAAACCCATCTTCACAGCCAGAAGCCCTTACTGCCTTTCTCGGATGCCCTGAATCAGTGAGCCTGCTGCATGAATGAATGCGGTCACTTCCCTGCCGGTAAAGCTCTTTGTGAGAGCGCACCCTGCTGGCCTCACTGCGTCTCAACTTCCTGCTCTGTGTGAGCCGGGGCCAGTGATTTAGCTGTCCTGAAAATCAGTTCCCTCAGCTAACAGTTACAATATGCACCTCATGCGGCTACTGCGAGGGCTCCACAGGACGCAAACTCGTGCATTCAATGGTTATCTCTTGATCATCTGCTCTGTTAGGTCCTGTGCTAGGGACACAGCTAGGAATGACACGACCTCGTCCCTGCCCTCAGGGAACTCACCCCACAGTGTGTACTGGGTATACGAGGCCAAACCCAGTAAAGCACCCAGTAAATATCTATGACTTCCAGGCAAACATACCCGGGAACCCCACCAGGATAGCCAGGATAGCAGCCTGGTCCCCAGTGCATCATCTGACCCAACTCTGGAACTGAGGATCCTCCTCCCCCATTAGATAGGGCGAGTGGGGGAATGGTAGTGGGGGCACAGTTGGTGTGCAGGCCACCTCCCTCTCCATCTTAGGGGTCCTCAATAGGTTTGCTCTGTCAGGGCACATGGCAGGCAGGGCTTAGGTCCTATTCCTGACCCAACTCACTCACCGATTCGCTCAATCCTTGTTACATCACGGATCTCCGGGACTTTGGTTGTGGCTGTCTGGGGGTGCAAGAAGATGTGTCAGAGGACTAGTGTGGTCCCAGCTTTCACCAACCCCTCCTCTGTCCCTCCCATGAGATGGTCCTTTCCACTCCTTCCCCTCACAGGCAGGCGATGGGACAGGCACCAGTCACCCCCACCCCTCTTGCCTGTCACTGCCTAATGGCTGGTTGGTTGAGCCCCAGGAAGACAAGGACTGTCTGTCTCATCGACAGCTTGGTCCTCAGGGTCCAGCACATATTTGGTTATTTGGTGAATGAATGAAATCCTCCCTGTTTCTTTTTTTTTTTTTGAGATGAAGTCTCGCTCTGTCACCCAGGCTGGAGTGCAGTGGCCCAATCTCGGCTCACTGCAACCTCCGCCTCCTGGGTTCAAGAAATTCTCTGCCTCAGCCTCCTGACTAGCTGGGATTACAGGCGCGCATCAACACACCCGGCTAATTTTTGTATTTTTAGTAGAGATGGGGTTTTGCCATGTTGGCCAGGCTGGTCTCAAACTCCTGGCCTCAAGTGATACACCAGCCTTGGCCTCCCAGAGTGCTGGGATTATGGGCGTGAGCCACTGTGCCCGGCTAAGTCCTCCCCATTTCTTTTTTTTTTTTCTTATTTTTTGAGACGGAGTCTGCTCTGTCGCCCAGGTTGGAGTGCAGTGGCCCGATCTCAGCTCATTGCAACCTCCGCCTCCTGGGTTTAACCGATTCTCCCGCCTCAGCCTCCTGAGTAGCTGGGACTACAGGCGCACACCACCACACTTGGCTAATTTTTTTTGTATTTTTAATAGAGATGGGGTTTCGCCCATCTCTACTGGGGTTGGCCAGGCTGGTCTCGAACTCCTGACCTCAAGTGATCTGCCCACCAAGGCCTCCCAAAGTGCTGGGATTACAGGTGTGAACCACCGTGCCCAGACAAGTCCTCCCCATTTCTAATAACTGTGAGCTCCATAAGGACAGACACCAATGAGGAGCAGGCATGGAGCTGGACATGCTCTGGCCCCTGCTAATTTCCCAGCATCCCTTGTACCAGGCGGCCCCAGTTCTCAACCACCAGGCCTTGCACATGCTGGCCCCTGAGTCCAGACTGCTCTCCCTGCCCTCTCACTGAATTAGATCAAGTGCTGCCCCCTAGGGGAGGCCCTTTCTGTCCAACAGCCCTGCCAGGCTAGTTCTAGGACCTCTAGACATTCAGACAGATGAAAGGCCTCCCTGGGAGCCCGATCTCCCTGTGTGATCTCACATTCCCGAGGGAGATGGATGGATCAATATTCTCTGCTCCAGTGGACATGAGTCCCATGAAGGGCACGGCCTGTTCTCTCTTGTTCACCTCGGGACTCAATGTCTGTGGTTTGCTAAGTGATACTCTAAAGTGCTGAGCTCATTCAACAAGAATATACCGAGGCTTCCCATGTTGACAGTTCTCCACAGAGAGGAGCCAGCTACCACCCCTTCTCACATGGGGGAGGGAGGTGAGTAAACACCACCCGGGACAATTCAGGACCCCCCCAGAGGTCCACACAAAACATGGACACGAGTGTTCACGGCAGCACTATTCACAACAGCCAAAAGATAGAAACAACCCACATGTCCATCAGCTGATGAATGGCAAAATAAAACAGGGTCTATTTGTGCAAAGGAATATTATTCAGTCATAAAAAGGAATGGAGTTCTTTTTTCTTTTCTTTTTTTTTTTTTTTTGAGACATAGTCTCACTCTGTCACCTAGGCTGGAGTGCAATGGCGCAATCTTGGCTCACTACAACCTCTGCTTCCTGGGTTCAAGTGATTCTTCTGCCTCAGCCTCCCGAGTAGCTGGGATTACAGGTGTCCGCCACCACACCTGGCTAATATTTTTTTGTATTTTTTAGTAGAGATGGGGTTTCACCATGTTGGCCAGGCTGGTCTTGAACTCCTGACCTCAGGTGATCCACCTGCCTTGGCACCCCAAAGCGTTGGGGTTATAGGCGTGAGCCACCGCGCCCGGCCAGGAATGGAGTTCTGATACATGCTACAACGTGGATGAACTTTGAAAACATTATACTGACTGAAAGAAGCCACACACGAAAGACACATATGGTATGATTCCATCTATATGAAGTAGCCACAATAGGCAAATCCATATACAGAGAAAGATTAGTGGCTGCCTAGAACTGAAGATGGGAGGTATGGAAGGATTAGCGGTGACAGGTAAGAGGCATGGGGTTTCTTTTTGGGGTGACGACAATGTTCTAAAATTGACTGTGGAAATGGCTGCACAAGTCTGTGAATATACTAGAAAACACTGAGCTGTATACTTTAAATGGGTGAATTATGTAGTACGTGAATTCTATCTCAATAAAGCTATTAAGAAAAAAAAAAAACAACAGGCTGGGCGTAGTGGCTCCCACCTGTAATACCAGCACTTTGGGAGGCTGAAGCAGGCAAATCACTTGAGGTCAGGGGTTCGAGACCAGCCTGGCCAACATGGTGAAACCCTGTCTCTACTAAAAATACAAAAATTAGGTCAGGCACGGTGGCTCACGCCCGTAATCCCAGCACTTTGGGAGGTCAAGGCAGGTGGATCACTTGAGGTCAGGAGTTCGAGACTAGCCTGGCCAACATGGTGAAACCCAGTCTACACTAAAAATACAAAAAATTAGCCAGGCGTGGTGGCAGGTGCCTGTAATCCCAGGTACTTGGGAGGCTGAGGCAGGAGAATTGCTTGAACCCAGGAGGCGGAGGTTGTAGCGAGCAGAGATCGCGCCACTGCACTCCAGCCTGGGCATCAGAGCAAGACTCTATCACTAACACACACACACACACACACACACACACACACACACACAGATACAAAAATTAGCTGGGCGTGGTGACGCGCACCTGTAGTCCCAGCTACTCAGGAGGCTGAGGCAGGAGGATCATTTGAACATGGGAGAGAGGCAGAGGCTGCAGGGAGCCAAGATCACACCACTGCACTCCAGCCTGGGAGACAGAGTGAGACTCTGTCTTGAAAAAAAGAAAAAACAAAAAAACAATCCTGGATGGTGGATCTTTGCATGTCTGTTACATTATTTTCTGACACTTTGGAATAGTTCATAATTTCTAATAAGGAAAAGGAAGCCTAAGAAGCTAGCATGCTAACCGAGGCCACCCATCCCCAGGTCTCCTTCCTTCCCACAGGTTTGTGTTTTTTTTTTTGAGATAAGATCTCATTTTGTCCCCCAGGCTGGACTGCTGTGGCCTCCACCTCCCAGGCTCAAGCAATCCTCCCACCTTAGTCTCCCAAGTAGTTGGGACTACAGGTGTGTCCCACCACACTTGGCTAATTTTCTTCTCTTTTCTTTTCTTTTTTTTTTTTTTTTGAGACACAGCCTTACTCTGTCACCCAGGCTGGAGTGCAGTGGCGCGATCTCGGCTCACTGCAACCTTCGCCTCCCGGGTTCAAGCAATTCTCCTGCCTCAGCCTCCAGAGTAGTTGGGACTACAGGCATGTGCCACCACGCCCGGCTAATTTTTTTTGTATTTTTAATAAAGACGGGGTTTCACCATATTAGCCAGGCTGCTCTCAAACTCCTGACCTCATGACCTGCCCGCCTCGACCCCCCAAAGTGCTGGGATTACAGGTGTGAGCCACCGCACCCGGCCTAATTTTCTTATTTTTTTGTAGAGACAGGGTTTCGCTATGTTGCCAGGGCTAGTCTTAAATTCCTGGGCTCAAGCAATCCTTCTACCTCGGACTCCCAAAGTGTGGGATTACAGGCGTGAGCCACTGTGCCCAGCCCACAGGTCTTTCTTCTCTTCTTCCCCTAGAGAGGACATGCAGTTATCCAGCCCAGAGGAAGCCTCCTCCCTCTGGAGCCAATCGTTTAGACTTTCTGGCCATCAATGGTCACAAGCTTTCCCTGTCACTGTGTGAACCTTCCCACCTACCGTCTCCTATAGGAAGCTGGAACCCAGGAGCATAGAACATTACCCCCAGACTACAAGCAGAAGACTAGGCATCCCCACCCCACAAAAAAGACATGAATCCAGGAATCCCAAATGTAGCTCTCTCAACATAAACAGGCCCCTTACCAAGGACTGTCTCCTATAAAGACTTTCTCTTTCATCATAAGTCTCTCCAAAACCTTGCTGCCCGCTGTTCCCATGAAAACCAAGGTCATTTCAAAACTCAGCACACACCGTCCCCTCATACTTCCAATACTTTCTCCACGGTAGTTCTGGTCATAGCCTTCCTCTTCTACTTCCCTATCCACCTCCTCCTCCTCCTTGCCCTGGTGACAGCAACAGACTCAAATCTCATCCCCAGCTACCAACAACTTTCTCCCCCTCCCTTCCTCCATCTTGACTGGGCTCATCATGGAAATTGAGGCACCTGTAAGCCCAGCCCAGTCCCTAAGTTCAGGTCACATTACCTTTTTTTTTTTGGAGACAGAGTCTCGCTTTGTCGCCCAGGCTGGAATGCAGTGGCGCGATCTTGGCTCACTGCAACTTCTGCCTCCCAGGTTCAAGCGATTCTCCTGCCTCAGCCTTCTGAGTAGCTGGGATTACAGGCCTGCACCACCACACCTGGCTAATTTTTGTATTTTTAATAGAGACGGGGTTTCGCAATGTTGGCCACGAACTCCTGACCTGAAGTGATCCGCCCGCCTCGGCCTCCCAAAGTGCTGGGATTACAGGCATGAGCCACCACGCCAGGCCAAAATCGCTTCTTTATTCAGGTAATTGAGCAGGTGCCAGGCCAAGTTTCCTGGCCTCTCCTTCATTCACATGTATTCATTCATTCAAATATTCAAGTGATAATTTATTGAGCATTTACACTGAGACGTAGCCCGTGTGAAATACTGGAAATATGAAAATGGCCAAAACGGTAGCATGACAAGATCCCGATTTCTGGGTCCCTAATCCTTCAGTCCTCTCCACTAAGACTCTCTTGTTCCTCGACAATTTCTTCCCACTAAAGGCTCACTAGGCGCCCTCGCGCTCTCAGACACACTGAACAGGTACCTGCCTGTGCTTCCAGCTTGGAACTCAAGTGCCATTGGCACCACTAACAATCCAAGGCTCCCAAATGGCTCGAAGCGCAAGGTCCTACAACCCTCCTCATCACACACTGGCGCCAAGGACTGCGGAACCGGCCGTTGCGCCAAGATGATTTTGAAAGTTGGAGTTCCTATAGCATGATGGGGCCAGACCCGAGATTCTGGGATCCCAGCCCCCTCCCCGCCTCAGATCCAGAAGTCCAGCCCCCATGTCCCCTTCTCCCCCAGATCTGGGTGGCCGAGCTTCCTCCTCTTTCAGACCCAGGAGTCTGAACCCCCAGATCCCCCCTCCCTCAGACCCAGGAGTCAGGGCCTCCAGCATCCTCCTCTCTCAAACTCGAGACTGCTAGCTCGCTCCTCACCCTCCATGCACCCACACTTACAACGGTTGCCATGATGCTCACCAACTGCCAGAGTCCTAGCGGAAACGGAAACGCGCGAGGAGCGAGATGTTCTGGCTCCTCTAGGCTAGCTGGTTCTTCAAAGATCTCGATGGTTCCTCATAAATATGTAAATATTGTGGGGGCGTGGCGGGACTTTATGCCCCGCCCTCCCACCGAGGCTGCGCTGGAAGACGGGCGTCCGGAACTCCTGGGTCCATTCCCAATGTCTCCTGGCTCCTCCTCCTTTTGCTCAGCCCCACCACCGCCCCGCTCAGGCCGATTGCAAAATTCTTAGCTGTTCTTTGAGTAACCACACGTCCTCCACGCTCCTTTCCTCTTTATCCCACCCTCCTCCTCCTCCCCACTTTGAGGCCTCCAGCTCCAGATTGACAGAGCTGAAGGCCACTCGTTTCCGTAAAGCGCAGCGGCAAGCTCCGCCCCCTGGAGGTCTCACGGCCGAGGCGGGGCCGGGACACAGCGACTCCAACCCGTTCCACCAATGAGGACACGCGGAAATCCCCGCCCCCGGGCGTGGGCCAATGGCGCTGGCTGGGGGGGGCGGCCACCGCCTCCTGGCGGCTGCGAGGTTTCACTGCAGGGGCGCCAGTGGGCTCAGTGACGCTGCGGCCTCCTTCTGCCTAGGTCCCAACGCTTCGGGGCAGGGGTGCGGTCTTGCAATAGGAAGCCGAGCGTCTTGCAAGCTTCCCGTCGGGCACCAGCTACTCGGCCCCGCACCCTACCTGGTGCATTCCCTAGACACCTCCGGGGTCCCTACCTGGAGATCCCCGGAGCCCCCCTTCCTGCGCCAGCCATGCCTTTAAACCGCACTTTGTCCATGTCCTCACTGCCAGGACTGGAGGACTGGGAGGATGAATTCGACCTGGAGAACGCAGTGCTCTTCGAAGTGGCCTGGGAGGTGGCTAACAAGGGTGAGCACGCCAGGCGTCGGGGCCCTTGACGAGAAGGACAGTAGTGGATGGGGGCCCGGAACTCTGAGTTGTAGGAGGACGGGGCTACTAGGGGAACCCTTGTGACCTGGGCAAGGAGGCTGTGTCCTTGAGGAGGGGCTGGGAAGCCGGAGGTGGGTGGGAGAGGGATGGTTCGTTTGACTTAAGATGAAAGGAGGCTGGAAGCCCGGGTTCTGGGTCCTAGGGAAGAGGGCGCTAAAATGAGACTCCTAGGTCCTGGAGGCAGGCTTCCGAGAGACTAGATACCTGGGTCCTGAACAGGGAAGGGGATGGGGGGATGGGATTTCTGCGTGCAAACCTGGGAAGCTGCCGGGGTTTCAGACCTATGACCCTAACAGCATGGTCTAGGGGATAAAACTCCAGATTTGAGAGAGAGCTGACTGGGAGATAGGAGGCCTGAGCGGCGGTGGGAGGACCTGAGGATCTGGCTGCTTAAGAATAAAGATGGGACGGGCTGGAGACTGTAATGAATGCCTGGGCTTTGAAGGAGCTGAGGGCCTGAGCTATTAGTTCCTAGGAGTAGAGGAGCCCATGGCCTGGGACACATGCGTACTGGAATAGGGGAAGGCTGGGAAGTCCTAAGTTAGTCAGAGGCTGGGCCCTAGGATGGGAGGGGCTAGGAGCCTGCATTTCTGTGTCTTGGGCTTCAGAAAGCTGAGGTTCTGGCCTTGGAGAAGGCTGGGGCTGAAATCCCCAGGAACAAGCCAATCTCACACCTCAAAGAGCAGGGTCTGGGGGGTTGCTTTGCTGGGTCTTGGAGGAGAAAGGGACTGTGTCTCCCAGGAGGAGAGGGGGCCCGTGAACACCCAGCCGGGTATCGCCAGGGCCTGGGCTCCAGGATGGGAGGAGGCTGGGGGCTGGGGCTCCTGGGTCTGGGATAGGGTCATGGGAGAGGCAGAGCCCTGCATGCTGGTGTCCCTAGTCAGGGAGAGGAAATTGGGAGGCAGGTCAGCAAGGTCCCTGGGGGCAGGGAATGACCATGCAGGCTTCTCTTGGGCAATGGTGAGAAGCTGGATTGGCCATGAGGGGGTCTCCCTCACTGGGTTTTGGAGCCTGGCTGCGATTTAAACCCAGCTCCTGTGAGCTGGGAACTCGGGAACCTGAGTCCGGGTAGTCAGTCCTCAGCTCTGCCATCCTTAGAGCCCCAGTGCCTAATTCCTTCAGACCAAGGGGTCCCGGCACCCAGCCCCTTCTCTCTCAGACCCAGAAGTCTAGCCTGAGCCCCCTCCTCCTTCAGGGTCCTGACCCCAGCCCCCTTCTCCCTTAGACCCAGGAGGACTGCCCTCCAGCCCTCGTGTTCCCCTCATCCAAGCTTCCAACCCCTACTCCAAACTATGGGCTCCCAGTCCCCTCTTCCCCCTGAGCTAGAGGTCTGGGGCCTGAGTGCCCCCTACATCCCCGGCCCACCCCACCCCAGGCCCCAGAACTATGGACCTCGGCCGGGGCCTGCCCTCACACGCTTGGGCCCACAGTGGGTGGCATCTACACGGTGCTGCAGACGAAGGCGAAGGTGACAGGGGACGAATGGGGCGACAACTACTTCCTGGTGGGGCCGTACACGGAGCAGGGCGTGAGGACCCAGGTGGAACTGCTGGAGGCCCCCACCCCGGCCCTGAAGAGGACACTGGATTCCATGAACAGCAAGGGCTGCAAGGTGGGACGTGGCCCAGCCCAGGGCAGAAGCGGGTGGACAGCCTGCCATCGGGGTGGGAGCCACAGACGGAGAGGGTGCAGGGTGGACAGCCCCAGCCAGAGAGCGAGGCAGGCTTGGACACAGGAAGGAGGCGTGATAGGACACCCAGACAGATGCAGGGCCTGGAAGTGGGTGGGTGGATCCCAGACATGGGCGAATGGACAGACAGATGGCAAGTATGAGACAGACTGAGACGGAGATCCAAGAGGCCAAGGTCCTCAGACCCAGAGAGAAAGAGAGCAAGATCGAAAGACAGCCTGGTCAACATGGCGAAACCCCGTCTCTACCAAAAATACAAAAATTAGCTGGGTGTGGTGGCGGGTGCCTGTAATCCCAGCTACTCGGGAGGCTGAGGCAGGAGAATCGCTTGAACCCGGGAGGCGGAGGTTGCAGTGAGCTGCGATTGGGCCACTGCACTCCAGCCTGGGCGACGGAGCGAGACTCTGTCTCAGAAAAGAATGCCAGCCAGCCAGGCAGAGCTGGGGAGAAGTGGGCCTGAGGTCAGGAAGGAGCAGGATTCTGGAGCTTGAAGTTCAAGTTCACCCTCCACTTGCTGCCTGTGTGTCCTTGGCTAATGGACATGCTAATAGCGTCTACCTTCTAGCGGTGCTGGGAGGAGGAAACAGTTAATAAGGACAAAGTGGTTAGTAGAGTTCTTGGCATGAAGGTAGCACATTGTGTGGGCGGTGA
Source organism: Homo sapiens (assembly GCF_000001405.40). NCBI lineage: Eukaryota > Metazoa > Chordata > Mammalia > Primates > Hominidae > Homo > Homo sapiens. The sequence continues at coordinate 48,990,572 of NC_000019.10, read as the reverse complement.
TTGTCATTGTTATGATCATCGTCATTATTGTTACTAACAGCCAAGCTTGGAGAGTGAGGGGGACAGGCAGACCAAGGGAGAAGGGTGGATGGAGCCACAGGCAAGAGTAATAGACTGGGGACAGAAGAGAGGCCACCAGATGTTTCAGAAAGCCAGTCCTAGAAGGAGAGAGAAGCATGGAATATCGGGGAAGAGAGGAGAGGTCAGTGGACAGACCCACAGGACAGAGTCTGAGATGGGCAGATCAGGGATTAGAGAGGAGGGGGAGTTCCAGGGCCCCAGGGTGAAGACGGAAAGAGACACGCTGTTGTCCAAGGAGAAAGCCATCAGGCGGCACGCTGTTGTCCAAGGAGAAAGCCATCAGGCGGCAGGGCTAAGGGACAGACAGGTCCAGGCTGGGGATGGAGAGGCACTGTGGTTCCTTTACTCATTCACAGCCTCTGGTTTGGGGTGGGGTCTGGAATCCATTCAGGTCCGACTGTGTCCCTAAGGGAACCCAGAACAGCCCAGTCGCTTCCTGAGGGCAGCTGCTTCCCACGTGCTGGGGGCCTAAGAATAGCCCCCCCCCCCCCCCAGCAAAAGGGCAGACAACAGCTGGGAGGGGGAGGGACCTCAGAGCGAGGCTCCAGGCAGCAAAAAGCCAGGTCGGCGAGGAGCGGGGCTGCTTCTCCACTGCTGTGGCAGCAGGCCCAGAACCAAAGCCATGGTCTCAGGGAGGAAAACAGCCAACTGGAGAAATGTGGCAGAGGCAGAAGTGAGACAGCAAGTCTTAGAAACACGGCAGTGGCTAGAAAAATGCAGCCCTGGGGCACGGACAGAGGATGGGCTATGTTAGAAATGTGTGGCGTGGCCGAGGGCGGTGGCTCATGCCTGGAATCCCAGCACTTTGGGAGGCCGAGGTGAGAGGATAGCTTGAGCCCAGGAGTTCCTGACCCACCTGGGCAACATGGCGAAACTCTGTCTCTACTAAAAATACAAAAAATTAGCCAGGCATGATGGTGCGTGCTCGTGATCCCAGTTACTCAGGAGGCTGAGGTGGGAGGATGGGATGTGGAGGCTGTAGTGAGCCATAATTTTTTTTTTTTTTTTTTCAGATAGAATCTCACTCTGTCGCTGAGTCTGGAGTGCAGTGGTACAATCTCGACTCACTGCAACCTCCGCCTCCCGCGTTCAAGCAATTCTCCTGCCTCGGCCTCCCAAGTAGCTGGGACCTCAGGCACATGCTGCCACGCCCGGCTAATTTTTTGTATTTTAGTAGAGACAGGGTTTCACCATGTTGCCCAGGCTGGTCTCAAACTCCTGAGCTCAGGCAATCCGCCCGCCTCGGCCCCCCAAAGAGCTAGGATTACAGGCGTGAGCCACCGCGCCCAGCCCAGTGAGCCATGATTGCACCACTGCACTCCAGCCTGGGTGACCGGAGTGAGACCCTGTCAAAAACAAAAACAAACAAAAAAAAATGGAAGAAAGAAAGAAAAAGGAGAGAGGGAGGGAAGGAGGGAGAGAGGGAAGGAAGGAAGGAAGGAAGCAAGGAAGGAAGGAAGGAGGCTGTGGACTACAAAATGGGCCTATGGATAGAGGAAAGAGGTCGCAGGTGACAGATATGTGATGAAAGGAACAGAAACAAGGCATCATGGGGAAGAAAAGTGGCAGCATGAACAGTAAGAGAATCATTACAGGCTGGGTGCAGTAGCTCACGCCTGTAATCCCAGCACTTTGGTAGGCTGAGGCCAGGAGTTTGAGACCAGCCTGGGCAACATGGTGAAACCCTGTCCTTACAAAAAAGTTAAAAATTAGCCGGGATGTGATACCTTGTGCCTGTGGTCCCAGCTACGTGGGAAGCTGCGGTGGAAGGATTGCTTGAGCCTGGGAGATCGAAGCTTCAGTGAACCGTAATTGCACCACTCCCTTCCAGGCTGGAGGACAGAGCAAGACCCCGTCTCTGAAAATAAAAAAGGGCCTGCTTTAGGTGGCTCACACTTCTAATCTCAACACTTTGGGAGGCTAAGCAAGAAAACTGCTTGAACGCAGGAGTTCACGATCAGCCTGGGCAACATAGTGAGACCCCATCTCCACAAAAAATTAAAAAATCAGCCTGGCATGGTGGCCCACGCCTGTAGGAGGTGAGGTGGGAGGATTGACTGAGCCAGGGAGGTTGAGGCTATAGTGAACCATGTTCACACCACTGCACTCCAGCCTGGGCAACAGAGCGAGACCCTGTCTGAAAACAAAAAAGAAGCATCCCGTGGAAGGAATTAGCATCAGAAAGAAAAGACAGTGGGAGATGCAGATGGTTGGTAAGAGAAATGTGGCAGCAAGTACAGAAACAAGGCAGCAGGTAGGGGAAATGATTTGCAGAGTGGCCAGACAGGGCAGTGGGGGCATAGACACAGGACATGTGACATATGTGGTTATAAGCAGAGAAAGGAGGCAGCGAGTGGGAGAAGGGTAGCAGTTACAGGAATTAAACAGGAGGCTGGGTGCGGTGGCTCACGCCTGTAATCCCAGCACTTTGGGACGCCGAGGCGGGCGGATCACAAGGTCGGGAAATGGAGATCATCCTGGCTAACACAGTGAAACCTCGTCTCTACTGAAAATACAAAAAAAAGTAGCCGGGCGTGGTGGCGGGCCGCTGTAGTCCCAGCTACTCGGGAGGCTGAGGCAGGAGAATGGTGTGAACCCAGGAGGCAGAGGTTGCAGTGAGCCGAGATCATGCCACGGCACTCCAGCCTGGGCAACAGAGCCAGACTCCGTCTCAAGAAAAAAAAAAAATTAGCCAGGTGTGGGAGCGGGTGCCTGTAATCCCAGCTACTTGGGAGGCTGAGGCAGGAGAATTGCTTGAACCCGGGAGACAGAGGTTGCAGTGAGCTGAGATCGCACCACTGCACTCCAGCCTGGGCCACAGAGTGAGACTCCATCTCAAAAAAAAGAAAGAAAGAAAGTAAGCAGGGGGCACGGAAAATATTGCAACAGAGATGGAAAAAATGTGTAGCAGGAATAAATCATGCAAATAGAGAAGTAAGGCTAAGGCAGCAGGTGAGAAATTAGCAGCAGATATGGAAACAGAAGATAAGAGAGCTGAGGCTTAAGTCTATAGACATCTGCCTGCAAATGGGAGAACCACGGATGAGTGAAGATATGAGGCTGAAGCCCAGAGCCTCCCTATGGTGCCTCCCCAACCCCATCCCAGGTGTATTTCGGGCGCTGGCTGATCGAGGGAGGCCCTCTGGTGGTGCTCCTGGACGTGGGTGCCTCAGCTTGGGCCCTGGAGCGCTGGAAGGGAGAGCTCTGGGATACCTGCAACATCGGAGTGCCGTGGTACGACCGCGAGGCCAACGACGCTGTCCTCTTTGGCTTTCTGACCACCTGGTTCCTGGGTGAGGTAGGCCCCGTCTGACACATTCCACCCATACCTGAAACTACAATGACCATCAGCCCCTGGGCCAGAGGATGGGCTTCTCCCTGGGCATTCTGGGAGTCATAGGGTCCTTTAATCCAAGGATTAGCTCTGGCCTTTGAGGACATGAACATCCAAGGGCCCAGGCTCTACTCTCGATGCCAACTTCATTTACTCTAGTCTTCCAAGCATAGGGATTCTTGGAATCAGCCTCAAAGTGAGGCTGGCGGGCTTGCCCGAGGAATTCTAGGAGTTGTAGTTCTCTAGTGTGATATTGCTGGACTCAGCTCTCAGATGCTGCCCTGGATGCTCATGAATCCCCAGCCTGACCTGGTTTTGACCCCCTTCTAGGTTTTAAGAGGCTCAAGAAGCTTAGTTTCCAGGCTGGGCACGGTGGCTCATGCCTGTAATCCCAGCACTTTGGGAGGCCGATGGGGGAAGATCACGTGAGGCCAGGAGTTCAAGATGGCCAAACCTCGTCTTTACTAAACATACAAAAAAATTAGCTGGGTGTGGTGGTGGGCACCTGTAATCCCAAATCCCAGCTACTTGGGAGGCTGAGACAGGAGAATTGCTTGAACCTGGGAGGCGGGAATTGCAGTGAGCTGAGATTGCATCACGGCACTCCAGCCTGGGCCACAGAGTGAGACACTGTCTCAAAAAAAAAAAGAAAAAGAAAAAAAAAAAAAGAAGCTTAATTTCTCATGCCCTGGGACAAATAATTGAGGAACTGGCTGCTCCTATGGCATTCTGGGAGTTGTAGTCCCTTTGCCAATGTTGGGTGCAGACAGCGTACCCTTGAGACAAGGGGTCTTTGGAAACTATGTCCAGGACCTGGGAACATGAAAACTTCAGTCTGTCCAATCTAACCCTGCCAGGACTTAGATGGTTGGCCAAAAAATCCTCAGTTCCTGTCAACCCCTGAGGAGGCAGTCACTTGAGCCCAGGAGTTCAAGACCAGCCTGGGCTGCCTCAGGGATTTACAGGTCCCTGTCCGGTTGGGATTGCTGCAGTGGGCCGCTGCCCACTCTGTGCAGTAGTGGTGACAGATTGACCTCTCCCCGAGTCCTTGTCCCTACTGGGGATTGCCGATTCTTTTCCCAACACTCGTGGAGACAGTGGCCCTGTCCCTGTTGCCCACAGTTCCTGGCACAGAGTGAGGAGAAGCCACATGTGGTTGCTCACTTCCATGAGTGGTTGGCAGGCGTTGGACTCTGCCTGTGTCGTGCCCGGCGACTGCCTGTAGCAACCATCTTCACCACCCATGCCACGCTGCTGGGGCGCTACCTGTGTGCCGGTGCCGTGGACTTCTACAACAACCTGGAGAACGTGAGCTGGGACCGTGGCAGATGGGGGACTGCGAGTATGCCAGGAAAACCCAAAGCTCTGGGGGGCCCAAGGGGATGGCACCCCCTCTTCTCCCAGGATCCAGGAGTCCAAGTCCCCAGACCCCTCCTACCTCAGACCCAGGAATCCAGCCCCCAGCACCAATTTCTCTTGGGACCCCAGTGTCTGGACCTCCAGAGTCTTCTCCCCAATCCTTCTAACCGGACTGCTGTCCCCTCCCACCCAGTTCAACGTGGACAAGGAAGCAGGGGAGAGGCAGATCTACCACCGATACTGCATGGAAAGGGCGGCAGCCCACTGCGCTCACGTCTTCACTACTGTGTCCCAGATCACCGCCATCGAGGCACAGCACTTGCTCAAGAGGAAACCAGGTAGGGGCTGGGCTGAAGTCCCCAGACGTGAATGAGGTAGGCAGCTGTCTATGCCAAAGCCAGTTGCTCCTCAGCCCAAGAAGCCCACTGTAAGTTGAAATAGCATAAACCGAAAACGTATTTCGGCTGGGCATGGTGGCTCACACCTGTAATCTCAGCACTTTGAGAGGCCAAGGCAGGAGAACCACTTGAGCCCGGGAATTTGAGACCAGCCTGGGCAACATGGCGAATCCCTGTCTAAAATATTCGCCAGACATGGTGTGTGCCTGTATCCCTAGCTACTCAGGAGGCTGAGGTGGGAGGATTGCTCGAGCCTAGGAGGTCAAGGGTGCAGTGAGCTGTGATCGTGCCATTGCATGATTTGGGTGGCCTGGAGAGACCCTGTCACAGCCTGGGTGACACAGTGAGACCCTGTCTCAAAAAATAAAAAAATGCATTTAATACACCTAACCTACTGAACATCATAGCTTAGGCTAGTATACCTTAAATGTGCCCAGAACACTTTATGTTAGCCTACGACTGGGCAAAATCATCCAATACAAATCTGTTTTATTTTATTTTTATTTATTTATTTATTTTTGAGACGGAGTCTCGCTCTGTCGCCCAGGCTGGAGTGCAGTGGCGCTATCTTGGCTCACTGTAAGCTCCGCCTCCCAGGTTCATGCCATTCTCCTGCCTCAGCCTCCCAAGTAGCTGGGACTATACGCGCCTGCCACCACGCCTGGCTAATTTTAATACAAACCTATTTTATAATAAAGTGTTGAATAGGCTGGGCGCAGTGGCTCACACCTGTAATCCCAACACTTTGGGAGGCCAAGGCGGGCAGATCACGAGGTCAGGAGATCGAGACCAGCCTGGCCAACATGGCGAAACTCCATCTCTACTAAAAATACAAAAATTAGCCGGGCGTGGTGGTGGGTGCCTGTAATCCCAGCTACTCGGGAGGCTGAGGCAGGAGAATCACTTGAACCCAGGAGGCGGAGGTTGCAGTGGGCCGAGATCACACCACTGCACTCCAGCCTGGACAACAGAGCGAGACTCCATCTCAAAAAATTAAAAAAAAAAAGTGTTGAATATCTCATCAAAATCCAAAATTGGACTCATGTGGATGTATGTAACTTTCACACCATCATAAGGTTGAAAAATCATAACTTGGCTGGGCACGGTGGCTTACACCTGTAATCCCAGCACTTTGGAAGGCTGAGGTGGGCAGATCACCTGAGGTCATGTGCTCAAGACCAGCCTGGCCAACATTGTGAGACCCCCTCTCTGCCAAAAATACAAAAATTAGGTGGGCATGGTGGCAGGCGCCTGTAATCCCAGCCACCCAGCTACTCGGGAGGCTGAGGCAGGAGAATCTCTTGAACCCAGGAGGCAGAGGTTGTCGTGAGCCAAGATTGTGCCATTGCACTCCAGCCTGGGCAACAAGAGCGAAACTCTGTCTCGAAAAGAAAAATCATAACTTGGACCATCCTAAGTCCTAAGCTGGGGACCATCAGTTACCATTTTTTTACCTAAAGAATAGAGAACTACAGCTCCCAGAAGGCTGTGGGGGTGGTGACCTGTATTTGAGGCTCTCTGACTATATACTCTGGAGGCTAATGGGAGGTATAATTTCTTTCATATTAATTTCAGATATGATAAAATTCTGTAATTGGCTAATGTAGATTGGTCTTATGAAAGGGAATGGAAGATCAGTGGACTTTGCTTTTGAGAAAGGTTAGGTCAGAACTGGGCATTCTTCCCAGCCCTTAGTATCCGTTCTCAGTGAGTATAAGGTGAGAACTACAACTCCCAGAAGGCCTTTGACTGGTTAGCTCTATATGTTCCAGAACTTTGCCCTAGGCGCTGATGGGGGTTGTAGTTTTTCGTTGATATACTTTAATTTCTATGAGGAGAAGAAATGATTGGGTCCCTGTAAGAAGCTTGGAAGTAGAGGATATATCCTAGGAGAAGCAGGACTTTGGGGATGTTTAATCATTTCCATCTCAGGGTGGGCTAAGAGGAAACAAAAGAAGTACAACTTTCCCAGAATCACCAGTGTGGATCAGATCCCTGTTAGCCATTTGCAGTAGCTGAGGAGACTTATACTTGTGCTTGTGAACCTAAGCAAGTAATATTAGGCAAGAAGGCATCTTGGAGTCAGGGTAGGTGTGTCACCAAGGGAACTGGCCAGGCATGGTGGCTCACACCTGTAATCCCAGCACTTTAGGAGGCCAGGGCAGGAAGACTGCTTGAAGCCAGGAGTTTGAGATCAGCTTGGGTAACATGACAAGACCCCATCACTACAAAAGTAAAATAAATAAATTAGCCGGGTGTGGTAGTGCACGCCTGTAGTGCCAGCTACTCGGGAGGCTGAGGAGGGAGGATTGCTTGAGCCCAGGAGGTCAGGGATGCAATGAGCTGTGATTGTGCCACTGCTCTCCAGCCTGAGCGACAGAGAGAAACCCTGTCTCCAAAAACAAACAAACAAACAAAAAAGGTGGGAGGGGGGACCTCATAGGAACGCTCTTGAAACAAAAAAATTGCAAAAGGCAAAGGGTGTTTTCTTCATTTATTCATTCAACCACAACATTGATCTGAATGAACAAATAAAACATGGGACCCTCACCCCCAATCCCAGATATTGTGACCCCCAATGGGCTGAATGTGAAGAAGTTTTCTGCCATGCATGAGTTCCAGAACCTCCATGCTCAGAGCAAGGCTCGAATCCAGGAGTTTGTGCGGGGCCATTTTTATGGGTACGTGGGGCATATACCTAGGTCTTAAGAGAGGAGGGCGTTGGGAGCCTAACCATCTAGGTCTGGGGGAGGGGGCAGCTGGGGGCCCAGACTCCTGGGTCTGAGGGAGGGGGCACCTGGGTATTCGGCCTCCTTAATTCTTGAGCGCTGGAACAATGGGCTCAGGATTAAAGGAAATCTCCATCTAAAGAGAAGAACTACAACTCCCAGGAGGCCCCGTGATGCCTCTGTATTACCTAAGACATCCTCTGCCCCCCCACCCATAGCTTCTGGGATTTGTAGTTTTGAGGCCAGGGCTAGCGGGTGAGGGCTTTGGGCTTTACCGTGCCTTGTGGGTTCTTTAGGCATCTGGACTTCAACTTGGACAAGACCTTATACTTCTTTATCGCCGGCCGCTATGAGTTCTCCAACAAGGGTGCTGACGTCTTCCTGGAGGCATTGGCTCGGCTCAACTATCTGCTCAGAGTGAGGCCTGGGCTATGAGGGGACAGGGAGGGCAAGCAAAGCAGTTTATAACTAGGGAGAACAGCCAGGCACAGTGGCTCACACCTGTAATCCCAACACTTTTGGAGGCCAAGGCGGGAGGATCACTTGAGCCCAGGAGATGGAGACCAGCCTGGGCAACATGGTGAAACCCCATCTCTACAAAAAATACAAAAATTAGCCAGGCATGGTGGCTCACACGTGTAGTCCCAGCTACTCGGGAGGGTGAACGGGGAGGATCACGCGAGCCCGGGAGGTGGAGGTTGCAGTGAGCCAAGATCATATCACTGCACTCCAGCCTGGGCGACAGAAAAAGACGCTGTCTCAAAAACAAAACAAAACAAAACAAAACAAAAAATTACAGAACAGAAACCCAAGAAGCCAGGAAGATGGGGGTAGGAAAGCCCCTGAGTATGGTGGGGGGCCGTGAGGGGAGTATAGAGACCCAGAAAGAAGGTCAGAGTCCAGGTGGGGACTGTCCTATAATTCTCCTTGACAGGAATGGGTATGGCAGGATCCCAGTGGTCTTGACAGAAAGGCTGGCTGGTTCCAGGCTTCCCCCACATGATCCTGGCCTCCCCCTCCTTTCTTTCTGCGCAGGTGAACGGCAGCGAGCAGACAGTGGTTGCCTTCTTCATCATGCCAGCGCGGACCAACAATTTCAACGTGGAAACCCTCAAAGGCCAAGCTGTGCGCAAACAGCTTTGGTTAGCAGCCCTCGCTCCGGCCCCTGGCGCAGCCCACTCCCAGATGCATGCTTTGGGTCCTGTGTTTCTCCTAGAGTCTCAGTTTTTTGTTTTGTTTGTTTGTTTGTTTGTTTGTTTTTGAGACAGTCTCACTCTGTCGCCCAGGCTGGAGTGTAGTGGTGCGATCTTGGCTCACTGCAACCTCCACCTCCTGGGTTCAAGCAAGTCATCTGCCTCAGCCTCTCGAGTAGCTGGGACTACAGGTGCACACCACCATGCCTGGCTAATTTTTGTATTTTCAGTAGAGATGGGGTTTCACCACATTGGCCAGACTAGTCTCAAACTCCTGATCTCGTGATCTGCCCGCCTCAGCCTCCCAAAGTGCTGGAATTACAGGCATGAGCCACCGCACCCGGCCCTCTTTTTTTTTTTTATTTTGAGATGGAGTTTTGCTCTGTCGCCCAAGCTGGAGTGCAATGGCATGATCTCGGCTCACTGCAACCTCTGCCTCCTGGGTTCAAGCGATTTTCCTGCCTCAGCCTCTGAGTAGCTGGGACTACAGGGGTGTGCCACCACACCTGGCTAACTTTTTATTTTTATTAGAGACAGGTTTTCACTATATTGGCCAGGCTGGTCTTGAACTCCTGACCTCAGGTGTTCCGCCTGCCTCAGCCTCCCAAAGTGCTGGGATTCCAGGCGTGAGCCACCACACCTAGCCTTTTTTTGTATTTTTAGTAGAGATGGGGTTTCACCATGTTGGCCAGGCTGATCTTGAACACCTGACCTCAGGTGATCCAGCCGCCTTGGCATCCCAAAGTGCTGGGATTACAGGGGTGAGCCACTGCGCCTGGCTTAGTTTCTTTTTCTTTTCTCTGATTTTTTTTTTTTTTTGAAACAGAGTCTCACTGTTGCCCAGGCTGGAGTGCAGTGGCGTAATCTCAGCTCACTGTAACCTCCGCCTCCCAGCAAAGCTCAGTTTCTTCATCTGTAAAACCGTTCATTCATTAGCAGAGATACTCACTGAGCATCTACTATGTGCTAGCTAATTTTTATATTTTTAGCACCGATGGGATTTCACCACGTTGACCAGGCTGGTCTTGAACTCCTGACCTCAAGTGACCTGCCCTCCTCATGTATTCCAGGTCCTGGGAATACAGCTGTGAACCAGAAAGATAAGATCCCTTTCCTCATGGAGCTTGTATTCTAGAAAATCCTGTAGACGGAATTTACTTTTGGGCAAAAATAAAGCAGAACTGGAATATGAGACGGGGTTGTCAGGACAGGCCACACTGAGAAAGTGTTATTGGGCAGAGACGAGGAAAGGTGACGAGGGAGCAAGCCCTGTGGGTATCTGAGGAACAGCAAACTCGAAGGCCCCGAGGCATGATTGAGACGCGGTGGGGAGTCCCATGGGGCTGGAGTGACATGTCTCATAGAGAAGGGGTAGAAAGTGAGGCAAGATGGAGGGCACCTGTAGTGCCAGCTACAGGAGGCAGGAGGATCATTTTGGCCCTGGAGGTTGAGGCTGTAGTGAGGCATGATTGCGCCACTGCACTCCAGCCTAGGCAACAGAGTGAGACTCTGTCTCAAAAAAATAAAAAAGAAGTCGGGCGTGGTGGCTCACACCTGTAATCCCGGCACTTTGGGAGGCCGAGGCGGGTGGATCACCTGAGGTCGGGAGTTTGAGACCAGCTTGACCAACATGGTGAAACCCCGTCTTTCCTAAAAATAAAAAAAATCAGCAGGGCGTGGTGACACACATCTGTAGTCCTAGCTACTCGAGAGGCTAAGCAGGAGAATCGCTCGAACCCGGGAGGCAGAGATTGCAGTGAGCCAAGATCGCGCCAATGCACTCCAGCATGGGTGACAGTGAGACTCGGTCTCAAAAAAAAAAAAAAAAAAAAGAAAGAAAGAGGCTGGGCGCGGTGGCTCACACCTGTAATCCCAGCACTTTGGGAGGCTGAGGAGGGCAGATCACTTGAGGTCAGGAGTTCGAGATCAGCCTGGTCAACGTGGTGAAATCCCATCGGTACTAAAAATATAAAAATTAGCCAGATGTGGTGGCGCACGCTTGTAATTGCAGCTACTCAGGAGGCTGAGGCAGGAGAATTTCTTGAACCTAGAAAGTGGCCGAGATTGCGCCATCCTGGGCGACAGAGCAAGACTCTGTCTCAAAAAAAAAAAAAAAAAAAAAAAAAAAAAAAAAAAAAAAAAGAAAAGAAAAAAGAAAAAGAGACAAAGAAAGAAAAATAAATGAGGCCAGAGCTATGGGAGGATTTTAAGTGGAGGAGTGACCGTGGGGCTGTTGTGTGACACTGCTAGCTTTACTTGTGTGCCTAAGTGGTCCTTTCTCAGAATCTTACTTTCTTTTCGTATAAAATGGGGCTTAGCATTGCCATCTGCAGGACAAGTACAAGTCCTAATAATAGCTGACATTTCTGGAAGGCTTGCCATGTGTACTTTTTGGCATGACATCATTGGGTCCTCATCGCAAACCTCTGAGGTTGATTCTATTTTCATCCTCCTCTGAAAAATGAGTCACTGCAGTCAGAGAGGGAAGGCCACCTGTCCCTGACCACACAGCTGATGTCAGGCACGTGGGTCCTAAGCCTTCCAGGGCCTGCCCCCTGGGTCCCCATCCTCCAGCCTGGAGGCCCCAGGGCACGGCTTCCCTGCTCACACCTCAGTTTCCTTGCTATCCTAGAAACCTAAGGGTAGCTGGGCGCGGCAGCTCATGCCTGTAATTCCAGCACTTTGGGAGGCCGAGGTGGCCAATTACCAGCCAGAGGTCAGGAGTTCGAGACCAGCCTGGCCAACGTGGTGAAACCCCGTCTCTACTAAAGTTACAAAAATTAGCCGGGCATGGTGGCAGGTGCCTGTAATCCCGGCTACTCAGGAGGCTGAGGCAGGAGAATTGCTTGAACCTGAGAGGCAGAGGTTGCAGTGAGCCAAGATCGCACCACTGCGCTCCAGCCTGGACGACAGAGTAACTCTGTCAATAATAATAATAATAATAATAAATAAACTGCTGGGCACAGTGGCTCAAGCCTCTAATCCCAGTACTTTGGGAGGCCGAGGTGGGCAGATTACCTGAGGTTGGGAGTTTGAGACCAGCCTGACCAACATGGAGAAACCCCGTCTCTACTAAAAATAGAAAATTAGCCGGGCGCGGTGGCTCATGCCTGTAATCCCAGCTACTCGGGAGGCTGAGGCAGGAGAATTGCTTGAACCTGGGAGGCAGAGGTTGCAGTGAGCCGAGATCACGCCATTGCATTCCAGCCTGGGCAACAAGAGCCAAACTCCGTCTCAAAATAAACAAACAAACTAACTAAAGAAGCCTAACAGTAAATGGCAGCTGGTGTGTATGTGACCCTGTTGCTCTGCTTCCTCCAGGGACACGGCCAACACGGTGAAGGAAAAGTTCGGGAGGAAGCTTTATGAATCCTTACTGGTGTGAGTGCCCCACCCTCAGCCCTGTGCCCTCCTAGGCCCTGACTAACCCCTCTCATTACTCCGTTCTCACATGCATGCCCCTGCTTGCCTTGCAGTGGGAGCCTTCCCGACATGAACAAGATGCTGGATAAGGAAGACTTCACTATGATGAAGAGAGCCATCTTTGCAACGCAGGTATGGATTGGACCTCTGTGCAGAGAGATAGCAGTTCCTGGCAGCCCCAGAGGCAGCTTGCCAGGCCAGCTCAGACCCCAGAGATTGCTGGGAGTCCTGCTTTCTCCTGCAGCCCTTTATGAAGGGATCTATTCTGAGGTCCACAGAAGGGCACGTGCTGACTCGTGCAACTTCAGTTGCTGGAGGCGAGGCACTTAGGGTGGGCTGTTTTCTGTGGCTTATTCTGCCACGAGGGTTGCTGGGACGTGTGGTTTCTCTGGGATTCTGGGGTCAATGAGCAAAAGGAAGCTTATTTGTTTATTTATTTTTATTATATTTATTTATTTATTTTGAGATGGAGTCTCGCTCTGTCGCCCAGGCTGGAGTGCAGTGGCACGATCTCGGCTCACTGCAACCTCTGCCTCCTGGGTTCAAGCAATACTCCTGCCTTGGCCTCCCAAGTACCTGGGATTACAGGCACATGCCACCACACCCAGCTAATTTATATATTTTTAGTAGAAACGAGATTTCACCATGTTGGCCAGGCCAGTCTCAAGCTCCTGACCTCAAGTGTTCTGTCTGCCTCAGCCTCCCAAAGTGCTGAGTTTACAAGCGTGAGTCCCTGTTCCCAGCCCAAAGGGAAGTTTAAAAGGAAGTGTAGAAATGTAATAAAGGGCCAGGTGTGGTGGCTCATGCCTGTAATCTCAGCACTTTGAGAGGCCAAAGCAGGAAGATCACTTGAGACCAGGAGGCTGAGGCTGCAGTGAGCCATGACTGTGCCACTGTACACCAGCCTGGGGGACAGAGCCAGATCCCACACTAGCCCCCCACCCACCCCCAAAAGAAAGTCAAGGCCCAGCTTGGTAGCTCACACCTGTCAGTATTCCCAGCACTTTGGGAGGCTGAGGTGGGAGGATCGCTTGAGCCCAGGAGTTTGAGACCAGCCTGGGCAACATGATGAAACCCTGTCTCTACCAAAAATACAAAAATGAGCTGGGCATAGTGGCATACACCTGTTATCCCAGCTACCTGGGAGGCTGAGGCCAGAGGATGCCTTGAGCTCAGGAGGTCAAGGCTGCAGTGAGCTATGATTATGCCGCTGCAGTGAGCTATGATTATGCCACTGCACTCCAGACTGGGCAACAGAGCGAGGCGGACACATACACACACACACGAAAGAAGGAAAAGAAAGAAAAGAAAAGGTCAAGACAGCCATAAAAGAATTACAACTCTCAGCTCTCCTTGGGCCTTGCTGCACACGGCTCCACCTCTACCCCTAAAACTGCTGGGAGTGGTAGTTTTATCGGGCCACTTTAGGGACGCAGTCAGGAGGTGAGCAAAAGCACCCAGCATTCTCCAGAAAACATTGCAAACTCTCAGCAGCTGCGGTTTCTTATTTCCAGAGGCTGTGTGTTGGTCCCCAGACACCCCTGGGAATTGTAGCTGCTTTAGATCCCTAACTTCAGAGAGAATTGGCATTTATAAAATGAGAACTTACCGTCATTCTATTGAGTCTAGGGGCCCAAAAAACTACAACTCCCAGCAGCCCCTGCTGGCTTTCTGGGGCATTGACGCTTCCCTTGTCCAGAGGCTTCTGGGAGTTAGAGTTCTTTCATTCTCTGGGGTCCAGGGACTTCAGTACTTGTGGTCTACATTGGGGAGCCATTTCCTGGGGAATGGAAACCCAGACAGCTAAGTTGTAGAAACAAAACGTGAACTGCTTTTGGCTAACCTATAATTTCCAATAGTCCCTAAAGCAGCCCACCTCATTATGAATGTTTCTGCCATCGGGATGCTGGGAGTTGTAGTTTCTCGGGCCCCTAGACTCAGTAGAGTGGTGGTAAGTAAAATCTTTAATGAGCTATGATGGAACAGTTGCTAAGAACTATACACCCCAGCAGTCCTCAGGACTTCCTATCACACTAGCTCTGTCTTGCTCCAGAGACTCTTGGAAATTGTGGTTTCTTTGGGCCTTTGTTAGGGTTGGAGGTGAATTTTCTTTTTTCTTCTTTTTTTTTTTTTTTTTTTTTTTTGAGACGGAGTCTCGCTCTGTCGCCCAGGCTGGAGTGCAGTGGCGCGATCTTGGCTCACTTCAACCTCCGCCTCCCGGATTCATGCCGTTCTCCTGCCCCAGCCTCCTGAGGCACCCACCACCACGCCTGGCTAATTTTTTGTATTTTTAGTAGAGACGGGGTTTCACCGTGTTAGCCAGGATGGTCTCGATCTCCTGACCTCGTCATCCTCCTGCCTCGGCCTCCCAGAGTGCTGGGATTACAGGCGTGAGCCACCACGCCTGGTGGTTGGAAGTGAATTTTCATAAGGAAACTACAACTCCCAGCAGTCTCCAAAGCTTGCTGCCATATTGGCACAGTCTCCACCCCCATTGACTGGGGATAGTTATATTTCCTTTGGGTTTCTTTAATAATAGAGCCCAGAGTACAGAACAAGGTAGCTGCAACTCCTCATAGTCCTTGGAGGTAAGGGAGTTGCTAACACGGCTTTGCCTCAAAGACAGCTGGGAATTCTAGTTCTTTGAAGCTCATGGTGGTTAAGGGAAGGAAAACATTTCCAGGCCAGGTGTGGTGGCTCATGTCTGTAATCCCAGCACTTCGGGAGGCCAAAACGGATGCATCGCTTGAGCCCATGAGTTCGAGACCAACTTGGCCAACATAGTGAAACCCCATCTCTATTAAAAAAAAAAAAAAAAAAAATTAGGCTGAGCGCAATGGCTCACGCCTGTAATCCCAGCACTTTGGGAGGCCAAGGCAGGTGGATCACGAGGTCAGGAGATCTAGACCATCCTGATTTAACACAGTGAAACCTCGTCTCTACTAAAAATACAAAAAATTAACCGGGCGTGGTGGTAGGCGCCTGTAGTTCCAGCTACTCGGGAGGCTGAGGCAGGAGAATGGCATGATCCTGGGAGGTGGAGCTTGCAGTGAGCCGAGATTGTGCCACTGCATTCCAGCCTGGGCGACAGAGCGAGACTCCGCCTCAAAAATAAATAATAATAATTTAAAAGAAAAGAAAGAAAACCTTTACAGGTTGTACTAGTGGGAATCCACAACTCCTGGTGATCACTTGGGTTTGTTGCCCCACGTCCGGTGCATTTGTGGTCTCCTTGGCTCCCCCAGGGTCCGCATGGCTCATGAGGAAGTAGGGAGTTCTCTGTCCCTTCCATGACCCCTTACCCTTCTTGTGGCTCCTGCAGCGGCAGTCTTTCCCCCCTGTGTGCACCCACAATATGCTGGATGACTCCTCAGACCCCATCCTGACCACCATCCGCCGAATCGGCCTCTTCAATAGCAGTGCCGACAGGGTGAAGGTGAGGGCATTTGGTCAGGGCTGGGTTGGGCACGGCAGAGGGAAGGGGTTGGGTCCTGGGCCTCACACACTCCATTCCCCTATAAGTTTTATCAAAGGTATTGCTGTGGTTAGAAAGAACCCTGGCTTCTGAGGCAGGCAGACCTGGGTTTGAACATTGGTCCTGCCAAACACATGCTGTGTGATGCTAGACAAGCTTTTTACCCTCTCTGGGCCACCTTGGGATCTCAGGGCTTAGCTAAATAAGGCACTTGGGCTGAGTCCTTCTTTTTCACTACCAGGTGATTTTCCACCCGGAGTTCCTCTCCTCCACAAGCCCCCTGCTCCCTGTGGACTATGAGGAGTTTGTCCGTGGCTGTCACCTTGGAGTCTTCCCCTCCTACTATGAGCCTTGGGGCTACACACCGGGTGAGTGTAGTGGGCAGGGGACAGCGTGGTCATGGCATCCTAGTCAGAGCTAGCATGTCTTGGGGCGAGGCACTGGCCTTCTCTGAGCCTGTTGCCTTCTTTGCAAAACAGGAACAATGGTAATCACCTGTTCTGCTACAGCGCGTGCTTTTGTGATACAATAGCTCATGTATTGAGAAACTAGAAGACTGGGTTTTGAGGAC
Source organism: Homo sapiens (assembly GCF_000001405.40). NCBI lineage: Eukaryota > Metazoa > Chordata > Mammalia > Primates > Hominidae > Homo > Homo sapiens. Next base: position 48,974,009 of record NC_000019.10, on the reverse strand, counting down.
TAGTGAACTGGATGTCACAGTTCACACTGCTTTCTCCCAGAAAGCAGTGGCCCCCCAAATAGTGGCAATGAAATGCACAATTCACAAATACAGCCGAGTGTGGCCAAGTCTCCTCGTAAGACGTTCCCAGTGCCCATCAACTCCACCTTCCTCTTGTTGGTTCACATTAGCCAGTGTTTTTAAAGCTAAATAAGGCTGGGCGTGGTGGCTCATGCCTGTAATCCCAGCACTTGGGGAGGCCAAGATGGGCAGATCATGAGGTCAGGAGTTTGAGACCAGCCTGGCCAATATAGTGAAACCCTGTCTCTACTAAAAATACAAAAATTAGCCAGGTGTGGTGGTACGCACCTGTAGTCTCAGCTACTTGGGAGGCTGAGGCAGAGAATTGCTTGAACTTGGGAGGCGGAGGTTGCAGTGAGCTGAGATCATGCCACTGCACTCCGGCAGTGCTGTGCTCTGGGTGACAGAGCGAGACTCCGTCTCAAAAAAAAAAAAAAAAAAAAATTAAAGCTAAATTAGTGCCATTTCCTAATTTATTAGTAATTTAACAAGTCCTGCAAACTGTGCTTGCATGATAATTAGGAGTCGCGGTCAGCCCCAATTCCCTTTTTCCATAGGCCTTGTTTTATAGATAGATTGATAGATAGTACTAGTCTGTTTTCACACCGCTATAAAAAAAAAATCCAAGACTGGGTAATTTATAACGGAAAGAGGTGTAATTGACTCACCGTTCCACATGTCTGGAGAGGCCTCAGAAAACTCAGTCATGGCAGAAGGGGAAGAAAGAAGCTTCTTCTCATGGCGGCAGGAGGGAGAAGTATGTGAGGGTGCAGGAAAAACGAACATTTATAAAACCATGAGATCTCGTGAGAATTCACTCACTATCATGAGAACAGCGGCGGGGGAACCACCCCCGTAATCCAATCATTTCCCTCCCTCGACACGTGGGGACTACATTTTGAGATGAAATTTGGGGGGGAACACAGAGTCAAACTATATCATAAATATATATTTAATACATTTTACTATTTGTTTCTTTTTTGAGATGGGGTTATTACTCTGTTGCCAAGGCTCACCTGGAACTCCTAGGTTCAGGTGCTTCTGCCTCAGCCTCTTGAGTATCTGTCATTATAGGTGCATCCCACCATGCCTGACAGATGTATTATATTTAGTGCCTATTTTTGCAGTTTACAGATGTTTTTAGGAAAACTTACATAAGAATTATAGATCAGGCCAGGCATGGTGGCTCACGCCTATAATCCCCACACTTTGGGAGGCCGAGGTGGGAGGATCACTTGAGGACATGAGTTTGAGACCAGCCTGGCCAACATGGTGAAACCCTATCTCTACTACAAATACAAAAATTAGCTGGGGGTGGTGGCAGGCACCTGTAATCCCAGCCCTTCGGGAAGTTGAGGTGGGAGAATCGTTTGAACCCCAGAGGCAGAGATTGCAGTGAGCTGAGATCGCGCCACTGCACTCCAGCCTGGGCGACAGAGTCAGACCCTGTCTAAAATAATAATAATAATAATTATAGGTCAGGGGCAGTGGCTCACACCTATAATCCTAGCATCTTGGAAGGCTGAGGTGGGAGGATAGCTTGAGCTCAGGAGTTCAAGACCAGCCTGGACAACATGGTGAGACCCTGTCTCTATAAAAGATTTTTTTTTTTTTTTGAGACAGAGTCTTGCTCTATTGCCAGGCTGGAGTGCAGTGGCACAGTCTTGGCTCACTGCAACCGCCTCCCGGGTTCAAGTGATTCTCCTGCCTCAGCCTCCAGAGTAGCTGGGACTATAGGCGCCTGCCACCACACCCAGCTAATTTTTGTATTTTTATTAGACACAGGGTTTCACCATGTTGGCCAGGATGGTTTTTTTTTTTTTCTCTTCTTGACCTCGTGATCCACCCGCCTTGGCCTCCCAAAGTGCTGGGATTACAGACATGAGCCACCGTGCCCGGCCTTTTTTTTTTTTATTTTTAATTAGCCATGCGTAGTGTTGTGTGCTCGTAGTCCCAGCCTCTTGGGTGGCTGAGGTGGGAGGATTGCTTGAGCCTAGGAGGTCAAGGCTGCAGTGAGCTATGATCAAGCCACTGTCCTCCAGGTTGGGTGATAAAGTGAGACCTTGTCTCGAGAAAAAAAAAAAAAAAGCATTGGGCCAGGCGCAGTGGCTCACACCTATAATTTGACCACTTTGGGAAGCCAAGACGGATGGATCACCTGAGGTCAGGAGTTCAAGACCTGCCTGGCCAACATGGTGAAACCCTGTCTATACTAAAAAATACAATAATTAACTGGGCATGGTGGTGTGTGCCTGTAGTCCCAGCTACTCGGGTGGCTAAGGCACGAAAATCGCTTGAACCCGGGAGGTGAAGGTTGCAGTGAGCCGAGATTGTGCCACTGCACTACAGCTTGGGTGACAGAGTGAGACCCTGTCTCGAAAGAAAAAAAAAAAAGCATAAAAATCCATCAAAAAATTATAATACATTCCTTGAACTATTTCTCAAGGTTGTTAAAGGTATTAAACAAGACGTACTAGATGCTCTGTACACAGGGATACTAATAATGAGAGACCTTATCTTACCCCCCATCAAAATAGACTAAGTCCGTACAAGATACTGGCACAAGAAAGGATCTTACAGGTTGTGACAATTAAGTAGAATGATGGACCTTGGCCCGATCCTACAGGTTGTGAGAGTTAAGTCAAATGGATATTGGGATGCTCAATAAATTAGCATCCTTATCTCCCAACTATGGACTTTCCCGCATCTTGGAGCAAGAGCAAGTAATTCTCTTTTCTGAGCCTCTTAGCGTCCCCTCTGAGAAATAGGGAAATGCACAGCCTGGTTGTGGGGGCTCAGCGACGCTCCGCACAGCGCCTGGCACTTGGTACAGGCGCCAGTAGAGGGCGGTGTTGAGGCGTCTATTGCGATTAAGACGGTAGGCGATGAGGGAAGCTAAGTGGGTCTCTCTCCTGCCTTCCCGCAGCTGAGTGCACGGTTATGGGAATCCCCAGTATCTCCACCAATCTCTCCGGCTTCGGCTGCTTCATGGAGGAACACATCGCAGACCCCTCAGCTTACGGTCAGCGCCCAGGCCCCTGAGGATTCTGGAAGGGGGCTTGAGAACAGTGACTCCTGGATCCTGGGAAGGAGGAGCTTGCACCCTTGGAGACCAGGGGCACCAGGAAATGGGGGGGCTCTCGGGCCGCTGGGAGAGGAGGGGTCCTGGTGCCACAGAGTCCTGGAGACCATGAAGATCTCCCCAGGATGTTTTCTGAACCTGGGTCCTGGCCTCCACAGGTATCTACATTCTTGACCGGCGGTTCCGCAGCCTGGATGATTCCTGCTCGCAGCTCACCTCCTTCCTCTACAGTTTCTGTCAGCAGAGCCGGCGGCAGCGTATCATCCAGCGGAACCGCACGGAGCGCCTCTCCGACCTTCTGGACTGGAAATACCTAGGCCGGGTAGGACCCCCACTTTCCTATCCTCTCCTGGCAAATCAGCAGCTCCTGGCTAGGGGTCTTTGGTGCAGGGTGCAGGGTCTCATCCTACTTGTAACAGTTGCTGTCCCTTTAAGCAATGAACCAGGCCGATCGCGATGGTGGCTCATGGTTGTAATCCCAGCACTTTGGGAGGCCTAACAGGAAGGATCGCATGAGCTCAGGAGTTAAGAGACCAGCCTGGGCAACATTTTATTTTTACTAAAAATAAAAAAAAATCAGCCGAGCGTGATGGTGCGTGCCTGTAGTCCCAGCTACTGGGGAGGCTGAGGTGGTAGGGTCGCTTGAGCCCCGGAGGTTGAGGCTGCAGTGAGCCTTGTTCAAACCCACTGCACTCCATCCTAGAGTAACAGAACAAGACCGTGTTTAAAAAGAAAAAAAGAACATTGGTCAGGCGTTCTCATTTGCATAAGGGTGTGGCCAAAGAGGAGACTCACTTGAGAATTCGGCCCCTGTTTGAGGGGTATGGCTCAGAAACTGTCCATTCACAGGTCTGCTTATCTACATAAGGGGTGGAGTCAGATAGATGGATTATTTGTATGGGGTGCAGCAGTGTGCTCATCTGCATAAAGGGTGTGGCCAAGACCCCCATCATCTGCCTGGGGGTGGGGCCTGGCTCTCACATCCTCTGCCCCCTCTCCTCCTTTCCCCTAGTACTATATGTCTGCGCGCCACATGGCGCTGTCCAAGGCCTTTCCAGAGCACTTCACCTACGAGCCCAACGAGGCGGATGCGGTGAGTGGACCCTGGATTTCTGCTTAGCCAGGAGCTAAAGGGCTGGGCTTCGGTGGGGTGGGGGTCCCTCCTGGAGTGGGAAGGCCTAGAGGTGGCTGGATGCCTGGGTGGGACTGTGAGGTCCTCAGCTCACCCTGGTTTGCACCCACATCGCCGTATGCAGGCCCAGGGGTACCGCTACCCACGGCCAGCCTCGGTGCCACCGTCGCCCTCGCTGTCACGACACTCCAGCCCGCACCAGAGTGAGGACGAGGAGGATCCCCGGAACGGGCCGCTGGAGGAAGACGGCGAGCGCTACGATGAGGACGAGGAGGCCGCCAAGGACCGGCGCAACATCCGTGCACCAGAGTGGCCGCGCCGAGCGTCCTGCACCTCCTCCACCAGCGGCAGCAAGCGCAACTCTGTGGACACGGCCACCTCCAGCTCACTCAGCACCCCGAGCGAGCCCCTCAGCCCCACCAGCTCCCTGGGCGAGGAGCGTAACTAAGTCCGCCCCACCACACTCCCCGCCTGTCCTGCCTCTCTGCTCCAGAGAGAGGATGCAGAGGGGTGCTGCTCCTAAACCCCCGCTCCAGATCTGCACTGGGTGTGGCCCCGCAGTGCCCCCACCCAGTCCGCCAAACACTCCACCCCCTCCAGCTCCAGTTTCCAAGTTCCTGCACTCCAGAATCCACAAAGCCGTGCCTTTCTCTGGCTCCAGAATATGCATAATCAGCGCCCTGGAGTCCCCTGGGCCTGGACCGCTTCCCAGAGGCCAGGAATCTGCCATTACTCTGCGGTGGTGCCAGAGGTTTTAGGAAACCTGGCATGGTGCTTTCAGGTCTGGGGCTTTTAGAGCCCCCCGTGTGGCTTACAAATTCTACAGCATACAGAGCAGGCCACGCTCAGGCCCGGCATGCGGGCCACCAAGTTCTGGAAACCACGTGGTGTCCCTGCGAATGGGGCGATCAAGTCCAGAGCCGGGGCACTTTCAGAGTTTGAAGGTAACTGAGAGCAGATGGTCCTCCATTTCAACTCCAGAAGTGGGGCTCTGGGAGGGATGTTCTAGCCCTCCCTGGCATGTCAGAGCCAGGCTCTGCCTGGAGGATCCCTCCATCCGGCTCCTGTCATCCCCTACACTTTGGCCAAGCAAGAGGTGGTAGAACCACTTGGCTGCTCATTCCTTCTGGAGGACACACAGTCTCAGTCCAGATGCCTTCCTGTCTTTCTGGCCCTTTCTGGACCAGATCCTACTCTTCCTTTCTAAATCTGAGATCTCCCTCCAGGGAATCCGCCTGCAGAGGACAGAGCTGGCTGTCTTCCCCCACCCCTAACCTGGCTTATTCCCAACTGCTCTGCCCACTGTGAAACCACTAGGTTCTAGGTCCTGGCTTCTAGATCTGGAACCTTACCACGTTACTGCATACTGATCCCTTTCCCATGATCCAGAACTGAGGTCACTGGGTTCTAGAACCCCCACATTTACCTCGAGGCTCTTCCATCCCCAAACTGTGCCCTGCCTTCAGCTTTGGTGAAAGGGAGGGCCCCTCATGTGTGCTGTGCTGTGTCTGCACCGCTTGGTTTGCAGTTGAGAGGGGAGGGCAGGAGGGGTGTGATTGGAGTGTGTCCGGAGATGAGATGAAAAAAATACATCTATATTTAAGAATCCCAGGTGTGGTCAGACATGACACTTGGTGGGCCTGGCTGTGACGTCCCCCCAGTACCACCCCTTCCCTGGTCTGAGCTCATCCTCTTATTCTAGAGAGACTTGGGGGGTCTCCCTATGTTGCTTAGGCTGGTCTCAACCTCCTGGGCTCAAGTGATCGTCCTGCCTTGGCCTCCCAAAGTGCTGGGATTACAGGCTTGAACCACCCTGCCCCAGACCCAGGGGAAGGAGAAGGGGAAGAGTCAGAGCTGACACAGCAGTTTTGCAGCTTGGACACAGCAAGTGCTTTTTAAGGCCTGTTTTAAGCTTCTTCAGTTCCCATTTGGAGAATCCGGCCCAAGGTTTCACATCCCATTTCTGTGATGAACCCTAAACCCCTTGTCCAGCATTGCTTGGGCATCACGTGTTCCTGGCTGCTCAGCTCCACTGGCCAGTTCCTCTCAGTGTGCGCCTCACATTGGGATCACTCAAGCTCGGGCCATAATCTCTTAAACTCTGGAGCAAAGACCTCAGTGAGCCCCCCGGTTGCCATGCAAGTTGCATAGCAATAGCGTCAATGTGCCCATATAAAGGGCCTAATAATTCCAACTGCCTCCCAGAATTGAGGCTTTTTTCTTTTTTGAGACAGAGTCTTACTCTGTTGCCCAAGCTGGAGCACAGTGGCGCCATCTCAGCTCACCGCAACTTCCGTGAGGCAGACATGTTTTTTGTTTGAGATGGGAGTTCCACTCTTTTTGCCCAGGCTGGAGTGCAATGACGCCATCTCAGCTCACTGCAACCTCCGCCTCCCAGATTCAAGCGATTCTCCTACCTCAACCTCCTGACTAGCTGGGATTACAGGTATGAGCCACCACACCCAGCTAATTTTGTATTTTAGTAGAGACGGGGTTTCTTCATGTTGGTCAGGCTGGTCTCGAACTCCTGACATCAGGTGAGCGACCCACCTGGCCCCATAATCACTCGTTAAATAGGGCTGTTTCTGGCTGAGACCTAACATCTGTTTCTAGATACCAACCTAGGTCTTAATTCAACTCCCTGGAGTCTATCTCTACCATCTGGGAGGGACAGTTAACAGCCAGGCAAGCAGAGAACCCTCAGGTTCAACACTACCCAGATAGCCTCTTGTCTTAGGACAGTTAAGAAAATGGGAGATGGGGCCAACTCCTCTTTCACTGGCATCCCAACCCAGCCAGAAGCTTTATGAGAACAGATCCCACCTCATCTTCCACACCACACACAAAACCACCAGCTGCATCAAAAAGCTTTATTTCCATTTGGTCCAAGGCTTGTTAGGATAGTTAAGAAAGCTGCCTATTGGCTGGAGGGAGAGGCTTAGGCAGAAGCCCTATTACTTTGCAAGGGGCCCTTCAGAAGTCGCTGGGCTCAGAAGGCTCTTAGTCGTGCTTGAGAGTGAGCCTTTCGAAGAGATACTCGCCCAGCCCAGCCTCCGGGCCACCCAGCCTGTGGAGGTTGGTCAGGTGGTCACCCATCTTCTTGATAAGCTTCACTTCCTCATCTAGGAAGTGAGTCTCCAGGAAGTCACAGAGCTGAGAGAGAAGAGGGAGAAATTAGAAACCCAATCCCTGGAAAAGAGGGGGAGAGAGCAGCCAGTTGCAGATTAAAATGTGACAGGTGTGAAATGAGGCTCTGAAGGAAATTTGCCCAAAGGGAGCAGAGGCTTGAGGGGTATGGTTGGGTAGCCATGGATGCAGCGGGTACGTACATGGGGGTCCGTGCGGGCAGAACCCAGGGCATGAAGATCCAAAAGGGCCTGGTTCAGCTTTTTCTCCAGGGCCATGGCAGCTTTCATGGCGTCTGGGGTTTTACCCCACTCATCTTCAGCTGGCTTCTATATAGAAGGGAGAAATGGCTCAGAATACACACACTCGGCACATAGAACTAAACCTACATTTCCCAAGAGTCGTTGGGGGTCAGAGGCCCAGGCCACAAAGACATGTGACAGCTTGTATTTATCACTCTCCGCACCCTGTCCTAGCTCTTACAGCTATACGTCCCTAAGACCACGCAGCGGTGTGGACTGCCGCGTGTTGTGGGCACTGCACGAGGTGCGCCTCTATTTCCAGCGGTTAAGAGGGCTCACAAGACCGAACTCAATCTCCCAGAAGCCCACGCGACACCTACGCCCTCAAATCAAGGCTCCTCGCGCGCACGGCCTGCTGGGAGATGTAGTCCATTACCCACACACTAGTTACCTTGATGTCCTGGAAGAGAGCGCGGCCGCCACGCTGGTTTTGCATCTTCAGGAGACGCTCGTAGCCCTCGCGCTTCTCCTCGGCCAATTCGCGGAAGAAGTGGCTCACGCCTTCCAGAGCCACATCATCGCGGTCGAAATAGAAGCCCTACGGGAAGAGATGGAGGCAACAATGGTTAGCGGGAGGCGAGGCCAAGGGGACTCCGCCCTCTGTTTACCCGACCGCACAAAGAAGGCTGGCGCGTGCAGTGAGGGCCGGAGGTGCGCAGCTGGAGGAAATTAGGGCCAGGGGCGTCCTGGGGACTCACCAGAGAGAGGTAGGTGTAGGAGGCCTGCAGGTACAAATTGACCAGGCTGTTGACGGCTGCCTCCACGTCGGTGGAATAATTCTGACGAATCTGGGAGCTCATGGTTGGTTGGCAAGAAGGAGCTAACCACAAAAACGGTGCTGGCAGGTCCCAGAAGCAGGAGATGGCCGAGAAGATGGTCCCGGAGGTTGCAAGCGGAGAGGAAATCGGAGGGCGGTCGGAGGCTGGAAGAGAGTCCCCGGATCTGTTCCGTCCAAACACTGTTGAAGCAAGAGACAGACCCGCGGGACCGCCGAACTGCGAGGGGACGTGGCTAGGGCGGCTTCTTTTATGGTGCGCCGGCCCTCGGAGGCAGGGCGCTCGGGGAGGGCTAGCGGCCAATCTGCGGTGGCAGGAGGCGGGGCCGAAGGCCGTGCCTGACCAATCCGGAGCACATAGGAGTCTCAGCCCCCCGCCCCAAAGCAAGGGGAAGTCACGCGCCTGTAGCGCCAGCGTGTTGTGAAATGGGGGCTTGGGGGGGTTGGGGCCCTGGGGCTGATTCTGGAAATGCAGGGGTTCGTGGGCGGGAGGGTGGGGGCTGGGGTCCCTCTGGGAGGCTAGAGTTTTATGGGAGCACTAACAGCCCTGTGAACTGATGACCCTGGGGTCCTGGGGTGCCTCGGGAAAGTAAGATTCTGGGGTTTCCGAGGGCATGGATTTTTCTGGAACCTTGAGTGGGGGGAGGGGCACCTCAAAGGTGCAGGGAGGACCTGTAGTTGCCTGAGGTTTGCGCTGCGAGATAAGGAGTCTCCGGATCCTTGGGAAGCTTGGAAGGCTGTGAGGTGTTATTTCTGGACCCCTGGAGATCTCTGGAAGATGGAGTGTTGCGGGGACTGGAGTCCTGGGATTTACAGGGGTGGGGGTTCACGATGCAAACTCTCTATATTTTGGAGCCCTCCCCGGGGAAATCTTTAGGTTCTTGAGGTGCTCTGCAAGTTGGAAAGGGCAGTTATTCTGGAGCCGTGGGTTTCACCCAGTGCGGGAAGCCCAGGAGGAGCATTGTATGAGGTAGGGTGACTTCTGGAACCCTGGACAGCCCTCTGGAACCCTCCAAAGATGGGCTGGGACTTTGGGGATACCTTGGAGCTCTTTCAGGGGCCCAGGCTTTTTCTGGGAGTGGAAATGGGGAGGAATGAAAAGTCTGTTTTGAGCTTTGCGGTGTCTCTGGGATTGCATTTCCTGGAGGCTGTTTTGGAGACAACTCACAGACTTCGAGAATTCTCCGTGGCCCTGAACAGTGTCTCTGAAGTTGCCCTCGTGTCTTGCCTGACGTGTGCTCCTTCAGGCCCACAAAGAGAAGCCCTGCGTTGTGGACAAACAGTCTGGGGACCTATGGACGAGACGTCTGTCTTCGACTAATGCATATTTTTTAAGTGGGCCTGGTCCACGTTGATTTCTGGGAGACGGAGTCGGCGCAAACCTTGACTCTACTTAAGTGCCCTGATGGAGGCAGCCCGTGCGCTGGGCAGGGAGCTGAAGCCACTGGGGTGTGGGGTGAGGTCAGGCCCTGCCCTACAGAGGAGCTGCTCCGAACAGCCCAGGCGGGGCAGCCCCTGACCGAGGGGATCTGCAGATGCCCCGCCAGGCCGGTATCTGGGGTCCTTGTTGCAGGCAGCGACTGCTGAGTCATGCTGAGCTCAGCGCGGGAAGGGGCCCCCGCGGGGACGGATGGGGGTGGGGCCACTCGCTGACCTCATCCCCTTGGCACTCCCCGACTTTTTTGGTGGGACCCTCAGAACTAGACCTGGCTCAGACCCAAATCGGGCCCCCTACCCCAAGGTCCCCCCTTGTTGGAAGCCGGCTGTGTGCTTTGTCTCCGTGTCTTTTTGGTTCCCATAATTTTTTTTTTTCTGGGATCCTGCCTGTGGCCATATTGTCCCCTCACTCTGGGTGGTGGCTCAGTGTACACTCATTGATCCTCTGCCCCTCTCTCTCCCCTGACTTGGGGTCTCTGGGAAGAGTCCATGGAGGAGGGGCAGCCGTCCAAAGCACCCCGTTGACTGTGGGGCCCGAGTTACTCATTTACCAAATGTCATACCTCAGCCCAGAGACCTTTAGTCGGCCGAGAGGGGCCTTGGGGCCCATAGGTGGAGGGAGAGGAGGGGCTGAGAGAGACAGGATCTGAAGACCATAGAGAACGTGGGGTGGGGAGACAGAGGCCCAGAGAAAAAGAGACTCAGACAGAGACCCTGAGAGAGAGGGGGACAGAGACCCAGAGAGAGGGGAAAACAGACCCGGAGACAGAGGGGTACAGAGACCCTGAGAGAGAGGGGAGGGGGACAGACCTAGAGAGAGGAGGGCAGAGACCCAGAGGGAGGGGAAAAGAGACCCAGAGAGAGGGGGGGACAGAGGTGGGGGGGGACAGAGGCAGGGAGGTACAGAGACCCAGGGGTGGGGGGGATAGAGACCCAGAGGGACCCGGCGGGAGGGGACAGAAATCCAGAGTGGGGGACAGAGATCCAGAGAGAGGTGGGGACAGAGATCCAGAGAAGGGGGTACAGAGACCCAGAGAGAGGGGGGACAGGGACTCAGAGAGAAGGGGACAGAGACTAGGGAGGACTGAGACCTGGGGGGGCGGGGACAGGGACCCGGGGGCGGGGGACAGAGACCGGGGAGAGGGAAAGAGACCCAGAGAGAGGGGAGGTACAGAGACCCAAGAGAGAGTGACAGCCAGAGAGAGGACAGAGACCCAGAGAGAGGGAGACAGAAACTCAGGGTCGGGGGACAGACCCAGAGAGAGATGGGGGGCCAGAGATCCAGAGGGGGGGACAGAGACCCAGAGAGAGGGGGCCAGAGGTCTGGGTGCCAGGGGTGGAAAGAGGCCCAGAGAAAGAGGGCCAAAGGTGGGGTGGGAACAGAGGCTCGGAAAGCAAAGACCCAGAGCATGGGGACAGAGACCCAGAGATGGGAGGGGGTAAAGACCCAGAGGGGGGTGCCAGAGACCCTGTGACTGAGAACCCACATCCTCTAGCCCCCTTGTCTTCGCTCCGCCTGTGTCTAAGGTCACTGGGCCTCTGAGCTCAGCACCTTCTTCCGGCAGTTCCTCTCCAGGGGGGCCCCACCCAGCTGTGGGGCCAGACCAGGTTCCTCCTCCTCTGCCCTGCCCTCCAGCCTCTCAGTCGCCAGCCAGGTCCCTTCCTCTCTGTCCTCAGCCCAGCTCAGGAGGCCTCTCCCGTGGGCCCTCGCCCTGGTGTCCTCAGCCTGCCACCCTCCAGCGACCTCACCACCAGGCTCCAGAGCCCTTCCTGCTCCTCTGGTCCTCCCATCCCTCCTCCCCCCACTCCCATTCTCCAGCTCGGTAAAGGTATGGCCTCCTGAGGTCCCACGTGTGACACGCCAGGCTGTGGTCCCCGGGCCGAGGAGGCTTGCTCTGCAGCCGGCCGTGCTGTTCTTCCCTTACCCACACGCCTGCTTGGGCCTCACAGGCCGCTGCCTCTGTCCCGCACAGATCATCCTGGGCTGCGACAGATGTACCACCTATCACCCTCGTTTCCCGTGAGCTCCCTTTTCCTTTCCCGTGAGCTCCCTTCTTTTCCTTTCCCGTGAGCTCCTGCAGGTCAGGCCCAGGACCAACTCATCCCTAACCCACAGACCCCACAGGGCACCCCAGAAAAAGATGTCAAGTGAGTGCAGAGAGCCCCACGTCCCTGAGTGGCCCAAGCAGGTATCTCTAGGCCAGCAGACGGCGGGCCCGGCGTGGGGCAGCGGACAGGGCCTGCTCTCCTGACGTGCCGGGGAGCGGGGCAGAGGCCCAGTGACTCAGATGCCGAAGTGTGTCCCGAAGGAGGTTTATTACCCCCTCAAGACCACTCTTCCCCACACCCCCCAATAATTACAAAAGTAAGAAAAATGCCCACGTCCCCCAATCCCCACCCCTCCCAGAAAAATGCCATAATTTATGGAGGAAAAACACAGTCCAAGGCAGCTGGGGGCCTCAGCCCATCTTCTTCCAGATGGTGAGTGAGGCGGTGAGCACTCCCGCCACAAAGATGGTCACGGTCTGCCACGTGGGCGTCCCAAAGTAGGAGAGGAGGCCGTCCTGGAGACAGGGACATCAGTCGCTTCAGTGACTCGGCCAGGGGCAGCCCCTGGGCAGGCAGAGGCGGGATCAGGGACGGAGGAGGCCAGAAGGCAGGATTGCGGGCAGGGGACTGAGATGAACGGGCATTAAAGAGCTGGACTCAGGCCAGGCATGGTGGCTCACACCTGTAATCCCAGCACTTTGAGAGGCTGAGGCGGGAGGATCGCTTGAGGCCAGGAGTTCGAGACCAACCTGGGCAACATAGCGAGACCCCTTCTCAGTGGGGAAAAAAAAAAAAAGGAAAGAGCTAGGGTCAGAGGGTCATCAATGAACTTGAGCAATTCCAGAGGCAGTGGAGGCTCCAGGGAGGGCAGAAGGCACTAATCAAGTCAAGGTCACAGTGAGGTCAGGGGTCACTGGGAGGTCAGCAGGGTAGATGAATCGGGGATTGATCAGACACGTAAGGAAAACGCATTATAGACCACATCTGATGATCTGAAGATGGGGAGAGGGCACCACTGTGACCTGCTCCAGAAGGCCCAGGGTCCCAGAGGAGTGGCGGGGGGCAGGGACGGTGGGGCAGGGGCGGTGGTGAGGGCGCGGTGGTGGGGGTGAGGAGGCTTGAGGAGTCTCACCCAACCACCCTGGTCTTGGATCCAGCCCAACAGCCGCTCCCGGAGGAAGTCCAATGTCCAGCCCATGATGGTTCTGATCAGTTCCGGCACCTTGGTGCACAGGGCCTGTGGGGAGTGGAGTGGGCGTTAGGGACTGAACCTTGTCCCCACTGCCTGGAGATAGTGGCCCCAAACCTCCTTTGTCAATTCTTTGCCTCCCCTCAAAGATTTCTGCCACCCACAATTGAAGTCGGCTTCAAAAATTGTAAACATGGCCAGGTGCGGCGGCTCATGCCTGTAATCCCAGCACTTTGGGAGGCCAAGGCAGGCGGATCACTTGAGGTCGGGAGTTCAAGACCAGCCTGACCAATACGGAGTAATGCCATCTCTACTAAAAATACAAAATTAGCCGGGCGTGGTGGCACATGCCTGTAATCCCAGCTACTTGGGAGTCTGAGGCAGGAGAATTGCTTGAACCCGGGAGGCGGAGGTTGCAGTGAGCCGAGGTTGCGCCATTGCACTCCAGCCTGGGCAACAAGAGCAAAACTCCATCTCAAAATAAATAAATACAAAAATTAGCTGGGTGTGGTGGCAGGCACCTGTAATCCCAGCTCCTTGGGATGCTGAGGCAGGTGAATCGCTTGAACCCAGGAGGCAGAGGTTGCAGTGAGCCCAGATCACGCCATTTCACGCCAGCCTGGACAATAGAGCAAGAATCCGTCTCAAAAAATAAATAAATAAAAAAAATAAAATTGTAAACAAGATAATGTTACTCTCAACTGCCCCACCCCTGAGCCTTCTGTGGCTCCCCAGTACCCTCAGGATGAAGACCCGAAGGCACAGTGCAGCCCACAAGCCCTGTGTGCAGGCTTTGGCCTGACCTCACTCCACCTTTCCACTTCCTGTTTTGTGCCTCGCTGAGCTGCTTCCATTTTTTTTTTTTAAGATGGAGTCTTGCTCTGACACCCAGGATGGAGTGCAGTGGCGCAATCTCGGCTCACTGAAAGCTTTGCCTTCTGGGTTCAAGCAATTCTCCTGCCCCAGCCTCCCAAAGGGTTGGGATTACAGGTGCCTGCCAACATGCCTGGCTAATTTTTTTTTTTTTTTTTGAGATAGAGTTTTGATCTTGTTGCCCAGGCTGGAGTACAATAGTGCAGTCTCGGCTCATTGCAACCTCCGCCTCCCAGATTTAAGTGATCCTCCTGCCTGAGCCTCCTAAGCAGCTGGTATTACAGGCATCCGCCACCACACCGGGCTATTTTTTTTTTTTTTTTTGAATTTTTAGTGCAGACAAGGTTTCACCATGTTGGTCAGGCTGGTCTCAAACTCCTGGCCTTAGGTGATCCGCATGCCTCAGCCTCCCAAAGTGCCGGGATTACAGGTGTGAGCCACCATGCCCAGCCCCATTTTTTTTTTTTTTTTTAATTTTTTAAATTCCCATCAAATTCTTCCTGCCTCGGGACTTCTTCATGTACTCCTGTTTCCGCCTAAACAGGCCTCGACGAAGCAAATTCTTACCCTTCAGCTCTCAGGGCAAATGTCACTTCCCCAGAGAGGACTTTTCTTTTTTTTTTTTTTTTTTTTTTGAGACGGAGTCTCACTCTGTCGCTCCAGGCTGGAGTGCAGTGGTGCAATCTCAGCTCACTGCAAACTCCGCCTCCCAGTTCACGCCATTCTTCTGCCTCAGCCTCCCGAGTAGCTGGGACTACAAGTGCCCACCACCATGCCCGGCTAATTTTTTGTATTTTTAGTAGAGACGGGGTTTCACCATGTTAGCCAGGATGGTCTCGATCTCCTGACCTCATGATCCCCCTGCCTCGGCCTCCCAAAGTGCTGGGATTACAGGCGTGAGCCACCACGCCCAGCCAGAGAGGACTTTTCTGGACCAGAGAAGATCAACCCCTGACCATGGACCCCGACCTGCTCTCCCAACTCCCAAGACTTCTCCTGCAGCCTTTATCTGGCCACTTCTATTCTATCATCCCCGCTCTGTAGGTGGTGCCACCATCACCTGCACTGCTATTCCCCTCATCTCGGACGTTCAGGCCCCATCAGCTCAATCTTGAAAACACATCAAGAAATATCCCTCTCAGCTGAGCACGGTGGCTCACGCCTGTAATCCCAGCACTTTGGGAGACCGAGGCAGGCGGATCACCTGAGGTAAGGAGTTCGAGACCAGCCTGGCCAACATGGTGAAACCCCATCTCTACTAAAAATGCAAAAATTAGCTGGGTGTGGTGGCGGACGCCTGTAATCCCAAGCTACTCGGGAGACTGAGGCAAGAGAATCGCTTAAACCCAGGAGGTGGAGGTTGCAGTGAGCTGAGATCGCGCCACTGCACTCCAGCCTGGGTGCAACCGAGAGAGACTCCGTCTCAGGAAAAAAAAAAAAGAAAGAAAGAAAGAAATATCCCTCCCATTTGCTGGTGTGGTGGGGAGAGCCTGTAATCCCAGCTTCTCAGGAGGCTGAGGTAGAATTGCTTGAACCCAGGAGGTGGAGACTGCAGTGAGCCAAGGTCATGCCACTGCATTCCAGCCTTGGTAACAGAGCGAGACCCTGTATCAAAAAAAAAAAAAAAAAAAAAAAAAAATCTTCCAAAAAGAAATATCCCTCCCTGTTGGAGACCAGCCTGGACAACATAGCGAGACCCCGTCTCTATAGAAAAAGACTAATGCAACAGTTAGTGGGGCGTGGTGGCATGCTCCTGTAGTCTCAGCTACTCTGGAGACTGAGGCGAGAGAACTGCTTGACCCCAGCGGTTTGAGGCTGCAGTGAGCTATGATCACTACTGCACTCCAGCCTGGCCAACAGAGCAAGACCCTACCTCTTAAAAAAAAAAATGCCCCCCCCGCACCTCTGCTGCTACCACCAGGGCTTGTCATCTTTCAGCAAGACTATGACAGGTGCCACCTCTCCAGGATCCTCGCTTCTGCCCTTGTGCCTCATGATCTCTTTTGGCCAACAACAGCCAGGAGCATTTCACCACCACCCCCACCACATTTTCTTATGAGAATCTTCATAATGAAAAGTTAAAAGAATTTCACAGTTAAAAGCCATATAGCCGCCACCTATAATTAGATTCTACAATTAACATTTTGCTATACAGACAGTCCCCAACTTATGACGGTTTGACTTACAATTTTGACCTTACTATGGGTTTATCGGGGCATTGAATGCATTTTCAACTTATGTTATTTTCAATTTATGATGGGATTACTAGGATGTAACACCATTGCAAGTCAAGGGGCATCTATACTTGCTAGAATAATCTCTTAAAGTTATAAATCAGGTCTTGTCGCTTCCGTATTTAAAACCAGCCAATCACTCCCATCACACTCAGAGTAAAGTTAAAGTCTTTCCAGGCTGGGTGCAGTGGTTCACGCCTGTAATCCCAGCACTTTGGGAGGCCAAGGTGGGCGGATCACTTGAGGCCAGGAGTTTGAGACCAGCCTGGCCAACATGGCGAAACTCCGTCTCTACTAAAAATACAAAAACTAGCCAGGCATGGTGGTGTGTGCCTGTAATTCTAGCTACTTGGGAGGCTAAAGCATGAGAGTCACTTGAACCCGGGAGGCAGAGGTTGCAGTGAGCCGAGATGGCGCCATTGCACTCCAGCCTGGGCAACAAAGTGAGACTCTGTCTCAAAAAAAAAAAAAAAAAAAAAAAAAAAGAAAAGAAAAAGTCTTTCCAGCAGCCCGAAAAACTCCACACAATCTGCCCCTGCCCAACTGTGCCTTCCTTTCCCACCCTCTCCCCAGTTCACTCTGTTCCAACAGCACTGGCCTCCTCCCTACTGTCAAAAGATGAGGCTTGGTCCTACCTCAGGGCCTTTGCACTTGCTGTTCCCTCTACCAGATGCCTCTTCCCCCCGATCACTATAGATCACTGCATGCTTCTTATCATTCTAGCTTTGGCTTTAATGTCACCTGCTCTTTGATGTCACCTGCCCTTAGAAGTCTTTCCTGGCTTGTTGCGGTGGCTCATGCCTGTAATCCCAGCACTTTGGGAGGCCAAGGCAGGTGGATCACTTGAGGTCAGGAGTTCAAGACCAGCCTGACCAACATGGTGAAACCCGTCTCTACTAAAAATACAAAAAAAAAAAAAAAAAAAAAAAAAGCCAGGGATAATGGTGCACACCCATAATCCCAGCTACTCAGGAAGCTGAGGCAGGAGAATCGCTTGAACCTGGGAGGCAGAGGTTGCAGTGAACCAAGATCATGCCATTGCACTCAAGCCTGGGCAACAAGAGCAAAACTCCATCTCAAAAAAAAAAAAAAAAAAAATAGAAATCTTTCCTGACCACTCTGCTAAATCACACTGCCCACTTTACTTCACCCCTGCACGTGAACTCCCTGAGAGCAGGGATGTAGCCTGCTTTGTACAGTGCTGTGTCCCAGGTGCCAGGTATAGGCCTGGCACATAGCAGGTCCAGTAAATGCTTGTTGAATGAATAAAAGAAGGAGCAGACACCCAGTGCACAGCCATCTCTCTCCATGCCCTCTGTGGTCACTGGGCCACTGCAGGGGGTTGATACCACGATCCCCAGGTCCTCACAGATCTGAGGGGGAGCATCCCTGGGCTCACTGCCCTGCAGCTGCCCACCTTGAGCACCAGTTTGCTGGCAAAGTAGAAAAGGGCGACAACCCGGCCCCAGTTGAAGTTGCCGTCAGAAAACATGTCAGCTGCCACTCGGAAAAAGACCTCTCGGGGGGAGTCTGTGTCCACGGCGGCAATCATCCTGCAGGAGAGAGGAGAACCAGTGCCGGGGAGCAGGCATCAGGCTGATGGTGGAAAATTCCCGCATCCACCGCACACTAAAGATAAGGAGACTGAGCCCCAAGCCAGGCTGAAATGAAAAGCAACAGGCCAACGGGGGACAAGGGAAGGGGACAAGACAGACATTTAGGAAGGTGGGAAAAATGACTCCCTGAAGGAGGGTTTTAAGATCCTGGCAGAGAGGAGGGCTGGGAGTCCGGAATGTTTGCGCTGAGTTGTGGGGCCCAGACTCCTAGTTCTTAGGGGAGGAGGAGAATGCGGGGCTGAGAGTCCTGTGTCCTGAAGGAGCCCAGTGGCTGGACTTCTGGGTCCTCAGGGGCCCACACCTCTGCAGCTCCATGTTACTGTCCAGTTCGTCCCCGATGCGCTTGAGACACTCGCTCAGCTTCTTGGTGGACGCATCCTGAGGCACCGGGTCCAGGGCCAGCTCGGGTGCCTCCCCCCCCATTCGCCCTGCTCGATCCTGGATGAAACTAGAGTGGGGATGGAGTGAGGGTGCAGAATCAGAACGGGGTGTCACTCCTCAAATCTGTGCCACAATAATCAGACCTCAAACTCACCCCTGAAGCAAAAGGGCCCCTGTCTTCATGATCTGCTCAGAGCTGGTGGGCCCTAGAGGAGAAAGGAAGGGAAGAGGTACCTGGACTCTTGGGTTCTAGGGGATCAGGAGACTGTGGAGACTCACGGCCCCTGAGGGAGGACAGAGCTGGGGACCCTGGACTTCTGGGACCCTAGCAGATAAAGTGACGGGGGGGCCCAGACAACTGAGTCCCTGATGGAGAAAGGCCAGGAGGCTGGGCCTGTATCCTACATTCTCCCCGGGGAAAGAGGCTAGGGGAACGCTATATGCATCCAGACCCCTGGCCTGAGGGGGCAGAGGCGAGACCCGCCCCTCCCACCAGTGCCAGAGGCAGGAAGTGGTGCGGGCGACAAGCCCGGGCCTGCCCGGGGGCTTGGCTTCCGAGATCCCCTGGTTCTCGAGGGTCCGAGAGCGCCAGAGAGGCAGGGATCGGGACACGGGGATCAGAGAGCCAGGAACCTCCGAGGACGGAGGGGACTGGAGGCTGGCAGCGCCCGATCCGGGAGTTTCTGCCCCTCAGTGCTTGGAGATCGCACAGCCCCAGGCCGGTAGGAAGGATCCCGGACGGGCCGGCGAGGGGGCTCGCCCTCCTCCCGCCCGTCTGCCTCCCGCCTCACCCCCGCCTCTGGGCTGCTCCCCGGACCCGTCCATCACCGCCGCTCCCGCCGCCGCCTCTCGCCGGGTCCGCGCGGGCGGCCGCAGCGCGCCCGGGTCACGTGAGAGCCCCGCTGAACGTGCGTCCTTCACGTGGCCGCCCCGCAAAATGGCCGCTGCCCCGCAGCGCCGCCGGGTCACGTGACCGCACCTGCCTCGCTCCCTCGGGAGGTTTGGTCCCGTCACGTGACTGTCCAATGAGCATCTCCCGATAAGTGCCAGCAGTGGCGCCGTCCAACAGCCGTCCGTCCAATCGCAGCTCTAATGCCTTCATTTATCCAGGCACCATTTTTAGAAGTTTCGGGCAGGGTTTGAGCTCTCCCCAGCGCAGAAGGAATTAGCAAGTGCAAAAGCTCAGAGGCCCAAAATAGCATGCTTCCAGGCAGGACGTTATAGATGACTAAAAACTGAGTGGTTTTGTTTTTTGCAGAGACCTGGATCTAGCAATATAGCCCACGCCCAGGCTTGTCTCTAACTTGTGAGCCCAAGAGATAACCCCGTCTCAGCCTTCCAAAGCGCTGGGATTACAGGCATGAGCTACCGCGCCAGGCCTGCTTTTCTGTTTGTTTGTTTTTTCCTGTTTTTTTTTTTTTTTTTTTTGAGACAGGGTCTCACTGTGTTGCCCAGGCTGGAGTGCAGTGGCCCAATCATGGCTCACTGCAGTCTGGAATTCCCGGGCTGAAGCCTCCCACCTCAGCCTCCTGAGTAGCTGGGACTACACCGCCCCTGGTTAATTTTTAAAACTTTTTATGTGGAGATGAGGTCTCTCTATGTTGCCCAGGCTGGTCTCTGAACTCCCAGACTCAAGCGATCCTCGCACCTTGGCCTCCCAAAGTGCTGAGATTACAGGCTTGAGCCACCCCACCCAGTCATGACTCGAATGTTTGTGTTTGTGTAAAAAGAAAAGGAATATGAAGTTTAAAAAGTGGCAGAAACTAATCTGTGCTGATAGATCAGCAGGGTATGGAGGGGAGGGGCCACAAGAGACACTCCCCGGGTGCCCCAAATATGCCATATTTTTATCTGAATGGTGTTTACATGGGTATACACATTATTATTATTATTATTATTATTATTATTATTATTATTTTGAGACGGAGTTTTGCTCTTGTTGCCCAGGATGGAGTGCAATGGCACGATCTCGGCTTACTGCAACCTCTGCCTCCGGGTTCAAGCAATTCTCCTGCCTCAGCCTCCCAAGTAGCTGGAATTGCAGGCATGCGACACCACGCCCAGCTAATTTTGTATTTTTAGTAAAGATGGGGTTTCACTATGTTGGTCAGGCTGGTCTCAAGCTCCTGACCTCAAGTGATCCACCTGCCTCGGCCTCCCAAAGTGCTGGGATTACAGGCGTGAGCCACTGTGCCCGGCCGGGTATACACATATTTACAATTCATTGAGCTGTACACATAAGACTTGTGTGCTTTATGAATATTATGACATGTCACTTTAGACAGAAAATAATAGCAACTAAGGAAAACTCAGAAAAATGAGCTAGGATCAGATGATAAAGGGTTTGGGCCTGTCAGAGAAGGGACTTGATCTATGTCCAGAAGGCCGCTGGGAAGCATGGGGAAATTTTGAGCAGGCAAAGGGCAGAGTCAGACTAGGGTGTCAGGAAGATCTCTTGGACTTCCTTCTTTCTCGAAAAAGCTCCTGGTTGGGCTCAGTGGCTCACTTCTGTAATCCCAGCACTTTGGGAGGCCGAGATGGGTAGATCACCTGAGGTCAGGAGTTTGAGACCAGCCTGGCCAACACGGTGAAACCCTATCCCTACTAAAAATTCTAAATTAGCCAGGTGTGGTGGCAGGCACCTGTAGTCCCAGCTACTCGGGAGCTGAGGCAGGGGAATCGTTTGAATCTGGAGGCAGAGGTTGCAGTGAGCTGAGATCGTGACCTTGCACTCCAGCCTCAGTAACAAGAGGGAAACTCCAACTCAAAAAAAAAAAAAAAAAAAAAAAAAGCTCGCATAGCACCCAGGATGTGTAATGCTTCTCACAGCTGTAAATGTGTGCAGTGTTTTAATTTCATGTTGGTTTTTTTCATCCACCCAAAATTTCCACAAGGTTAATTTGTCCTCAATTCTCCCAGAAACCAGCATGTTACTTGATTCATAGTTATCTCTCAAAATGTGTTATTCAATAACTGTATGATTGAATGTTGGGGAGCATGCAGAAATCAGACATTGTCTGCCTCTGACATTCAGAGAAGACTTCTCAGAGGAGGTATTTCCTCTTGACCTTGAAGGATCAGTTTGTTTTGAAAATTGAAGAAAGGGGCCAGGTGTGATGGCTCATTCCTATAGTCCCAGCACTTTGGGAGGCCAAGGCAGGAGGATCACCTGAAGCCAGGAGTTCAGGACCAGCCTGGGCTGTACCATGGTGAGACCCTGTGTCAACTAAAAAACAAAAGAAAGGAGGGGGGGCCGGGCGTGGTAGCTCACACCTGTAATACCAGCTGTGTGGGAGGCCGAAGTGGGTGTATCATCTGAGGTCAGGAGTTTGTGACCAGCCTAGCCAACATGGCGAAACCCCGTCTCCACTAAAAATACAAAAAAATTAGCTGGGAGTGGTGGCGCGTGCCTGCAGTCCCAGCTGCTTGGGAGGCTGAGGCAGGAGAATCGCTTGAACCCAAGAGGCAGAGGTTGCAGTGAGCCAAGATCGTGCCACTGCACCCCAGCCTGGGCAACAGAGCAAGCCTCTATCTAAAAAAAAACAAAAAGAAAAGGAAGCAGAAAAAAAAGAAAATTAGCTGGATGTGGTGGTGCGTGCCTGTAGTCCCAGCTACTTGGGAGGCTGAGGTGGGAAGATTGTTTGAGCTTGGGAGGTCCCGGCTGCCGTGAGCTGTGATCAATTGCATCACTGCAATCAGACTGGGTGACAGAGGAAGAGCCTGTCTCAAAAAGAAAAAAGAAAAGAAAAAGCCAAGATAAAGGGGGAGGGTAGAGCTTAGGTGACAACCAAATGATAGCTTAGAGCAAAGCAAGGTCAACATTGGATCAGGACTGTGAAGTGAAACCAGTGTCCTGAATCGCTGGAAACAAGAAGGTACATGTGAAATGTTGCATCCAGAAACCCTTTATCTGAAGCTGTGCACCTGCTTTGGAAATCAAGGCTGCTACTCTGTATCAAGTGGATTAGATCCTGTCAGCAAGACTCGGATGTTTCATTTTTACTGATAGAATTTCCAACAATTTATGAATTTAGAGAACAAAGTCTCTGTAAGAAACCATGTCCTTGGCCAGCGTGGTGGCTCACACCTGAAATCCCACCACTTTGGGAGGCCAAGACAGGCAGATCACCTGAGGTCAGGAGTTTGAGACCAGCCTGGCCAACATGGTGAAACCCTGTCTCTACTAAAAATACAAAAATTAGCTGGGCGTACTGGTGTGCTCCTGTAATCCCAGCTACTTGGGAGGCTGAGGCCAGAGAATCACTTGAACCCAGGAGGCAGAGGCTGCAGTGAGCAGAGATCGTGCCATTGCACTCCACCTCGGGTGACAGAGCGAGACTTCATCTCAAAAAAAAAACAAACAAAGCGTATCCTTGAGAGAAATAGTGTTTCCTGTTAACTTTGCATCCGGCTTTATCTGTGTGTGTTACTCCAGTCCAATGAGATAGCCCTTCCCTACTCCAGTTACAGAGAAGGAAGGAAAGGGCTTTTAATGCAGGTATACACCTCTGAACAGTACAGTCACTGAGTGAGGGAATACACTTTTTAGCTAGTTGTGAAGTCAAAACTGTTTATTTTTATTTTTATTTATTTATTTTGAGACAGGATCTCCCTCTGTCGTCCAGGCTGGAGTGCAATGACACAACTGTGGCTCACTGCCACCTCGACCTCCTGGGCTCAAGGGATCCTCCCACCTCAGCTTCTGGAGTAGCTGGGACTACACGTGTGTGCCACTATGCACTGCTAATTTTGTATGTTTTGTAGGGAGAGGGTTTTGCCATGTTGCCCAGGCTGGTCTCAAACCCCTGGGCTCAAGTGAGCCACCTGCCTCAGTTTCCCACAGTGCTGGGACTACAGGCATGCGTCACTGTGCCTGACTAAAACTCTTTTTTGTGTGTTTTGTTTTGTTTTGCTTTGTTTTGTTTTTTGAGACGGAGTCTTGCTCTGTCGCCAGGCTGGAGTGCAGTGGTGTGATCTCAGTTCACTGCAACCTCCGCCTCCGGGTTCAAGTGATTCTCCTGCCTCAGCCTCCTGAGTAGCTGGGACTATAGGCGTGTGACAACGCCCTGCTAATTTTGATATTTTTATTAGAGATAGGCTTTTGCCATGTTGGCCAGGATGGTCTCGATCTCTTGCCCTCATGATCCGCCCGCCTTGGCCTCCCAAAGTGCTGGGATTACAGGCGTGAGCCACCGCACCCAGCCAAACTCTTTATAATAATAAAGATGCTGAATCAAAACTATTAAGCCCACATCCAAGATGGCACCTGAGGAGTCACACCTCCAGGTATTCATGCTGCTGTGTGGTCTCTGCCCACACTCAATAGGGCTAAACAGTGTGACCAAGAGGATATTGTGGAAATGACAGAGTGT
This sequence comes from Homo sapiens, assembly GCF_000001405.40. Lineage (NCBI taxonomy): Eukaryota > Metazoa > Chordata > Mammalia > Primates > Hominidae > Homo > Homo sapiens. The sequence goes on along the minus strand of NC_000019.10, from coordinate 48,950,381 downwards.
GATTTCACAGGACAGGTCAGAAAAGCCACTACAGCTTCCACCTTGTTCCCTTTCAGATCACTTCCTTTAAGGAAAGCCAGCTGCCATGTGGTGAGTGTCAGGCCTCTGAGCCCAAGCTAAGCCGTCATATCCCCTGTGACCTGCACGTACACATCCAGATGGCCGGAAGCAACTGAAGATCCACAAAAGAAGTGAAAATAGCCTTAACTGATGACATTCCACCATGGTGATTTGTTCCTGCCCCACTCTAACTGATATGATATATTCTCCCCTCCACCCCACTTAAGAAGGTACTTTGCAATATTCTCCCCACTCTTGAGAATGTAATTTGTACACCTATCCCAAACCTATAAGAACTAATGATAATCCCACCACCCTTTGCTGACTCCCTTTTCAGACTCAGCCCACCTGCACCCAGGTGAAATAAACAGCCTTGTTGCTCACACAAAGTCTGTTAGGTGGTCTCTTTGCACGGACACGTGTGACAGTGAGGACACTCAAGCAGTCATACTCTGGCGAAACACGGGTGGCAGGAAACCAAGTCCTCTGGCCAGGTGAGTTAATCATTTTGGAAAGGGATTCTTCAGCCCCAGTCAAGCTTTCAGGTGAAGATAGTCCTGACTGATGTCATGACTGCAATTTTCAGGGAGACCCTGAGCTGGAACCACCCAGCTAAGCCACCCATTAATTTCTTTTTTCTTTCACCCAGGCTGGAGTGGAGTGGTGCAATCTTGGCTCACTGCAACCTCCGCCTCCCAGGTTCAAGAGATCTCTGCTGTCTCAGCCTCCCGAGTAGCTGGGATTACAGGCATGCACCACCATGCCCAGGTGATTTTTGTATTTTTAGTAGAGATGGGGTTTCACCATGTTGGCCAAGCTGGCTAGAACTCCTGATCTCAGGTGGTCTGCCCGCCTTGGCCTCCCGAAGTGCTGGGATTACAGGTGTGAGCCACTGTGCCCGGCCTAATTTTTGTATTTTTAGTAGAGACGGGATTTCACCATGTTGGCCAGGTTGGTCTTGAACTCTTGACCTCAAGTGATCTGCCCACCTCAGCTTCCCAAAATGCTCAAATTACAGGCATGAGCCACTGCACCTGACAGAGGCTGGGTAATTTATAAACAAAAGAGGTTTGCTGGGCACAGTGGCTCACACCTGTAATCCTAGTACTTTGGATTTGCCAAGGCAGGCAGGTTACCTAACGTCAGGAGTTCAAGACAAAAAAAAATTAGCCGTGTGCAGTGGTGCACACCTGTAATCCTAGCTACTTGGGAGGCTAAGCAAAAGAATCACTTGAACCTGGGAAGCAGAGGTTGCGGTGAGGTGAGATCGTGCCACTGCACTCCACCCTGGGCCACAGAGTGAGACTTCATCTCAAAAAAAAAAAAAAAAATGAGGTTTAATTGGCTCATGGTTCTGCAGACTGTGTACAGCAAGTGTAACACAGGCTTCTGCTTCTGGGGAGGCCTCAGGAAGCTTCCAGTCATGGCAGAAGGTGAAGGGGGAACAAGCATCTCACAAGGCGGGAGAAGGAGCAGGAGAGAGTGGGGAAGGTGCTACACTGCCAAGACCAGCTCGGTTGGGGAGACCCTAACCCAGTGGCGCTAGAGGAATTAAAGACACACACACAGAAATATAGAGGTGTGGAGTGGGAAATCAGGGGTCTCACAGCCTTCAGAGCTGAGAGCCTCGAACAGAGATTTTTTGACAGTAAGCCAGTGATAAGCATTGTTTCTACAGATTATAGATTAACTGAAAGTATTCCTTATGGGAAACAAAGGGATGGGCCGAAATAAAGGGATGGGCTCTGGCTAGTTATCTGCAGCAGGAACATGTCCTGAAGGCACAGATCAGTCATGCTATTTTTTGTGGTTTAAGAACGCCTTGAAGCAGTTTTCCACCCTGGGTCGGCCAGGGATTCCTTGCCCTCATTCCAGTAAACCCACAGCCTTCCGGCATGGGCGTCATGGCCATCACAAACATGTCACAGTGCTGCAGAGATTTTGTTTATGGCCAGTTTTGGGGCCAGTTTATGGCCAGATTTTGGGGGTCTATTCCCAACACTACACATTTTCAAATGACCAGATCTCGAGAGAACTCACTGTCGTGAGGGTGATACCAAGGTGATGGTGCTAAACCATTCACGAGAAAGCCACCCCCATGAGCCAATCACCTTGTACCAGGCCCTGCCTCCAAAACTGGAAATTAAATTTCAAGATGGGATTTGGGCAGGGACTCAGATCCAAACTACATATCAGTCACCTTCTCATTTTTTTTTTTTTTTTGAGATGGAGTCTCACTGTGTCACCCAGGCTGGAGTGCAGTGGCGTGATCTTGGCTCACAGCAAACTCCGACTCCCAGGTTCATGCCATTCTCCTGCCTCAGCCTTCCGAGTAGCTGAGACTATAGGCGCCCGCCACTATACCCAGCTAATATTTTTGTATTTTTAGTAGAGACGGGGTTTCACCGTGTTAGCCAGGATGGTCTCGATCTCCTGACCTCATGATCTGCCTGCCTCGGCCTCCCAAAGTGCTGGGATTACAGGCGTGAGCCACCGCACCCGGCCCCATCAGTCACCATCTCATTTATTCCTCAGCAGAGGAAAGTTAGTAGTACCCCTTTACTGATGAAGAGACAAACAGAGGCTGGGGGAGAGTGTATTTAGGGACACTTCCTACCCACACGCTATTAGTTTCCTGAGGTCACAGGCACCATCTGGCTCCAGTGCCCAGGCCTACACTTAACTGGTGAAACTGTTACAGGATCTTTGGGGTGTTGCTTTTCTGGCCAGAAACCTCTGTGGCTGGTGGTGCCTTTGCCCTAGTTCTTGTCCTGTGTCCAGGAAGAATGAGGTATGCAGACAACGGAAGGGTGAAAAAGACAAACAGGAGCTTTATTGAGTATTACAACAGCTCAGGGGAGACCCGCAGTGGGTAGTTCTTCTCTGTAGGCAGGTTGTCCCACCAAGTGCTCAGCTCTCAGTAGAGAGGAGCCCTGGAGAGGGTAGCTCCGCTCTGTAGCTGGTCATCCTGTTGTCTCTCTGTCCTCTGCTGGCTCTGGCTGAGCCTGGGGCTTTTATGGGCCTCACAGAGGGGAAGTGCATGCTTATTGGTCCATGGCAGGATGGGTGGGCCCAGGAAAAAGCACCATGAGTTCCCCCTTCAGTCCACAGGACTGGCACCCTGGCCCCCAGGCTTCAAACCTGCCTGGCCTGAAGGTGGGGCTTCACTGGGGACCTGCCCCCTTCTGCCCAGGAGCCTGTCTGCCTCCCATGGCCATCCATGGTGCCCAGGCTGCTGGCACCAAGGGGCACCTTCACGCCAGCACCCAGCCACCCTTAGCACCCCCTCAGGTTCCCCTCTTGTGCTCCTCGGCACCCAATGTCTGGAGGAGGCCAAGGTGGCAGAGTGCTCGCACATGTTAGCACTACCCTGAGCATGTGCACACCTGGTGGACAATGTCAGCACCTGGGCTCAGCCCCAACCCCACTCTGAGATCAGAGCAAGAGAGGGAGTGGGGAGAGGCCAGGCAGTGGTAGCAGGCACCTCTGAGCCTACAAGGACAAGGGAGGCCTTTCCAGGCCTCTCAGGAGTGCAGGGATGCCTGGGTCTACAGCCCCGGTTTGGGGGCTGCAGCTGTGCCTTGGGGGGCGGGGCTCCTGCCTGCTCTGTAGAGCAGGAGGCCCACATCCACATCCATAGACACAACTGGGTGTGGCTCCTGTCTACTCCCAGCTCCCAATAGCACGGGGGTGTCTGGATTGCAGCCACGGCCTGGGCAGCTGCAGTTGCTCCTGCGGAGCTCTCACCCTCCTGATCTTGGAAGGGGCAGGGCTCCCGTGTGTCCCCAGCTCCTGCCAGCTCCATGAAGCATGGCACCTGACTGTACCCATGTGCAGCCAGGGGTGGGAGCTCTGGGTCCTTACTAGGACTGGGCTGGCATCGGGGGCCGAAGCAACATGGCTGTGAGCTCCTCCTGTGACCCTGGCACTCAGAGACGGCCTGGAGCTCCCCCTCACCTGGCACAAAACCCGGCCCAGCTCTGTGGGGGCAGCCCCCCGGGCAGCGGACTGCAGGGGTGAGGGTCTGTCCATCTCTTTTCTGTGCCCTCCCGGCAGCAGCCAGCATGATGGCCCCGGCTGTACCAGATGGCCCACTGCTGCCATTAAAACCCATGCCAAGGAAAGTCAAAGAGATAGAGAAAAACAGAGTCCTGGGCTGATGCCTGCCCTGCCCTGAAGGCTTTAATTACCAAGCATTCCATTCCTGTGCAGGCTTTTTTTTTTTTTTTTTTTTAAGAGACGGGGTCTCACTATGTTGCCCAGCCTGGTCTCAAACTCCTGGCCTCACGTGGTCCTCCTGTCTCAGCCTCCCAAAGTGCTGTGACCCCCATGCCTGGCCTTGTGGAGACATTCTGAGTTGTGTTTCTGACACTGTCCAAAGGAACAGCCTGACTACTATATTGAATTCAAGGAGAGACAATTACAGGCAGGAAGAGCAACAAGAACAAAAGCTGGGTGGCTTTCAGGAGTCCAGAAAAAGACTGATTTTTGAGGTGAGAAATCAAGTTGTTTTGCAAAAGTCACTCCAAGGCAATGAGGGTCAAACCCCAGAGAGGCCGTGACAGGCAAACGGTGGATCTTCCCACAGGTGTCTGTGCCAGGAGCTTCTGGGAATGTGGTCCTGACCCTGCACATTCCTCCCTCTCCAAAATCATTCTTTTTTTTTTGAGACTGGGTCTGTCTCTGTCACCCAGGCTGAAGTGCAGTGGTGCAATCATGACTCACGGCAGTTTCAACCTCCTGGACTCAAGCAGTCCTCCCACTTCAGCCTCCCAAGTAGGTGGGACTACAGGTGCGGGCCACCATGCCTGGATAATATTTTTATTTTTTGTAGAGACAAGGTCCTGTCATGTTACCCAGGCTGGTCTCGAAATCCTGGCCTCAAGCAAGTCTCCCACCTTGGCCTCTCGAAGTGCTGAGATTACAGGTGTGAGCCACCATGCCCGGCCTTCCCTCATCATTCTGCCCGAATTATTTTTTTTTTCTTTCTTTTTTTTTTCTTTGAGATAGAGTTTCGCTCTTGTTGCCCAGGCTGGAGTGCAATGGCACGATCTCGGCTCACCGCAACCTCCGCCTCCCAGGTTCAAGTGATTCTCCCGCCTCAGCCTCCCAAGTAGCTGGGATTACAGGCATGCGTCATTATGCCCGGCTAATTTTGTATTTTTAGTAGAGATGGGGTTTCACCATGTTGGTCAGGCTGGTCTCAAACTCCTGACCTCAGGTGATCCACCCTCCTCGGCCTCCCAAAGTGCTGGGATTACAGGCATGAGCTGCCATGCCCAGCCCTGCCCAAATTCTTTTCTAGTGACCCTTTGATACTGGGTTCTCCAGCTTCTGCCAAACCACTACCACGAAGATGTAAGATGTCTTTATTTATTCGGGGATACATCAGCGTTTGTCTTGGGGGAAGGTGACTCCAATGGCCTTCCTCACCTCTTCAAGGATGTCAGCCAGGAGCTCACTTTCCGACAGGGGAATCACAGGACTTTCCTTCATACCTGTGGGGAGAGTGTAGTTAGGGACCCCTCCTACCCACGCGCCCAAGACCCAAAGAACTACAATTCCCAGAATTCCATGTGGCACAATATACATGGTTCAGGCAGATGGATGCTGCAGGGGTTCCTGAGAGATATAGTTCTTTTTTTGGAGTGAGAGTCTTGTTCCGTTGCCCAGGCTGGAGTGCAGTGGTGCAATCTCGGCTCACTGCAACCTCCTGGGAGATGTAGTTCTAAACAGCAGGGTGACAGAGCAGGTGGGGAGGGGCCCAACATCCCCCTACCAGGCCTGGCGCCTGCCCCGCATCCATATCCTTACCCTTGCGTAGGCACTCCCAGACGTGCTTGGCCTCATAACTCATGCCTGCCCCGTTGTCAAAATTGCAGTCCTTTGGGACTGGGGGCAGCGGGAACTCCTTATGCTCCCCCTTCACCACCAGCTCGGTCGGGCACCAGCAGGGGTTGAGGAGCTGGAGGGAGAGAAGAAGTGGCACTGCTGCCTTCACCAACGGTGCTGCTGAGGCTGCCTCCAGGAACATGCCAGGTGGTGCACAGGGGCCTCCCTCTTGAACCTGGTGGCTAAGAGCTTGCCCTGTCCATCCCCGGGGAGCTTTGGACCCTCCTTCATTTCTAGTTGCTAGAAGTTTGTTCCTTAGCAACGCTGATGTGACACAAAAATCCTGTCTGTCTCCCCAGGAGCAAACCTCTCCCTAACCTTAGGAGCTTAGAAACAAGGTGTTCTTAAGGTCTAGAGAGGAGGGCTTATCTTTGTGTGTCTGTGAACCATGTTTTCTTCTTATTTATTTTCTTTCTTTCTTTCTTTCTTTTTTTTGAGATGGAGTCTCGCTCTGTCGCCCAGGCTGGAGTGCAGTGGATCAATCTCGGTTCACTGCAACCTCCACCTCCTGGGTTCAAGTGATTTTTCTGCCTCAGCCTCCCGAGTAGCTGGGATTACAGGTGCCCACTACCATGCCTGACTAATTTTTTTTTTTTTTTTTGTGAGACGGAGTTTCGCTCTTGTTGCCCAGCCTGGAGTGCAATGGCTCGATCTCGGGTCACTGCAACCTCCGCCTCTCGGGTTCAGGCAATTCTCCTGCCTCAGCCTCCTGAGTAGCTGGGATTACAGGCATGCACCACCACACTTGGCTAATTTTTGCATTTTTAGTAGAGACAGGGTTTCATCATGTTGGTCAGGCTGGTCACAAATACCTGACTTCAGGTGATCCACCCGCTCTGGGCTGCCAAAGTGCTGGGATTACAGGTGTGAGCCACCGCGCCCAGCCTGTATGTTTTTTTTAGTAGAGACGGGGTTTCACCATGTTGGCCAGGCCAGTCTTGAATTCCTGAGCTCAAGTGATCTGCCTGCCTTGGCCTCCCAATCACGCTGGGATTACAGGTGTAAGTCACCATGCCTGGCTATAAAATAGGGTTTTTTTTTTTTCTAGCAACAAGGCCCCAGGAAGACCAGTTAAGCTGACCTTTGGTAACACCCAGATCCTCCCCCGGATGCACTTCCGAAATTCACAACTGCCCACTAAGCATGGTTGATAATAACTGGCTTCTCCTCAGGACTAAAGATAGATATTTGAGACAGGATCTCACTCTGTCACTCAGGCTGGAGTCCAGTGGCACAATCACAGCTCACTGCAGCCTCGACCTCCAGGGCTCAAGTGATCCACCAGCTTCAGCCTCCAAAGTGCTGGGATTATAGGTGTGACCACCGTGCCGGCCAGGCCCAAGGATACATATATATATATATATTTTTTTTTTTGAGATGGAGTTTTGCTCTTATCACCCAGGCTGGAATGTAATGGCGTAATCTCAACTCACTGCAACCTCCATCTTCCGGATTCAAGCAATTCTCCTGCCTCAGCCTCCCTAGTAGCTGGGATTACAGGCGCCCACCACCACACCCAGCTAATTTTTGTATTTTTAGTAGAGATGGCGTTTCACCATGTTGTCCAGGCTGGTCTGGAACTCCTGACCTCAGGTGATCTGCCTGCCTTGGCCTCCCAAAGTGCTGGGATTACAGACGTGAGCCACCGTGCCAGCCAGGCCCAAGAATATTTGACAGAGCAATAGGTTCATCCTAAGTAAGGAGAGCCTAGAGGCCCAGAACCCACCTCTTGGCTTGGTTAAGGAGGAACTCTTTAGCAATGATGTGAAATTGGCTGGTTAAGCTCTCATCTAGCTCCAGAGGCCATTTGTCCCCCTCCTATTTTAGGGGCACGATCCCCAGCGCTTGGGCCCGCCATGCCTCACCTGTACCATGCCCTTGGTGCCGCTCACGGAGGCCGTGTTGGAGAGCTGCACGGTGATGCTGCAGGTGAAGCTGCCATGGACCTCCCCTGGGTACTGCAGGAGCACCGTGACAGTGTCATCCACACCTGGAGGGAAGTCCTGGGTCAGGGCAGGGTCTCTCAGGGCAGAGTCTCTGAGACTGCACAGGCCCCAAATCCTGCCTGTGGAACCTTGGGCAAGAGACTTCACTTCTTGCATGGCAAGGCAAAAGAATGAAGTGCTGGCTGGTCGCGGTGGCTCACGCCTGTAATCCCAGCACTTTGGGAGGCTGAGGTGGGCAGATCGTGGGGTCATGAGATCAAGACCATCCTGGCTAACACGGTGAAACCCTGTCTCTACTAAAGATACAAAAAATTAGCCAGGCGTGGTGTAGTCCTGTCGTCCCAGCTACTCGGGAGGCTGAGGCAGGAGAATGGCGTGAACGTGGGAGGCGGAGCTTGAAGTGAGCCGAGATGGCACCACTGCACTCCAGCCTGGGCGACAGAGCGAGACTCCATCACACACACACACACACACACACACACACACACACACACACACGAAGTACAGTCTTGGCTGTGCACAGTGACTCACACCTATAATCTCAGCACTTTGGGAGGTGGAGGCAGGAGGATCCCTTGAGTCCAGGAGTTCAAGACCAGCCTGGGCAACATAGTGAGACCTTGTCTCTACAAAAAATAAAAAATTTAGTTGGGTGTGGTGGCTTGTGCCTGTGATCCTAGCTACTCAGGAGGCTGAGGTGGAGGATCCCTGGAGCCTGGGAGGTCAAGGTTGCAGTGAGCAATGATTGTGCCACTGCACTCAGCCTAAGTGACAGAGTGAGACCCCGTCTCAAAAAAAAAAAAAAAAAGCCGGTGGTTCATGCCTGTAATCCCCAGCACTTTGGGAGGCCAAATGTGTGTATTGCTTGAGCCCAGGAGGTCGAGACCAGCCTGGGCAACATGGGGAAACTCCATCTCTACAAAAAACAAACAAACATAGCCAGGCGTGGTGGCCCACATCTGTATGCCCAGCTACTTGGGGGTCTTACGGAGGAGAATCGCTTGAATTTAGGAGGTTGACGCTGCAGTGTGCCAAGATCACACCACTATATTCTACCCTGGGTGGCAAAGTGAGATACTATCTAAAAAAAAACAAAAATTACAGTCTATTTGCCCATCTCTGAAAACTGAGCTGGCCATGTAACTTGCTTTGGCCAATGGGCCAGTAGCAAATATGGTGTAATTAGAGGCCTGAAAAGTGCTTGCACATCAGGAATTCTCACACCACGATATGAATGGTATCTAGCCAGCTGGAGAGGCCAGGTGGAGGAGAATCAAGGCTTCCCAGACAGTTGCCTGCCACCTGTAAGATATAAATGAAGCCTACCAGACTGTCCAGTCCCAGCTGAACAGCCAACTGACTGCAGCTGCAGGAATAAGACCAGCAGAAGAACCATCAAGCAGAGCCCAGCCCCAATTTGCCAATGCACAGAATCACAAGCTAATAAATGATTGCTATTTGAAGTCACTAAGTTTTTTTTTTTTTTTGAGACAGGGTCTGGCTTGCCGGGGGCGGTGGCCACACCTGTAATCCCAGCTCTCGGGGAGGCAGAGGCGGGAGGATAGCTTGAGCCCAGGAGTTCGAGACCTGCCTGGGCAATATAGCGAGACTCTGTTCTCCACAAAAAGGAGACAGGGTCTGGCTCTGTTCCCCAGGCTGGAATGCAGTGGCACCATCTCAGTTCACTGCCACCTCTGCCTCCCAGGCTCAATTGATCCTCCCACCTCACCTTCCAGAGTAGCCGGACTATAGGTGCACACCACCACGCCCAACTAATTTTTTTTGCACTTTTCGTAGAGACAGGGTTTTACCATGTTGGCCAGGGTGGTCTTGAACTCCTGGCCTCAAGTGATCCGCGCACCTCAGCCTCCCAAAGTGCTGGGATTACAGGCGTGAGCCACCATGCCCAGCCTGAAGTCACTAAGTTTTGGGGTAGTGTTATGTTTTTTTTTTTTTGCGGCTGAATGTAACTTTAATGAAGCATGAACTGCCTCTTGCTCCTTGGGGTTAAAGGTCAAAGATGAAGGGCATCACATCTGGGTGGCTCAGGCACTCTTGGATACTTTCCAGCTGAGTGGAAGCCAAGGCAAGGGCCTCTTCTGCAAAGTGGGGCAGCTTTTTTTTTTTTTGAGATGGAGTCTCACTCTGTCGCCCAGGCTAGAGTACAGTGACGCCATCTCAGCTCACTGCAACCTCCGCCCCCTGGGTTCAAGTGATTCTCCTGCCTCAGCCTCCCAGATAGCTGGGATTACAGGTGCCTGCCGCAATGCCTAGCTAATTTTTGTATTTTTAGTAGAGATGGGGTTTCATCATATTGGCCAGGGTGGTCTCCAACTCCTGACCTCAGGTGATCTGGCCACCTCGGCCTCCCAAAGTGCTGGAATTACAGGCGTGAGCCACCACGCCTGGCCAAGTGGGGTAGTCTTTTTTGTAGCAAAGATTCACTGAGACAACTTCAAAAAATAATAATTTTATATTTATTAACTGCCATTTGCCTCAGCAGTTACTTCATTAACTCCCATGACAACCCTATTAGTGACACTTTACCAGTAAAGTAATTAAGATTCAGAGATGTTAAGTCTGCTGGCTAAGATCACACAGCAAAGTCCCAGGAGAGTGCCCACCTGCAGTCTTGACTCTGATCCTCTCTGGCTTCATGGAAAGTTGTTCCTCTAGGTGTCTGATCTAATTCTCATTGACTTGGAGACTTGTCCTCAGTTCAGTGCTCCCAGAGAGACAGAATCATTCCCATCACCATGAAATATTCCAGGATAGATGGTACCTGTTTCATGACGCCTTCCCACGACAGAAATCTTCTCTGGCTTCTGCCCTCCAAAGACCATGGAGGTGAACTGGACACAGTAGATGCCGATGTCCAGCAGGGCCCCCCCAGCCTGGGCCCGGTCTACGGCCCGGGGAACGTGGATGAGATTCTTCCCAAATTCTGCCCGAGCCACCCGGAGGTCTCCTAGAGTTCCCTGGGCCAAAACAGACCTCAGAGCCTCGGAGGCAGGAAAGAAGCGGGTCCAGATGGCCTGCAGACCACAAGGAAAGGAGTTAACCAACCAGTTCTAATCCCTTCTGGGGTCCCAATCATAGGGGGATACCCACTGCAACCCAGTCTCCAAACACAGCCCATCAGTCCCCAGGTTGTATCCCTCTTGCTCCTGACCCTCTTGACTTTTCTTCTTTTTCTTTTTTTTTTGAATAGAGATAGGGTCTCACTATGTCGCCCAGGCTGGTCTCGAACTCCTGGGCTCAAGCAGTCCTCCCACCTCAGCCTCCCAAAGTGCTGAGATTACAGGCATGAGCCACCGTGCCCTATTGACTTTTGTTCTTTTTCATCTGGACCATTGCCCCAGTCTCCCCATGTTATGGGATGAATTGTGTCTCTCTCCCTCTCGCTTCTGCCCTGCCAAACACAATTCACGTGTTGAAGCCTTAACTCCCTAGTACCTCTGAAAGCAACTGTTGTGGCCACAGGGTTTTCAGAGAGATAATTATGTTAAAATAAGGTCAAGGCTGGGCACGGTGGCTCACGCCTGTAATCCCAGCACTTTGCGAGTCCACAGTGGGCAGATCACGAGGTCAGGAGTTCGAGACCAGCCTAGCCAAGAGACCAGCCTGGCCAACACGGTGAAACCCCGTCTCTATTAAAAATACAAAAAATTTTAGCTGGGCGTGATGGCGCACGCCTGTAGTCCCAGCTACTCGGGAAGCTGAGGCAGGAGAATTGCTTGAACCCGGGAGGTGGAGGTTGCAGTGAGCTGAAGATCGCACCGTTGCACTCCAGCCTGGGCGACAGAGCGAGACTCCAACTCAAAAAAAAAAAAAAAAATGAGGTCATTAGGGTGGGCCCTTATCCAATATGACAATATGACTGGTGTCCTTATAAGAAGAGATTAGATGTAGGTATAGAGCATGCAGGCCAGTGGGTTTAAGAGTTACGTGTGCATCTCCTAGTGAAACTCCTTAAAGGAGGCATATAGATACAGAAGGTAGAAATAAAACTCTTTGTTCATAGATGACATCATCTATGTAGAAAAATGCAAAATGACAACAACAAAAAAAAACTCCTGGAACTGGGGGCTGGGCGCTGTGGCTCATGCCTGTAACCCCAGCGCTTTGGGAGGCCAAGGCGGGCGGATCACCTGAGGTCAGAAGTTCCAGACCAGCCTGGACAACATAGCAAAACCCCGTCTCTACTACAAATACAAAAATTAGCCGGGCGTGGTGGTGCATGCCTGTAATCTCAGCTACTCGGGAGGCTGAGGCAGGAGAATCACTTAAAGCCGGGCAGCGGAGGTTGCAGTGAGCCGAGATCACGCCATTGCACTCCAGCCTGGCGACAGAGCAAGACTCTGTCTCAAAAACAACAACAATGACAACAAAAACCAGAGTTCTACCTCTTGGAGCACCCAGTCTAGAGAGACAGAGAACAGGCAACCAAGGGATGAACAAAGGAATACCAAGGACACAAATAAAATGGAGGGTCCTTCACGCAGGACAGCCGGGACGGTGACACCCTGAGGAGGTGACATTCCAGGGGAGACGGAAGCTCCGTGGACTAGGCAAAGAGCCCAGAGAAAGAATGTCACGGGAGAGCCGGGAGAATGGGCAAAGGTCCCAAGGCTGCACTCCAGCAATTTCTTTTTTTTTTTTTTTTTTTTTTAAAGACAGTCTCGCTCTTGTCGTCCAGGCTGGAGTGCAGTGTCGGGATCTTAGCTCACTGCAACCTCCGCCTCCCGGGTTCACGCCATTCTCCTGCCTCAGCCTCCCGAGTAGCTGGGACTACAGGCGCCCGCCACCACGCCCGGCTAATTTTTTGTATTTTTAGTAGAGGCGGGGTTTCACTGTGTTAGACAGGATGGTCTCGATCTCCTGACGTCGTGATCCGCCCGCCTCTGCCTCTCGAAGTGCTGGGATTACAGGCGTGAGCCACCGCGCCCGGCCAATTTTTGTACTTTTTTAGTAGAGACGGAGTTTCGCCATGTTGGCCAGGCTGGTCTTGAACTCCTGACCTCAGGTGATCTGCCCGCCTCGGCCTCCCAAAGTGCTGGGATTACAGGCGTGAGCCACCGCATCTGGCCCACACCAGCAATTTCTAAAAATGCTGACGCAAGAGTGTCAGGGCTCACGGGGGAAGGGCGGGGCAGGACGGATGTGGCCGAGGTCCGCCCGGGCTCGGAGCAGTCGAGAGGAGCGTGAACACAGGCCTGAGGGCACTGGGGAGCCGGGGGCAGGCTCTGCGCAGGCTCTGAGCCTGGGTGTTGTGGCAGTAGGCTACTGGTGCCCCCAAAGATATCCACGACCTGATGATCCCCGGAGTCTGTGAATGTGTGACTTTACAAGGCTAAGGGGTCCTGGCGGATAGGATTACATGAAAGACCTTGAGGTAGGGGCCGGGCGCGGTGGCTCACGCCTGTAATCCCAGCACTTTGGGAGGCCGCGGCAGGAGGATCACTTGCAGTCATGAGTTTGAGACCAGCCTGGCCAACATGGTGAAACCCCGTCTCTACTAAAAATACAAAAATTAGCTGGGCATGGTGGCGGGCGCCTGTAGTCCCAGCTACTTGGGAGGCTGAGGCAGGAGAATCGCTTTAACCTGGGAGGTGGAGGTTGCAGTGAGCCGAGATCGCGCCACTGCACTGCAGGTTTGTAGGGGGTTCCTTGGTCCTTTCAACCTCTACCTGGAACCCCACCCAAACTAAGCCATTGCCATTCTATGCCACTTTCACTCTTGGCATCTTTTTCTTGTTTTTTTTTTTGTTTGTTTTTTTTCTTGTTTGAGACGGAGTCTCACTGTGTTGCCCAGGCTGGAGTGCAGTGGCGCAATCTTGGCTGACTGCAAGCTCCGCCTCCCGGGTTCACGCCATTCTCCTGCCTCAGCCTCCCAAGTAGCTGGGACTACAGGCGCCCGCCACCACGCCCAGCTAATTTTTTGTATTTTTAGAAGAGATGGGGTTTCACCATGTTAGCCAGGACGGTCTCGATCTCCTGACCCCGTGCTCCGCCCGCCTCGGCCTCCCAAAGTGCTGGGATTACAGGCATGAGCCACCGCGCCCGGCCGGCATCTTTTTCTTAAAGACTGACAAAAGATCCAAGCAATTTCAGTAAGCCTTGCCGTGTTTGCTAAGGGCCAAAAGCAATGGCTTTCACGGTAATAGATGCTGCCAAGGAGATTCAGATACATCCTGGCAAATGCACTGACCCCGTCCGCGCACTGGCAACCATATTTAATGGCAAGCACTTTTACGCTGGATATTGGAAGGGCTCCTCTGCCCTCACCTCCATAAGGAAGAGGGCTCGGGATCGGGCCTCCGCGACCATCTCGCGAACTTCCGCCGCGTTCACGCCCGTGGGCTTCTCGCACAGAACGGCCTTGCCCGCCGCCAAGCACAGCATCACCGCCGCCTTGTGCTGGGGGTGCTGGGTGCCAATGTAGGCCACCTCTAGGGTGGGAGTAGGTCAAGAGGTCAGCAGCCCCGCCCACCCAGACAGCCGAGCTCCGCCCACAACTTCGAGGCCCCGCCCTAGCACCCAGGGACCAGGTGGTCGGTCACACCCCTGTCTCCCTTAGGGAGCTGTCCTTAGGAAGGGGCTGTTACCTCTCGCCATTCTCGCTCTCTTTTTTAAAATTTTTAATTAATTAATTAATTTTTTTTTTGGAGGCGGAGTCTCACTCTTCGCCCAGGCTGGAGTGCAGTGGCGCGATCTCGGCTCACTGCAAGCTCCACCTCCCAGGTTCACGCCATTCTCCTGCCTCAGCCTCCCGAGTAGCTGGGACTACAGGCGCCCGCCACCATGCCCGGCTAATTTTTTGTATTTTTAGTGGAGATGCGGTTTCACCGTATTAGCCAGGATGGTCTCCATCTCCGGACCTCATGATCTGCCCGCCTTGGCCTCCCAAAGTGCTAGGATTACAGGCGTCAGCCACCGCGCCCGGCCTATTTATTTATTTCTAAGACCAAGTCTCACTCTGTCGCCCAGGCTGGAGTGCAGTGGCGCGATCTTGGCTCACTTCAACCTCTGCTTCCCGGATTCAAGTGATTCTCCTGCCTCAGCCTCCCCAGTAGCTGGGATTACAGGTGCGTGCCACCATACCTGGCTAATTTATTTTTATTGTTATTTTTTGTAGAGATTGGGTCTTGCTACGTTGCCGAGGCTGGTCTCGAACGCTAAGTGTAGTTTAACACCTACTAGACAGCCAGTCCCAGACCAAGCCCGTTTTATAGTTCTCCTCCCAGCCAAAGGTCTTTATGGAACCCAAAGGGATTGGACCATCCTGAGGAGCCTTGCATCTCCCAGGGGGCAGCCAGGGGGCACCGCTCCAGGGGCGGCGGCCAGCACCCCCATCGCCCTCGCCACTCACCCACGCTCGGGTCCTTGGCCAGCTCCTCATAGGAGCCGTAGGCCTTGGGGATGTCGTGTTTCTGTGCAAACTCCTTCGCACGGCTCAGATCGCGGGCCGCCACCGCCACCACCTGGAGGGGCACAAGAATCGGATTTGAGGGGCTGAGGCAGGCGTGGAAACTGGGTGGAAGGGAGGCAAAGGAGGAGGCTCTGGCCAGGGGAAGGGGAGACGTGGTCCTGGGGGAAGAGATGACGGGGGCTGGACATTTGGGCCCTGGGAAAGAGAGATCTGGGGGAAAGCCGTTATTAAATCCCCCAATATTGAAATTATCTTCATAGTAGCTTACATCAAGGCCTTTCCAAACCTCAAGACACTCAGGTTTGTGTGGGGAAAAGAAAGAGAGATCAGATTGTTACTGTGTCTATGTAGAAAAGGAATCTGTATCATGAATAAGTTCAAGGAAAGGTGCTGTGACCGGATGTGCACGTAGGCTAGATTTATGTTTCACTTTACACAAACATCTCAGTGTAGCAAAGAGTAACAGAGCAGTATCACTGCCAGCATATCTCGCCTCCAGCCACAGGTAGGTTTTCTCCTATCTCAGAATAGAAGGAATGGGAATGGTCCGCTTTACACTGAGACAGTCCATTCCCAGGGAGAGCAGGAGACAGAAGCCTTCCTCTTATCTCAACTGCAGAGAGGCCTCCCTCTTTCACTACTCCTCCTCAGCACAGACCCTTTACTGGTGTCGGGCTAGGGGATGTAAGGTCTTCCTTTCCCACGAGGCCATATCTCAGGCTTTCTCAGTGGGGGGAAACCCTGGACAATACCCAGGCTTTCTTGGGCAGAGGTCCCTGCGGCTTTCCGCAGTGCAATGTGCCCCTGGTTAATAGAGAATGGAGAATGGCGATGACTTTTACCAAGCATACTGCCTGCAAACATATTGTTAACAAGGCACATCCTGCAAAGCCCTAAATCCATTAAACTTTGATTCAATACAGGACATGTTTCTGTGAGCACACGGTTGGGGCTAAAGTTACAGGTTAATAGCATCTCAAAGCAGAAACAATTTTTCTTAGTACAGTTCAAAATGGAGTTTCTTATGTCTTCATTTTCTACGTAGACACAGTAACAATCTGATCTTTCTTTTCCCCACAGGTTTGCAGAACAGAGATGGAGAAGGAGGTAGCAAGGAAACAGACGTTTCACTGCAATGACGACCCACTCACTAGTCCTGAACCCTAAACTCCCTCCTCCTTTAGACTCTGGAGTCCCGCCCCCCGCCTCCTCTTCCCCAGAATCCGGAGGGCGGGCAGACCTGGTGCTCAGAGCGAGGCAGCGTCTGCAGCACGGCTGTGAAGTCGCTGGAGATGAGGCCGACAGACACGATGCCCCAGCGCAGCGCCATGGTTGCGATGCGGAGCCCTCGGCACCTTCGGTCCCTCCAGGCGCGAATTAAGTACCTGACGCCCCGCCCACCCCGGGGGCGGGTCCCCATCCTCCGCCCGTATTGCGCCTACGCCGATTCTCGTTGGCTCCAGTCGGCAGAGCGGTCATTTAGTTCTAGCTTCCCCGCTGGGCGAATGCACCGTTTAGCTCCGCCTTACAGAGGGAACCACACCTTGACGTCGCTTCTACAGATCTCTTACCTATGACTTTAGGCTCGTCGGATACGCGGGGTAAGGACAGCGTGGGGAGGAGAGGTTTGCTTTCTTGCCAACACCAATCCTTGAGAGTTAGATTTAATGTCTTGCCCTCTGGACTTTGTGGCAAAACTTTGCCCTGACTTTTTTGCTCTCAAAGCCACGCATCATTAGGGGTTGTTCACAGAGAGAGAGAGGATTGTAACAGCAAACTTAATAATTATTACTAATATGTATAGAGCACCTGTAGACCAGCTCCTCAGCTCTGCGCTTTACCTTCTTCGTTCCTAATTTCTCCCCGCAGACCTGGGAAGTAGCTTCTATTGTCCCCAGTTCACAAAGGGGGAAACAGACTCCAAGATCCCTGGTCATTTTTTGGAGGTCTCACAGTCAGGAGGTAAAGACCTGTGAATTGGCTGCTTCCAGAAGCTATAGTTTTAGAAACCAGGCTGCTTTGCTTGTTAGGAGCCCCAGAGCCTGGCCGACTGGTTTCAAAACCCTCCTTGCCCCTTCTTGGCTGTATTGCTTTTGGACAAGAGGTCGCCCTCTCTGGTCCTCACTTTTCTATTCTGGAAAGCAGAGATCATGATAACATCTACCTACATAGGGTTGTGAGGAGGATTCATTGAGCTCTATGGTCTATTATGTAAAATATACTGTATTATTATAATTATTATTGATATAGGGTCTCGCTCTGTCGCCCAGGAAGGAGTGCAGTGGCACAATCATAGCTCACTGCAGCCTCAAATTCCTTAGCTCAAGGAATTAGCTCCTGCCTTAGCCACCCTAGTACCTGGGACTACAGTAGCTGGGACCCAAAGTAGCTACTGGCTACTACACCTGGCTAATTATTTTGTTTTATTTATTAATTATTTTAGAGATAGGGTCTCACTCTGTTACCTAGCTGGACTGCAGTGGCGTGATAATAGCTCACAGCAGCCTTGTACTCCTGGGCTCAAGCTATCTTCCCGCCTCAGCCTCCTGAGTAGCTGGGAGTATAGGCATGTGCCCCACTTACCGCTATTTGTTTGTTTGTTTGTTTGAGACGGAGTCTCACTCTATCCCCAGGCTGGAGTGCAGTGGTGTGATCTCAGCTCACTGCAACCTCCGCCTCCCTGGTTCAAGTGATTCTCCTGCCTCAGCCTCCTGAGTAGCTGGGACCACAGGCGCCCTCCACCATGCCCAGCTAATTTTTTTTATTTTTAGTGGAGACAGGGTTTCACCATGTTGGCCAGGATGGTCTCGATCTCCTGACCTTGCGATTTGCCTGCCTTGGCCTCCCAAAGTGCTGGGATTACAAGCATGAGCCACTGCACCCAGCCTGCTAATTTTTGTTGCTGTTGTTGTTTGTTTTTTGTTTTTGAGACGAAGTCTCGCTCTGTCATCCAGGCTGGGGTGATCATGCAGTGGCATAATCTTGGCTCACTGCAACCTCCACCTCCCAGTTTCAAGCAATTCTCCTACCTCAGCCTCCCGAGTAGCTGGGATGACAGGCGCCCACTACCACGCCCGACTAATTTTTGTATTTTTACTAGAGATGGGGTTTCACTGTGTTGGCCAGGCTGGCCTCGAATTCCTGACCTCAGGTGATCCGCCTGCCTTGGCCTCCCAAAGTGCTGAGATTACCTGCATGAGCCACCATGCCCAGCAATTTTTTGTACAGAAAAGGTCTCACTTTGTTGTCCAGGCTGGTCTCCAATTCCTGGGCTCAAGCAATCCTCCTGCCTCAGCCTCCCAAAGTGCTGGGATTATAGGTATGAGACACTGTGTCCAGTCGATTTTTAAACTTTTTATCAAGGCAGGGTCTTGCCAAGTTTCCCAGGCTGGTTGGGACATGATAATTCCTAACTGGCTGGCCAGCTTCACACAGGGCAGGATATTGTCACTTTCTCTTACTTGGTAGACAATAATTAAGACCTGAGTGTCACACATGGATTCACAGACTTCAAGTTTACACAAACTGCTGAATAGAAACACAAATGGGACCAGGCACGGTGGTTCACGCCTGTAATCCCAGTACTGTGGGAGGCCCAAATGGGAGGAATGCTTGAAGCCAGGACTTTGAGACCAGCCTGGGCAACAAAGCAAGACCCCATCTCTACCAAAAAAAAAAAGTGGGGGGAGGGGGCAGGGCATAGTGGCTCATGCCTGTAATCCTAGCACTTTGGGAGGCCGTGGTGGGCGGATCACTTAAGGTCAGGAGTTCGAAACCAGCCTGGCAAACATGGTGAAACCCCCATCTCTACTAAAAATACAAAATAATTAGCCAAGCATGGTGGCGGACGCCTGCAATCCCAGCTTCTTGGGAGGCTGAGGCAGGTAAATTGCTTGAACCTGGGAGGAGGAGGTTGCAGTGAGCCAAGATCGCACCACTGCTCTCCAGCCCGGGTGACAGAGAGAGACTCTGTCTCAAAAAAAAAAAAAAAAAAAAAAAAAGGTTTAGGGGGAGGGAAATCCACATAGGACACAATATCATTACTATGAAGAAAAAGAAAAAATCATTTAATAATAAATATCAAAAAATAATTTTGATACTCCCAGGTATTTGTCCTAGAAAGAAAAAATAACATGTTTGCACACAAACCAGTGCACAGGTGTTAGCAGCTGTACATAGCTCAAGCCCAAATGTCCTTTAAGCTGCCAGTGGATTCAACAAAATACTACTCAGCGGCCAGGCACAGTGGCTCACACCTGTAATCCCAGCACTTTGGGAGGCCAAGATGGGTGGATCACCAGGTCAGGAGATCAAGACCATCCTGGCTAACACGGTGAAACCCCATCTCTACTAAAAATACAAAAAATTAGCCAGGCGTGGTGGCGGGCACCTGTAGTCTGGAGGCTGAGGCAGGAGAGTGGCGTGAGCCTGGGAGGCAGAGGTTACAGTGAGCCGAGATCACACCACTGCACCCCAGCCTGGGCAACAGAGGAAGACCCGGTCTAAAAAAAAAAATATATATATATAATATATATATATATTTTTTTTTTGAGATGAAGGTTTGCTCTGTCACCCAGGCTGGAGTGCAGTGGTTCGATCTCAGCTCACTGCAAGCTCTGCCTCCCGGGTTCACGCCATTCTCCTGCCTCAGCCTCCCAAGTAACTGGGACTACAGGCGCCCACCACCACGCCTGGCTAATTTTTTGTATTTTTAGTAGAGACAGGGTTTCACTGTGTTAGCCAGGATGGTCTTGATCTCCTGACCTCGTGATCCGCCCTCCTCGGCCTCCCAAAGTGCTGGGATTACAGGCGTGAGCCACTGCGCCCGGCCTAAAATTATTACTTTCTTATTGCTGCACTCCAGCACCTCAGAGGAGGCAAAAAGGTAAACACTGAAAAGAAAATATGCCGGGCACGGTGGCACATGCCTGTAATCCCAGCACTTTGGGAGACTGTGGCGGGCAGATCTCTTGAGCCCAAGAGTTCGAGACCAACCTGCAAAAAATTAGCCAGGTGTGGTGGTGTGCATCTGTATTCCCAGCTACTAGGGAGGCTGAAGCGGGAGGATCGCTTGAGCTGGGAAGGTTGAGGCTGCAGTAAGCTATGATGGCACCTCTGTACTCCAGCCTGGGCAACAGAGTGAGACTCTGTCTCAAAAAAGAAAAAAGAGGGCGGGCGTAGTGGCTCACGCCTGTAATCCCAGCACTTTGGGAGGCCGAGGCGGGCGGATCACCTGAGGTCAAGAGTTTGAGACCAGCCTGGCCAACAGGGTGAAACCCCATCTCTACTAAAAATACAAAAATTAGCTGGGCGTGGTGGTGTGCACCTGTAATCCCAGCTACTTGGGAGGCTGAGGCACTGGAATCGCTTGAACCCAGGAGGCAGAGCTTGCAGTGAGCCGAGATCACGCCACTGCACTCTAGCCCGGGCAACAGAGTGAGACTCTGTTGCCCAGGAAAAAAAAGAAAAAAAAAAAAAAGAAAAAGAAAAAAGAAGAAAAAGAAAATGCTGTGGGGCGCTGCCATGTGGAAAGACATTTGGGAAAGGCTAAAAGAACCCACTGCACACTTAATGGTATATCACATGTCAGTACCCGGTCAGACTCGCCTCTGGTAACATGGAGGTAGACACTCTAGCAAGAATTAGAACACTGGGTCCCTCACAATCCTCAAGGGCTTGGAGCAACTCAGTATTGTGTATAGACTGCAGATTTCCCTTACCATATAATCTTCAAGTGGCAGGATTGATTAAAAAGAAAAATGGCCAGGCGCGGTGGCTTACGCTTGTAATCCCAGCACTTTGGGAGGCCGAGGTGGTCGGATCACGAGGACAGGAGATCAAGACCATCCTGGCTAACACAGTGAAACCCCATCTCTACTAAAAATACAAAAAATTAGCCGGGCATGGTGGCGGGCGCCTGTAGTCCCAGCTACTCAGGAGGCTGAGGCAGGAGGATGGCGTGAACCCGGGAGGCAGAGCTTGCAGTGAGCCGAGATCACGCCACTGCACTCCAGCCTGGGTGACACAGCAAGACTCTGCCTCAAAAAAAAAAAGAAAGAAAGAAAGAAAGAAAAATGGCATTTAAAAAAATTTTTTTGCAGGTTTTATTTATTTATTTATTTATTTGAGACAAAGTCTGGCTCTGTTGCTCCAGCCTGGGTGACAGCGCCACACTCCGTCTCAAAAAAAAAACAGAAAATAAAATTTTTTTTTGTAGAGATGGTGTCTCACCATGTTGCCTAGGCTGGCCTCCAACTCTTGGGCTGAAGTGATCCTCCCACCTCGGCCTCCCAAAGCACTAGGCATGAGCCACCAAGCCTGGCCCAACTATCCATTATGCATAGTTGTAAAGCAAGTCTGGCCAGACGCATTTATACTGGAGCTGATAAAAGGCCAATGGTAAACACTATTTAGGATTTCCCAGAATCTTGAGCCAAGGGGAGGGGTTGGACTGGCAAATTCCCCAGACTGGATAGGGTGTTTCTTGTCAGAGGGCAAGAATTTCTCGGGCAGCTGCAGTGGTCTCCCTTGATCCTCTTGGGGTTGGGGCCAAAACAATCCACTTACCCCTACACTAGAACATGGTCCCTTTTTTTTTTTTTTTTTTTTTGGACGGAGTCTTGCTCTGTCACCCAGGCTGGAGTGCAGTGACACAATTTCAGCTCACTGCAACTTCCGCCTCCTGGGTTCAAGCGATTCTCCTGCCTCATGAGTAGCTGGGATTACAGGCGCCCATCACCACACCCAGCTAATTTTGTATTTTTAGTAGAAATGCGGTTTTACCATGTTGGCCGGGCTGGTCTCGAACTCGTGACCTCAAGTGATCCACCTGCTGCGGCCTCCCAAATTGCTGGGTTATAAGCGTGAGCCATTGTTCACAGGCTGAGTGACGTAGTTTAATGTTATTTATTTATTTATTTTTTAAGACGGAGTTTTGCTTTTGTTGTCCAGGCTGGAGTGCAATGGCGTGATCTCGGCTCACCGCAACCTCCACCTCCTGGGTTCAAGCGATTCTCCTGCCTCAGCCTCCTGAGCAGCTGGGATTACAGGCATGCGCCACCAGGCCCGGGTAATTTTGTATTTTCAGTAGAGACGGGGTTTCTCAACGTAGGTCAGGCTGGTCTCAGACTCCTGACCTCGGGTGATTCGCCTGCCTCAGCATCCCAAAGTGCTGAGATTACAGGCGTGAGCCACCGCGCCCAGCCTCGTGACTTTATTTTAAAATGCTACTCTGCCATGTGATTTTTTTCCTTTTTTAAGAGACGGGGTTTGTAATCTCAGCTACTTGGGAGGCTGAGGCAGGAGAATTGCTTGAACCCGGGAGGTGGAGGTTGCAGTGAGCCGAGACTGTGCCATTGCACTCCAGCCTGGGGGACACAGCAAGACTCCGTATCAAAAAAAAAAAAAAAAGAAAAAGAAAGAAACAGGGTTGGCTGGGCGTGGTGGCTCATGCCTATAATCCCAGCACTTTGGGAGGCAGAGGAGGGCAGATCACCTGAGGACAGGAGTTTGAGACCGGCCTGGCCAACATGG
Organism: Homo sapiens; assembly: GCF_000001405.40. Classification (NCBI taxonomy): domain Eukaryota; kingdom Metazoa; phylum Chordata; class Mammalia; order Primates; family Hominidae; genus Homo; species Homo sapiens. The sequence goes on along the minus strand of NC_000019.10, from coordinate 48,927,518 downwards.
CGAAACCCTGTCTCTACTAAAAATACAAAAATTAGCTGGGCGTGGTGGGCGCCTGTAATCCCAGTTACTCAGGAGGCTGAGGCAGGAGAATCACTTGAACCCGGGAGGCGGAGGTTGCAGTGAGCCGAGATCGAGCCACCGGCAACAAGAGTGAGACTCTGTCTCAAAAAAAAAAAAAAAGAGACGGGGTTTCACTATGTTGCTCAGGCTGGTTTCAAACTCTTGGGCTCGAACGGTCTTCCTGCCTCAGCCTCCCAAAATGCTGGCATTATAGGCATGAGCCACTGCACCCAGCCTGCCGTGTGACTTCTGACTAACCCGAAACTGGGAATGCCTCCAACATGTCTAACGGATGTGTTACTCTTTATGTAGAAACACGTACTTACCAGCCTTTCCTCCAGAACAAGCCTTGATGTTGTCACATCCATCACAAGATGTATCGCCCATAGCCACCTACGCGTTTCTTCCAGAGCACAGATATGCTTTCCTCGAGATAGAAGCCCTGTGTCTGGGGGTTGCAGGGTGTGATCTATCTGTCTTGCTGCTGCCCAAGACCACACTTCTTTTTTTTTTTTTTCCAGACAGGGTCTTGCTTTGTAGCCCAGGCTGGAGTGCAGTGGCGTGAGCTCGGCTCACTGCAGTCTCCACCTCCCGGGTTCAAGTGATTCTCCTGCCTCAACCTCTCCAGTAGCTGGGATTACAGGCGCCCACCACCACACCTGGCTAATTTTTGTATTTTTAGTGGAGACAAGTTTCACCATGTCAGTCAGGCTGGTCTCGAACTCCTGACCCCAAGTGAGCCACCTGCCTCGGCCTCCCAAAGTGCTGGGATTCCAGGCATAAGCCACCATGCCTGGCGAAGACCACACTCTAAGTTTCCCCCTAATAAACCACCCTGTATTGACAAACTAGATGGGTCGGCCTCATTCTTTGGTTTCTTGGCTCCTTCGGCATTTGGGGACCGCTTTGCCTATATGAACCTTTCAAAGAACACCATTTAGGCCCGTTTTCCAGATTGGGTCACTGAAGCTCAACTCCCCTCATTTTCTGAGAGAGGCAAAGAGAGGCTGCAGCTGATGTTTGCTATGCTCATTGTTCAGGTGCAGCTGGGAGGGCATGACACACATATAGCTTCCCAGGACATTCCAGGATCTGGGAATATGTATTTTTGTTTTGTTTTGTTCTGAGACAGAGTCCCGCTTGGTCACCCAGGCTGATGTGCAGCGTTGCAATCACCGCTTCCCAGGCCCAAGCGATCCTTTCACCTCAGCCTCCCAAGTAGCTGGGACTACAGGCATGTGCCACCACACCCAGCTAATTTTTTTTTTTTTCTTGAGATGGAGTCTTGCTCTGTCACCCAGGCTGGAGTACAGTAGTGTGATCTTGGCTCACTGCAACCTCTGCCTCCCAGGTTCAAGTGATTCTTGTGCCTCAGCCTCCCTGAGTAGCTGGGATTACAGGTGTACACCACCACGCCCGGCTAATTTTGGTATTTTTTTGTAGAGACGGGGTTTCACGTTGCCCAGGCTGGGCTTGAATTCCTGCCCTCAAGTGATCCGCCCACATCAGCCTCCCAAAGTGCTGGGATTATAGTTGTGAGTGACTGCGCCTGGCCCTATTTATTTATTTTTTTACATAGAGATGGGGTCTCCCTATATTGCCCAGGTTGGCCTCAAACTCCTGGGCTCAAAGGATCCTTCCTCCTTGGCCTCCTGAAGCGTTGGGATTATAGGCATCAGCCACTGTGCCCGGCCTATTTATTTTTCTCGAGAAAGGGTCTTGCCCTGTCTCCCAGGCTGGAGTGCAGTGGCGTGGTCATGGCTCACTGTAGCCTTAACCTTCTGTGGCCAAGCGATTCTTCTGTCCTTAAGCCTCCTGAGTAGCTGGGACCACAGGTGCATGCCACAACACCCGGCTAATTTTTTTTTTTTTTTTTTTTTTTTTTTTAGAGATGAGGTCTTGCTATGTTGCTCAGGCTGGTCTTGAGCTCTGAGCTTGAGTCATCCTCCTGTCATCCTCTCCTGAAACCCCCCACCCTGCCCATCCCTGGCCTCCAAAGTGCTGAGCTTATAGGCATGAACCACTGTGCCTGGCCAGAATTTCATTTAAACAAATACTCCTGGCCGGGCGTGGTGGCTCAGGCCTGTAATCCCAACACTGTGGGAGGCCGAGGCGGGGGGATCACCTGAGGTCAGGAGTTCTCAAGACCAGCCTGACCAACATGGTGAAAGCCCCATCTCTACTAAAAATACAGAAAAATTAGCCGGGTGTGTGCTGGGCACCTGTAATCCCAGCTACTCAGGAGACTGAGGCAGGAGAATCGCTTGAACCCAGGAGGCAGAGGTTGCAGTAAACCGAGATCGCGTCATCGTACTCCAGCCTGGGAGACAGAGCAAGACTCTGTCTCCAAAAACAAAACAAAACAAAAACAAATATTCCCCGCTTGCTTTTTACCAGACCCCAACTTGGTCCAAGGAAAGCATCCCCATCCCAGGTGAGGATGAAATCACCACTGGTGGATGCCAGCTTGGTGGATCTGTCTGCAGCTGTCACTGACCTGTGCCTCACAGCCAGTGGGATATAAGGGAACATGAGGAGAGGGCTGAAAGGAGAGGGAACTCTGGGGACAGATTTTCTCCCACTTAACAATGCCCAGAACAGAATGCGGCCTCTTCCTTCACTGGCTGTTGGTGACATCTGGAGCAGCTGCAGCTACCTTGGGACCATGAGGGGGGGTCCAGCCCCCAAACCTATCCTTGGCACAGCTAGGGGATGCGAGAACCTGGTTCCCTGAAGTCATCCTGCCTTGGGACATCTTGGTTTTTATCATAATTCATTTTTATTTATTCTTTTTTCTATTAGAGACAGGGCCTCATTCTGTCACCCAGCCTGGAGTGCAGTGGAGTGATAGATCATGGCTCACTGCAGCCTCAAACTCCAGGGCTCAAGGGATCCTCCCACACCAGCCTCCTAAGCAGCTGAGACTACAGGCACACACTACCATGCCCAGCTAATTTTTTTTCTTTTTCTGAGACGGGGTCTCGCTATGTTGCCCAGGCTGGTCTCAAACTCCTAAGCTCAAGTGATCCTCTTGCCTCAGCCTTCTTTTTTTCAGACAGAGTCTCGCTCTGTCACCCAGGCTGGAGTGCAGTGGCATGATCTCGGCTCACTGCAACCTCTGCCTCCTGGGTTCAAGCAATTCTCCTGCCTCAGCCTCCTGAGTAGCTGGGACTACAGGTGCCTGCCACCACGCCCAGCTAATTTTTTTAGTATTTTTAGTAGAGAAAGGGTTTCACCGTGTTAGCCGGGATGGTCTCCATCTCCTGACCTCGTGATCTATCCGCCTCTGCCTTCTAAAGTGCTGGGACTACAGGTGGAGCCACCATACCTGGTACATTCTTTTTTTTTTTTTTGAGATGGAATCTTGCTCTGGTACTCCGGTTGGAGTGCAGTGGTGCAATCTTGGCTCGCTGCAACCTCCGCCTCCCAGGATCAAGCAATTCTCTTGCCTCAGCCTCCCGAGTAGCTGGGATTACAAGTGCCCACCACCACACCCGGCTCATCTTTGTATTTTTAGTAGAGATGGGGTTTTGCCATGTTGACCAGGCTGGTCTTGAACTCCTGGCCTCAAGTGATCCCCCCTATCTTGGCCTTTCGAAGTGTTGGGATTACAGGCGTGAGCCACAGCACCTGGCCAAATTCATCTTTTAAAAGTTGCTTAATCCCGGCCAGGTGCAGTGGCTCACTCCTGTAATCCCAGCACTTTGGGAGGCTAAGGTGGGCAGATCATGATGTCAGGAGTTCAAGACCAGCCTGGCCAATATGGTGAAACCCCCATCACTACTAAAACAATGCAAAAATTAGAAGGCCGGGCGTGGTGGCAGGCAGCTGTAATCCCAGCTACTCGGGAGGCGGAGGCAGGAGAATCGCTTGATCCCAAAAGGCAGAGGTTGCAGTGAGCTGAGATTACACCACTGCCCTCCAGCCTGGGTGACAGAGTAAGACTCCATCTCAAAAAAAAAAAAAAAAAAAATTGCTTAATCCCAGGTTTGGGTTTTCTGTCCTTGTGGCTGAAGGGACCCTGAGTGAAGGCTGCAGACTCATCAGGGGCAGATGGAAAAATACCAGGATTGAGCCTCTCAGAAGTGATGCTTGAATCCAGTCTTCAAAGATGAGGACTCCGGCAGGTGACGTGGCAATAGCGTTTTGGAGGGACCAGTCCAGATACACAGGCATGGAGCCATGCATTTGTTCCAGAAAGTGTATTTGGATGGAACCGGAACATGGAACAGGACACACAGCAGGATGCGGAGCAGTGTCAGATGAGGCCAGAAAGGTGGGTGGGACTGGTCTTCAGGGGCTCCAGATGAGGCTGAGGGGCTGGGCCTAGGTCCTGGAGTGGGGTCAGCTCTGGGACCCTTCTGGGGCTGTGTGGGGAAGGGGCTGGGGGCCAAGAGGTCCAGGAGGAGGCTGGCGATGAGATGGCTGGAAGCCAGGGGTTCAGGGAGGCCCAGGCTCCTGGTATCAGGGTTCACCGGCTATACTGAGGATCCCCTGCCCCTGGCACCCAGCTGTGGAGGGGACACTGTCTTTGAGGCATCACTGGTTCCACAAAAGGTAGGGGAAGGTCTTGAGGGACCACCCCATGCCCTCATTAATCAACCAGAAGCTTGGCCCGGAGCAGCAGCGGGGATTCCAGTAGCTGTGGGCATACAGGATGCTAGGGCGGCCACAACCCAGGCAGCTGAGGCCGAGCCACCTAGGAACGCAGGCTCAGAGCAGACCCTCTTGGGACAGACGGAGAAGGGGAGGGGGCGGGCTTCTCTAAGTTAAGCCGATCACTGAGCACCTCACTGGACACGAGAGAAGGCAAGCCCCTCGGAGGACAGAAGGGAAGAGCCACAGACTTGGAGGCTGTGAAAGTGGAGACAGGTGGACCTGGGGTGGCAGCAATGCGTGAAATGCCAGGCCGTGCCCCCGCCCCAGGAGCCCAACATGACACCAGCCCCCAGGGAAGCTGACTGTGCCACTTCATCCAGCGCCCATCAGTCGCCTTGGAGCATCAGGAATCCTGAGGGCTGGGGTCCCGGAGGATCACAGATGCTGGGGCACCTCAACCTCAGGGAGCCGCTCGAGAAGTTTCTTTTCTGAAGTGTCCACCTCCTTCTGGTCACCGGCTGGAGCTGGGACAGGTACATCGTCTGGAAATGGAGGGAGGGAATGGTGGCACAGGACATCCGAACCCCTCCTCCCCCAGGACCCCAGAGGCCCAGCCCCTCCTCCCTCACACCCAGGGGTCCAGCCCCCAGCCCCTCCTCCCTCACACCCAGGGGTCCAGCCCCCAGCCCCTCCTCACTCACACCCAGGGGTCCCAGCCCCTCCTCCCTCACACCCAGGGGTCCCAGCCCCCAGCCCCTCCTCCCTCAGACCCAGGAGTCCGGACCCCCAGTCCCTCTTCCCTCAGATCTGGGAGTCTGGGCCCCCAGTCCCTCTTCCCTCAGATCTGGGAGTCCAGGCCCAGCCCCTCCAACCTCAGACCCAGGGGTCCAGCCCTGCAGCCCCTCCTCCCTGGACTAGGGCCAGCACCTGTGTCTGGGTGGAACTTGAGCTGCCCCTCAGGGTGGGCAGCCGGGGCCTTGTGGCCTTGCTGCTGCTGCTGCTGCTGCTTCCGCTGCTCCATGTGCAGCACAGCCTGTGGGAGGTGGGGGGTCACACAGACAAGAGGGTGTGATGCTGGCATTGCAAGTGCTCAGGCCTCAGTCCCCAAACGGAGACTTCACAGCAGCCTGCTAAGTGGTCACGGCCAACCCCTTCTCCGTGGGCCTCAGTTTCTCTCTTTCATTGACAGTCGGGCTTAATAATAGTCAAGGATCCAGTTCTCCCTCCAGTCACAGCTTGGGTCTTGCTTTGGGACAGGGAAACCCTCACCCATCCCTGGCTGAGTCTGCCTTTCTCCCCCTCCTGGGCCTTTCCCTCCTCACTTACAGCCTTAATGCCCTTATCTCACATGGCAGCCACAGAGCCGTCAGAGACGGGAAAACGTCTGCCCTTACTCAAGATGGCGGTGAATACTTGAGGCTCCCCCAGTGATTAACATGGTGGCCACAGGCCTTCCCAGCTTCTGGACACCCATGGGGACACGGACACGGGCAGCCAGAGATTCAGTGGATGGAAGCAGCTTCCCCCGCTGTCACCTGCTGCAGCTCTCTCTTCTGGGCCTCCAGGCGGCCCTGGGACCGCCCTAGAGCCTCTGTCTCCTGGCTGAGGCGCTGGGCCTTGGCATTCAGCTCTGCCTCCCGGGCAGCCAGCTCCTCTTCAAAGCGCCTCAGCTCTTCCTCGGTGTAGGCAGGGTGCATCTCCACTGTCTGCAGGGCAGGCACAGGGGCCATCAGGGGCACAGGTCCAACCTCGGCCCACCCATGTTGGAGAGGGTTGTGCCAATGGGGGAGGTGTAGAGGAGGCTGGGAGGCCAGGGCCATGTGGGTGGGCAAAGAAGCCCAAGTGGGAGGTGGGAGTGGGATAAAGACCGAGAGACAAGGCCGGGCACCATGGCTCCCACCTGTAATCCCAGGACTTTGGGAGGCGAAAGTGGGAAGGATCACTTGACGCCAGGAGTTCAAGGTCAGCCTGGGCAACGGAGCGAGACCCTGTCTCTACAGAAAATTGGCTGGGCATCTTGAAAAATATATAGAAATAGGCCAGGCACCATGGCTCACACCTGTAATCCCAGCACTTTCGGAGGCCGAGGTGGGTGGCTCACCTGAGGTCAGTAGTTTGAGATGAGCCTGACCAACATGGAGAAACCCCGTCTCTACTAAAAATACAAAATGAGCAGGGCATGGTGGTACATGCATATAATCCCAGCTACTCAGGAGGCTGAGGCAGGAGAATTGCTTGAACCTGGGAGGTGGAGGTTGCAATGAGCTGAGAATGCACCATTGCACTACAGCCTGGGCAACAAGAGCAAAACTCTGTATTGAAAAATAAACAAACAAATAAATAAATAAATAAAACAGAGACCTAGATTAGCTGGGCATGGTGGTATGTGCCTGTAGTCCCAGTTACTCAGGAGGCTAAGGAAGGAGGATCACCTGAGCCCAGGAATTCAAGGCTGCAGTGAACTATGATTACACCACTGCACTCCAGCCTGGGTGACAGGAGACCCTGTCTCAAAAAATATTAATAAATAAATAAAAGAATGAGCTAGATTAGCTAGGCATGCTGGCATGTGCCTGTAGTCCCAGCTAATAGGGAGGCTCAGGCAGGAGGATCACTTGAGGACAGGAGTTTGAGGCTGCAGTGGGCCATGATAACACCCCTGCACTCCAGCCTGGGTAATCCCAGCACTTTGGGAGGCTGAGAAGGGTGGATAGCTTGAGTCCAGGAGTTTCAGAGCAGCCTGGCCAACATGCAAAACCCTGTCTCTACCAAAAAATACAAAAATTAGCTAGGTGTGGTGCGGTGGTGCATGCCTGTAATCCCACCACTTAGGGAGGCCAGGTCAGGTGGATCGCTTGAGTCCAGCAGTTCTAGAGCAGCCTGGCCGATATGGCAAAACCCCATCTCTACAAAAAATACAAAAATTAGCCAGGCATGGTGGCTCACGCCTGTAATCCCAGCTACTCATGAGGCTGAGATGGGAGGATCGCTTGAATCCAAGAGGCGGAGGTTGCAGTGAGCCGAGATCCCACCACTGGGCTCCAGCCTACGCGACAGAGCAAGACCCTGTTTCAGAAAAAAAAAAAAAAAAAAAAAAATCACACCTCTAATCCCAGCACTTTGGGAGGCCAAGGTGGGTGGATAACCTGAGGTCAGGAGTTTGAGACCAGCCTGGCCAACATGGTGAAATCCTGCCTCTACTAAAAATACAAAAATCAGCTGGGTGTGGTGGCACGCACCTATAATCCCAGCTACTCAAGAGGATGAGCCAGGAGAATTGCTTGAACCTGGGAGGTGGAGGCTGCAGTGAGCCGAGATCGTGCCACTGCACTGCAGCCTGGGCGATGGAGTGAGACTCCGTCTCAGAATAAATAAATAAATAAATAAATAAATAAATAAATAAATAAGAGTCCTAGAGACAGGGGAAAACAGAGACCCAGAGATAGAGATGCAGTGACCCAGGAGAATGGACGGGGACCCAGAGAGAAAGAGAAGGGGCCTAAGATTCTGAAAGAAAGGTCATGGCTAGAAGAGAGAGAGGTTCAGGACCCCGAGTATCCCCCATGTTCTCACCTCCCAGCCCTCCCCGGTGTCCCCAAACTCCTTCCTCTGAGTGGATGCGAGGAACTCCTCCAGGGTCACGAGGCGGTCCTGGTTGGTGTCCACCTGGGGAGCCAGATAAGGGTGAGTGACAGAGCTGGGGGCCCGTCCTCTCCCCCGCCTGGCCCCCACCTCACATTCTTCATCACATGCTCCCGCATGCGCAGTCGCTCCTCCTCCATCTCCCGCATGTCGTCCTCCTCATTCTTTGGGTCGTACACTTTCTCCAGCTGCAGGAGCAAGCGAGAGGCAGACAGCATTGAGAGGTCCCCAGCGAGCTCATTCCCGACAACTTCAACTCCCAGCAGTCCTTTGGGCACGCTACCACTCCTGGGAGCCGTTTTTGCCCCAGGGGCTGATGGGAGTTGTAGTTTTCACTGAGCTCCCATCCAGGGGGATTTAAGGGGACTGCAGGAGGAAACAAGTGGCTGATTTGGGCGTCCCTCCAGGTGCCCGAGGCTTCCAAGATGCTCACCTCCTTGGTGAAGAGTGCCTCCAGCTCCTGCTCATCCAGGACACCATCACTGTTGATATCTGAAGGGAAGAGGATAGCAAGGTATCTCAGGGGACCGAGGACGGGATGTGTAAGGTCCCTGGTGAAGAAATTTTGGGCTGATGTGGGGTCTGTTATCAGAGGACAGGTAACTACGGGTCTCCCGCGGTGGAACGGTGGCCCCCAGGCTTTAGTACCCCACTAGACCCGTTGCTAGGGCCACTGCCTAGCGACCAGGGGGTTGAGAATGGAATAGATCAAAGGGAGGGTTCGAGGAAACATGCTTGGGTCACTGTCATGCAGGATTCTCTGGCCCTGGCATTCAGTGCTCTGGACACAGAGTCAGCTCCAGGGTTATCAGGGACCTCTGCCTCCCAGACAACCAGGCCAGTGCCGACTCCAGTTGTGAGGGGAGCCTCTCCTACCAACGTAGACCCCACAGCTGCAGGGCTTCAGGCTCGGTCAGCCACACTTCCTGTCCTCACCACCGGCCCTCCTTCCTCGGCTCCCTCAGACAAGCACAACCTTCCTCCTGAGGAGGAGGCCAGGAACCCTCATCTTGCAAATCCAGTGGTTAATTTCCACCTGCATCTGACTTGACTTTCTGCCCTTGGCTTCCAGAACATGATTCTGTCCTCTCTGGCTGCCCCTCCACCTCCTTTGACGGCTCCATCCTCTTCCTGACCTCCACATGCTAGTGTGGCCCAGGGCTCAGGCCTGGGGGTCTCTTCTCTGCCTAAACTCTGGATCTGCGCTGTCCAGTACAGTAGCCGCTAGCCACATGGGCTGTTTAAATGTAAATTGATTAAGATTAAAGAAAATGTAGGGGCCAAATTTAGGGGCTCATGCCTGTAATCCCAGTACTTTGGAAGGCTAAGGCAAGATCATTTGAGCACATTAAGTTCGAGACCAGCTTAGAAAAGATGGCTAGACCCCGTCTCTACAAAAAAAAAAAAAAAAGTAAAAAATTGGGCCGGGTGCGGTGGCTCACGCCTGTAATCCCAGCACTTTGGGAGGCCGAGGCAGGAGGATCACCTGAAGTCAGGAGTTCAAGACCAGCCTGGCCAGCATAGTAAAACCCCGTCTCTACAAAAATACAAAAATTAGCCAGGCATAATGCCAAGTGCCTGTAACCCCAGCTACTCAGGAGGCTGAGGCAGGAGAATAGCTTGAACCTGGGAGGCGGGGGTTGCAGTGTGCCAAGATCATGCCATTGCACTCCAGCCTGGGCAACAGAGCAAGACTCTGCCTCAAAAAGAAAAAAAAAATTTAAAAATTGGCTGGGCATGGTGGTGTGCACCTATGATCCCAGCTACTCTAAGGGTTGAGGTGGAAGAATCACTTGAGCCCAGGAGGTCTGGGTTGCAGTGAGCCATGATCACGCCACTGCACTCCAGCCTGGGTGACAAAGGGAAGCCCCATCTCTAAAAATAAAAAAAATGAAAAATAAAAAAAGGTATAGGGAGTTGCTCTGAACCTATTCTGGTCTGTAGGGACTGCCTGATTAAAAAGATTAAATAAGGTTTTTATTTTTTTATTTTTTAGAGACAGGGTCTCACTCTGTCACCCAGGCTGGAGTGCAATGGTGTGATCGTAGCTCACTGAAGCCTTGAACTCCTCGGCTCAAGTGATCCTCCCACCTCAGCCTCCCAAGTAGCTGGGACTACAGATGCACGCCACCACACCCAGCTAATTTTTGTATTTGTTTTCATAGAGATGGGGTTTTGCCATGTTGCCCAGGCTGGTCTTGAACTCCTGGTCTCAAGGGATCCAGCCGCCTTGGCTTCGCAAAGTGCTGGGATTATAGGGGTAAGCCACTGCGCCGGGCCTATTTATTTGTTTATTTATTTTTGAGACAGAGTCTCGCTCTGTTGCCAGGCTGGAGTGCAGTGGCATGATCTCAGCTCACTGCAACCTCCACCTCCAGGGTTTAAGTGATTCTCCTGCCTCAGCCTCCTGAGTAGCTGGGACTGCAGGTGCGTGCCACCATGCCCAGATAATTTTTGTATTTTTAGTAGAGACGGGGTTTCACTATGTTGGCCAGGATGGTCTCGATCTCTTGAGCTCCTGATCTGCCTGCCTTGGCCTCCGAAAGTGCTGGGACTACAGGCGTGAGCCACTGAGCCCAGCCTATTTTCTATTTTTTAGAGACAGGGTTTCACTCTGTTGCCCAGGCTGGAGGGCACTGGTATGATCATAGCTCACTGCAGCCTTGAATTCCTGGACTCAAGTGATCCTCCCACCTCTGCCTCCCAAGGAGCTGGGACTACAGATGCACGCCACCACACCCAGCTAATTTTTGTATTTTATTTGTAGAGATGGGTTTGTGCCATGTTGCCCAGGCTGGCCTTGAACTCCTGGACTCAAGGGATCCACCCACCTCGGCCTCCCAAAGTGCTGGGATTACAGGCGTGAGCCACCGCATCCAGCCCAAATGTCCTCTCTAGAGCTGTGCTGGGACTCCAGTACAGCAGCCACTAGCCACATGGGGCAATTGAAATAGAAATTAATATCCAGTAGAATGAAAACTTCAGTTCCTCACCATTATGCTAAGTGAAATAAGCCAAACACACACACACACACACACACACACACGACAAATACCAAAAGATTCTACTTGCATGAAGTACCTAAAATAGTCAAAATCATAGAGACAGAAAATAGAATGGTGGTTGCTAGAGAGCAGGGGAAAGAAGGGGAGGGCGAGTGGTTTAATGGATACGGTTTCGGTTGTGCGAGATGAAGAGCTCTCAGAATTGGTTGCATGACAGTGTAAATATACTTAATACTATTGAACTGTACAATTAAACATCTTTAAAGCTGGGCGCAGTGGCACACACCTGCAGTCTCAGCTACTCAGGTGACTGAGGCAGGAGGATTGTTTGAGGCCTGGAGTTTGACTCCAGCCTGGGCAACATAGCAAGATCCTGTCTCAAAAAAAAAACAAAACAAAACACGGGGGGTGGTGCCCGGTGGGATGGCTCATGCTTGTAACCCCAGCACTTCGGGAGGCCAAGATAGGTGGATCGCTTGAGCAAAGGAGTTTGAGACCAGCCTGGGCAACATGGTAAAACCTTGCCTTTACTAAAAATTAAAAAAATTAGCCAGGCATAGTGGTACGTGCCTGTGGTCCCAGATACTTGGGAGGCTGAGGGGGAGGATCACTTGAACCTGGGTGGTCAAGGCTGCGAGGTAGTACACGTCACTACCTGAGACCCCATTACAGAATCTTCTAATTCTTTTTTACTTTCTATTGCTTTTTGAGACAGAGTCTCACTCTGTTGCCCAGGCTGGAGTGCAGTGGTGTGATCTCAGCTCATTGCAACCCCCGCCTTCCGCCTCCCGGGTTCAAGCGATTCTCCTACCTCAGCCTCCTGAGTAGCTGGGACTATAGGTGAGCACTACCATGCCTGGCTAATTTTTGTTTTGTTTTTTAATTTTTGTATTTTTAGTAGAGACTGGGTTTTGCCATGTTGGCCAGGCTGGTCTCCAACTCCTGGCCTCAAGGGACCCACCCGCCTAGGCCTCCCAAAGTGTTGGGATTACAGGCGTGAGCCACCACACCCGGCCTAGAACCTTCGTTGATTCTGAGATGCACTTTTGTGTTCTTCTATTTTATCACCCCTGAAATAGGGATGTATCTTTATTTATTTAACTTTTAATTTTTATTTTTTTCTTTGTTTTTTTGAGATGGAGTGTTGCTCTGTCACCCAGGCTGCAGTGCAATGGCACGATCTTGGCTCACTGCAAACTCTGCCTCCCGGGTTCAAGTGATTCTCCCACCTCAGCCTCCTGAGTAGCTGGGATTACAGGCACTCACGATCATGCCCAGCTAATTTTGGTATTTTTGTGGAGATGGGGTTTCACCATGTTGGCCAGGCTGGTCTTGAACTCCTGACCTCAGGTGATCCTCCCACCTCAACCTCCCAAAATGCTGGGATTATAGGCGTGAGCCACCACGCCTGGTCTATTTTTTTTTTTTAAATAGAGACAGGGTCTCACTTTGTTGTCCAGGCTGGTCTTAAATTCCTGGGCTCAAGCCATCTTCCACCTTGGCCTACCAAAGTGCTGGGATTACAGACATGAGCCACTACACCCAGCCCAGGACGCATCTTGTTTTCAATGGTACGTTAATTTAATTGGCAGCTTACGTAAAATGCTAGCACCTCTCATACTGTACAGTCTCGTGGAGTTACTAAAGTATGGTATGATCTGTGTGCCTGATCACTGGCTCTGAGGGGGAGGTACTTTGTTTTGTTTACAGTTGTATCCACGGGGTCTTGACAAAGCTTGGTCCTTAGAGGGAACTTAGGAAAGGTTTGCTGAATGAATGAGTCAGGCCTTGCTAAGCTTATCTGACCGGCTACAGATTCTGGGACAGGGTGCTTGGCATACCTGAGGGGGCTTGGCAACCCCAGGCCACATTTCCAGACAGGAAGAGACAGACTGAGGGGAGTGTGCCTTTGATCCACCATAGAGAAAGGGCTTTCGAGGCCGGGCGCAGTGACTCACGCCTGTAATCCTAGCACTTTGGGATGCTGAGGGGGCAGATCACACGAGGTTGGGAGTTCGAGACCAGCCTGGCCAACATGGTGAAACCCCATCTCTACTAAAAATACAAAAGTTAGCCGGGCATGGTGGTGCATGCCTGTAATCCCAGCTACTCGGGAGGCTGAGGCAGGAGAATCACTTGAACCCGGGAGGCGGAGGGCAGGGGGTTGCAGTGAGCCGAGGTCATGCCACTGCACTCCAGCCTGGGCAACAGAGCAAGACTCCATCTCAAAAAAAAAAAAAAAAAGGAAAAAGAAAAAGAGAAAGGGTTTTCCAGGCTTCTGGAGGCCTGGTTCTTAGGGAACAACCCACTCCTAGCGACAGGGTTCCCAGAGTGGACCAGGGCTTCTCCTGGGCTGCTGTGGGCAGAGGGCCCAGGCCTAGCCAAGCCTGGTTTGCTTACAGAGGACACCAGCTGTCCTTAGAACCCCGAGGTCTGGTGTTTGCTAGAAAAGAGGCCCAACCCTTCCATGCAGATCCTAGCCTTGTAGTCGGGAGAGGCAGGGCTGTCTGGTCAACCAGGGGACATAGGCTTGGCTCTTGGGCCTGACTAAGCCCTCCTGGGACAGACACACCCCTCTTAGCATTCAGGTCCTAGAAGGGTCAGAATCTAGGGTTCATCCTGGCTCTGGAACTCCCTCCCCACCTTACCATGCAGTATGAAGAAGGTCTTGGGGTTAAACCTGTTGGGGTCCAGTCCATCCAGCTCCTCCCACACCTCCTTCAACTGGGCTTGGCTGCCCTGTGGAGGGGAGAGCCAGGAGCTCATGAGCAAGAAGTCTGGATGCCATGGGATAAAACCAAATATCCCTTTACCCTCATCCAACAAACATCATCTCCCTCAAGCAAGAAAACTAAGAAAACTACAACTCCCAGCAGACCCTGGGGCAGCCAGGTACAGTAACAGGGAGTTTTTTTGCCTCAAGGGCCCCTGGGAATTGTAGTTCTTTAACTGCTTTCTTGTCTTGCGTTTGAACTGGATGTGGTAGGGAGTGGATGGGCACAAATGGGGTCCTCACAGGCACGTTGACTTTAGGGTGCTCGCGGTGCCGGCGCTGTTGCTCTTCCAGCTTCCTCTCCGCCTCCTTTCTCTGCTCCTCTCCCAGTGACTCCAGATAACGCCGTCTCTCGTGTTCCTTAAGCATCTCGTAGCGCTTGAACTCTTCATGATGGGCTGCGTCGTACTGGGCAAGGTCCCGGGTGGCCTGGGGAAAGGCACAGGGTCATTCCCCTCTGCCCCCTCTGCCCAGCCCCCAATTCCAGCCTGTAAATGGCAGGCCCTTGGCCCTGAACCTGGCTGAGGGCAGCCCCAGCCTCTACCTGTCTTTCTTACGTCTCGTGTCCTAATGTCCCTTTTTTTTTTTTTTTTTTTGAGAGGGAGTCTTGCTCTGTTGCCCAGGCTGGAGTGCGGTGGCACAATCTCTGCTCACTGCCTCACTTCAACCTCTGTCTTCCGGGTTCAAGTGATTCTCCTGCCTCGGCCTTTCGAGTAGCTGGGATTATAGGCATGTGTCACCAGGCCCAGCTGATTTTTGTATTTTTAGTAGAAACGAGGTTTCACCATGTTGGCCAGGCTGGTCTCAAACTCCTGACCTCAGGTGATCCGCCCACGTCAGCCTCCCAAAGTGCTGGGATTATAGGCGTGAGCCATCGCGCACAGCCTGATGTCGCCCTTTTTGGTTTCCATGACTGCTCCTGCCCCATAACACACTTTCTTCTCTTTATTCAAAACAGATTGGGACGGTTATACAATAGCAACTTCAACCCACCTCTTTCAAGTCCTCCACAATCTCCAGATCTTGGAGGAATAAGTAAATAGGAACAACATATGTGGTGAACTTAGTATTTATGTATTTCAGGTACAGCTAGGTGGCCAAGAACATAAGGTCAGACTAGGAGAGGTGGGTCACGCCTGGAATCCTAGCACTTTGGGAGGCTAGGGTGGGAGGATCACTCGAGCCCGGGAGTTCAAGACTAACTCACATAACACAGCGAGACCTTGTGTCTACTAAAAATTTTTAAAATTAGCCTGGTGCGGTGGCTTGCACCTCTGGTCCCAGCTACTCAGGAGGGTCAGGTGGGAGGATTGCTTGAGCCCAGGAGGTTGAGGCTGCAGTGAGCTGTGATCATGCCACTGCACTCCAGCCTGGGCATCAGAGCAAGACGCTGTCTCAGGTAAAAAAAAAAAAAAAAAAAGTAAAAATAAACCAAAAAAAGAACAAGAGGTTTCTAACTATTTTGCCCAGCGTTCAAATCTAGGCTTTGCTTTGTGACCAAATCTCATAAGCTCTGTGACACTGGGCAAGTTACTCAGCCTCTTTGTGCCTCAGTTTCCACCTCTGTAAAATGGAGTTAACAATACCAGGTTGAACAGTATACTCCCCCCACACTCCCAAATTCATGTCCACCTGGAATCTCAGAATGTGATCTTATTTGGAAATAGAGTGTTTGCAGATGTAATTAGTTAAGATGATGGCCTGCTAGATTACGGTGGGTATCACTATAAGAAGAGCTGGGTGCGGTGGCTGACACTTGTAATCCCAGCACTTTGGGAGGCTGAGGCGGGTGGATCACCTGAGGTCAGGAGTTCGAGACCAGCCTGGCCAACATGGTGAAACCCTGTCTCTACTAAAAATACAAAAATTTTCTGGGCGTGACGGCAGGCACCTGTAATCCTAGCTACTCGGGAGGCTGAGGCAGGAGAATCGCTTGAACCCGGGAGGCGGAGGTTGCAGTGAGCCGAGATTGTGCCATTGCACTCCAGCCTGGGGGAAAACAGCGAGATTTCGTCTCAAAAAAAAAAAAAAAAAGAAAAGAAAAGAAACGACTCAGCCCTCTACCAGCCTCCAACCTCAGAGAACACCAGCAGGAATGGTGAGCTGGCTCACGTCTGGGACTCTGTCCCCTTCTCCCCTTCCGCAAAGCTACCCTCAATCCTCTGCCTCCGGACCCACTCCCATTACCGTCTGGATCAGCAGCTCCAGGTCGCGGGCCTCGAATGTATGCTGGTTCTGAGGGTCCAGGTGTTCAAACTGTTTCAGGAGATTCAGATGATCCACCTGTACATCTGGAAGAGAGGGAAGAGTCCAACACCTGAGGGCATGTTCTTTCAGAACCCCCATCTTGGGCCAGACATGATCCAAAGAAGTCACGGACAGCACTAGGGAAGCCCAGAAGACAGCTTGAACCTGGGGCAATCAGGGAAGGCTTCCTGGAGGAGGTGATCCCACGACTGAGTCTGATGCTTACAATAATAACCATAATAAAAACTAACATGTAGTGCCTACTTACTAGATGCCAGGCCATGCCCTAAGCACTTTAACTGTATTAATTCATTCACTTTCCACAAAATCCTGACAACAAGGGTTTTATGATTATCCCCATTTTATGAATGTGAAAACTGAGACCCCTTGAGGGGTTGTGACTGGTCTAGGGTACCAGCTAGCAAGTGGCAGAGCAAGGATGGGAACCAGCCATTGGACATCCAAAAACCATGACACTCAACCATTTCTTTTTTTCTTTTCCTTCTTTTTTTTTTTTTTTGAGACAGGGTTTCACTCTGCAGTGGCAGGATCTCGGCTCGCTGCAACCTCCGCCTCCCAGGCTCAAGCAATCCTCCTGCCTCAGCCCCGAGTAACTGGGACTACAGGTGCATGCCACCACACTCGGCTAATTTTTGTATTTTTAGTAGAAACAGAAACAGGGTTTCACCATGTTGGCCAGGCTGGTCTTGAACTCCTGACCTCAGGTGATCCACCCACCTCGGCCTCCCAAAGTGTTGTGATTACAGGTGTGAGCCACCACGCCCAGCCTCAACCACTCTTTAAAAAAAACAAACAAGGCTGGGTGCGGTGGCTCACGCCTGTAATCCCAGCACTTTGGGAGGCCAAGGGGGGCGGATCACAAGATCAAGAGATTGAGACCATCCTGGCCAACATGGTGAAACCCCATCTCTAATAAAAACATAAAAAATTAGCTGGGCATGGTGGTGCGCACCTGTAGCCCCAGCTACTTGGGAGGCTGAGGCAGGGGAATCACTGGAACCTGGGAGGCGGAGGTTGCAGTGAGCCGAGATCACGCCACTGCACCAGCCTGGTGACAGAGTGAGACTCCGTCTGAAAAATAAATAAATAAAATAAATACATACATACAAACAAAAGAAAAACATCAAAATTTTTGATAAAGCATCAACCAATCTTAGGGGTTAAATTGCACGCTCCTAAGTTTCTATGTTGAAGTCCTAAGCCCCAGTACCTCAGAATGTGACCTGATTTGGAGACTAGGTCTTTACAGAGGGAATCAGGTTAAGATGAGGTCATTACTGTGGGCCCTAATCCAACATGATTGGTGACCTTATAAAAGGCAGAAATTTATGACTGGGCACAGTGGCTCATGCCTGTAATCCCAGCACTTTGGGAGACTGAGGTGGGAGGATCACTTGGGCTCAGGCATTCGAGACCAGCGTGGGCAACATGGTGAAACCCCATCTCTACAAAAAATATAAAAATTAGCTGTGTGCAGTGGTGTGTGCCTGTAGTCCCAGCTGCTCAGGAGGCTAAGGCAGGAGAATCACTTGAGCGTGGGAGGGGGAGGATGCAGTGAGCCGAGATCGCACCACTGCACTCTAGCCTGGAGGATAGAAGTGAAACCCTGTCTCAAAATAATAATAGGCCGGGCGCGGTGGCTCACACCTGTAATCCTAGCACTTTGGGAGGCCAAGGCGGGTGGATCACCTGAGGTCAGGAATTCGAAACCAGCCTGCCCAACATGGCAAAACTCCATCTGTACTAAAAATACAAAATTATCCAGGCGTGGTGGCGCGTGCTTGTAATCCCAGCTACTTAGGAGTCTGAGGCAGGAGAATCGCTTGAACCTGGGAGGCAGAGGTTGCAGTGAGCTGAGATCGCGCCACCGCACTCCAGCCTGGGCAACGAGAGCAAAACTCTGTCTTGGAAAAAAAAAAAAATAATAATAATAATAATTAATAAAAAATAATAATGGAAGGAGAAATTTGGGCCAGGCACACAGAGAGGAAAGATGGTGTGAAAATGCAGTGAGAAGACGGCCATCTGCAAGCCAAGGAGAGGGGCCTGGTACAGATCCTCCCTCATAGCCCCAGAAGGAACCAACCCTGCCAATACTTTCACTTTGGACTCTGACTGCAGGCCATGAGACAGTCAAGTTCTGTTGCTGAAGCACCTGGTCAGTGGTACTTGGTTACAGCGGCCTCAGCAAACAAGTGCAGCCTCCCTCATATGGGAGTTTCCAAGTAGTCAGGAAGGGGTAGGGTTTCCAGGCAGGAAAGGACAGCGCACACGCTGCCAACACACACTTACCGCACGCATGTCTCCCGAGGCTTCTAGGGGCCCAGGCCTGCGCTGTGCAATGCTGGACCCAAAATGAATCAGCCTGGCCCTGGCCTCCAGTGGCCCTTGGTTAGGTGGGGAGAAAGACACACACACACACACACACACACACACACACACACACACACCCCTTGGTCAAGTGGGCAGAAAGACACACACACACACACACACACACACACACACACACACACACACACACACGGGCAGCTAGAATTTGGGAGACCTAGGCTGCAGTGGAGGCAGCTCCGGCCCTGGCTGAGCCCAGAGGAGTGACAGGTGTGCAGGACACAGGTACAAACTGAATCTCAAATTCATTATTTGTGCCAGGGACGTGTGTTGAGCCGCTATTCCAGGCTGACCCAGCGCCGGCCGCTATGGACACAGCAGGAATCAAATGATGACAGAATTCTGACTCTTGGAGGCCAGGCGGGGTGGCTCATGCCTGTAATCTCAGCAATTTGGGAGGCTGAGGCGGGTGGATCACCTGAGGTCAGGAGTTTGAGACCAGCCTGGCCAACATGGTGAAACCCTGTCTCTACTAAAGATACAAAATTAGCCAGGTATGGTGGCGGGCACCTGTAATCCCAGATACTCAGGAGGCTGAGGCAGGAGAATCGCTTGAACCTGGGAGGCAGAGGTTGCAGTGAGCCGAGATCGCGCCACTGCACTCCAGCCTGGGCGACAGAGTGAGACTCTGTCTCAAAAACAACAACAACCAAAAGAGTTCTGCCTCTTGGAGCACCCAGTCTAGAGAGACAGAGAACAGGCGACCAAGGGATGAACAAAGGAATACCAAGGACACAAATAACACAGAGGCTCCTTCACACAGGACAGCCGGGGCGGTGACACCCTGAGGAGGTGACATTCCAGGGGAGATGGAAGGTCCATGGACCAGGCAAAGAGCCCTGAGAAAGAATGTCACGGGAGAGCGGGGCGAACGGACAAAGGTCCCAAGGCTGCACGCCAGCAATTTCTAAAAATGCTGACGCAAGAAGGTCAGGGTGCATACGGGAAGGGCAGGGTTGGGCGGGTGTGGCCAAGGTCCACCCAGGCTCCGAGCAGACAAGAGGAACATGAATGCGGGCCTGAGGGCACTGGGGTGCCGGGGGCAGGCTCTGGGCAGAGGAGGGACGGGAAGAGCCTGGGTGTTGTGGCAGCTGGATACTGGTGCCCTAAAAGATATCCACATCCTGATCCCCGGAACCTGTGAATGCGTGACCTTTCCGGGCTAAGGGGTCCTGGCGGATGGGATTACATTAAAGACCTTAAGATGGGGGCCAAGGCTGGTGGCTCAGGCCTGTAATCCCAGCACTTTGGAAGGCCGAGACAGGAGGATCACTTGAAGTCAGGAGTTCAAGACCAGCCTGGCCAACATGGCAAAATCAAGTATCTACTAAAAATACAAAATTAGCCAGGTGTGGTGGCACACACCTGTAATCCCAGCTACTTGGGAGGCTGAGGCAGGAGAATTGCTTGAACCCAGGAGGCGGAGGTTGCAGTGAGCCGAGATCGCGCCACTGTAGTGCAGCCTGGGAGACAGAGCAAGATTCTGTCTCACCAAAAAAAAAAAAAAAAAAGGCCAGGCGCGGTGGCTCACACCTGTAATCCCAGCACTTTGGGAGGCCGAGGTGGGCGGATCACGAGGTTAGAGATCAAGACCATCCTGGCTAATACAGTGAAATTCCGTCTCTACTAAAAATACAAAAAATTAGCTGGGCATGGTGGCGGGCGCCTGTAGTCCCAGCTACTTGGGAGGCTGAGGCACAAGAATGGCGTGAATCCAGGAGGCGGAGCTTGCAGTGAGCCGAGATTGCACCACTGCACTCCAGCCTGGGTGACAGAGCGAGACTCTGTCTCAAAAAAAAAAAAAGAAAGATATTAGCTGAGCAAGGAAAAACAGTGTGACCTGATAAATCTCCCGATTTTATCGCTGTACTTATGCAAGAGTATCACACTGAAATGTGTAAGGGTGATGAGATGGTGACTGTGGTGAAGTCCCAAACGTGAGTGACAAAGCAAATGGAGCAAATGTTAACTAGAGAAGCCAGGTCAGGGGTGTTTGGGAGTTTTCTGTACTACTCTTACAACTTTTCTAAAAGTTTGAAGTTCTTTCAACTTTTTTTTTTTGAGATGGGATCTTGTTCTGTCGCCCAGGCTGGAGTACAGTGGCGCAGTCATGGCTCACTATAGCCTTGACATCCCAGGCTCAACGATCCTCCCACCTCAGCTTCCTAAGGAGGTGGGACCACAGGCATGCATTACCATGCCCAGCTTATTTTTTAATATTTTTTATAGAGACAGGGGTCTTGCTATGTTGCCCAGGCTGGTTTTGAACTTCTGGGCTCGAGTGATTCTCCTGCCTCAAAAAGTGTTGGAATTGCAGGCGTGAGCCACTGCACCCGGCCTCTACCAGAATTTTAAATGACAATTTTTTTTTTTTTTTTTTGAGTCAGAGTTTCACTCTGTTGTCCAGGCTGGAGTGCAATGGTGCGATCTCGGCTCACTACAACCTCCGCCTCCCGGGTTCAACCAATTCTCCTGCCTTAGCCTCCTGAGCAGCTAGGATTACAGGCGTGCACCACCATGCCCGGCTAATTTAGTATTTTTAGCAGATATGGGGTTTCACCATGTTGGCCAGATAGTCTCCAATTCCCGACCTCAGGTGACCTGCTTGCCTCAGCCTCCCAAAGTACTGGGATTACAGCCGTGGGCCACTGTGCCCAGCCCATGATAAAGATTTTTAAAAACAACAAATGGAAACAGAATATAAACAAACAACATTGTAATGTTAATATTAAATCATGCTGGGAGGAACACTGGGGCAATCTCCCACGCACATTTCAGCACATTTCGCAGCGGGGAGGGAGGCCTCACCTGCCTAGCACACAACCACCTGGAGGCCGGGAGTGAGGCCACCCTTCCCCACCCCTCCCTGCCTGTCCCTCCCGCCCTGCCCCTGCTCACTGGGATCCTGCTCGGCGTCCATCTTGGCCTTGAGCAGCATCCGCAGCCGTGACACCTCCTGTCGCTTGAGCTCATCCAGCTTGGTGCGGACGTGGTGGCTGACAAAGTCCAGCTCTCGGCTCAGCTTCCCGCTCTGACAGGAGAGGAGACCCTGGTCAGCCTGGGGGCCTGCTCTCTGTCTTCTCTGGAAGCTTCTTATAAGCTTTCTCATGCCCCAGTCTTATACTGCCCCTTCCCTGCTTATAGTCCCCCAGCTCCTCAGAGTCTCCAGGAAGGACAGCTCCCAGCCCGTCAGCCTGGCATTCAAGGCCCTGCCCACCTGTGCTGCCCCATCTCCTGTCATTCATCAAGCCACATGTTTAGGGGCCAGGTGCGGTGGGTCACGCCTGTAATCCCAGCACTTTGGGAGGCTGAGGTGGGAGGATCTCAAGATCAGCCTGGGCAACATGGCAAGTCCCTGTCTCTAGAAACAATACAAAATTAGCCGTGCATGGTGGTGAGACCCAGGTCCATGAGAAGGACAGATCCTGATACGAGGGTTCAGTGTCCTACTCAGTGAAATGGGGACAATGATGGTGCTCCTAGAGGCCTGATATGGGAGTTCATGGTGATGTAAGGGACACCAGCACCTCCCTTATTTTGAATTCTTCCTCTGTAGAAGGCACCATAGGAGCATTCTGTTGACGCAGCCCTCCCACAACACTTGCTAAGGAGTGTCACCATGCTCTTCCAAACCCTTTACACATCTTCCTTTGGAAAATCCAAACCCCAAAATCCTTCCCTTGGAAAATCCAAATCCGAACTGTGCAGCAGGTTCTATGATGTCTCCCATTTTACAGGTGGGGAAACTGAGGCACGGTGAGGGGAGGCCCCATAGCTGGTAAGCGGCGGAGCTGCGACTGAAAGCCTGCCCACGGGACTCTGCACTAAACACGTATTCTGTGTTCCCCAAAGCTCTTCCCAGCTTGTGACCCCAAGAAGCAACTTCTCCCTGAGTCTTACTTTGGTGATTTTCAAATACAGGCACAGCTGGAGCCATGTGGCCCCTTTGAAGAAACCAGTATGGTCAGGCATGGTGGCTCATGCCTGTAATCCCAACACTTTGGGAAGCCGAGATGGGAGGATCACGAGGTCAGGAGTTCGAGACCAGCCTGGCCAACATGGTGAAACCCCGTCTCTACTAAAAATACAAAAATTAGTCAGGCATGGTGGTGTACGCCTGTAATCCCAGCTACTTGGGAGGTTGAGGCAGGAGAACTGCTTGAACCTGCGGGGTGGAGGTGCAGTGAGCTGAGATCGCACCATCGCACTCCAGCCTGGGTGACAGAGCAAGACTCCGTCTCAAAAAAAAAAAAAAAGAAACCAGTCCTCCCCTGAACTCTGCCCTCCCAGCACGTACCCCTCCCACAGCCCCCACTCCCCCAGCCGCACCTTGATGTCCTCCGCATTGGCAGCCTGCAGCTTCTCTCGGAAATGCCCATCCGTCTCCAGTACATCGATGACCTCCTGGAGGTACCGGTGGTAGTACAGGCCTGTGTCCTGAGGCAACAAGGACAGACATAGCAGCCCCTGCTCCCATCCCCATCCCCACCCTCACTCCTGTTACTGCTATGGCCTGCTCCCTGGGGCAGCTGACAAGGGACTCAGTTTTTACCTTTTCCCACATATGCAGCAAAGATGAAATGAAAATCACATCAGTGAACACCCAGCCCAATACTGCCCAGAGTGGGTGCTCAGAGTGGACATGACTTGTTGGGAAGCTGTGAATCATACTTTTATCCATCCATCCAACCATCCATCCATCCATGCATCCACCCATTCATCCATGCATCCACCCACCCATCCATCCATACATCCCACCCACCCATCCATACATACATCCTACCCACCCATCTATCCACCCATCATCCATCCATCCATCCACCCATCCATCCACTCATCCATCCATCCACCCACCCACCCATCCATCCATCCATCCACCCATCCATCCATCCACCCACCCATCCATCCATCCATCCATCCATCCACTCATCCATCCATCCATCCACTCATCCACCTGCCCATCCATCCACCCACCTATCCATCCATCCATCCATCTATCCATCCATCCATCCACTCATCCACCCACCCATCCATCCACCCGCCCATCCATCCACTCATCCATCCATCCACCCACCCATCCATCCATCCACCCACCCATCCATCCATCCACTCATCCACCCACCCATCCATCCACCCGCCCATCCATCCAACCACCCGTCCATCCATCCATCCACTCATCCACCCACCCATCCATCCACCCGCCCATCCATCCACTCATCCATCCATCCACCCACCCATCGATCCATCCACCCACCCATCCATCCATCCACTCATCCACCCACCCATCCATCCACCCGCCCATCCATCCACCCGCCCATCCATCCAACCACCCATCCATCCATCCATCCACTCATCCACCCACCCATCCATCCACCCGCCCATCCATCCAACTGCCCATCCATCTACCCACCCGCCCATGCATGCATTCATTCATTCAACAAACATTCACCAGGCCCCTATCATATGCCAGGCACTGTGAACAACACAGACAAAAGTCCCAGGCCTCCTAGTCCCACCCCCGTCATGCGTAGCTGGGTGGGACTTTACTCTCCCTGGGCCTTCTATGCTCTTACTATTTATAAAATAGGCAATATATCCTCTGCCTCCCAGAGTTGTGGTGAAAAGCAAATAAGATAAGTTGGAAAAAATAAATAAATAAAATTACAAAAGAGAGAAGGCCAGGCATGGTAGCTCATGCCTGTAATCCCAGTGCTTTGGGAGGCTGAGGTAGGAGGATCACTTGAGCCCAGGAGTTCAAGGCTGCAGTGAGGTATGATCCTGCCACTGCGCTTCAGCCTGGGCACCAGCACAAGACCCTGTCTATTAAACATATATATATATATATACATTCTTTACCTCTTTACCTAGTCTCACAAGATCCCACATGATCCACATAATCCCCCTCTCCCCTCCCTCTCACTCTCCCTGCTCCAGCCACAGCAGCCTCCTTGACGTCCTCAACTTGCTCTGCTTTCTCCTACCAAGTGGCCTTTGCTCATGCTGTTCCCTCTGCCTGGAATGCTCTTCCCCTCACTTCCTCTCTTCCTTGCTCTTGACTTAACATATCTCTCCAGTTCAGAACTCAGTGGCTCACACCTATTATCCCAGCACTTTGGGAGGCCGAGGCGGGCAAATCACTTGAACTCAGGAGTTCGAGACTAGCCTGGGCAGTATAATGACACCCTGTCTCTATCAAAAATACAAAAAAAATTAGCTAGGCATGGTGGCACATGCCTGCAGTCCCAGCTACTCCAGAGGCTGAGGCAGGAGGATCGCTTGAGTCTGGGAGATGGAGATTGCAGTGATTGCACCACTGCACTCCAGCTTGGGTGACACAGCAAAAATAAAAAAAAAAAAAAAAAAGAAAAAGGAAAAGAAAAAATGAGGTGGCTCATGCCTGTAATCCCACCACTTTGGGAGGCCGAGGCAGGCAGATCAAGAGGTCAAGAGATCGAGACCATCCTGGCCAACATGGTGAAACTCCGTCTCTACTAAAAATACAAAAATTAGATGGGCGTGGTGGTGTGCGCCTGTAGTCCCAGCTACTCGGGAGGCTGAGGCAGGAGAATCACCTGAACCTGGGAGGCAGAGGTTGCAGTGAGCCAAGATTGCACCACTGCACTCCAGCCTGGTGACAGAGCGAGAAAGAAAGAAAGAACTCAACTCACGCCTCCCTTCCTCCCTGACTGTCACCCCTGGTGTTCACTCTCATAGAGCCCTGCCCTTTGTCTTCCATCTCCCAGTGAGCAGGGATAGTCCATGGGCATGGGGCATGCACATGGCTGGGCCCTAACAACTATGCAACACATAGGCAACACTATGCCCGGCTCATAGAAGGTGCTCAGGAAACATGTGGAATGGAAGAAAAGAAATGGGACTCAACAAAGCCTTCCTGGGTCTGCAAGGATTTCACAGAATAGAGGCCTAACTTGCAGCGTGGGGACCAGGAACATGCAATGATCCGTTCCAGGGGGTAATGACTAGCCCATTCTTTGTTTTTTGAGACAGTCTCAGAAAACAGAGTCTCAGCTCTGTTGCCCAGGCTGGAGTGCAATGGCGTGACCTTGGCTCACTGCAACCTCCACCTCTCTTGGTTCCAGCACGAGAATTCGTGCCTCAGCCTCCCAGAGTAGCTGGGATTATAGGCGTGAGCCACCACGCCCAGCTAATTTCTGCATTTTTGGTAGAGATGGGGTTTTGCCATGTTGGCCAGGCTGGTCTTGAACTCCTGACCTCAAGTGATCCGCCTGTCTCGGCCTCCCAAAGTGCTAGGATTACAGGCATGAGCCACTGCGCCTGGCCTGACCAGCCTATCCTTATGGGGAGCTATAGGAAGATTCGGACCACAAGACACTCACTGACCTTCAGGATCTCCAAAGTTCCAAATCCCTTAAGACCAAAGCTTTTATTGGGTTTGATAAACACATGTAGGAATTAATAAACAAGCAGTTCACCCGCCCTTCTGTAATTTAAACTACAACTCCCAAGAGCACCATGAAGTCAGAATACCCCAGCTAGCCAACATCAACTGCTACTGGGAACTAGCAACATGGTGCTACTGGGAAATGTAGTTTTGTTTGTTTGTTTTCAAATTCCTTCTTGGGTGGAGAGAATCTTAAAAAAACAGACGTTTAGTTGGGGCGTGATGCAGATTTTCCACACCTCAGAGTCAGGGACCTCCAGTTTTTCACCAAGTCAAACCCCTGCTGCTGGGAGGAATGGTGGGCAAAAAACAAGCTACAACTGTAGGGCCAGGAAGTCACTGGAGCATCCGCCCTACGGGCACCGGGGTCTGCAGGAGCTGTAGTACCACTGCAAACACCTGGCTGGATAGCAGGGCAGGGCCACTCACGGGACTCTCAGTCGCAGGGGTCTCCTCCTTGTTGGGCGCCCCTCGCTCCAGGGGGACAGCCAGCACGGCGCGAAGCAGGAGCAGCAGCAGCAGCGGCAACAGAAGGAGGGTTCCTCGGGGCCCAGAGGGAGGCATGGCAGTGTGGTCTGTGGGGGATGGAGGGCTGGATAATGCATAATGTCTGTCCCAAGCCTCTTCCTCCCCTGGAACCAGGAGTTCGGGCCCCCAGCGCCGCCCCCACTTCCAAGAATCAAGACACAAGCATTTTGTTACCCAGGCCCCAGGATTCCAGGCCTCCGGCCTTCCCTTCCTCCGACACAGGAGTCTGGGCCCTCAGACCCAGGGGTCCTGGCTCCCAACACGCTCCTCTCTCACACTCAGGAATCCGGGATCTCGGCCGCCTCCTCCCCCAGACCCAAGAGTCCAGGGTCCCAGCCTCCTCTTTTCCCAGGACCTAAAGTACTGGCACCCAGTGCATCCTCCTCCGGGACCCAGTTTTCCAGCCCTCTGGCCCCCATCCTCCCTAGGACCCAAGAGTATGGGAACCCTGGCCTCTCACCTCTCCTTCACCGCAGAGGGCGTTTTCCAGGGCGGGCAAGGACCTCCGGTGCGTTCTTGGTGACTTCCCCCCTAGACCACGCCCACTTATCCACAGAGGCCCCGCCCCAAAGAGGTCTGATTGGTCCACGCTGGCTCTGTAGCTTTCATCCACGTCCAGCGGCCCCGCCCCTTGCCGAAGCCGCTCGCATTTTCGTGAAAGCCTCGCTTCTTTCTCGGAATCCCAGCCTCTTGACGCCACATTTCCCGCCTATGCCAAAAGAGAGAGAAGGCTTTCAAAGATAACTACAACTCCCTGCCGGCCGGGGGAAAAATAACTTCCGCGGGCATCGTGGCCCCTTCGCCTCATGGGAGCTGTAGTTTTCCCATTTATTTTCGCCCCACGAAGTGCCTGGAAGTTATAGCGCGGTAGCAATTGCATAGCCTTTCTTATGAGTTTCTTTCTTCTTCTTCTTATTATTCGAGACAGGGTTTGCTCTGTCACCCAGGTTGGAGTGCAGTGGCGCAATCACTTCTCACTGCAGCCTCTACCTCCCAGGCCCAAGCAATCCTCCCGCGTCAGCCTCCCAAGTAGATGGGACCACAGGCCACACTACCATGCCTGGCTAATGTATATTTTTTAAATTTTTAATACAAATATTTAAATCTTTAATTCTTTTTTAGCCTTTTTTTTTTTTTAACGTTCTGTCTTTCACACTTCTCACACTTTGTTGTTGTTGTTTTTTAAAGAGACGGATGTCAAGCCGGGCTTGGGGGTTCACTCCTGTAATCCCAGCACTTTGGGAGGCTGAGGCAGGCAGATCACCTGAGGTCAAGGGTTTGAGACCAGCCTGGCCAACATGGAGAAACCTCGCCTCCACTAAAAATACAAATTAGCCAGGCGTGGTTGCGCATGCCTGTAATCCCAGCTACTCAGGAAGCTGAGGCAGGACAATCTCTTAAACCCGGGAGGCGGAGGTTGCAGTGAGCCGAGATCGCGCCACTGCACTCCAGCCTGGGCGACAGAGTGAGACTACGTCTCAAAAAAAAAAAAAAATCTCTGTGTTGCTGGTCTGGATCTGGATCTCCTGGACTCAAGCAATCTTGCCTCCCCGTCTCCGCCTCCCAAAGTGCTGGGATTACAGGCGTGAGCCACTGCGCCCCGCCTCTTTTAAGTTTCTTGTAAGCGAGATGTGTACAGTGAGGCCGCGAGGTCTCTGGTCTCCCGCTCTCTCTCTCTCTTTTTTTTTTTTTTTTTGAGACGGTGTCTACCTCTGTCACACAGGCTGGAGTGCAGTGGCGCGATCTCAGCTCACTGCGAGCTCCGCCTCCCGGGTTCACGCCATTCTCCTGCCTCAGCCTCCCGAGTAGCTGGGACTACAGGCGCCCGCCCGCCACAACGCCCGGCTAATTTTTTTGTGTATATATATATATTTTTTTTTAGTAGAGACGGGGATTCACCATGTTAGCCAGGATGGTCTAGATCTCCTGACCCCGTGATCCGCCCGCCTCGGCCTCCCAAAGTGCTGGGATTACAGGCGTGAGCCACCGCGCCGGGCCGGTCTCTGGTCTCTTTAAGGAACCCCCACACGGCATTCGTGTTCAGAACCCCCGGAGCAGGGTTGCCTGGCTGCATCAGTGACCGAGTTCGTTACTTTGTTGGAAGTGGAGAGTGGAGGGTCAGAAGGGAGTGGACCAGTTCAGGTCCCAGAGGGAATCCTCCCTCCCTCTGAGCCGTCTTTCTTCTCCTCCCTATTTCGCAGATATCCCGAGATTAGGTCCCCAGCTTCCAAAGAGAGGATCAGGTATGTTTAGAGATTGGCCAGAGAGGCAAGGTACCGAGGCATCAATGTGAGCAGCCTCTCCAGGCACCTGGTGAGGAGAACAAGTCTCCCGGATCCCAGGCAGGTGGGCAGTGGAGTTCTAGGCCGCTGGGGGCTGGGTGTTTGAAGTGCACAGTCCTGAGTTCTGATGCCTGGGTGCTGGAGAATTAGATATTTGGGGGAGAGAGAAGCGGACTTGCGGACCCCCGTGGGAAGCTGGAAACAGGCTACTAGATCCCGACAGGAGTGGGTGCTGGGATTCGGGCTGCCTGGGTCCGGAAGCAAATTTAAAGGTAAGGATCAGGCCGGGCACTGTGGCTCATGCCTGTAATCCTAGCACTTTGGAAGGCCAAGGCGGGCAGATCACCTGAGGTCAGGAGTCCGGCACCAGCCTGGCCAACATAGTGAAAACCGGTATCTACTAAAATACAAAAAAATTAGGCAGAATAGCGGACGCCTGTAGTCCCAGCTACTCGGGAGGCTGAGGCAGGAGAATCGCTTGAACCCAGGAGGTGGAGGTTGCAGTGGCCGAGATGGCGCCACTGCACTGCAGCCTGGGCGACAGAGCGAGGCTCAGCTGTCTCTAAATACATAAATAAATAAATAAATAAATAAATAAATAAGGCTAAAGATTAGGTGCTGGTGGGCAGGATCCATTGGGATGTTGGTTCTGATCCTGACTCCTCATTCTTGCTTCTGCAGAATGTCTCAGGATAATGACACATTGATGAGAGAGTGAGTAGGGAAACAGATGGGTAGGGGTGGAGGTGGAAAGGGCTGGGGACCCCGTGCACTCGGCTCTGGCTTCATAACCATGTTTGCAGGTTCAGCACCATCGGCCTTGCAGGAAGGGGCTGGGGACCTGGACTCCTGTGTCCTGAAGGGATGGGGCTAGGGTGCAGACTTCTGGGTCTGAAAGAGAAGGGGTTGGGGGCCCCAGACTCCTGAATCCTGAGACAGGAGGGACCTGGGATCTCTGGGTCCCGGCTTCTGTGGGCCAGTGCCAGGAGAAAGGGCCCTATAACTGGTGGAGCAGGCTCAGGTTCTGCACCTCCTGTGACCTCACAGGTGCCCAGAACCCAAGCTGAGATAGGGGCAGGATGGGGGAAGGAGGGACTCTCTTGGGCAACCGAGGTTCCCTGTGCACTGTCACCATGGGCCTGTGTCTCTCTCAGCATCCTGGGGCATGAGCTCGCTGCTATGAGGCTGCAGAAGCTGGAACAGCAGGTATTGTGCCCAGGAATCTCACCACTCCAACTCTTCCGCCTTCTGTGCCTCCCCAGGGGCCTCTCCACCAGGTCTTGCTCTAGGACTCCCAGCCCGTGTTGGCTGTCTCTCATCCTTGAGTTTTCCCACTGAGAAATGAGAAAATAGGAATTTGGGGCCGGGCAGGGCAGCTCACGGCTGTAATCACAGCACTTTGGGATGCTGAGGTGGGCGGATCACTTGAGGTCAGGAGTTCAAGACAAGCCTGGCCAACACGGCGAAACCCCGTCTCTACTAACACACAAAAAATTAGCCAGGTGTGGTGGCAGGCGCCTGTAATCCCAGCTACTCGGGAGGCTGAGGCAGGAGAATCGTTTGAATCCGGGAGGCGGAGGCTGCAGTGAGCGGAGATCGTGGTACTGCACTCCAGCCTGGGCGATAGAGCCAGACTCTGTCTCAAAAAGAAAAAAAAAAAGTAAGAAAGGAAAAAGAAAAGAAAATAGGAATTGGGGGTTCTAAAGAAGCAAACAAACCCTTGTGATGAATTTCTAAGGAACAAGGCTTCTAGAAGGCAGGACTCCTGGGTCCTGGGGGATGAGAGGACAGGGTGTCAGGACTCTTGGATCTGAGTCCAACGGTGGAATAAGGGAGGAGCTGCTGAAGAACTGAGGGCCTGGACGTGTGGGCCCCAGTGGAGGAAGGGGTTCACGAACTCTCGCGCCGATGCGAGCCCTTGCCCCAGGCCCCACCTCACTTCTGTCTTCCCATCTGGTTCCTGTCCCGGACACCCACCTCTCCCATCTCCCCAGCGGCGGCTGTTTGAAAAGAAGCAGCGACAGAAGCGCCAGGAGCTCCTCATGGTTCAGGCCAATCCTGACGCTTCCCCGTGGCTTTGGCGCTCTTGTCTGCGGGAGGAGCGCCTTTTAGGTGACAGAGGTGACCAAAGACCCCTGGGGGCGTTCGCCTGGAGGGGAGGGGCCTGTGGGAGTCTGTGGGCGGGGCCTAGTGGATGAAGGGGTGGAGCCTTAGGGTGGGGACTTGGCAGTGGATGGGGGCGGGCCTTGGCCCAGGAGAGCTTTAGAACAGGGCCTGTGGGCGCCCAGGGGAGAGGCTTGTGGGGGCCCCCCGCGGCAGGACCTGTGAGGGAGGGGTTCGGGGCAGGGCTACAGAGCGCAGGGGCGGGGCATGGTACAACTAGCAGGGGAAAGGGGCAAGAGAATGTGATGATTGGGCTTGGCAGAGCTCGGTGGTGGAGCCTGGGAAAGCCGGGACCCCCACCCCAAACCCGGGATTGCGGAGACGGGGTCTAGGGGTCCGGGGCGGGGCGCGGTCTCATTACGAGAGCCTGGCGCGAGATTCTTTACGTGCGGAGCCCGCAACAATCCAGCGGCAGGGCTGTGCTTGTTTGAGGCTTAGGATGCAGTTTGGGACCTGGGTCTCAAGGTTTGGGCGGTCCGCGAAACAGGGTGATTTTTTTTTCTTTTTTGAGACGGAGTTTAGCTCTTGTTGCCAAAGCTGGAGTACAATGGCAGGATATCGGCTCACCGCAACCTCCGTCTCCCGGGTTCAAGCGATTCTCCTGCCTCAGCCTCCCGAGTAGCTGTGATTACAGGCATGCGCCACCAAGCCCGGCTAATTTTGTGTTTTTAGTAGAGACGGTGTTTCTCCATGTTGGTCAGGCTGGTCTCGAACTCCCGACCTCAGGTGATCCGCCTGCCTCGGCCTCCCAAAGTGCTGGGATTACAGGCGTGAGCCACGGCGCCTGGCGGGGGTGATATTTGGGAGCCCAGTGACGGGGTGGATTTTGGTTGAGGACCGGAATTTGTAGATCGTTTTCATGGGCTCGCTGAACCTTCTCCCAGGCCTTGGGAACCCTTTCCTCCGGAAGAAAGTGTCAGAGGCACATCTGCCCTCTGGCATCCACAGTGCCCTGGGCACCGTGAGCTGTGGTGGAGACGGCAGGGGCGAGCGCGGCCTCCCGACACCGCGGACAGAAGCAGGTATTTGCGAGTCCACCGACCTCCTAGACCCCAGAACTCCGTCCCCACTAAAACCCAGGAGTCTGGTGCCTCAATCCATCTGTCCAAAATACTCAGGAGCTCAGGACCGCACCCACTCCTTCCTCACACCAAGGAGTTCAGGTCCTGAGCCGCCTCCTCCTGCAGCATCCAGAAATCCAACTCTCCCCTCCTTCCTTCCTCAGTGTTCAGGAATCTCGGTCTCCAGTCCCCTTTCTTATCCTGGCTCCCAGACAATTCCGATGCAGAATTGGAGGAAGTCTCCGTGGAGAATGGTTCCGTCTCTCCCCCACCTTTTAAACAGTCTCCGAGAATCCGACGCAAGGGTTGGCAAGCCCACCAACGACCTGGTAATTTAGGGGACATTGGGGTGAAACCTGGGATCTCCTGGTTCATGCAGCAAATCTTCCCCTTTCTTAGGCAGCAGCTTCACTGAAGTATAATTCACAAACCATACAAGTCACCCATTTAAAGTTCACAATTCCATGGTTTCCAGTACACGGTCGCCCCTCGGTATCTGCAGGTGATGTGTTCCAGGAACCCCACAGATACCAAGATCCGCAGACGCCAAAGTCCCTTATATAAAATGGTGTAAAATTTGCATATAAACTATGAACATCCCCCCATATACTGTAAGTCATCTCTAGATAACTTATAATACCTAATACAGTATAAATGCAATGTAAATATTTGTTGCTGTTGTTGTTGGGAGGGAGTCTCACTCTGTCGCCTAGGCTGGAGTGCAGTGGCGTGATCTTGGCTCACTGCAACCTCCGCCTCCTAGGTTCAAGCTATTCTCCTGCCTCAGCCTCCCAAGTAGCTGGGACTACAGGTGCGCATCACCACGCCCAGCTAATTTTTGTATTTTTAGTAAAGATGGGGTTTCACCATGCTGGCCGGACTGGTCTTAAACTCCTGACCTCATGATCCACCCACCTCAGCCTCCCAAAGTGCTGGGATTACAGGCATAAACCATCATGCCTGGCCCGTAAATAGCTGTTATATGTTATTTAAAAAAATTTTTAAAAATAAAGTGCCTGTAATTCCAGCACTTTGGGAGGCTGAGGCTGGTTGGTCACTTCAGTCCAGGAATTTGAGACGAGCCTGGCCAACGTGACGAAACCATGTCTCTACTAAAAATACAAAAATTAGCCAGGCAAGGGGGTGCAGGCTTGTAATCCCAGATACTCCGGAGGCCAAGGCAAGAGAGTCACTTGAACCCAGGAGGCCGAGGTTGCAGTGAGCCGAGATCATGCCACTGTACTCCAGCCTGGGTGACAGAGCAATACTCTGTCTCAAAGAAAAAAAAAATTGGTTCTGTTATTTATTGTCATCTTGTTGTTTTTCAATTTCTTTCCTGAATATTTTGGGTCAGCAGTGGGGATGTGGAGCCTGTAGGATACGAGAAGCTAACTATATTTATATAATTCTGCAACCGTCACCACAATCAATTTTAGAACATTTGTATCACCCCAGATAGAGATCCTGCATCATGGCTGGGCGCGGTGGCTCACGCCTGTAATCCCAGCACTTTGGGAGGCAAAGGTGGGTGGATCACCTGAGGTCAGGAGTTCAAGACCAGTCTGGCCAACATGGTGAAACCCAGTCTCTACTAAAAATACAAAAATTAGCTGGGCGTGGTGGCATGCACCTGTAATCCTAGCTGCTGGGGAGGCTGAGGTGGAAGAATTGCTTGAACCCAGGAGACAGAGGTTGCAGTAAACTGAGATCAGGCTACTGCATTCCAGCCAGGGTGAAAGAGCGAGACTTTGTCTCAAGGAAAAAAAAAAGAAAGAAAGAAATAGTGCATCAATTAGCAGTCACCCCTTTTCCATTTACCCCAGCCCTTGGCAACCACCAACCTCCACTGTCTTCTTAGATTTGGCTATTCTGTACATTTCACACAAATGGAATCGTATACATATGTGGTCTTTTGTATGTGGCTTCTTTCTTCAATTCCTTTTTTTTTTTTTTTCTTGAGGCAGAGTCTTGCTCTGTCTCCCAGGCTGGAATGCAATGGCGCGATCTCAGCTCACTGCAACCTCTGCCTTCTGGGTTCAAGCGATTCTCCTGCCTCAGCCTCCCGAGTAGCTGGGGTTACAGGCGCGTGCCACCATGCTCGGCTAATTTTTTGTGTTTTTTAGTAGAGACAGGGTTTCACCATGTTGGCACAGCTGGTCTCAAACTCCTGAACTTGTGATCTGCCTGCCTCGGCCTCCCAAAGTGCTGGGATTACAGGCGTGAGCTAATGCACCTGGCCTCTTTTGCTTTGAGATGGTGTGTCACTATGTTGCCTAGGCTGGTCTTGAACTCCTGGGCTCAAGTGATCCTCTCACCTTGGCTTCCCAAAGTGCTGGGATTACGGGTGTGAGCCACCGTGTGTCTTCATTCACCTCATTCACCTAATGATTTTTTTTTTTTTTGAGACGGAGTCTCACTCTGTCACCTAGGCTGTGTGGGGAAAAGAAAGAGAGATCAGATCGTTACTTTGTCTATGTAGAAAAAGGAAGACATAAGAAACTCCATTTTGATCTGTACTAAGAAAAACTGTTCTGCTGGCTGGGCGCGGTGGCTCACGCCTGTAATCCCAGCACTTTGGGAGGCCGAGGCGGGCGGATCACGAGGTCAGGAGATCGAGACCACAGTGAAACCCCACGTTTACTGAAAATACAAAAAATTAGCCGGTTGCGGTGGTGGGCGCCTGTAGTCCCAGCTATTCGGGAGGCTGAGGCAGTAAAACGGCGTGAACCCGGGAGGCAGAGCTTGCAGTGAGCTGAGATCGCGCCACTGCACTCCAGCCTGGGTGACAGAGCAAGACTCCGTCCCCCCCCCAAAAAAAAAAAGAAAAACTGTTCTGCTTTGAGATGCTGTTAATCTGCAACTCTTGTCCCAACCCTGTGCTCACAGAAACATGTGTTATATTGACTCAAGTTTTAAGGGATTTAGGGCTGGGCAGGATGTGCTTTGGTAAAAATGGTTTTGCAGGCAGTATGCTTTGTGAAAGTCATTGCCATTCTCCATTCTCTATTAACCAGAAACATAACACACTGTGGAAGGCTGCAGGGACCCCTGCCCAAGGAAGCCTGGGCATTGTCCAGGATTTCCCCGACTGAGACAGCCTGAGATATGGCCTCGTGGGAAGGGAAAGACCTGACGGTCCCCCAGCCCGACACCCGTAAAGGGTCTGTGCTGAGGAGGATTAGTGAGAGAGAAAGGCCTCCATGCGGTTAAGATAAGAAGGAGGCATCTGTCTCCTGCACGTCTCTGGAAATGGAATGACTCAGTGTAAAACCGACCATACATTCTATTCTGAGATAGGAGAAAACCACCTTATGGCTGGAGGCGAGACATCATGGCGGCAATACTGCTCTTTACTGCACTGGGATGTTTATGTAAAGTTAAACATAAATCCAGCCTATGTGCACATCCAGGCACAGCACCTTTCCTTAAACTTATTTATGACACAGAGTCTTTTGTTCACATGTTTTCCTGCTGACCCTCTCCCCACCATCACCCTATAGTCACACCAAATTCCCCTCACCAAGATAGTAAAGATAGTGATCAATAAATACTGAGGGAACTCAGAGATCAGCGCTGGTGCGGGTCCTCACTTGCGGAGCACTGGTCCCCTGGGCCCACTTTTCTTCCTCTATACTTTGTCTCTGTGTCTTCTTTCTTCTCTCAGCCGCTCGTCTCCACCTTGCGAGAAATACCCACGGGTGTGGAGGGGCAGGCCCCCTTCAGGCTGGAGCGCAGTGGCACGATCTCGGCTCACTGCAACCTCTGCCTGGCTGGGTTTAAGCGATTCTCCTGCCTCAGCCTCCTGAGTAGCTGGAACTGCAGGTGCACGCTGCCACGCCCTGCTAATTTTTGTATTTTTAGTAGAGACCGGTTTCACTATGTTGGCCAGGCTGATTTTGAACTACTGACCTCGTGATCCGCCCACCTCCGCCTCCCAAAGTGCTGGGATTACAGGCATGAGCCACCGCCCCTGGCCCACCTAACAAATTTTTTTTTTTTTTTTGAGACGGAGTCTCGCCCTGTTGCCCAGGCTGGAGTGCAGTGGCACAATCTCGGCTCACTGCAAGCTCCGCCTCCCGGGTTCACACCATTCTCCTGCCTCAGCCTCCCAAGTAGCTGGGACTACAGGCGCCGGCCACCACACCCGGCTAATTTTTTTTTTTTTTTTGTATTTTTAGTAGAGACGGGGTTTCACCATGTTTGCCAGGATGGTCTCGATCTCCTGACCTCGTGATCCGCCCGCCTCGGCCTCCCAAAGTGCTGGGATTACAGGCGTGAGCCACCGTGCCCGGCCATAAAATTTTAAGGTTCATCCGTGTGGTAGTATTATCAGTACTTCATTCCTTTTTATTCCCTTATAATATTCCATTGTGGTGACGTTTCCTTTTATTTTCATGAGATGGCCAATGATTTCAATGACAGAATTATTATCACCCCAAACTCCATCCCCCCATCTTCAGTCTCTGTGATGCTTTGTCTGAGATAAGGAAAAGGAAAGACCCTAACCCCTCCCTGTCCTTAGATCCAGGGTAATCAGAAACTCTGGCCCTTGTAGACTTCCGTGCACCTGGAGGAGGAGGAGGTTGTTGCAAGTGAGGGCGCTGAGTCATGAGTAGGGACTGAGAACCCAGGAGTTCTGGCCATCTCTGGCTAGCACTGATGATGGTGTCCCACACTCCTGGGATCCAGCTGTCCTGAGCTTAGTCCAGGCTTCTTTCATCCTTTAGGTGAAGGGGTGGGTTGCCCCTCCACACCTGTGGGTTCGTTAGGTGGAACGAGAGACTTGGAAAAGAAAAAGACACAGAGACAAAGTATAGAGAAAGAAATAAGGGGACCCAGGGAACCAGCGTTCAGCATATGGAGGATCCCGCCAGCCTCTGAGTTCCCTTAGTATTTATTGATCATTTGTGGGTGTTTCTCCGAGAGGGGGATGTGTCAGGGTCACAAGACAATAGTGGGGAGAGGGTCAGCAGACAAACACGTGAACAAAGGTCTTTGCATCATAGACAAGGTAAAGAATCAAGTGCTGTGCTTTTAGATATGCATACACATAAACATCTCAATGCTTTACAAAGCAGTATTGCTGCCCGCATGTCCCACCTCCAGCCCGAAGGCGGTTTTTCCCTATCTCAGTAGATGGAACGTACAATCGGGTTTTATACCGAGACATTCCATTGCCCAGGGACGGGCAGGAGACAGATGCCTTCCTCTTGTCTCAACTGCAAGAGGCATGCCTTCCTCTTATACTAATCCTCCTCAGCACAGACCCTTTACGGGTGTCGGGCTGGGGGACGGTCAGGTCTTTCCCTTCCCACGAGGCCATATTTCAGACTATCACATGGGGAGAAATCTTGGACAATACCTGGCTTTCCTAGGCAGAGGTCCCTGCGCCCTTCCGCGGTGTTTGTGTCCCTGGGTACTTGAGATTAGGGAGTGGTGATGACTCTTTAGGAGCATGCTGCCTTCAAGCATCTGTTTAACAAAGCACATCTTGCACCGCCCTTAATCCATTTAACCCTGAGTGGACACAGCACATGTTTCAGAGAGCACGGGGTTGGGGGTAAGGTTATAGATTAACAGCATCCCAAGGCAGAAGAATTTGTCTTAGTACAGAACAAAATGGAGTCTCCTATGTCTACTTCTTTCTACACAGACACAGTAACAATCTGATCTCTCTTGCTTTTCCCCACATTAGGGACCCGTGCAGAGGGTGAGAGTGACTCCCAGGATATGGGAGATGCACACAAGTCACCCAATATGGGACCAAACCCTGGAATGGATGGTGACTGTGTATATGAAAACTTGGCCTTCCAAAAGGTAGGAAAATGCACAATCACTCAGGATATTGGAAGAAGAGGGCTAGCCTCGGACCTCTGGTGAGGGTGGGGCTAAAATTCTGCCACCCAATCAGAAGCTCTTTTTCCTGGTGGTGATTAAGCTGGCAGAGACTTGTGTGTGTGCGTGCGTGCGTGCGTGCGTGCATGTGTGTGTGTGTACCATTCATCAAATCAGAGGATTTGACTTGACATGGACATGGCCATTAAAATACAGCTTATGGTATGGTGGCTCACGCCTGTAATCCCAGCACTTTGGGAGGCTGAGGTGGGCAGATCACTTGAGGTCAGGAGTTCGTGACCAGCCTGGCCAACGTGGTGAAACCCTGTCTCTAGTAAAATACAAAAATTAGCCAGGTGTGGTGGCGCACGCCAGTAATCCCAACTACTCAGGAGGCTGAGGCAGGAGAATCACTTGAACCTGGGAGGCGGAGGTTGCAGTGAGCTGAGATTGCACTCCAGCCCGGGAGACAGAGTGAGACTGTCCAAAAAAAAAAAAAAATAGGTGCAGCCATGGAAAGACAGCGAGCTTCAGAAAGGGCAGAACACTGATCGAAAAGGGCCAGTTGCAGGCCAGGAACGGTGACTCACGCCTGTAATCCCAGCACTTTGGAAGGCCGAGGCAGGCAGATCACCTGAGGTCAGGAGTTCCAGACCAGCTTGGCCAACTTGGTGAAGCCCCGTCTCTACTAAAAATACAAAAATTAGCTGGGCGTGGTGGCGAAAGCCTGTAATCCTAGCTACTTGGGAGGCTGAGGCAGGAGAATTGCTTGAACCTGGGAGGCAGAGGTTGCAGTGAACCGAGATCGAGTCACTGCACTCCAGCCTGGGCGACAGAGCGAAACTCTGTCTTAAAAAATAAAAGAAAAGGGCCAACTGGCACTCACTTTGGTGTTGGTGAAAGTGCAGTAGATGGTTTCTCTTGAGGGTAGATCTGGGCTGTATTATGTTATCTAGATCAAACTAACAGCCATTTTAACGGAATGGGCCTTGCTTTCAGAAAGGAATTTTCCAATCAGCAGGTGGAATGCGTGTGGCTGCAGAGGAAAGCGAATAGACTGGCCAGTCAACAGAGGAGGGCGTGACTGGGTGGACTGAATGAGATTTTTGACCAATAAGCAGAAAATGTGGATGGGCAAGGGCGGGACCCTAGGGCTGGGATGGTCAATCAGTAGTAAGCAAGGCTGGGCCGGTGGTTGTCCCTCGACTTTAAATTTGGTGCCTGGGCTAGGAAGAAGACTTGGAAAAGAAGAGAGAGGCCTCTGAGTCTACAGGGACGAACTCCTCAGCAGCACACAACGAAGAGTTGTCCAAGGCCCTGAAAGGCGAGGGTGGCACGGACAGCGACCATATGAGGCACGAAGCCTCCTTGGCAATCCGCTCCCCCTGCCCTGGGCTGGAGGAGGACATGGAAGCC
Source organism: Homo sapiens (assembly GCF_000001405.40). Lineage (NCBI taxonomy): Eukaryota > Metazoa > Chordata > Mammalia > Primates > Hominidae > Homo > Homo sapiens. The sequence continues at coordinate 48,888,075 of NC_000019.10, read as the reverse complement.
TACGTGCTGCGGCCAGCGCTCCCGGGCACCATGATGCAGTGCTACCTCACCCGTGACAAGCACGGCGTGGACAAGGGCTTGTTCCCCCTCTACTACCTCTACCTGGAGACCTCTGACAGCCTGCAGGTGCAGTAAGCCAGCCCAACAGCTTTGGGAGTAAGCCCCCACCTCCCAGGCAAAATCCCACTCCTTTCTGAGCTAGGTCAAGACCAGCCTGGGGCTGGGCACAGTGGCTCACGCCTATAATCCCAGCACTTTGGGAGGCTGAAGCGGGTGGATCACCTGAGGTCCGGAGTTCAAGACCAGCCTGACCAATATGGTGAAACCCCGTCTCCACTAAAAATACAAAAATTAGCCGGGAGTGGTGGCAGGCGCCTGTAGTCCCAGCTACTCAGGAGGCTGAGACAGGAGAATCGCTTGAACCTGGGAAGCGGAGGTTGCAGTGAGCCGAGATTGCATCACTGCACTCCAGCCTAGGCGACAGAGGAAGACTCCATCTCAAAAAACAAAAAACCAACCAACAAACACAAAAAAGACCAGCCTGAACAACATGGCAAAACCCCGTCTTTACAAAAAATACAAAATTGGTTGGGCATGGTGGTATGTGCCTGTAGTCCAAGCTACTCGGGAGGCTGAGGTGAGAGGATTGCTTGAGCCTGGGAGTTCAAGGCTGCAGTGAGATGTGATCACGCTACTGCACTCCAGCCTGGGCGACAGAGTTAGACTCTGCATAAAAAAAAAAAAAAAAAAAAAAAAAAAAAAAAGGGCTGGGCGCGGTGGCTCACACTTGTAATCCTAGCACTTTGGGAGGCCGAGGCGTGCAGATCACAAGGTCAGGAGTTCGAGACCAGCCTGGCCAACAAGGCGAAACATCGTCTCTACTAAAAAATACAAAAGTTAGCCAGGCGTGGTTGTGGGCGCCTGTAATCCCAGCTACTCAGGAGGCTGAGGCAGGAGAATGCTTGAAACTCGAAGGCGGAGGTTGCAATGAGCTGAGATCTCACACCACTGCACTCCAGCCTGGGTGAAAGAGCGAAACTCCATCTCAAAAAAAAAAAAAAAAGGCCGGGCACGGTGGTTCACGCTTGTAATCTCAGCATTTTGGAGGCCAAGGCAGGTGGATCATTTGAGCTGACAAGTTCCAGATCAGCTTGGGCAGCAAGGTGGAACCCTGTCTCTACAAAAAAAAAAAAAAAATTAGCCAGGCCTGGTGGTGCCCACCTGTAGTCCCAGCTACTTGGGAGGCTGAGGCTGAGGGAAAATGGCTTGAGTCCAGGAGGTGGAGATCTTGTGTCAAAAAAAAAAAAATAGTCTGGACCCTCCCTCACTGAGCCTTTCTTGCTATAAGCTATCAGGCCTCACTCAATCCTGAGATAAATCCTGCCCCCAGCAACCAGGTCCCTCCCCTGGTTTGTCTTTCCAGATCCAAGCCCCACTTCTCTCAATCTAGTCTTTCTGGCCTTTACCCTGCAAGTATGGTCTCCTCTCCTCGGGGTATCCTCTCTCCCCCTAGAAAGAGGTTTTTTGCCCTACTCAGAGCCAACCAAACCCATTTTTCTTGGTGAAACGCCTACCAAAGTCCTGCTGCAATATTGCAAGTGAGGGTGCTCCCCATTCTCCAAAGCCAGACCCTTCCTGGGCTAAGCTTCAACTCTGGACCCATAGGCAGAAGGAATGAGGAGGAGATATTAAGATAGGAAGCTTCCATTCAGGACCCAGCTGATGGCTTCCCTCAGTGAGAACCACATTTCCCAGTAAGTCTTTTTTTTTTTTTTTTGAGACGTAGTCTTGCTCTGTCGCCCAGTGCAGTGGCGCGATCTCGGCTCACTGCAAGCTCCGCCTCCCAGGTTCACGCTATTCTCCTGTCTCAGCCTTCTGAGTAGCTGGGACTACAGGCGCCCGCCACCACGCCTGGCTAATTTTTTGTATTTTTAGTAGAGACGGGGTTTCACCGTGTTAGCCAGGATGGTCTCAATCTCCTTACCTCGTGATCTGCCCGCCTGGGCCTCCCAAAGTGCTGGGATTACAGGCATGAGCCACTGTGCCCGGCCTCCCAGTAAGTCTTGAGAAGCTTGTTGTGCCATCACTGGCTCCTCTATCATGGGACATGACGTTTCCTTGTCTTTGGACCCCTGGCTCTAACCAGCTTCCAGAAGTCCATTTTTCTTTCATTATTTTTTATTTTTGTTTTGAGATGGAGTCTCAGTCTATTGCCCAGGCTGGAGTGCAGTGGTGCGATCTCAGCTCACTGCAACCTCTGCCCCCTGGGTTCAAGCAATTCTCCTGCCTTAGCCTCCCTACTAGCTGGGACTATAGGCACGCACTACCACGCCTGGCTAATTTTTTTTATTTTTAGTAGAGACGGGGTTTCACCATGTTGGCCAGGCTGGTCTCGAACTCCTGTCCTCAAGTGATCTGCCCGCCGCAGCCTCCCAAAGTGCAGGGATTACAGGCATGAGCCACCACACCCAGCATCCAGAAGTCCATTCTAATGGACTGTTCCTCTCATCCATAGCGCTTCCTCCTGGCTGGGCGAAAGAGAAGAAGGAGCAAAACTTCTAATTACCTCATCTCCCTGGATCCTACACACCTATCTCGGGACGGGGACAATTTCGTGGGCAAAGTCAGGTGGGTAGAGCTCTGACATGTGGTGAGGAGCAGGTAGCAGGGAGCTTAGGGACAGGGGGACTCCATTTCCCAGCAGGCCACAGAGCATACCTTCCACCTGCTCAGGGACCAGAAGAACTGAAGGGTTTGGAACGTAGGCTGGCATTTAAGGCATTTGACTCCTTGACAGGCAAGGGACTGGGATTCCTAACTTTCTGTGGGAAAAGAGGCCTGGAATGTGTGAATTATTGCATCCAAAAAGGTAGAGGGAGTGGCGAGGTGGCTCACGCCTATAATCTCAGCACTTTGGGAGGCAGAGGCGGGAGGATCACTTGAGGTCAGGAGCTTGAGACCAGCCTGGCCAACATGGTGAAACCCCGTCTCTACCAAAAATACAAAAATTAGCCAGGCATAGTGGCGTGAACCTGTAATCCCAGCTACTTGGGAGGCTGATGCAGGAGAATCACTTGATCCCAGGAGGCAGAGGTCTTGGTAAGCTAAGATTGAGCCACTGCACTCCAGCTTGGGCAACAGAAAAAAAAAAAAAAAAAAAAAAAAAAGAGGGTTCCTAAAGGGCCCTTTAAATAAAATAGGGAGGCTACATAAAGTACATGGCTCACCCAAGAAATGAGGGGGCCTGGGACCATGGATGCTGGAAACATGGTTGTTTCATTTATTTAATTATTATTATTATTATTGAGACAGAGTTTCACTTTTGTTGCCCAGGCTGGAGTGCGATGGCGTAATCTCGGCTCACTACAACCTCCGCCTCCCAGGTTCAAGCAATTCTCCTGCCTCAGCCTCCTGAGTAGCTGGGATTACAGGCATGCACCACCACGCCTGGCTAATTTTGTATTTTTAGTAGAGACGGGGTTTCTCCATGTCTGTCAGGCTGGTCTTGAACTCCCAACCACAGATGATCCACCCGCCTTGGCCTCCCAAAGTGCTGGGATTACAGGTGTGAGCCACCGTACCCGGCCTCATTTATTTAATTATTTATTTTTATTTATTTATATATTTATTTAGAGACAGGGTTTCATTCTGTCACCCAGGCTGGAGTGCAGTGGCAAGATCACGGCTCATTGGAGGCTTGACCTCTGGGGCTCAGGTGATCCTCCCACCTCAGCCTCTTGAGAGCTGGGACCATAGACACAAACTGCCACGCCCAACTAATTTTTCTATTTTTTGTAGAGAAGGAGTTTTGCCATTTTGCCCAGGCTCAAGCTATCCTCCTGCCTCTGCCTCCTGAAGTGCTGGGATTACAGGTGTGAGCCCCTGTGCCCAGCCAGGAACATGATTCTTAGACATTCGGACATAGTCTTAGACATAGGGGATTGATGGGAAGAGTCGATGCGATGAGTGACACTTACTCAAAGAGTAACACTTAGTATTTTTATTCTATCCATTCCCTTCCTGGAGCAGATCCAATGTCTTCAGCACCAAGTTCACCATCTTTGACAATGGGGTGAATCCTGACCGGGAGCATTTAACCAGGAATACTGCCCGGATCAGACAGGAGCTGGGGGCTGTGTGTTATGTGAGTGTCCTGGGGATGAGAGAATGGGGTAGGATAGTCAGAAGAAGGAACCAGGCCAACTGGAATGTAATACCCCCAGGAGCCCAACGTCTTAGGATACCTGGGGCCTCGGAAAATGACTGTGATTCTCCCAGGAACCAACAGCCAGAACCAGCGAATCAATGTCCAGCCACTAAATGTGAGTCCCTGACATCAGGAATCTCTGGGTCAATGGAGAAGGGGCTGGGGCCGGTCCTCCTAGATCCCAGAGGAGGAAGAAGAAGAGGAGGAAGAGGAGGCCAGTGGGTTGCAGGTGTCACATGAAGCCTGAAGGACTTTGTTAGCCTTCCATGTCTCAGGGAGTAAAAGACTAGAGACTCAAAACATTTGCATCTGGAGAAAAAAGGTTTGATGGTAGGTTAACAAACTTACCAAAAAGGGGTCTGATCCAGACTCCAAGAGAGGGTTCTTGGATCTCAGGCAAGAAAGAATTTGGGGCCAGTCCGTAGAGTCAAGTGAAAGCAAGTTTATTAGAGAAGAAATAAAAGAATGGCTACTCCATAGGCAAAGCAGCCTTGAGGCCAGCTGGTTGGCTATTTTTATGGTTATTTCTTGATTATATGCTAAACGAGGTGGATTATTCATTAATTTTCTGGGAAAGGGGTGGGCAATTCCCAGAACTGAGGGTTCCTGCTTCTTTTAGACTCTCTCTTTCTTTCTTTTTTTTTTTTTTTGAGACAGAGTCTTGCTCTGTCGCCCAGGCTGGAGTGCAGTGGCGCGATCTCGGCTCACTGCAAGCTCGACCTCCCCGGCTCACGCCATTCTCCTGCCTCAGCCTCCTGAGTAGCTGGGACTACAGGCGCCCGCTACCATGCCCGTCTAATTTTTTATATTTTTAGTAGAGCCGGGGTTTCACTGTGTTAGTCAGGATGGTCTCGATCTCCTGACCTCGTGATTCACCCGCCTCGGCCTCCCAAAGTGCTGGGATTACAGGCGTGAGCCACCGTGCCCGGCAGTAACCTCTCTTACAAGCAAAATTTATTCAAAGACCTGTGCTAACATTCTTAAATATCTGTTAGCCATAATAAAGAAATCAGTGTACTTTACGTTTTTAGCTCCCACAATTTACCCTAAATATTTGCCCTGGCATGCTTGTACCGGTCCAAGCAAGCATTAGGTCATAGCCTGTTCCTCTTCCTTATTTGAAGGTGTTTTTACCTTTCTCAACATTCCACAAGTTACTTCCTCCTTACTTTGTATTCTTCTGCTTTTCCCTCTTTTAAAAAGTTCTAAGTTGCTAGCCAATTGGGACAAATACAGAACGTGAGGTCCCGTTCCAGCCAATGGAAACCCTACACGGCAGTAGGGTGGATGCGCCAGGTTATAAATGACCCTGTCTCCTTTGTTCAGTGTACTCTCATGGCAAAACTCCTGGTGAGTGTACCCTTTCTGCAGAAAGTTAAAAAATGGCCTTGCTGAGGAAATTAAATTTATGCTCAAGTGCTATTTCTTTACTGCACCGGGGAACAAGCATTTCTAACATTGTGATACCAGTCCTGTCAAACTCCTGTCTCATCCTGTGACTAAGAATGCCTAACCTCCTGGGAACGCAGCCCAGCAGGTCTCATCCTCATTTTACCCAGCCCCTGTTCAAGATGGAGTCGCCCCTGTTCAAGATGGAGTCGCCCCTGTTCAAGATGGAGTTTCGAAAGCCTCTGAGAAAACCACAGCCCCTTCTTTACCTTCTAGGAACAGGAGTCGCTACTGAGTCGTTACCAACGTGGGGACAAACAAGGGTTGCTTTTGTTGCACAACAAAACCCCGTCGTGGGACAAGGAGAACGGTGTCTACACGCTCAATTTCCATGGTCGAGTCACTCGGGCTTCGGTGAAGAACTTCCAAATCGTGGATCCCAAACACCGTGAGCTCCTGGAAACCAGTTTAGCCGGGCCAGGTGGGGTGGGGGTTAGGGTGTGAACGGAAGGGAACTACATCTCCCATCATCACTTGAGCGTTTTTCTAGGCAGGGCAGATGCCACCCTATTGCAAAGCCTATTGGGAATTGTAGTTTACACACCCTCAGGGTTTCTGGCTTAGTAAGGGCACCGCTCAGCCTCTTAAAAGTCTCCATTCTCGGCCTGGCGCGGTAGCTCCCGCTTATAATCCTAGCACTTTGGGAGACCGAGGTGGGTGGATCATCTGAGGTCAGGAGTTCAAGAACAGCCTGGCCAACATGGTGAAACCCTGTCTCTACTAAAAATACAAAAATTAGGCCGGGCACTGTGGCTCACACCTGTAATCCCAGCACTTTGGGAGGCCGAGGCGGGCGGATACGAGGTCAGGAGATTGAGACCATCCTGACTAACACGGTGAAACCCCGTCTCTACTAAAAACACAGAAAAAATTAGCTGGGTGTAGTGGTGGTCACCTGTAGTCCCAGCTAATCAGGAGGCTGAGGCAGGAGAATGGTGTGAACCCGGGAGGCGGAGCTTGCAGTGAGCCGAGATCGCGCCACTGCTCTCCAGCCTGGGCAACAGAGCGAGACTCCATCTCAAAAAAAAAAAAAAAAAAAAAAATTAGCCGGACGTGGTGGCACATGCCTGTAATCCTAGCTACTTGGGAGGCTGAGGCAGAAGAACTGCTTGAACCTGGGAGGTGGAGGTTGCAGTGAGCCAAGATCAGGTCACTGCACTCCAGCCTGGGCGACAGAGCAAGACTCTGTCTCAAAAAAAAAAAAAAAAGAAAAAAAAAAAAAAAAAGTCTCAGTTCTCGAAGCTGGGAGATGAGAGAGTCAGGCTAAGGCTTTGTTCCTGATTCACTTCTCAGAAGAACATCTGGTGCTCCAGTTCGGCCGAGTGGGCCCAGACACATTCACCATGGACTTCTGCTTTCCATTTAGCCCGCTCCAGGCCTTCAGCATCTGCTTGTCCAGTTTCAATTAGAAGCTGGCTGTTGAATAACTCAATAAAATACCATACCCTTGCCAGCTTCTGTGCCTCCTCATTTGGAGGAAGGGCCCCGACATGCCTTCTTTTGCACCACCTTAATAACCAACACTGACCGGGCAAGGTGGCTCACGCCTGTAATCCCAACACTTTGGCAGGCTGAAGCTGGTGCATCACCTGAAGTCAGGAGATCGAGACCAGCCTGGCCAACATGTGAAACCCCGTCTCTACTAAAAGTACAAAAATTAGCTGGGCGTGGTGGCAGGCACCTGTAATCCCAGCTATTCAGGAGACTGAGGCAGAAGAAACACTTGAATCTGGGAGGCGGAGGCTGCAGTGAGCTGAGATAGCTCCACTTCACTCCAGCTAGACTCTGTCTCAAAAAAAAAAAAAAAAAAAAAATGCCGGGCGCGGTGGCTCACACCTGGAATCCCAACACTTTAGGAGGTCGAGGCGGAAGGATCACTTGAGGTCAGGAGTTCGAGACCAGCCTCGCCGATATGGCAAACCCCGTCTCTACTAAAAATACAAAAATTAGCTGGGCATGGTGGCGCATGCCTGTAATCCCAGCTACTCCGGTGGCCGAGGCACGAGAATTGCTTGAATCTGGGAAGCGGAGGTTGCAGTGACCCGATCGTGCCACTGCACTCCAGCCTGGGCAACAGAATGCGACTCTATCCCCCCACCAAAAAAAGGAATTTTCACACTACATCTGAAGAATCAGGAGCAACTAGCTGAGCAAGAGGCCTCAGGGTTGGGATCCTCAGGCAGCAGGTAGCACTCATACAAAGGTTTTTAATTAGGTGGAATTAGGCTTGGTTGCCTTGGGGAAATGAAAGGATTATATGGCAGGAGTGGGGGTCTCAAACTCCTGACCTCGAGTTAGAGATCAGCCTGACCAACAAGGTGAAACCCCGTCTCTACTAAAAATACAAAAATTAGCCCTGTGTGGTGGCGGGCCCCTATAATCCCAACTATTCAGGAGACTGAGGCAGGAGAATCACTTGAACTCGGGAGGCGGAGGTTGCAGGGAGCCAAGATCCTGCCATTGCACTCCAGCCTGGGCGACAGAGCAAGACTCTGCCTCAAAATAAACAAACAAAACAAACAAACAAACAAAAACCTGACCTCAAGTGATCCATCTACCTCGGCCACCCAAAGTGCTAGGATTTCTAGTTTAACTAAGCTGCTTTTGTAAAGCTAATGAAAGGCCATTAGGTTAGGAGGATGAGAGGAGCCTGCATTCTGTGAAGGTCTAGAGGTAGATTAATACAAAAATTAGCCCTGCGTGGTAGCGCACGCATATAATCCCAGGTACTAGGGAGGCCGAGGCAGGAGAATTGCTTGAACCCAGGGGGTTGTAGTGAGCCGAGATCACGCCACTGCACTCCAGCCTGGGTGACACAGAGAGACTCGGTCTCAAAAAAAAAAAAAAAAATTAAAAATTAGAGGTAGAGGTGGGCATAGTGGCTCATGCCCATAATCCCAGCATTTTGGGAGACTGAGGTGGGCGGATCATGAGGTCAGGAGTCTCAAACTCCTGACCACCAACATGGTGAAACTCCTTCTCTACTAAAAATACAAAACTTAGCTGGGCGTGATGGCTCACGCCTGTAATCCCAACTGCTCAGGAGGCTGAGGCAGGAGAATCGCTTGAACCCAGGAGGCGGAGGTTGCTGGTGTGCTGAGATCGTGCCATTGCACTCCAGCCTGTGTAACAAGAGTGAAACTCCATAAAAAAAAAAAAAATTAGCTGGAAGTGGTGGCGCACACCTGTAGTCCCAGCTTCTTGGGAGGCTGATCCAGGAGAATTGTTTTAACCTGGGAAGTGGAGGTTGCAGTGAGCCGAGAGCCCACCACTGCACCCCAGCCTGGGCAGCAGAGTGAGACTCCGTATCAGGAAAAAAAAAAAAAAAAAAAAAAGAATAACGGTATATAGAATAATTACCGTATTATAGCATTTATTTCATGAGCATTGTTTTAACTCCTTTGGGGCCTTACAATCCCATAAGATATGTACAATTGTTAGTCAGCTTACAGATAAGGAAACTAGGCCTATGGACACAGGGCTTATAAATGTAAAATCAGGCTGCAACAGCAATCATACAGGGTGGTTGCAGGAGATTAGAAAATTCCAGGCAGCAGTTTCACAAGACCAGACCAGCAACAGGAAACTTGAAATAGCTACAGAAGCTATGGGCTGATAAGATCCTGAAAAACCAGGGCGTGGGCCAAGTAGGCTAAGTCCGACTAGACCCAATATGGCACTGGGTCTGACCTCGGTTTCACGTAGGACCTCATTATATGTTCATCAACACAGTCACACACCCACCAGCATCATGACGGTCCCAGGAACACCCATATTTGGTGTAAAGATGGGTGGCACCACAGTTCTGAGAAATCTCCATCTTTTTCCAGGAATGCTCATGAGTATTTTACCCCTTGGTTAAAAAAATCCAAAAAGGGCCAGCGTGGTGGCTCACGTCTGTAATCCCAGCACTTTGAGAGGCTGAGGCAGGTGGATCACTTGAGGTCAGGACTTTGAGACCAGCCTGGCCAACATGGAGAAACCCTGTCTCTACTAAAAATACAAAAAATTAGCCAGGTGTGGTGGCGCCTGCAGTCCCAGCTGCTTGGGAAGCTAAGGTAGGAGAATTGTTTGAACCCAGGAGGTGGAGGTTGCAGTGAGCTGAGATCGTGTCACTACACTCCAGCCTGGGCTGGACAGAACAAGACTCCATCTTTAAAAAACAAACAAACAAACAAAAAACCCATAACGGTAGCAGCCTCAACCCCCCTTGCACGTGATTCTCTCGAGTCCCCTTTCATGAGTGTGGACTTTCCCCTTTGCAATAAATCCTGTATTTTCACTCTTTTCCAACTCGTCCTTGAATTCATTTTCATGACTGTGTCAAGAGCCTGAACACTGGCTGAGGGGGAGGTCCCACCCGGGCTTGGGGACCTCGATACCCACTGGTATCAAAGCAACGGAGGAGAATGTAAAGGCCTGTAGAGATTGAGCCTTAATGGTCCAGCAAGGCACAGACAATTCTGCCTCCTTTTAGGGATCCGTGACTCAATTCTCCAGCTCCCTTGGGGGGGTGGTGATAATTGTCCCAAGTTTAATACAATTTAGGCAGATGTCAAAGAAAAACTACAGGCCGGGTCTGGGTGCGGTGGCTCACGCCTGTAATCCCAGCACTTTGGGAGGCCAAGGCGGGTGGATCATGAGGTCAGGAGTTCGAGACCAGCCTGATCAACGTAGTGAAACCCCGTCTCTACTAAAAATACAAAAATTAGCCAGGCATGGTGGAGTGTGCCTGTAATCCCAGCTACTCAGGAGACTAAGACAGGAGAATCGCTTGAACCCAGGAGGCGGAGGTTGCAGTAAGCAGAGATCGTGCCACCGCATTCCAGCCTGGGTGACACAGCGAGACTCCATCTCAAACAAACAAACAAAAATACATAGGCCGGGTGCATTGGCTCACGCCTGTTATCTCAGCATTTTGGGAGGCCAAGGCAGGTGGATCACAAGGTCAGGAGTTTGAGACCAGCCTGGCCAACATAGTGAAACCCTGTCTCTACTAAAAATACAAAAATTAGCCAGGCGTGGTGGCGCACACCTCTAGTCCCAGCTACTCGGGAGGCTGAAGCAGGAGAATCACTTGAACCTGGGAGGCAGAGGTTGTGGTGAGCTGAGATTGCACCACTGCACTTCAGCCTGGGCAACAGAGCGAGACTCAGTCTCAAAAAAAGCAACAAAAAAAACTATAAAACCCACCAGCTGTTATGTGGGCGGCAAGACACCCAGGTGCCGAGGCAAGAGACCGAGGACATGAGCTGTTCCAGTATAATAAAATATAAAACAAGAATAATTATACCAGATATAGATCTTAGATATGATTATATATGAATATCATTAATCATTAGTTTGTAGCAATTACTCTTTATCCCAATATTATAATAATCCTCGCTCTATAATCATAACCTAGGAAAAACCAGGCCATACAGAGATAGGAGCTGAGGAGACATAGTGAGAAGTGACCACAAGACAAGAGTGCGAGGCTTCTGTTATGCCCGGACAGGGCCAGCAGAAGGGCTCCTTGGTCTAGCGGTAACGCCAGCATCTGGGAAGACGCCCGTTGCCAAGTGGACCATGGTCTAGCGGTAGCCTCAGTGTCAAGGAAAAACACCCGCTACTTAGCGGACCAGGAAAGGGAGTCTCCCTTTCCCTGCGGGAGTTTAGAGAAGACTCTGCTCCTCTACCTCTTGTGGAGGGCCTGACATTAGTCAAGCTGGCCCACAGTTATCCGGAGGCCTAACCGGCTCCCTGTGATGCTGTGCTTCAGCGGTCACGCTCCTGTTTCACTTTCCTGTTCCACTCTGTGCACCTGGCTCTGCCCTCTAGATAGCAGTAGCAAAATCAGTAAAAGTACTAAAAGTCTCTGAAATGCAGAAATAATGGCATAAGCTGTCTCCTCTCTCTCTCCACCTGGGCTGCCAAACAGGGAGGGGCCCCCTGTCCGGTGGAAACGTGACTCGTGTGACCTTATCAATCATTGGAGATGACTCACACTCCTTACCCTGCCCCTTTTGCTTTGTATCCAGTAAATATCAGCGCAGCCAGACATTCGGGGCCACTACTGGTCTCCGCGCATTGGTGGTAGTAATCCCCCGGGCCCAGCTGTCTTTTCTTTTATCTCTTTGTCTTGTATCTTTATTTCTACACTCTCTCGTCGCCGCACACAGGGAGAAGCCCACCGACCCTGTGGGGCTGGTCCCTGCACTGTTAGGTTCAAAAGAAGCCTCAGGATGAGTGGTAGCAAATTTGAGGAAAAGCGGTTTATCCGCCATTGAAGTGCTTTGTTTTATGCTATTCTCTTCCCAGCTCCCTCAGGGACCTGTAAGTAGAATGCTGTCAGTTTCTGACACATACAGACGCTGCTCGCTACAAATCAAAAGGCTTTATTCCTTATATAAACCCACACTTAGAAAAAATAAATAGTTAATAAATTATAGGCAAACCAGTTGGTCTCAGCCACGCCTCCCACTGAGGTCCAGGGCAGCCGCTGCAGCAGCAGACGAGCGGGAAGGTGTGGCCACAGCTTGGCTCAAGGGCGTGGTCTGGACTGGGGACGAAGGGACAGAGGAGGAAGGCAAGGTCTGGGTGAGGGCAGGGATGGGGGCTAAAGGTGGGTTCCTGAGGCGTGCCCAGGCTCTGGCCCGGGCAGCAGGGGTGAGGCAGGGGCTCAGCTCCTCCTGGGCCTGGGTGATGCGGCGTGCGAAGCGGCTGCGATCCCGAGCAAGCTGCTCCCAGGGGCCCTGGCGGGCGGCCTGGGCCGGCCCTGCCCAGACAGCCAGGAAATGGACAGTGACCTTCTCGGAGAAGCGCACCTGCGGGCAGACATGGGGACACAGGCAGGAGATGCACACAGCCACGGGAATCCGGATGGGGAGGGCGGGGAAGAGAGAGAGAGAAGCAAACAAAAATTAGTTATTACACAAAAATGCTTTCTATCTGGCTAGTCACTTGCCTGTCACTGTCACGGGATTCTCTATCTATCTGACTCACTGAAGGAAGAGGTGGTTTCCTGGGGCTGCTGTGAGCCACAGCTGCTCCCTCCTCCCCCAGGGGCCTGGCCTCTTACAAGGGATTGCGTGACAGCGTACACAGCCTTCTCCATGGAGATGACATGCAACCCTCTGCAACATACAGGGACCCAGAAGTCTCGGCCCCCAGCCCCCTTTCTTTCTAAGACTCAAGAATCTGGGCTCTCAGCCAGATGTGGTAGCTCACGCCTGTAATCCCAGCACTTTGGGAGGCTGAGATGGGTGGATCACGTGATGTCAGGAGTTTGAGACCAGCCTGGCCAACATGGCAAAACCCCCGTCTCTACTAAAAATACAAAAAAAATTAGCTGGGTGTGGTGTCATGCGCCTGTAATCCCAGATACTCTGGAGGCTGAGGCACGAGAATCGCCTGAACTTGGGCGGCAGAGGTTGGCAGTGAGCCAAGATCATGCCGCTGCACTCCAGCCTGGGTGACAGCCCAAGACTCCAACTCAATTAAAAAAAAAAAAAAAATAGAATCTGGGCTCTCAGCACCTACCTTTCTGGCCTTTAGGGGAGTCTCAGGGTCCGGATCATGAGTAGGGGTTTCTGGGCGCTTGAGCCGCCTTTGCAGTCGGAGGGGCAGCCTAGGAGGAGCCCAGGGAGGCGGTGGCTTCTCTCCAGGTACATAGATGGCCACTCGGAAGGGGCAGGGCTCAGCTTCTCCCCAGTCCTCAGCAGCTTCCTCTTCCTCTGTCTCTTTTCCAGGTCGATATCCCCAGCCCCTGAAGTGGGCCCTCTGGTCCGGGTGGGAGGGATGTGGGTCTGACTCAGCTTCTCCCAAGGCTGCTTCTGAATCATCTTCCTTATCCTCACTATCCACATCCTCATCTTCCTCCTCCTCCGTGTCCTCTCCTGGCCGATACACCCAGGCCTTCAAGAAAGCACTTGCAGGGGGTGTGGAAGCAGAAGTCTCAGCTTCTCTTTCATCCTCGGCTGATCCTGTATCACTGTCCTCATCTTCCTCCTCCTCTGTGTCCTCTCCTGGCTGATAGACCCAGGACTTCAAGAAGACACCTGTAGCAGGAGTGGAAGAGGAAGCCTCAGCTTCTCCCTCTTCCTCATCTGATCCAGAGTCACTGTCCTCATCTTCTTCCTCATCTTCCTCTTCCTCTGTGTCCTCTCCTGGCCAATACACCCAGGCCTTCAGGAAGGCACTTGGTGGGGGGATGCAGGGAGGACACTCAGCTTCTCCATCCTTCTCAGCTGCCCCCAAAGCCTTGACCTCACCCTCCTCTTCATCACTGGGTTGGCACCACCAGGACTTGAGCTGGGGCCTCTGGGCTGGGGCTGAGGATTGCGGCCCTGGGGCAGCTTCTCCTTTCCCAGTTTCTTTGTGTGCCTTTTCCTCCTTCTCCTCGGACGCCTCTCCTGAACGATACTCCCAGGACCTGGGGTCGGAGCCTGAAGATCGGGGGGACACGGAGGTCTTCCTGGCTCCTTTACTTCTTTCTGTTCTTTTATCCTCCGTGGCTTGATTCTCTTCCTCCCCTGGGCAAGACACCCAAGTGCTGGGCTTGGATCCTGGAGACAAGGCAGAAGTAGAGGTTCTGTGAGCTTCTTTCTTTACAGCTTCTTCATCGTCCTCCTCCTCCACGGCTGGACAACACTCCCGGTGTGATGGTGGATAAGAGAACTTGTTAACTCCCTCCTCTTCAGCAACTCCCTCTTCCTCGGCTTTCTCCTCCCCTGGGTTCTTATCAGAACCTTGCAGTGTCCTTATCAGAAGGCTGGGAGACAGGGGAGCACGCTGGCCATCTGCAAATTGACTTCCCTGCCCTCTAGGGACACTGGTTGCCTCTCGCTCACCATACATGCCATCATCATCATCCAAAAGTCCCCAGGCTTCAGGAAGGGAACTGCTGGTTTTCAGCCCCAGTGTTTCTCTGTCCTCTCCAGGGCCTCCACTGTCTTCAGCCTCCTCTTCAGGGCGTCTGCCCCAAGGGGTATGGGGGATTGCCAGAGGAGTCCTAGCTTCTCCCTCCAGGCCAGCTTCTACCAGAGCTGCTCCTTTTACTGCTTCCACCAGCCAGGGCTCTAGAGGTCCCAGGCCCCTCAGGCGGCTCCAGGCGCGGCTGAGGAGGCCCATCACTGGGGACAGGAGGAAGAAAGGGTGGGCATCCCTCCACGGGGTAGCCTGATGGGGTGCTTGGCCTGGGGCCATGTGTCTGGGCTGGAAAAGGGGGAGAAAAAAATAAAGTTTAGGGGCCATTTAGAGGATGGCATCCGGGCGTGACTATGAGTCATAGCAACGGAAATAGTAACACAACTATTGTAAATAGCAACGCGAGAGTCCCAAATTCCTTTCTGATCTCGGCCACGCCCATCTCTGTCCCTTGGCTCTGTTCTTATCTCTCAATAGCCAGGAGTCTGAGCCCCTAGTTCTGCCTTAGATCCAAGGGTCCAAGCCCCCAGCCCTCTCTTTCTTCAGACGCAGAACTCCCAGTCCCAAGAACCAAGAACAAAAGTCTTTACTTGCTTCCCTTGGCGACAAAGTCATAGTCCCTAGCTCTCTCATTCTGCTGAAGATTGACAAATCAAACCCTCACACCCTCCTCCCTCGCAGACTGAAACATTCTGACCCGACCCCCTACTTGGCAGATGATTCCTTCACGGGGGACCCAAGAATCTGGCTTCCAGATCCCTCCTCCCTCAGGCTCAGGACTCCAGGCTCCCAACCCCTTCTCCTTTCTAAATCCGGGCCCCCAGCCCCGTGGGGACCCAGGCGTTCCGACCCCTTACTCACCGGCTGGGAGCTGCGCGTCACCCCGGGGGCAGGAGCGCCGGTTCGGTCTGCCAGAAGCGATCACAGGTCCGGACGGTTAGGGAGGCCAGCGCGTTCATCTCACCCTCAGGCGTCGGGCTCCGAGTAACTCAGAGTATCTCCGGCTGCCTCAAGTGCCGTGGCGACAAGCGGGCGCGGGGTCGTGCAGCGTCTTGCATAAGATCAACAACTGGGATGGGAACCGATAAGAGCAACGAACACAATGGCCACTAGGCTTTTATAGCCTACCGCGCCCGGCGTGCTGACGTCACGAAGAGAGGCGGGGTTTCGAGACCGCAACCCGAAGGGTGGGAAGTGGAAGTAAGACAGGACTTCTCGCGGAGATTCCAGCTTTTGCAACGTCACGGCGGAGTTTCCGAGCGTGACCACGCCCCTCCAACAAACGAACTGTCAATCAAATGCGTGGCCCTGCTTCAACAGCGAGCCAGTTCTCTCTCAGCTCAGGGTCAATGCCTTCCCACCCCAATTTATTTATTTATTTAGTTAGTTATTTTGAGGCGGAGTTTTGCTCTTGTTGCTCAGGCTGGAATGCAAAGGGGCGATCTCGGCTCACCGCAACCTCCGCCTTCGGGGTTCAAGCGATTCTCCTGCCTCAGCATCCCGAGTATCTGGGATTGCAGGCATGTGCCGCCACGCCCGGCTAATTTTGTATTTGTTTAGTAGAGACGTAGTTTCTCCATGTTGGTCAGGCTGGTCTGGAACTCCCGACGTCAGGGGATCCTCCCGCCTTGGCCTCCCAAAGTGCTGGGATTGCAGGCATGTGCCGCCACGCCCGGCTAATTTTGTATTTGTTTAGTAGAGACGTAGTTTCTCCATGTTGGTCAGGCTGGTCTGGAACTCCCGACGTCAGGGGATCCTCCCGCCTTGGCCTCCCAAAGTGCTGGGATTACAGGCGTGAGTCACCGCGCCCGGCCTATTTATTTATTTATTTATTCATTATTTATTTTTCTGAGACGGGATTTCACCATGTTTGCTAGGCTGGTCTCGAACTCCTGACCTCAGGTGTTCTGCCTGCCTTGGCCTCCCAAAGTGCTGGGATTGCAGGCGTGAGCCACCACTCCAGGCCTATTTATTTATTTGTTATTTTTTATTTTTTTATTTTTTTTTGAGATGGAGTCTCGCTCTGTCACCGAGGCTGGAGTGCAATGGCGTGATCTCGGCTCACTGCAACCTCCATCTTCCGGGTTCAAGCGATTCTCCCTCTTCAGCCTCCGAGTAGCTGGGATTACAGGCACGCACTACCACACTCAGCTAATTTTTTGTATTTTTAGTAGAGACAGTGTTTCGCCATGTTGCCCAGGCTGTTCTCGAACTCCTGAGCTCAGGCAGTCTGCCTGCCTCGGCTTCCCAAAGTGTTAGGATTATAGGCGTGAGCTACTGCACCCAGCCTATTTATTTTTTGAGTAGGCGTCTCACTCTGTCGCCCAGGCTGGAGTTCAGTGGCGCCATCTCGGTTCACTGCAACCTCCACCTCCTGGGTTCCAGCGATTCTCCTGCCTGAGCCTCTGGAGTAGCTGGGATTACAGGCATGTGCCACAATGCCTGGGTAATTTTTGTATTTTTAGTAGAGACAGTGTTTCGCCATGTTGACCAGGCAGGTCTTTTTTTTTTTTTTTTTTTTTGAGACGGAGTCTTGCTCTGTCGCCCAGGCTGGAGTGCAGTGGCACGATCTTGGCTCACTGCAAGCTCCTCCTCCCTGGTTCTCGCCATTCTCCTGCCTCAGCCTCCCTAGTAGCTGGGACTACAGGTGCCCACCACCACGCCCGGCTAATTTTTTTTGTATTCTTAGTAGAGACGGGGTTTTTCACCGTGTTAACCAGGATGGTCTCGATCTCCTGACCTTGTGATCCACCCGCCTCGGCCTCCCAAAGTGCTGGGATTACAGGTGTGAGCCACCGCACCCGGCCGACCAGGCTGGTCTTGAACTCCTGACCTCAGGTGATCTGCCCGCCTTGGCTTCCCAAAGTGCTGGAATTACAGTTGTGATCCACTGTGCCTGGCCTCCTACCCCAATTTAGCCCACAGGCCCCAGCCTAGAGTCTCCCATTTTCTTTTTTTTTTCTTTTCTTTCTTTTTTCTTTTTCTTTCTTTTTTTTTTTTTTTTTTTGAGACGGTGTCTCACTCTGTCACCCAGGCTGGAGTGCAATGGCATGATCTTGGCTCACTGCAACCTCCGCCTCCCGGGTTCAAGCAATTCTCCTGCCTCAGCCTCCTGAGTAGTTGGGAGTACAGGAGCTTGCCACCACGCCTGGCTAGAGTCTCCTATTTTCACATGTGGTTGGTTTCCTCCCCGAGTGCGAGGGTGTCATTGTTCCCATTTCACAGATGGGGAAACAGGCTTGGAAATGAAGCCACTTGACCAAGATAGTCACAGCAGGGTCCAGATTCCTTGCAAATGAGAATGAGGATGTAAGCACTATGAGATCAGGCACTTTGCTGGGCTCAATGCTTTTCAAAAAAAAGTAATTAGGCTGAGCGCGGTGGCTCACGCCTGTAATCCTAGCACTTTGGGACGCTGAGGCAGGTGGATCATGAGGTCAGGAGATCAAGACCATCCTGGCTAACACGGTGAAACCCCGCCTCCACTAAAAATACAAAATAAATTAGCCGGGCGTGGTGGTGGGCACCTGTAGTCCCAGCTACTCGGGAGGCTGAGGCAGGAGAATGGCGTGAACCTGGGAGGCAGAGCTTGCAGTGAGCTGAGATCGTGCCACTGTACTCCAGCCTGGGCGACAGAGCGAGACTCCGTCTCAAAAAAATAATAATAATAATTAATTTAGGCCGGGTGCAGTGGCATGTGCCTGTAGTTCCAGCTACTCAGGAGGCTGAGTCAGGAGAATCGCTTGAACCCGGGAGGCGGAGGTTGCAGTGAGCCGAGATCACGCCACTGCACTCCAGCCTGGCGACAGAGCAAAACACCGCCTCAAAAAAAAAAAAAAAAGAAATTCATTTTCTAAATAGAGACAAGGTCTCGCTATGATGCCCAGGCTGGTGTTGAACTCCTGGTCTCAAGCGATCCTCCTGCCTTGGCCTCCCAAAGTGCTGGGATTACAGGCGTGAGCCATTGCACCCAGCCAGGGCTCACTGCTTTCTTCTCAGTGGCTGCAACAGACAGTGCCTGCACACAGTAGGTGCTCAACAGGTGCATGGTGAATGGCAGTTAAACCGAAAGCTCAGATTCCTTCCCGGTCACAGGCACAAGGCTCCACTCCTGGGTGTCATCTGCTTCAGACTTAGGCAGTAGCTCTGCCCCCACAAGCCGCGATTCTGCCTGGGTGGCACTCTTTGTGCGGGTGGGGGCGCTTCTGCTACAAGTTCCAGGCCCTGGGTGACAGTTCCAGCCCCCCGCTCTCCTCCCCTGCCTACGGATGCATAATCTTGTTCCTCAAAATATACCAAGGAATCATGTCTCTCTCCTGAGGGAGTTGTCCTCAGTCTAGAAGAGAATTCTCACCTGGATCTGAGGTGGAGGTTTGGAACTCTCCATTTCACCCTGCCCTACTGGGACCATCCCCTTTTCTCCCTAGGGGACCTGGACAAACCGTCCCTGGCCCCTTCCAAGCACAGCCATGTTTCCAGACCCCCAGCTCTTTCACGACTCAGGAGTCCTGATCCTAGCTCAGACCTTCTCGGGCACCCAGGAGTCTGGATCCCTAACCCATTCCCTCCAGGGCTTTGGAAATTTGAGTCCCCACCCCTTGCAGGACACAAGCCTCCTCCGTTTAGGACACCAGTGGCTCAGGCCCCCAACCACAGCAGCAAACCCACGGGGGCCCTGGAGTGCAGGCCTCAAGTCCAACTCTCCAAACACTGAGAAGTCCCAACCTTGGTCCTTAGGGGACCTGGGAATTGGGGGGCCCAAGCCCCTCCCTTCAGCTATGGGGGCAGCTGAGCCAGAGGTCAGGCTGTAGTGGGGAGGCCAGAAGGGGCGGGGACAGCCGGGATTGGGAGGGGAGAACAGCAGCGTGGGCGGCTGGCAGAGGCAGGGAAAGACCAGCAGAGAGGAAAGAGAAACTGGGAGAGGGAGGAAGGGAGAAAGTGAGAAGGGAAATCGGAAAGAGAAAAGGGAGGAAACGGCAGAGCCAGAGAGAAAGAGGAAGAGACTGAGTGTGAAGGAGAGAGGACACAGGGGATGACTGAGAGACAGAGAGAGAGAGAGAGAGAGAATGAGACAGAGACTTAAGGAAGAGACCCTGTGAGTCTGACAATAAAAGATTTGGACAGAAACAGAAAGATTGGAGAGAGAGAGAGAGGGAGAGAATGAGTGAGAGAGAGACTGGAAGAGACAGAGATCAGAGGGAGACACAGAAAGTGAGAGTGGGGAGAGAGGTAGTGTAAAAGGAAGAGAGAGAGAGAGAGACCGTAAGAGACAGGAGACAAAGAGACAAAAAGTGTGAGTGAGCAGGTGAGGAGAGAGATTGAGAACTATGAGAGACAGCAGCTAAGAGACAAAGGAGGCGGGAGACTGCCTAGGTGCCGCAGCACCCACACCGTCCTCTTGCCCCCCCGTCACTGGGACCCCAGAGCTGGGTAAGTTCCCTGGCTGGGCTGGGAGGGGCTCTCTGGGTTCACATTCCTGGTGCCGCAGGGCTTGGCTTGGGGAGTTGGCAGGGGTGGTTTGGGGGTGCATGTGGGAGGGCGGGAGACAGGTAGCCTGGGGCAGCCGGAAGGAGGCAGGGAATGGGGAGTCCCTAAGCACAGAGAGGGTCAAATTCCTGGCCTGAGTGCAGTGGGCAGGAATAAAGAAGCCCCTATTCTCTGGCCTGGGCTGCAGACAGCTGCCCCCTCCCGCAGCTGCCAGGGCCGCCTACCTCTCTTGGCACCACTCTTGGTATGTGGTCACGGGCCATGGCCTCCCCCAGCCCCCCAAGTCCCGAAACAACAGGCTCTTTCTCTGCAGCCTCCTCCGACCTCCAAGCCCCTGACCCCATCTCTGTCTCACACCCGTCACTGCAGAGACACAGCCCCTTTCTTTCTCTCCCCCAGCCCTTGATGGAGGGGAGCCGACCTCGCAGCAGCCTGAGCCTGGCCAGCAGCGCCTCCACCATCTCCTCGCTCAGCAGCCTGAGCCCCAAGGTTTGAGCTTCCTGGCGGGGATGGGGAGGAAGGTGGGGCTCTGGGCCGCCCATCCTTCTGTTTCCCCAAGGACTCTGGTTGTTAAGGACAAAGATCCTTAGCAACGGGGTCTGCCAGACATAGTAAGGTCCCAAATTGCCTACACACCGCAGCTAGGAATTCAGAGGCACTCCCAGCTCTGTCCCCACCCTTTGTATTTTCCTAATTCTAAACCAGAGTAACAACCTCCCTTGACCCTGGTTGCTAAGATAAAGCCGCTCCCCAGCCATGAGGCCCCTCGAGTTCTGAGAAGTAGTGGCTGCTCTTGATTAGTGCCAGAACTTGCTGTCCTATCTCTCGCCATCCAATCTACCCACTAATGAAATCCTATAAGGAGAGACCCTTCTCTGACAATAAGACCCAAGGGGCCTCCAGATACTTGCATCCCAAATCGGCATCCCAGCCAAAAGCTTAGGGAGACACTCATTTCTTTTTCCTCCTGCCGTTCCACACATATTGTTTCTCAAGTTCAGAGCCCAGAGATCTGATCTCAGCCTTGGTCAGTACCACCGCTTCCAAGGAAGGGCATATTGTCGGGACCTGGCTAAGGATGCCTGAGATATCTGTGGGCATCAGGAGATGAGGCTCCATCCGGGCAGGATGGAGGGATTTGAGGCTTCCTCTCCTTGTACTTGGTTGCTAAGGGGTGTGACCGCAGGGCACCAGGGCATCCTTTGATTCACTGGAGACTCAGCGTGAGAGTTCCCCCTGATTATGGGGCCCTCCCAGCCCATAGTCCCAGTTCAGATCCCAAAGGACCTACTACAGCTCTGGCTCTGGTGGCCAAGGGCATCTGCTTCTTGGCAGTGGATGCTTGATCCCCAAATTGCTTCCCTACAGCCTCTTCCTTGCCTCTGAACACCTCCCTCTGCCCATCAAAAAAAGAGTCTCGGCCCGGCGCAGTGGCTCACGCCTATAATCCCAGCACTTTAAGAGGCTGAGGCGGGTGGATCACCTGAGGTCAGGAGTTCAAGAGCAGCCTGACTGACATGGCGAAACCGCGTCTCTGCTAAAAATACAAAAATTAGCCAGGCGTGGTGGCACGTGCCTGCAATCTCAGCTACTCAGGAGGCTGAGGCAGGAGAATCACTTGAACCCGAGAGGCAGGGGTTGCAGTGAGCCAAGATGGTGCCAGTGTGCTCCAGCCTGGGGGACAGAGCGAGACTCTGTCTCAAAAGAAAAAGAAAAAAAGAGTCTCTCCCAGCCTGGGCAACAAAGTGAGACCCCCGTCCCCTACAAAAAGTAAAAAAATTAGCTGGGCATGGTGGGACATGCCTGTGGTCCCAGCTACATGGGAGGCTGAGGCTGGAGGATCACCTGAGTCCAGGAGGTAAAGGCTGCAGTGTTTAGGCTACTGCACTCCAAAGAGCCTGTCAAAAAAAAAAGAGTCTCTTAACTCTGCAATAAGAACACCTCCCAATTCTGATCTCCAACTTCAGCCCCCACCTTGACCCTTTTCTTTCTTTCTTTTTTTTTTTTTCTTTGAGACGGAGTCTCACTCTGTCTCCCGGGCTGGAGTGCAGTGGTGCGATCTCGGCTCACTGCAAGCTCCTCCTCCCGGGTTCTCGCCATTCTCCTGCCTCAGCCTCCCGAGTAGCTGGGACTACAGGCGCCCGCCACCACGCCCGGCTAATTTTTTGTATTTTTAGTAGAGACGGGGTTTCACCGTGTTAGCCAGGATGGTCTCGATCTCCTGACCTCGTGATCCACCCGTCTCAGCCTCCGAAAGTGCTGGGATTACAGGTGTGAGCCACTGCGCCCGGCTGGTCCTTGACCCATTTCTCAGGGCAGCCAAGCGAGAGCCTACGGTTGCCTGTGTCCACCCTCACCCCCTCCCAGGACCATCCTAGGCTCTCCCTGTTCACTTCTGTCCCCTTCTCTCCTCAGAAGCCCACCCGGGCAGTAAACAAGATCCACGCCTTTGGGAAGAGAGGCAATGCGCTCAGGAGGGATCCCAACCTTCCCGTGCACATCCGAGGCTGGCTTCATAAGCAGGTGGGGTCAGTAGGAGAAGGAAAAGGACACTGAAGTCTGTGCCCCGGCTGTCCTCTGTCTCTCTCCTTGCAAGTCCCCAAATAGGCTTTCTTTTTCTTGCTATCACTGCCCCTCCCCTTAGTCCGTCATTGTTTGTTTGTTTGTTTATTTATTTATTTTTAAGACAGAGTCTCTTTCTGTCGCCCAGGCTGGAGGGCAGTGGTATGATCTCGGCTCAATGCAACCTCTGGCCTCCAGTTCAAGCAATTCTCGTGCCTCAGCCTCCCGAGTAGCTGGGCTTACAGGCATGCACCATCATGCCTAGCTAATATTTGTATTTTTAGTAGAGATGGGGTTTTATCATGTTGGCCAGGGCGGTCTGAAACTCCCGACCTCAAGTGATCCACCCGCCTCGGCTCCCTAAAATGCTGGGATTACAGGCGTGAGCCACCGTGCCTGGCCCATTCATTCATTCTTTCTTGACTACTTCTTGAACACTTACAGTGTTCCCAATCCCAGGGCACACACCATGCAAATAACACAAAAGTATTTATATTACATTCCAGATTGGGTGGAGCATGGGTGGATAATAAATTAGTAAATAAATAAATGGACTTGGTCATTTCAGATCGCAGGATGGGCTATGAAGAAGTAACATAGGGTCCAGGTTCAGTGGTGTAACCCCAGCATTTTGGGAGGCCAAGACGGGAAGATCGCTTGAGCTTAGGAATTCTAGACCAGCCTGGGCAACATGAAGAAACCTCATCTCAACAACAAATACACACACACACAAAACCTAGCTGAGCGTGGTGGTGTGCGCCTATAGTCCCAGCTACTCGGGAGGCTAAGGCAGGAGGATTGCTGAAGCCCAGGAGGCTGAGGCTGCAGTGAACTGTGTTCATGTCACTGCACACCAGCCTGGGTGACAGAGTGAGACCCTGTCTCAAAAACAAAAACAAAAAAACGGAATATGATGTGCTTGAACGTGGCTGAGAGAGGAGAACTTCAATTTGACATTTGGTCAGGGAAAATTATCTCTGAGGTGACATTTGAGCTGGCTGAGCATAGTGGGTCATGCCGGTAATTCAAACGCTTTGGGAGGCTGAGGCGGGCGGATCACCTGAGGTCAGGAGTTCAAGACCAGCCTGGTCAACATGGCGAAACCCTGGCTCTACTAAAAAATACAAAAATTAGCCGGGCCAGCTTGGGGGTGCCTGTAATCCCAACTACTTGGGAGGCTGAGACAAGGAAAATTTGAATCTGGGAGGTGGAGGTTGCAGTGAGCCGAGGTTGCGCCATTGCACTCCAGCCTGGATGATGGAGTGAGACTCCATGTCAAAAAAAAAAAAAAGACCTGGAGGCAGATCGCATCCAAAAGGAAAAGGTCTGCAGCAGGCAAAACCTTGGTGTCAAGTGAGGCCAGGGGAAGAAGCCAGGAGGAGCAGCAGAGCAGTGGTTCTCAAAGTGTGGTCCCAGACCAGCAGCATCAGCGTCATCTGGGGACTTGCTAGAAAGGCAAATGATGAGGTACCATCATAGATTTGCCAAATCAGGAACTCTGGGGATGGGGCCCCAGAATCTGTGTTTTAACACACCTTCCTGGTGATTCTTATGCACCTTCAAACTCAAAACTCTCTGCAAAGCAGTACATGGGCTGGGCACGATGGCTGACGCCTGTAATCCCAGCACTTCGGGAGGTCGAGGCAGGTGGATCACAAGGTCAAGAGTTCGAGACAAGCCTGGCCAATATGGTGAAACCCCATCTCTACTAAAAATACAAAAATTAGGCTGGGCGTGGTGGCTCACTCCTGTAATCTCAGCACTTTGGGAGGCCAAGGTGGGCGGATCATGAGGTCAGGAGATCGAGACCATCCTGGCTAACACGGTGAACCCCCATCTCTACTAAAAAATACAAAAAAAAAAAAATTAGCCGGGCGTGGTGGTGGTCGCCTGCAGTCCCAGCTACTTGGGAGGCTGAGGTAGGAGAATGGCGTGAACCCAGGAGGTGGAGCTTGCAGCGAGCCAAGATCATGCCACTGCACTCCAGCCTGGGTGACAGAGCGAAGACTCCGTCTCAAAAAAAAAAAAAAACAAAAAACCTAAATTAGCCTGCATGGTGGCAGGCACCTGTAGTCCCAGCTACTCAGGAGGCTGAGCCAGGAGAATCGCTTGAACCCGGGAGGCAGAGATTGCAGTCAGCCGAGATTGTGCCACTGCACTCCAGCCTGGGTGACAGAGCGAGACTCCATCTCAAAACAAAACAAAACAAACAAACAAAAAACAGTAAGTGATGGTAAGGAATTTGAGACTGAATTTCAAGTGTTCTTAATTCTCTGTTTTGAAAAGGGGACTCACGTGATCTAACTTATAATTTTAAAAGATCATGTGGGCTTCTATGGGAATGGGTTGAGGAGAAGAGGCACACGAGGTTGGAGATAGTTAGTGGAGTAGTTCAGGCAGAGGCGATGAGTAGTTCAGGCAGGTGGAGACGCTGCATTTGGGTCATGGCTCATTGCCACCTTCCTGGCCTCTCTGTGTCTCAGGCTCCAGAATAATTGGACTAAGTCTCTGCAGCTAAAGTCTGCCCATATGTGGTCCATGTCTCATCCAAACCTCCCTAAAACTTCTCAATCTCCAGCGGATAGACGAGAAAACATGAAGGTGGATTCTAGGCGGAAATGACTTGTTCCAGAGCATAGTTTGAAAGTGGGGGCTGGGTGCGGTGGCTCACGCCTGTAATCCCAGCACTTTGGGAGGCCGAGGCAGGCAGATCACAAGGTCAGGAGATCGAGACCATCCTGGCTAACACGGTGAAACCCCGTCTCTACTAAAAATACAAAAACAAAATTAGCCGGGTGTGGTGGCGGGGGGCCTGTAGTCCCAGCTACTCGGGAGGCTGGGGCAGGAGAATGGCGTGAACCCGGGAGGCGGAGCTTGCAGTGAGCTGAGATCGTGCCACTGCACTCCAGCCTGGGCAACAGAGCGAGAGTCCATCTCAAAAAACAAAAAAAGAAAGTGGGGGAGGCCAGACGCAGTGGCTCACGCCTGTAACCCCAGCACTTTGGGAGGCCGAGGTGGGTAGATCATTTGAGGTCAGGAGTTCAAGACCAGCCTGGCCAACATAGTGAAACCCTGTCTCTACTAAAAATACAAAAATTAGCTGGGTGTGGTGGTGCGTGCCTGTAATCCCAGTTACTCGGGAGGCTGAGGCAGGAGAATCATTTGAACCTGGGAGGCAGAGGTTGCCGTGAGCCGAGATCATGCCACTGCTCTCCAGCTTAAGCTACAGAGCAAGACTCTGTCAAAAAAAAAAAAAAAAGAGAGAGAAAAGAAAAGAAGTAGGGCTACTATTCTATTCTATCATGTTCAGAGGGCTTCCAGCTCTCCTTCTTATCCACTCCATTGCCCCAAACATGTGTCTCTGTCTCTTCTGTCTCTCTGGGTCTTTCTCCTGTGCCTCCACCCCACTCCCAGGCTCAAGTGATCCTCCCTCCTCAGCCTCCGGAGTAGCTGGGGCTACAGGCACGCGCCACCACACCTGGCTAATTTTTTTTTTTAGTAGTAGAGATGGGGTTTCGCCATGTTACCCAAGCTGGTCTCAAACTCCTGGAATTGAGTGATCCACCTGCCTTGGCCTCTCTAAGTGCTGGGATTACAGGCGTGAGCCATTGTGCTCGGCCTCACCCCACTCTCTTGATCCCTACTTTATGTCTCTGTTCTCCTCTCTCCAAGTTTCTTTCTCTCTCTGGCTCTCTGTCCCCATCGTCACTGCCTTCATCCCCTTTTTCTGTTTCCCTTTACTCAGGCCCCTCCTCCCATCTCTCTCCCCAGGACAGCTCGGGGCTCCGTCTCTGGAAACGCCGCTGGTTCGTCCTCTCCGGCCATTGCCTCTTTTATTACAAGGGTCAGTGGCTGGCTGGCTGGCTTGGGGTGGGAGGGCCCCCCCGCCCAGTCTGCCCTTCTCTCTAGCATCTTGGCCTTCTGATCCCTGTGTGATCCTTGACCCCAGCCCCTCTTTGCAGACAGCCGCGAGGAGAGTGTCCTAGGCAGCGTCCTGCTCCCCAGCTACAATATTAGACCAGATGGGCCGGGAGCCCCCCGAGGGCGGCGCTTCACCTTCACCGTGAGTCCATCCATCCATGTTGTGCACCAGGCGATGGGAACTGGAGATGAGGGCGGGTAGATATCTGTCGAGGAAACTCCAAGTCCTAACAAGCACTGGAATATCCATTACTGGAGATAAAAGGTCTTGACAAGCGTCAATTGCATCCTCGTTTTGTTTTGTTTTGGTTTGTTTTTTTGTTTTGTTGTTTTTTGAGACAGAGTCTCTCTCTGTCACCCAGGCTGGAGTGCAGTGGTGCGATCTCGGCTCACTGCAACCTCCGCCTCCTGGGTTCAACGGATTCTCCTGCCTCAGCCTCTGGAGTAGCTGGGATTACAGGCGCACGCCACCACGCCTGGCTAATTTTTTGTATTTTTAGTAGAGATGGGGTTTCGCCATGTTGGCCAGGCTGGTCTCAAACTCCTGGCCTCAGGTGATCCGCCTACCTCAGCCTCCCAAAGTGCTGGGATTACAGGCATGAGCCACCGCGTCTGTCCAGTCCTTTCCTTTCCTTTCCTTTCCATTTTCCTTTCCTTTCCTTTCCTTTTTCCTTTCCTTTCCTTTTTTTTTCTCTCTCTCTCTTTCTTTCTTTCTCTTTCTCTCTTTCTTTCTCTCCCTTCCCTTCCCTCTTTCCCTCTTTCCTTTCTTTCTTGACGGTCTTGCTCTGTCACCCAGGCTGGCGTGCAGCGACGCAAAGTGCAGTCTTCCTGCCTCAGTCTCCCCGGTAGCTGGGACTACAGGTGCGCTCCACCACGTCCGGCTAATTTTTTGATTTTTTTGTAGAGACGGGGGCGGAAGGAGGTGGAGGGGGGTGTCTCATTATGTTGCCTAGGCTGGTCTCAAGCCATCCTCCCGCATCGGCCTCCCAAAGCACTGGGTTTACTGGAATGAGTCACCGGTCCGGCCTGTCCTCCTTTTTACAAGGCCCGGGAGTCCGGATTCCAAGCCTTCTCTTCCCGCAGGCAGAGCACCCGGGCATGAGGACCTACGTTTTGGCCGCTGACACCTTAGAAGACCTGCGGGGCTGGCTACGGGCGCTGGGCCGGGCCTCCCGTGCGGAGGGGGACGACTAGTGAGTAGAGGTCCAAGCCATGCTCCTGACCCTCCACCCTGAGTCAGTCTCGTCATCCCAACTCCTCCCCTTTGGGGCCCTGCCCCCTTGAGTGTCCAATCACCAGTCTTCTAGCTAAGGCGCCTCGTCTTCTAGGCCCCACCTCCAGGGAACTTTTCCAATCAGCAAAAGTCTTTCTCCCTTAAGTTCCGCCCACCACCTTGTCCGTCCCCGCCCCCAAGCTGACCCTTCAGTCACGCACTCAGCTCTGCTCCAGGAATGATCAATATTGCACACTCTCTGATTGGCTCCTTCTGAAGTCCCCTGAGCTGCCACCTAAACAATGCCAGGTAAAAGATAGTATCAGATTTTAAAAAAATGTCAGACTATCTCTTAGGCTCTGACATGGCCTGCGCCAATTATCAGGCTGGAAACTGGACTACCTGGCTGAGTCTATCCCATATTCCGGGGCATTGGGTCCAGCAACCTGGATAGACGTTGTGGCCTGGCGCACAGGTCAGTTTCACATTGGAGGCCTCAGTTTCCCCTTCTGAAGAAGGGGGACGATGATTTATAGTGCACAACTTTCCTTTTTTGGGTGCATCCTTGTGTTCTCACCTGTGACAAGAGAATAGGGCTGTTATGAAGTTCGAAGGAGTGATATCTTGTCTATGTCCACTCGCTAGTGGGCAACCCAGGTCACCTGCACGACCCCAGCCCGGGGAGGGCCCCGGCGGCCCCGGTGGTCCCCCGGAGGTGAGCAGAGGGGAAGAGGGGCGCATCTCAGAATCACCGGAAGTGACTCGACTCTCCAGAGGTCGTGGTAGACCCAGGCTGCTCACTCCCAGCCCCACAACCGACCTCCACTCTGGACTCCAGATGCGGAGGGCGAGGAGCCCCGAGTGAGTAGGGAGGACATGGTTGTGGGCGTGGCCTAAGAGAAGGGCAGGGCCGGAAACTGGTTGGGGGCGGGCCTTAGCGCTTTCTGCTTGAGTGTGTGTGACTTGCTGGGGCTCCCGTGGGGGTCACAGCCTGTCGGGGAGAAGACTGGAGGGGAAGATGCCACAAAGCGGACATTACTGAGGATTTGGACAGTAGAGGAGGATTCTAACCCAGTGGGACAGTAAGACACAGTGAAGTGAGACATGTCCTTGAGGCTGACTTGATGGGTAAGGAGGTGGATGGAGAGGGCTCTAGTTGACTCAGTTCCCCGATTCTCTCCTTCCCACAGCCTGTTCACCCCCCTCTCTCGCCCTCCCTCGCCTCTGAGCCTCCCCCGTCCCCGTTCTGCCCCTGCGCGGCGACCCCCTGCCCCCTCAGGAGACACAGCACCCCCTGCCCGACCTCACACCCCGTTGAGTCGCATTGATGTCCGACCTCCTCTGGATTGGGGCCCCCAACGCCAGACCCTCTCCCGACCCCCTACTCCCCGCCGAGGACCTCCCTCTGAGGCTGGGGGAGGAAAGCCCCCCAGGAGTCCCCAGCACTGGAGTCAGGAGCCCAGAACACAGGTGAGCAGAGAGGTGAGAAGGAGGGGACTACGTTTCCCATCAGGCCTCAGGGCTGTCTTTCCGTATTCTCAAGGCCATTGCTCCCTGGGTGTCATGGGTATTGTAGTCCATAATGATCTCAGCTGGGCTCAGGTGAGAGAGAGCTTGAACCTATCAGGTGTCCAGCTCCTCTCAGGTGTC
Organism: Homo sapiens; assembly: GCF_000001405.40. Taxonomy (NCBI): domain Eukaryota; kingdom Metazoa; phylum Chordata; class Mammalia; order Primates; family Hominidae; genus Homo; species Homo sapiens. The sequence goes on along the minus strand of NC_000019.10, from coordinate 48,858,679 downwards.
TGGGCTGTCTTTCTAGGCTGGTCTTCGGCCATTGCTTTTTTTTTTTTTTTTTGAGACTGAGGTCTTGCTCTGTCGCCAAGGTTAGAGGGCAGTGGCACGATCTCGGCTCACTACAACCTCTGTCTCCCGGGTTCAAGCGATTCTCCTGCCTCAGCCTCCCGAGTAGCTAGGATTACAGGCACCTGCCACCACGTCCGGCTGATTTTTATATTTTTGGTAGAGATGAGGTTTCACCATGTTGACCAAGCTGGTCTCGAACTCCTGACCAGCTGACAGGTGATCTGCCCATCTCAGCCTCCCAAAGTGCTGGGATTACAGGCGTGAGCCACCGCGCCTGGCCCAGCCATTGCTCTTTAAGCATCATGGGGATTGTAGTCCTGGATACTCTGTGCCAAGACAGTGCGGTGAGAGGTTTGCATCTCCCTTGTGTCCCCAGTTCACCTTGCAAGTTGGTTGCCTGCTGTTTTGTCTGAGCATCATGGGACGGTAGCTCAGAATATCCACAGCTGACTGCAAGTCTGAGAATGAGAGTAGCAAATTCCATCATCTTGTGGGGCTGTTTTGCCAGGCTGGTGCATTTATTATCACCCTCTGTGTCCCCACAGTGGCACACAGCTGGAGAGCAGGTAGTTGAGGAAGTTGAGAGGGCCCAGTTCTGAACCTCAAAATATCTCCTAAAGCACTTCAATTATGGACATGCCCACTCTACTATTTGTCACTAAGACATGCCAGTTTCTTTTTTTTTTTAATTATTATTATTATTTTTTTATTGATCATTCTTGGGTGTTTCTCGCAGAGGGGGATTTGGCAGGGTCATAGGACAATAGTGGAGGGAAGGTCAGCAGATAAACAAGTGAACAAAGGTCTCTGGTTTTCCTAGGCAGAGGACCCTGCGGCCTTCCGCAGTGTTTGTGTCCCTGGGTACTTGAGATTAGGGAGTGGTGATGACTCTTAACGAGCATGCTGCCTTCAAGCATCTGTTTAACAAAGCACATCTTGCACTGCCCTTAATCCATTTAACCCTGAGTGGACACAGCACATGTTTCAGAGAGCACAGGGTTGGGGGTAAGGTCATAGATCAACAGGATCCCAAGGCAGAAGAATTTTTCTTAGTACAGAACAAAATGAAAAGTCTCCCAGACATGCCAGTTTCTAAACATCTCCATTTCAACGTTCCTCCCAGGCACACTCTGGCTCCCCCACTTATCTCCAGCTCCCCCCGCGGCCCCCTGGGACCCGGGCCTCCATGGTTTTATTGGTAGGTATCCTGGAGTACCCTAAATCTACCGGAGCCCCCTCCCTTCCTTTCTTCTCTATGAGGAATGTCATCTCTTGGCCTAGGGTGCCTAGAGAACTGTAGATATTTCAAAGACCCTGGGTAGGTATTAGATTCATGTGGTGGCTGTAACAAAGCGCATGGCCGAAAACAACAGAAATGGATTATCTTGCGGTTCTGGAGGCCAGAGGCCTGGAGTCAAGGGATTGGCAGGGCTATACTTCCACTGAAGGTTCTAAGGAGGAGCTTTTATTGACTCTCTCTTAGCTTCTGGTGGTTGCCAGCAATTCCTGAGGTTCTGTGGTTTTTTTTATGGCCACATCTTTGCCTCCATCATCCCATGATGATCTTCCTTTGTGTTTTTGTTGCTGTCCATCTCCTCCTATTAGGACACCCCATGACATCGTCGTAACTTAACTTAAATCCGCAAAAACCTCTTTCTTTCTTTCTTTCTCTTTCTTTTTCTTTTCTTTTCTTTCTTTCTTTCTTTTTTTTTTTTTTTTTTGAGACGGGGTCTCTCTCTGTCGCCCAGGCTGGAGTGCAGTGGTGCGATCTCGGCTCACTGCAAGCTCTGCCTCCCGGGTTCATGCCATTCTCCTGCCTCAGCCTCCTGAATAGCTGGGACTACAGGCGCCCGCCACCACGCCCGGCTAATTTTTTTGTATTTTTTTCTTTGTTTTTTTCTTGAGACAGAGTCTCGCTCTGTCGCCCAGGCTGGATTGCAGTGGCGCGATCTCGGTTCACTGCAACCTTCGCCTCCCTGGTTCAAGCAATTCTCCTGCCTCAACCTCCTGAATAGCTGGGATTACAGGCACGTGCCACCATGCCTGGATAATTTTTGTATTTTTAGTAGAGACGGGGTTTCACCATGTTGGTCAGGCTGGTCTCGAACTCCTAACCTCGTGATCCTCCCGCCTCGGCCTCCCAAAGTGCTGGGATTACAGGCGTAAGCCACTGCGCCTGGCCCAACTTTTTTGTATTTTTAGTAGAGATGGGGTTTCACTGTGTTAGCCAGGATGGTCTCGATCTCCTGACCTTGTGATCTGCCCGCCTCGGCCTCCCAAAGTGCTGGGATTACAGGCGTGAGCCACCGCGACTGGCCTTCCTTCCTTTCTTTCTTTCTTTCCCCCTTCCCCTTCCCCTTCCCCTCCCCTCCTCGTTCTTTCCTTTCCTTTCCTTTTTCTCTCTCTTTCTTTCTTTCCTTCTTTCCTTCCTTTTTCTTTTTTTTTTTTGAGAAGGAGTTTCACTCTTGTTGCCCAGGCTGGAGTGCAATGGCGTGATCTCGGCTCACCGCAACCTCCCCTCCTGGGTTCAAGCGATTCTCCTGCCTCAGCTGCCCGAGTAGCTGGGATTACAGGCACCCACCACCACGCCCTGCTAATTTTGTATTTTTAGTAAAGACAGGGTTTCTCCATGTTGGTCAGGCTGGTCTTGAACTCCCGACCTCAGGTGATCTGCCTGCCTCGGCCTCCCAAAATGCTGGGATTACAGGCATGAGCCACTGCGCCTGGCCACCTAGCTAACTTTTTCTACTTTTTGTAGAGACAGGGTTTTGCCATGTTACCCAGGCTGTTTTTTGTTTTTTTTTAAATTAAAAAAAATTATTTATTTTCTTGAGACAGAGTCTCACTCTGTCACCCAGGCTGGAGTGCAGTGGTGCAATCATGGCTCACTGCAGCCTCAGTCTCCTGGGCCCAAGCGATACTCCCACCTCAGCCTCCCTAGTAGCTGAGACTACAGGCATGTACCACCATGCTCAGCTTATTTTATTTATTTATTTATTTATTTATTTATTTATTTGAGACGAAATCTCACTCTGTCACCCGGGCTGGAGTGCAATGGCACGATCTCGGCTCGCTGCAACCTCTGCCTCCCGGGTTCAAGTGATTCTTCTTCCTCAGCCTCCCAAGTAGCTGGGATTACAGGCGCCCGTCACTACGCCTGGCTAAGTTTTGTATTTTTAGTAGAGACAGGGTATCACCATGTTGGTCAGGCTGGTCTCGAACTCCTGACCTCAGGTGATCCACCCGCCTCGGCCTCCCAAAGTGTTGGGATTACAGGCATGAGCCACCGCACCCGGCCCTATTTTTTTATTTTTATTTTTTTTGCAGACACAAGGTCTCCCTATGTTGCCCAGACTGGTCTTTAACTCCTGGGCTCAAGTGATCTTCCCTCTTTGGCCTCCCAAAGCTTTGGGATTACAGGAGTGAGTCACTGTGCCCTGCACTTTGTTTTATTCTTAGTCATAAATAAAATGTCTAAATTTCTCCATTAATTATAATATTTGCCATGGCTGCTTGATCAAGAGCCCATTATTGATCTTTCTGAAGCCAAGAATGTGGAAGTTGGTCTACTGAAATTTGCTAATGCTTAGAAGGAAGCTGATAAGGAGAGGGGTCGCTAGGCTTGGTGGTTCATGCCTGTAATCCCAGGACTTCAGGAGGCCAAGGCAGGAGGATCATTTGAGATCAGGAGTTCAAGACTGGTCTGGGTGACATAGTGAGACCCCAGCCCTGAAAACAAACAAACAAACAACCTTAGCTGGCACCGGTGGCTGGCATCTGTTGTCCCACCTACTTGGGAGGCTGAGGTGGGAGGATCCTTTGAGCCTAAGAGTTCAAGGCTGCAGTGAGCCATGATCATGCCACTGCACCCCAGCCTGGGTGACAGACCTTGACTCAAAAAAAAAAAAAAAAAAAAAAAAAAAGGCCAGGCATGATATGATGGTGCATGCCTATAATCCCAGCACTTTGGGAGGCCGAGGCAGGAGGATTGCTTGAGCCCAGGAGTTTGAGATCAGCCTGGGCAACATGGCAAAACCCCATCGCTACCAAAACCAACAGCAACAAAAATTTTAAAACTACAAAAATTAGCCGGGCATGATGTGTGCGCCTGTGGTCCCAGCTACTCAGGAGACTGAAGTGGGAGGATTGCTTGAGCCCAGGAGGTTGAGCCTGCAGCGAACCATGATCGCACGACTGCACACCAGCTTGGGTGACAGAGCAAGACCCTATCTCTAAATAAATAAATAAATAAATAGTGCAGTACCTATCAGTAGAGACAGGGCGTGGCTCAGCACTGAGTTACAAGAATGACCAGCCTGTCCCCTTTGACCCCTGACTTTTTTCCTTCTCTTCAGCCGGGTCCTCCCCTGGAGTCAACTTTCCACCAAAGCTTGGAGACAGATGTAAGTTGTCACTGATCTAATCCTTGCTGAGTTCCCAGAGTTGGGGAGAGAATGTTCTAGATGATGGGAGGAGCGGCAGGGGAAGAGCCAGATCTGGACCATCAGTAGCTCCCGCTCTCCTTTCTCCAGACGCTGCTGACCAAGTTGTGCGGGCAGGACCGGCTTCTGCGGAGGCTGCAGGAGGAGATAGACCAGAAGCAGGAGGAGAAGGTGCGGGGCCCTGGGCCAAGGACAGGGCGCCTGGCCTCTCTGCCTGCCCTGAGCCCTTCCTGAATGCGGAAGTCAGGATGCTGACTGGACGTCCAGGACGTGAAAGGACATCTTTTCTTTCTTCTTGGGGCTAGGCATGGCTTCTGAAGTCTAACCACCTTCTGTCTTGGTGCAGGAGCAACTAGAAGCAGCTCTGGAGTTGACCCGGCAACAGCTGGGCCAAGCCACCAGGGAGGCTGGGGCTCCCGGGAGGGCCTGGGGTCGCCAGCGCCTCTTGCAGGACCGGCTGGTCAGTGTGAGGGCCACCCTCTGTCACTTGACTCAGGTGAGCACCTGGGAAGGGGCCTGCCCTCCTAGGAGGCCCCAGGACTATGCAAGTCGTTACGAAGGGGACCTGCCCCAGAGGGCTCATAGGAAGATCGTTCTTCAGAAGTCTACACTCCAAATTTTATTATTTTTTCTCTCTCCTCATTGTCTTGTAACCACTCTAATTTTTTTTTTTTTGGGGGGGACAGAGTCTTGCTCTGTCGCCCAGGCTGGAGTACAGTGGTGCCATCTCAGCTCACTGCAACCTCAGCCTCCTGAGTAACTGGGATTACAGGCATGTGCCACCACACCTGGCTAATTTTTGTATTTTTAGTAGAGATGGGGTTTTGCCATGTTGGCCAGGCTGGTCTCGAACTCCTAACCTCAGGTGATCAGCCTGCCTCAGCCTCCCAAAGTGCTGGGATTACAGGCATGAGCCACTGCGCCCGGCCTTAAGTAACTCTGAGAATTATTATATGTGATACGTGAAAATGAGTGAATGAATGAATGAATGAATGAATGAATATTTAACACTTAAGGTACTTGGTACTTGGTAAAGCAATACTTAAGTGTCAGCTATAATTATTATCTGTAAAATGGAGACAATAATAGTAACTACCTCATAGGAATTAAATGAGAGTTGAGAACAATGCCTAGCACATGATCAGTGCCCAATAAGTGTTAGCTGATATTATCATTGTTATTGTTGGTATTGGCAAGGAAGTTTCTGCTGCCCCAGGGTGAGTGGGTGCTGTGGTTATTTTTTTTGAGACGGATTCTTGCTCTGTTGCTCAGGCTGGAGTGCAGCGCCTGGATCCAGGCTCACTGCAACTTCTGTCTCCCTGGTTCAAGTGATCCTCCTGCCTCAGCCTCCCGAATACCTGGGATTACAGGCCCTCGCCACCATTCCTGGCTAATTTTTGTATTTTTAGTAGGGACGGGGTTTCACCATGTTGGCCAGGGTGGTCTCGAACTCCTGACCTCAAGTGATCCGCCCGCCTTGGCCTCCCAAATAGCTGGGATTAAAGGCCTGAACCACCGTGTCTGGCTGGGTGCTGTGGTCTTTTAACTGTCTAATGAAATTCATTAGATCTGTAGACTCTGCTACCTAGGAGAGAGCAGAAGTAATCCTGGGGATTCAGGGAATGCTGTTATTTGTCTACACTAGCAGTGTACTGGAATTGCAGGTTCCATACAGACTTTGGGGTTCCCAGTAGTCCAAGCAAAGAGGCCCATGGGAATTGTAGTCCATACGCCTGCAGGGCTCCAGGGACCAAACTCCCTTATCTCCTCCTTAGCTGACAAATGATGGGGTGGGGAAGGATCTGGTGGGAGAGGGACCTAACCTATGTCTCCCCCTTTATGCAACCTGAGGAGCGAGAGAGGGTTTGGGACACGTACAGTGGCCTGGAGCAGGAGCTGGGCACCTTAAGAGAGACGCTGGAGTACCTGCTGCACCTTGGTTCTCCCCAGGTAAATCGCTGCTTGGAGACCCCAAGACCCACCCCCAACTCCAAGTTCTGCCTGGAAATCCTTTTAGCATTTAATCTTCGCCCACAGAATCGAGGCCCCGCCCAGTTGACCCTTAGCCTCCTTTCTGTCCTTTCAATCTAAGCCCCTTATTTTAGTTAAGACCATGCCCTTTGGGGTTTTTTTTTAAATTCTCTCATTAAAATTTTAATTAAGCTTCAATTTTGAATGCCGTTTTCTCGAGCTGTTATCTAATTTCTGCTGTAAAGTTGTTTATTTGTTTGTTTTTAAGACAGTCTCACTCTGTCGCCCAGGCTGGAGTGCAGTAGCGCAATCTTGGCGCACTGCAACCTCTGCCTTCCAGGTTCAAGTGATTCTCCCACCTCAGCCTCCCAAGTAGCTAGGATTTCAGGCACATGCCACCATGCCCAGCTACTTTTTATATTTTTAGTAGAGACATGTTGGTCAGGCTGGTCTTGAACTCCTGACCTCAAGTGATCTGCCTGCCACGGCCTCCCAAAGTGCTGGGATTGCAAGCATGAGCCACTGCGCCAGACCTAATTTCTGCTGTAAAGTTGGCTATAATTTTACAACATTTTTTTTTGAGGGGGAGGGGGACAGAGTTTTACTCTTGTTGCCCGGGCTGGAGTGCAATGGCACGATCTCAGCTCACCACAACCTCTGCCTCCCGGGCTCAAGCGATTCACCCACCTCAGCCTCCTGAGTAACTGGGATTACAGGTGCCCGCCACCACGCCCAGCTAATTTTGTATTTTTAGTAGAGACGGGGTTTCTCTATGTTGGTCAGGCTGGTCTTGAATTCCCGACCTCAGGTGATCTGCCTGCCTCGGCCTCCCAAAGTGCTGGGATTACAGGCGTGAGCCACTGCGCCCGGCCTACAACATTCTTTTTAAAAAATGTATTGTGGGTACATAGCAGATGAATATATTTATGAAGTGCATAAGATATTTTGGTACAGGCATGCAATGTATAATAATCCCATCATGGAAAATGGGGTGTCCATCCCCTCAAGCATTTATCTTTTGTGTTACAAACAATCCATTATACTCTTTTATTTTTTATTTTTATTTTTGAGACAGTCTCGCTTTATTGCCCAGGCTGGAGTGCAGTAGCACAATCTTGGCTCACTGCAACCTCCGCCTCCCAGGTTCAAACGATTCTCCTCCCTCAGCCTCCCAAGTACCTGGGATTACAGATGACCACCACCATGCCCGGTTAATTTTTCTATTTTCGGTAGAGAGGGGGGTTTCACCATGTTGGTCAGGCTGGTCTCGAACTCCTGACCTCAGGTGATCCACCCACCTCGGCCTCCCAAAGTTCTGGGATTACCGGTGTGAGCCACTGTGCCTGGCCTACTCTTTTATTTTTATTTTATTTATTTTATTATATTTTTTGAGATAGAGTCTCGTTCTGTTGCCCAGACCGGAGTGCAATGGTGCAATCTCGGTTCACCGCAACATCCGCCTCCCAGGTTCAAGCAATTCTCCTGCCTCAGCCTCCCGAGTAGCTGGGATTACAGGCATGCACCACCATGTCTGGCTAATTTTGTAGTTTTATGAGAGACGGGGTTTCTCCATGTTGGTCCGGCTGGTCTTGAACTCCTGACCTCAGGTGATCCACCCGCCTCAGCTTCCCAAAGTGCTGAGATTACAGGCGTGAGCCACCGCACACAGCCCTTCTATTTTTTATTTTCTTTTTTTGTGTGTGTGAGACATAGTCTTGCTCTGTCGCCAGGCTGGAGTGCAGTGGCACAATCTCGACTCACTGCAACCTCCACCTCCCAGGCTCAAGCAATTCTCCTGCCGCAGCTTCCCCAGTAGCTGAGACTACAGGTGTGTGCCACCATGCCCAGCTAATTTTTGTATTTTTAGTAGAGATGGGGTTTCACCATGTTGGCCAGGATGGTCTAGATCTCTTGACCTCATGATCCACCCGCCTCGGCCTCCCAAAGTGCTGGGATTACAGGCGTGAGTCACGGCGCCTGGCCGCCCTCTTATTTATTTATGAGATGGAGTCTTGCTCTGTTGCCCAGGCTGGAGTGCAGTGGTGTGATCTCGGCTCACTGCAACCTCTGCCTCCCGGGTTCAAGTGATTCTCCTGCCTCAGCCTCTAGCTGGGACTACAGGCGTGTGCCACCACGCCTGGCTAATTTTTGTATTTTTAGTAGAGACGGGGTTTCACCATGTTGATTAGGGTGGTCTTGAACTCCTGACCTTCTGATCCGCCTGCCTCGGCCTCCCAAAGTGCTGGGATTATAGGCATGAGCTACTGCGCCCGGCCAATGCCTTTCGTTTTAATACCTACTTCAGATCCAGAGCTGCTCTCTCCCCTGGTTCTAAATCTCTCCTCTTGTTGAAGCCATGCTCTCACCAGCAAAACTCCAACCCTCAGCCTTTTTTCCATCTTGCAAGTTCATCTCTTGCATCCTGCATCCTGACTTTTGCTGTTAAATTTATCCTCTGGAGTTCCAGTTCTGAACCCATTCCTTTAGTGCAAGCTCTGCTCCTAAAATATAAACCTCATTGCTTAGCCTCAGACCTGCTTTTTCACTCTAAATCTAGCCATCAAGTTCTAAATCATGTATCTTTAAAAACATTGACACGGCCGGGCGTGTTGGCTCACGCCTGTAGTCCCAGCACTTTGGGAGGCCAAGGCAGGTGGATCACTTGAGGTCAGGAGTTGGAGACCAATCTGACGAACATGGTGAAACCCTGTCTCTACTAAAAATAGAAAAATTTGCTGGGTGTGCTGGTGCACGCCTGTAGTCCCAGCTACTCAGGAGGCTGAGGCAGGAGAATCGCTTGAACCCGGGAGGCGGAGGTTGCAGTGAGCCGAGATCGTGACACTGCACTCCAGCCTGGGTGATAGGGAGAGACTCCATCTTAAAAAACAACAACAACAACCCCAAAAAACAAAAAACCATTGATGCCTAGTTTTAAATGCATCTTCTCACTCTAAGCTGCTCCCACTAGATCTACAATCCAGACTTGGCAAGAACAGACCCATGCCAGCTGCAGTGGCTCACACCTGTAATCCCAGCACTTTAGGAGGATGAGGCAGGTGGATCACCTGAGCCCAGGAGTTTGAGGCTAGCCTGGGCAACATGGTGAAACTCTGTCTCTACTAAAAATAAAAGTGAAAAAATTAGCTGGGCCTGGTTGTGCACGCCTGTGGTCCCAGTTACTCAGGAGGCTGAGGTGGAAGGATCGCTTAAGCCCAAGAGTTCGAGGATGCAGTGAGCTATGATCAAGCCATTGCACGCCAGCCTGGGTGACAGAGGGAGGGACTGTCTCCAAAAACAAACAAAAAGAACAGACTCTCATATTCGTATGGTCACCTATTTATAATAGATGTAACACAGTAAAACAACATAGAAAGAAAAGACAGTTTTTTCTTTTTCTTTTTTTTTTTTTTGAGACAGTGTCTCGCTCTGTTGCACAGGCTGGAGTGCAGTGGCACGATCTCAGCTCACTGCAACCTCCACCTCCTGGGTTCAAGCAATTCTCCTGCCTCAGCCTCCCGAGTGGCTGGGATCACAGGCATGCACCACCACCCCCGGCTAATTTTTTTTTGTATTTTTAGTAGACACGAGGGTTCACCATGTTGGCCAGGCTGGTCTTGAACTTCTGACCTCTGGTGATCCACCCGCCTCGGCTTCCCAAAATGCTGGGATTACAGGTGTGAGCCACCACGCCTGGCCAAAAGACAGTTTTTTTTTTTTTTTTGAGACGGAGTCTCGCTCTGTCGCCCAGGCTGGAGTGCAGTGGCGGGATCTCGGCTCACTGCAAGCTCCGCCTCCCGGGTTCACGCCATTCTCCTGCCTCAGCCTCCCAAGTAGCTGGGACTACAGGTGCCCGCCACTACGCCCGGCTAATTTTTTGTATTTTTAGTAGAGACGGGGTTTCACCGTTTTAGCCGGGATGGTCTCGATCTCCTGACCTCGTGATCCGCCCGCCTCGGCCTCCCAAAGTGCTGGGATTACAGGCGTGAGCCACCGCGCCCAGCCAAGACAGTTTTTTTCAATTCAACTGGATAACCACATGGGAAAAAAAATAAATCCCAACTCCATAAATATAGCCCAGCTGATTTCAGACCTTTGCAGGGGCCTATTAGCTGAAACCCTCCTGCGTTTTCCCACCTTTAAGTAACAAATTCCTTTCCTCCCTGCAGGACAGAGTGTCTGCTCAGCAGCAGCTGTGGATGGTGGAAGACACGCTGGCAGGTCTGGGTGGCCCCCAGAAACCGCCCCCACACACTGAGCCTGACTCCCCATCTCCCGTGCTCCAGGGCGAGGAGTCCTCAGAGAGGGAGGTAAGACGCACATAATTCCTCCCCACCCCAAGCTTCATGTCCCACCTGTCCTTGACTCAGTCTATTCCCCACCCACCTCTTTAATTCTTCCTTGATCAGCTAACCCACCTGGTACAAGTGTCCTAACCTCTGGAAGCCTTTGTTTTCTTTTTTTTCGGGGGTTTTTTTGAGACGTAGTCTCACTCTGTCATCCAGGCTGGAGTCCAGTGGTGCAATCTTGGCTCACTGCAACCTCCACCTCCTGGGTTCAAGTGGTTCTCCTGCCTCAGCCTCCGAAGTAGCTGTGATTACAGGTGCCCACAACCAAGCCTGGCTAAGTTTTGTATTTTTAGTAGAAACGGAGTTTCACCTTGTTGGCCAGGCTGGTCATGTACTCCTGGCCTTGAGTAATCCGCCTGCCTCGGCCTCCCAAAGTGTTGGGATTACAGGCGTGAGCCACCTCGCCCAACCAGGATTTTTTTTTTAAGATGGGATCTCATTCTGTCGCCCAGGCTGGACTGCAGTGGTGTGATCATGGCTCACTGCAGCCTCGAATTCTTGGGCTCAAGCAATCCTCCTGCTTCAGCTTCCTGAGTAGCTGGGACCGCAGGCTCGTGCCATCATGCCTGGCTAATTTTTGGTTGTTTGTTTATTGTGGAGATGGAACCTCACTTTGCTGCCAAGTCTGGTCTTAAACTCCTGGCTTAAAATGATCCTCCAGTCTCAGTATTCCAAAACGCCAGGATTACAGGAGTGAGGCACCGCACCCAGCCCTAATATGATTATATATATAATGCACTTAGACACCAGGCACTGTTCTAAGTGCCACATATATATGGACTCAATCCTAATATCAAAAAGTAAAATGTTAATGAGCCAGGCACAGTGGTGCACACCTGTAATCCCAGCTACTTGGGAGACTGAGGCAGGAGAATCGCTTGAACCAGGGAGGCAGAGGTTGCAGTAAGCTGAACCAAGATTGCACCACTGTACTCCAGCCTGGCTGAAAGAGCGAGACTGTGTCTCAAATAAAATAAAATATGGCTCAGAGAGGTAAAGCAGCTTGCCGAAGGTCACACAGCTAATAAATGGCACAGTTGGGATTTGAAGCCAGGACATCTGGCTCCTGGTTTACAGTTTTTTTGTTTTTTTGGAGACAGGGTCTTGCTCTGTCACCCAGGCTGGAGTGCAGTGGTGCCATCACAGCTCACTGGAACCTCCATCTCTGGGGCTTAAGTGATTCTCTCACCTCAGCTTCCCAAGTAGCTAGGACTACAGGTGTCTGCCACCATGCCCGGCGAATTCTTTAACTTTTTTGTAGAGACGGGGTCTCCCTATGTTGCCTAGGCTGGTCTTGACCTCCTGGTCTCAAGTGATCCTCCCATCTCGGCCTCCTAAAATGCTGGGATTACAGACGTGAACCCACTGTGCCCAGCCTAAAACGTTTGTTTTGTTTTGCTTTGTTTTTTGAGATGGAGTCTCTCTCTGTTGCTCAGGCTGGAGTGCAAGTGGCTCGATCTTGGCTCACTGCAAGCTCTACCTCCCGGGTTCACACCATTCTCCTGCCTCAGCCTCCCGAGTAGCTGGGACTACAGGCACCTGCCACCACGCCCGGCTAATTTTTTTTTTGTATTTTTAGTAGAGACGGGGTTTCACCGTTTTAGCCAGGATGGTCTCCTGACCTTGTGATCCGCCTGCCTCGGCCTCCCAAAGTACTGGGATTACAGGCATGAGCCACCGCGCCCAGCCTTAAAAAGTTTTTAAGGGAAGGGGTCTTGCTATGTTGCCCAGCTGGTGTCTAGCTCCTGGCCTCAAGTGAGCCTCCTACCTTGGCCTCTCAAAGGGCTGAGATTACAAGCACAAGCCTCCATGCTCAGATCTGGTTTATAGTCTTTTTTTTTTTTTTTTTTGAGGCAGAGTCTTGCTCTGCCGCCCAGGCTGGAGTGCAGTGGTGCGATCTCGGCTCACTGCAACCTCCAACTCCCGAGTTCAAGCGATTCTTCTGCCTCAGCCTCCTAAGTAGCTGGGATTACAGGCGCCTGCCACCACGCCCAGCTAATTTTTGTATTTTTAGTAGAGACGGGTTTTCACTACGTTGGACTAAGCTGGTCTGGAACTCCTCAGGTGGTCTGCCTGCCTCGGCCTCCCAAAGCGCTGGGATTACAGGTGTGAGCCACTGCGCCCGGCCTGGTTTATGGTCTGAATCCTATTCAGACTGTATTCCAATGCCTAAATGCTTGCAACATGGTAATAATAATAATTATTATAATGATCATCATTATCCCCCTTTTCTAATCCCCGCAGAGCCTGCCAGAGTCCTTGGAACTGAGCTCCCCTAGGTCCCCCGAGACTGACTGGGGGCGGCCTCCTGGAGGCGACAAAGACCTCGCCAGCCCTCACTTAGGTGAGCATCCTGGTTGGGTGGGACTTTACGGAAATTCCCGTCCTCACCAAGTCCCGTTCTGTCTTTCCAGGTCTTGGGTCTCCGAGGGTCTCCCGGGCTTCCAGCCCTGAGGGTCGCCACCTCCCTTCCCCACAGCTAGGAACCAAGGTAAGCTGTAGGTCCATCCTGTAATCCTTGCATCTGACCATCAGGGACCCCCACACTTCTGGGAAACAGCTAGGAGTAGAGCGTTCTAAGGCCATACTCAGAGCAGAGAGAGCACTGCTTGTTAAGAGCATTGAGATTGATTTTTGTCTCTGTCGCTTCTAAGCTGTGTGACTTTGGGTCAGTTATTAAACCTCTCTGTGCCTTCATTTTTTCTTCTCTAAAATGGGGCTAATAGCAGAACCTACCACCTAGAGCTGACATCAAGATGAAAACTAGATGAATGAGGCCAGGCGCGGTGGCTCACGCCTGTAATCCCAGCACTTTGTCAGGAGTTCCAGACCAGCCTGGCTAACATGGTGAAACCCCGTCTCTACTAAAAGTACAAAAATTAGCCAGGCGTGGTGGTGGGCGCCTGTAATCCCAGCCACTCGGGAGGCTGAGGCAGGAGAATCGCTTGAACTCGGGAGGCAGAGGTTGCAGTGAGCTGAGATCACACCATTGCACTCCAGCTTGTGCGACAAGAGCAAAAATCTGTCTCAAAAAAAAAAAAAAAAAAAAAAAAAAAGACACCCTGAGTGGAGCAGAATGCTGATCTCATGTGGCCCTGGAGTTCAGAAACTGGTTGACTTCTAGTGGCAGGAATGTTTAGGAATTGGTTGACTTTAAGCTGTGGAAGCTCTGTGCTCTGTGTCTGTTGCTGATTGGCTGGTTTTCAGAAGCATGGAGCTATCAATGATTGGCTGATTTTCAGAAGTACGGATCCATCACTGATTGGCCAGCCCTCAGAAGCATGTGACCATCACTGATTGGCTGATTTTCAGAAGCTTGGCTCCATCACTGATTGGCTGGCTTTCAGAAGTCTTTGGGGTACCTGTTGGGATTACTTGATCAAATAGATTTAAAAGCACTTCTTGGGGCTGGGAACCGTGGCTCGTACCTGTAATCCCAGCACTTTGGGAGGCCGAGGCAGGCAGATCACTTGAGGTCAGGAGTTTGAGACCAGATTGACCAACATGGTGAAAACCCTGTCTCTACAAAAATACAAAAATTATCCGAGCGTGATGGCGGGTGCCTGTAATCCCAGCTACTTGGGAGGCTGAGGCAGGAGAATCGCTTGAACCCAGGAGGCAGAGGTGGCAAAGACCCAAGATTGCACCGTTGCACTCCAGCCTGGGCAACAGAGCGAGACTCTGTCTCGAAAATAATAATAATAATAATAATAATAATAATAATAATAATAATAATAATAAAATAAATAAGGCATTTCTTGGCCAGTGGTATTGGCTCATGCCTGTAATCCCAACACTTTGAGAGGCCAAGGTAGGTGGATCAGTTGAGTCCAGGCGTTCAAGAGCAGCCTGGCTAACGTAGCAAGACCCATCTCTACAAAAAAATAATAAAAAGTTAGCTGTGGCCAGGTGCAGTGGCTCACACCTGTAATCCCAGCACTTTGGGATGCCGAGGCGGGTGGATCACCTGAGGTCAGGAGTTCAAGAGCACCCTGGCCAACGTGGCAAAAACCCATCTCTACTAAAAATACAAAAATTAGCCGGGTGTAGCAGCACGCACCTGTAATCCCAGCTACTTAGGAGGCTGAGACAGGAGAATCGCTTGAACCTGGGTGGCTGAGATTGCAGTGAGCTGATACTGCGCCACTGCACTCCAGCCTGGGTGACAGAGCAAGACTCCATCTCAAAAAATAAAAAAATAAAAAATAAAAAGTTAGCTGTGCGTGGTGGTGCCCACCTGTGGTCCCAGCTGCTTGGGAGGTTGAGACGTGAGGATTGCTTGAGTCCAGGAGGTCAAGCCTGCACTGAGCCATGATTGCACCACTGCACTCCATCCTGGGCAACAGAGGGAAACCATGTCTTTAAAAAAAAAAAAGAAAAAAGACCGCGTGCGGTGGCTAACGCCTGTAATCCCAGCACTTTGGGAGGCCAAGGTAGGCGGATCACAAGGTCAGGAGTTCGAAACCAGCCTGACCAACATAGTGTAACCCCGTCTCTACTAAAAATACAAAAAAATTAGCCAGGCGTGGTGGCACATGCCTGTAATCCCAGCTACTCGGGAGGCTGAGGCAGGAGAATCGCTTGAACCTGGGAGGCAGAGGTTGCAGTGAGCCAAGATCGTGCCATTGCACTCCAGCCTGGGCAATAAGAGTGAAACTCCATCTCAAAAATAAAATAAAATAAAATAAAATAATTTAAAAAAAAGAAGGCATTTCTTGTGCTTACTTGTTATCATGGATACAAAAGCAATCGAGCCTTTCCTAGGAAGAGAGGAGAGGCACTTTTTGATTCTCAGTGGTGTGTCATGGGCATGGATGATTGGAGCCTGCTGGGAACATCACTTATCTTGGGACATGCTCCTCCCTCACCCCAACCGGGTGGTTTCAGGGGCTGCCAAGGTCCAGAGCACAGGGGTGGTCTAGTGAGTTCCAGGGATTTCAGGGTTTAGCAAAGAAAAAGCTATGACCACCAGATGGCAGTAGCACACAGGAGCTTTATTTGGTGGACACTGACAGATTTGTCTATGGGGGAGTCACACCCAGTGTGAGACCCTCCAGAGGTTACTGTGTGAGGGTGAGGACCACTGCACAGGAAGGGAGGAAGGCAAGGGAGCTCCCAAGAGAAAGGGACTGGAGAAGGGGCTTACTTCTGGGTGATGCCAGCCACCAGCATGTGGAGGTTTCTCTGGATCAGAGAGGTCCAAAGAGCAGCAGGGGCTTGGGGCTCATCTTATCTATGGGTAGCAGATGTTGGGCACAGTTTCAGGGTATACAAAGCAGGCAGACTGCATAGCTAAAAATACCTGCTTATTAAGACTATGTTTAAAACAATTGGATGTGTAGAAATCTGAGTGTGCTGCTACCAAGCTTTTAGGCCAATGGTCTGGCCTGCTGTGAAGAAATTAACAACATTGGCTGGGCGCGGTGGCTCACGCCTGTAATCCCAGCACTTTGGGAGGCCGAGGCAGGTGGATCACGAGATCAGGAGTTCAAGACCAGCCTGGCCAAGATGGTGAAACCCTGTCTGTACTAAAAATACAAAAAAATTAGCTGGGCGTGGTGGCGGGTGCCACCTACTCAATCCCAGCTACTTGAGAGGCCGAGGCAGAGAAGTGCTTGAACCCAGGAGGCGGAGGTTGCAGTGAGCAGAGATTGCGCCACTGCACTCCAGCCTAGGTGACAAAGCGAGACTCTGTCTCAAAAAAAAAAAAAAAAAAAGAAAATAAATTAACAACATAGGGTAATATACAGTGGCCACTGGCCATCATTTATATAAACAGGACTCAGGATTGGTCAAAGCAGAGGAAACTGCAGGGACTGGTTCTACAATAAGCACAGATCCATGCTATCTCACTGGGATGTTTAACTGGAAGCTTCAGCAATGAGTGCTCTCTCTGTCTTTACTTTTTACTTTTAGATACGGGATCTTGCCCTGTCACCCAGAGTGAGGTGCAGTGGCACGATCATAGCTCCCTGAAGCCTTGAACTCCTGGGCTTAAGTGATCCCCCTGCCTCAGCCTCTTGAGTAGCTGACAGGCATCCACCACCACATCTAACAAGTTTATTTTTTGTAGAGATGGGGTCTTGCTATGTTGCCCAGGCTGGTCTCAAACTCTTGGCCGCAAGTGATCCTCCCACCTCAGCCTCCCAAAGCTCTGGGATTACAGTCACCCACCACTGCACCCGGCCTTCTCCCTCTCTCCTTGTTTAAGCAACATATATATATATATATATTTGAGACAGAGTCTTGCTCTGTTGTGCAGCTGGAGTGCAGTGGCGTGATCTCGGCTCACTGCAACCTCCACCTCTGGGGTTCAAACAATTCTCCTGCCTCAGCCTCCTGAGTAATTAGGATTACAGGTGCCTGCCACCACGCCCAGCTAATTTTTGTATTTTTAGTAGAGATGGTATTTCGCCAAGTTGGCCAGGCTGGTCTTCAACTCCTGACCTCAAGTGATCCTCTCTACTCAGCCTCCCAAAAGTGCTGGGATTACACGAGCCACTGTGCCTGGCCTAAAGGTTGGGTCTTGGGACGTTTCTCGCCTCCCTAGGCCCCGGTGGCCCGGCCCCGGATGAGTGCCCAGGAGCAGCTGGAGCGGATGCGCAGAAACCAGGAATGTGGACGGCCCTTCCCTCGCCCGACCTCCCCCCGGCTTCTCACCCTGGGAAGGACACTGTCCCCAGCCAGACGCCAGCCTGACGTGGAGCAAAGGGTGAGGGGAGGAGGGCTGGGGCTGGGCGGTGGGGTGGTAGTAGGTCCTCTTCGCCTACTTTGAGTCCCTTTCTGTAAAATGGAGATAATCACTACCTCCTTCCTCCAAACTGGATTTCCGAATTTACCCCAGTTTGTACTTGTGCTAGAGTCAGCTTCCTCGCCTGGATAGTGGTGGGTGGACAGGAGTGGCAGTGAGGGGAGGACAGTGGGTGGGGGCGGGGGTCACACATCTGGATTGGAAGCCTAGTTTTTCTTCTCAGTTGCTATGTGTTGTCAATAGCAAGAAAGCAAAAAAGAAAATGTAAGCCAGGAAGAAAATTGATTTTATTCATGCCCTTTCAATAGGAAGAACGTCCCAGATCTGAACATCAGAGTGTCTCAGATATCTCAGGATGGTTTCCCCTTAGACGTTTTCCTTTTTCGGCCGGGCATGGTGGCTCACGCCTGTAATCCCAGCAATTTGGGAGGCCAAGGAGGGCGGATCACCTGAGGTCGGGAGTTCAAGACCAGCCTGACCAACATGGAGAAACCCCGTCTCTACTAAAAATAGAAAATTAGCTGGGCATGGTAGCACATGTCTGTAATCCCAGCTCCTTGGGAGGCTGAGGCAGGAGAATCGCTTGAACCCAGGAGGTGGAGGTTGTGGTGAGCTAAGATTTTGCCATTGCACTCCAGCTTGAGCAACAAGAGTGAAACTCTGTCTCAAAAAAAAAAAAAAAAAAGATGTTTTCTTTTTTTTTCAGGGACAAGGTCGCCCAGGCTAGAGTGCAGTGGTGCGATCTCCACTCACTGCAACCTCCACCTCCTGGGTTCAAGTGATTTTCATGCCTCAGCCTCCCGAGTAGCTAGGACTACAGGGATATGCCACTACATCCAGCCAATTTTTGTATTTTTAGTAGAGACAGATTTTTACCACGTTGGCCAGGCTGGTGTCGAGCTCCTGAGCTCAAGTGATCCTCCTGCCTTGGAAGGAGGTGCTAAGAATATAGGTGTGAGCTACTGCACCTAACCTCCCCTTAGATTTTTTTTTTCTTTTTTTGAGACAGAGTCTCCCTTTGTTGCCCATGATGGAGTATAGTGGTGGAATCTCGACTCACTGCGACCCCTGTCTCCCAGGTTCAAACGATTCTCCTGCCTTAGCCTCCCAAGTGGCTGGGATTACAGGCCCATGCCACCACACCCTGCTAATTTTTTTTTTTTTGTATTTTTAGTAGAGACGGGGTTTACACCATATTGACCAGGCTGTTCTTAAACTCCTGACCTCAAGTGATCTGCTCACCTCGGCCTCCCAAAGTGCTGGGATTACAGGTGTGAGCCACCAGACCCGGCCCCTTAGACTTTTATAGAAAGGATTTAGACAAGTCACAGGTGGTGGTGGTGGAGGTGGGATTTCTGAACTCATGTGCTGCTTTATAGGAACACAGGTAAAGTTAAACATTGTCAGTCACTGGGTGCTATGGCTCACCCCTGTAATACCAGTACTTTGGGAGGCCGAGGCAGGAGTAAGAGACCAGCCTGGGCAACATAGCAAGACTCTGTCTCTACTAAAAATAAAAATAAAAATAATTAGCCAGGCATGGTGGTGCGAGCCTGTAGTTCTATTTACTCAGGAGGCTGAAGCAGGATTAGTCCAAGCCTGGGAAGTCGAGACTACAGTGAGTTATGATCACACCACTGTACTCCATCCTTTCTAAAAAATGAATAAATAAAATAAATTAATTTTTAAAAATTCAGTGCCTACAGAAGCATAGGAAAAACAAAACAAAACATTGCCAGTGTTTTTGGGCAATTTCATTCTCTTTTGGAGCCCCCTTCACTTCACCCTCAAAATGAGAACGTGGGGCTTCCAGGTGAGGAGTTCTAATGCCCCAATTCCTTTCCAGCCTGTCGTAGGACACTCGGGAGCCCAGAAATGGCTCAGAAGCTCTGGGTCCTGGAGTAGGTAAGGAACTGGAGGGCGTATCAAGGGAGCAGGAAAAAAAAATTTGCAAAAGCAAAGGGGAGTAGCATTATTATTAAAGTCTCCTGAATATGGAAGTACAAATCGCAACCCTTCTAGAGATGCTTAAGTTCCCGGGGCATCTGCAACAAAACCAGAAAGCCCTAGATCCGTAGTGATATCTTTAGTTCCTCAAATTCCCTTGGTCAATAGCAGATCCTACTTCTGCATCAAGGAAATTGGGTGATAGTGACGCGCGAGTGGACTACAAATCCCGTAATGCATGTGGGCGGTATGAGGGCGGTGCCATGTTTAACGTATTTTAGAGACACGTGCTAGGAACTACAACTCCCAGAAAGGCACGTGCGGTACCCGGGTCCCCACTGTGCCAGCTGTTTATTTTTTATTTTTATTTTTATTTTTTACTTTTTTTTTTTTTTTGAGACGGAGTCTTGCTCTGTCTCCCAGGCTGGAGTGCAATGGCGTGATCTCAGTTCACTGCAACCTCCGCCTTCTGGGTTCAAATGATTCTCCTTCCTCAGCCTCCCTAGTAGCTGGAATTACAGGCACCCACCACCATGCCTGGCTAACTTTTTTGTATTTTTTGGTAGAGACTGGGTTTCACCATGTTGGCCAGGGTGGTCTCGAACTCCTGACCTCAAGTGATCCGCCCGCCTCGGCCTCCCAAGGTGCTGGGATTACAGGGATAAGCTGTCGCACCTGGCCTGCTTTTTTTTTTTTTTTTTTAATTTTTAATTTTTGTTGGTACATACTAGGTATACATATATTTACGAGATAATTGAGATGTTTTGATACAGGCAGGCAATGTGAAATAAGCACATCATCGGGAATAGGGTATCCATCCCCTTTCAAGGATTTACCCTTTGATGTATAAACAATCTAGTTACACCCTTTAATTTATTTAAAAATGTACAATTAAATTATTATTGACTATAGTCATTCTGTTGTGCTATCTAATAGTAGGTCTTATTCATCCTTTTCTTTTTGTACCAATTAACCATCCCCCACCTCTCCCCCATGTACACACCCCCACCCCCAATCTTCTTTTTTTTTCTAGTCCAAGGAACACCACCCCTTACTTGCCGACTTCCGAAGGTCACCGGGAGCGGGTTCTCAGCCTCTCCCAAGCCCTGGCTACTGAGGCGTCGCAGTGGCACAGAATGATGACAGGTGACTGGCTGGGGATGTTGGACTTCTGGGTTTTAGGGAGGAGAGAGCTGGAGACCTGGAATCCCAGGTCCTGGAGAGGAGGGGTCTGGGGGCCGGTGAGAATTTTTTATCTTGGTGAGTAAAGAGTTGGGCAGGGTTTGGGAGTTTTAGGTCTCAGGCAAGAGGTGACTGGGGTCCGGGACACTTGGGAGGAGGGGAGGAAGAGGTCAGGGGGCGGGGAGAGGGCCGACAACTGAGTCTCAAAGAGGACTGGACTGGCGTATCCAGACTCCTGGATCTGAGGGAGGAGGGGCTGGGGGCCTGGACTCCTGGGTCTGAGGGAGGAGGGGCTGGGGGCCTGGACTCCTGGGTCTGATGGAGGAGGGGCTGGGAATCCGGAGTCCTGGGTCTGAGGGAGGAGGGGCTGGGAATCCGGGGTCCTAGCGCTGAGGTTTGCCATTCTCATGTCCCACTCATCCTCTCCAGGTGGAAATTTGGACTCCCAGGGAGACCCTCTTCCCGGTGTGCCGCTGCCTCCTTCGGACCCCACGCGCCAGGAGACCCCTCCCCCCAGATCTCCCCCGGTGGCTAATTCGGGTTCCACGGGGTTCTCTCGCCGAGGGAGTGGGCGTGGAGGAGGTCCCACCCCCTGGGGGCCCGCGTGGGATGCCGGGATCGCCCCTCCGGTCCTGCCACAAGACGAGGGGGCATGGCCTCTGCGAGTCACTCTGCTACAATCCAGCTTCTAATCCGCCCAAAAGCGGCAGCCAATCGGAGCGCGAGGACGTGGTCTGGAGGTACCGCCGGAGATCTGGGACCACTCAGGGCATCAGGGGGCGTGGTCTGGTCCCCATTGCGGGCCCGGGAGGGGAATGGTTTCTATGGCCAAAGTTTGGTTTTCTCAACACTGTCTAAATTTGGATTAAAACTTTGAACTTTTAGTCAATAGCTTTCTTTCTGTCTGTCTGGGGTTGTGGCACTGGTGTCTCTGAGGGGCAGAGCTGGAGTCGTGGACTCCTGGGTCCTGAGAGAGGAAGGGACAGGGGGCTTGGACTTATAGGTCTCTGGGAAGAAGGGATAGAGAACCTGATCCCTCGGTCTGAGAGTGGAGGGGGCTGGGCCAGGATTCCCGGGTCTGAGGGAGGAAGGGGTGGGACCCTGACTCCTGGGTCTGAGGGAGGAGGGACTGGGAGGCTGGACTCCCGGGTCTGAGGGAGGAGGGGCTGGGACCCTGACTCCTGGGTCTGAGGGAGGAGGGGCTGGGAGGCTGGACTCCCGGGTCTGAGGGAGGAGGGGCTGGGAGGCTGGACTCCCGAGTCTGAGGGAGGAGGGGCTGGGGGCCTGGACTCCCGAGTCTGAGGGAGGAGGGACTGAGGCTTCTGGATTCCTGGGTCTGTGGGAGGAGGGACTGGGGCTCCTGGATTCCTGGGTCTGTGGGAAGAGAGGAGTGTCTGAGGGAGGAGGGGCTGGGGACAAACTTCCAGGTCTCTAGCCTTCCTGGCAACGCCCCCCGAGGCCGGACTTCCAGGATCCAGCCTCTATTGAGGATTTGATGCGACGGCCTCACGGGGCTTTGGAGGTGAAAGAGGCCCAGAGTAGAGAGAGAGAGAGACCGACGTACACGGGATGGCTACGGGAACGCGCTATGCCGGGAAGGTGGTGGTCGTGACCGGGGGCGGGCGCGGCATCGGAGCTGGGATCGTGCGCGCCTTCGGTGAGCCGGGTCTGACTGCTGGGAGCTGTGGAGTGTGAGAAAGGAAGGATGGGGGCGGGGTGATGGGGGCGGAAAATAGGGACTCCAGTACTGCAGCCAGGATTCTGATATTATAAAAGCCAATTTGCAGGCTAAAGTAAGCGTGTGGCGCTGTAGGCTAGGGCTGAGTCTGGCAGGGTCTCCGAAGGCAGTGGCCCCTTTCTCTGGGTCTGTTGGTGTAGCTACAAAACCAGTGGTTTGAGGAATGGCTCTGTCAGTCGTGGAGTTTGCTCCGGAAGCCACGAACGGGGGTTCAGGAGCCTCAGCAGAAACAAGGCAAGGAGAGTATGTGTCAAGGCGTCTGCCCTCTGTCCTATGGGTGATCATGAGACTGGGGTCACGAGGGGAGAGGGAGATCAGCCCCAATCCAGGTGGCCACAAGAGGGCGGCAGAGGCTTTAACCAAGGCTCGGAGAGTAACCTGTTCCCTTCCTATTCTCAGTGAACAGCGGGGCCCGAGTGGTTATCTGCGACAAGGATGGTGAGTGACGGTCCCTCAGCCCTCACCTTGGCCCTTCCTCCCTCAGACCCAGAGGTCCAGACCCCTAGCACCTCCTCCCTCAGACCCCGGAGTCCAGGCCCCCAGGCCCTACTTCCTCAGACCCAGGAGTCCAGACCTCAGCCCCTCCTCCCTCAGACCTAGGAGTCCAGGCCCCCAGCCCCTCTGCCCTCAGACCCAGGAGTCCAGGTCCCCAGCCCCTCCTCCCTCAGACCCAGAAGTCCAGGCTCCGGCACCTCCTCCCTCAGACCCAGGAATCCAAGTCCCCAACCCCTCCTCCTTCAGACCCAGGGGTCCAGGCTCCCAGCCCCTCTTCCCTCAGACCCAGGAGTCCAGGCTCTGGCACCTCCTCCCTCAGACCCAGGAGTCCAGGCCCCCAGGCCCTACTTTCTCAGACCCAGGAGTCCAGACCTCAGCCCCTCCTCCCTCAGACCCAGGAGTCCAGGCTCCCAGCCCCTCCTCCCTCAGACCCAGGAGTCCAGGCCCCCATCCCCTCCTCCCTCAGACCCAGGAGTCCAGGCCCCCAGCCCCTCCTCCCTCAGACCCAGGAGTCCAGGCTCCCAGCACCTCCTCCCTCAGACCCAGGAGTCCAGGCCCCCAGGCCCTACTTCCTCGGACCCAGGAGTCCAGACCTCAGCCCCTCCTCCCTCAGACCCAGGAGTCCAGGCCCCCAGCCCCTCCTCCCTCAGACCCAGGAGTCCAGGCTCCCAGCACCTCCTCCCTCAGACCCAGGAGTCCAGGCCCCCAGGCCCTACTTCCTCGGACCCAGGAGTCCAGACCTCAGCCCCTCCTCCCTCAGACCCAGGAGTCCAGGCCCCCAGCCCCTCCTCCCTCAGACCCAGGAGTCCAGGCTCCCAGCCCTTCCTCCCTCAGACCCAGGAGTCCAGGCCCCCAGGCCCTACTTCCTCGGACCCAGGAGTCCAGACCTCAGCCCCTCCTCCCTCAGACCCAGGAGTCCAGGCCCCCAGCCCCTCCTCCCTCAGACCCAGGAGTCCAGGCTCCCAGCCCCTCCTCCCTCAGACCCAGGAGTCCAGGCTCCCAGCCCCTCCTCCCTCAGACCCAGGAGTCCAGGCTCCCAGCCCTTCCTCCCTCAGACCCAGGAGTCCAGGCCCCCAGGCCCTACTTCCTCGGACCCAGGAGTCCAGGCTCCCAGCCCTTCCTCCCTCAGACCCAGGAGTCCAGGCCCCCAGGCCCTACTTCCTCGGACCCAGGAGTCCAGGCTCCCAGCCCTTCCTCCCTCAGACCCAGGAGTCCAGGCCCCCAGGCCCTACTTCCTCAGACCCAGGAGTCCAGACCTCAGCCCCTCCTCCCTCAGACCCAGGAGTCCAGGCCCCCAGCACCTCCTCCCTCAGACCCAGGAGTCCAAGTCCCCAACCCCTCCTCCCTGAGACCCAGGGGTCCAGGCTCCCAGCTCTTCTCTCCCTGCAGAGTCTGGGGGCCGGGCCCTGGAGCAGGAGCTCCCTGGAGCTGTCTTTATCCTCTGTGATGTGACTCAGGAAGATGATGTGAAGGTAAGCCGAGTTCCTGTTCCTACCCCCATCTCCGCTAATGACCAGTTCTTTGTTCTCCTCCAGCCATTTGCATATGCCTTTCCCTCTACTTTTCCTTCCTCTCCTGGCTCCGCTGGACTCGTCAAAGGTTTCCACCCAGTGTCACTCCACACACAAGGTCTTCTGTGACTGATGGGCAGGTCACATGTTCCTTCTGTCACACCTCTCCAAGGCTCTTAGCACATTTAACATGTGGATGGAAATGAATAAGTCCCTCAAAGTGGGTCAACTGGAACTGATTTTTCTGTCTCTTTTTTTTGTAAGTGTCACTGAGGCTGGAGTGCAGTGGTGTGATCTCGGCTCACTGCAACCTCAGCCTACCGAGTTCAAGCCATTCTCCTATCTCAGCCTCCCGAGTAGCTGGGATTACAGGTGTGCGCCACCATGCCCGGCTAATTTTTTTTTTTTTTAAGACAGAGTTTCGCTCCTGTTGCCCAGGCTGGAGTGCAATGGTGTGATCTCGGCTCACCGCAACCTCTGCCTCCCAGCTTCAAGTGATTCTCCTCTCTCAGCCTCCCGAGTAGCTGAGATTTCAGGCATGTGCCACCACACCTGGCTAATTTTGTATTTTTAGTAGAGACGGTGTTTCTCCATGTTGGTCAGGCTGGTCTCGAACTCCCAACCTCAGATGATCCGCCCGCCTCAGCCTCCCAAAGTGCTGGGATTACAAGCATGAGCCACCGTGTCTGGCTAATTTTTGTAGTTTTAGTAGAGACAGGGTTTCACCATGTTGGCCAGGCTGGTCTCGAACTCCTGACCTCAGGTGATCCGCCCACCTCAGCCTCCCAAAGTGTTGGGATTACAGGTGTGAGCCACTGCACGTGGCCTGTATGTAACTGATTTTTTCTCCATTATTTCTGGGTTCCTATTTCTTCCTTTTAATCAGTATCTCTCTGTTATCTGCCCCCCTTGGGCAACTGTCCCCTACGCGCTCTCTGAATCCTTGTCACCCCCCTGCCCCACCCCCTGACCCTGGGTGTGACGACTGCAGTGTGGCTCTGACCAGCCCCCTGTCTCCTTCCTGTCTCCTGCTTGCCTGCTGTGTCTGCTGATCTCGGAGTCCCCTCTTCCTCTAGCTCTTGTCCCCTGACCTGGGAGTTCAGCTTCCCCCTCCTGCCTTGCATTTGGGAGCCCTGTCTTCTTTATGGCTGGACACCCCATCTACTGCTCATTCAAAGGACATTTCCTGGGCTGGGCGTGGTACCTGTAATTCCAGCACTTTGGGAGGCTGAGGCGGGTGGATCACTTGAGCTCAGGAGTTTGAGACCAGCCTGGCTAACCTAGTGAATCCCTGTCTCTACTAAAAAGTACAAAAATTAGCCGGGCGTGGTGGCAGTCGCCTGTAATCCCAGCTACTTGGGAGGCTGAGGTAGGAGAGTTGCTTGAACGCAGGAGGCTGAAGTTGCAGTGAGCCAAGATCGTGCCAATGCACTCCAGCCTGAGTGACAAGAGGGAGACACCGTCTCCAAAAAAAAAAAACAAAGGACATTTCCTTTCTCCTCAGACCCTGGTTTCTGAGACCATCCGCCGATTTGGCCGCCTGGATTGTGTTGTCAACAACGCTGGCCACCGTGAGTTGTGAGACCCCAGGGCCATTCTCCACCTCCTGCCCCCCAACTCTGTTTCCTGCACGTCAGTTTCCCCACTCCCTGCCCCTGATTCCCTCATCCTGCCTCATACCTCTTTCTAGCCACTTGGACAGGAGAGTAAAGCAATGGAAGCCCCCCAGGCCTGTGCTGAAACTGTGGCCCTGTTCCATCCCTCCTGTGTGTCCCCAGGGCTGTGCCCTCACTTGGCCATGTCTCTCTTCTTTTCTTTTCTTTTTTCTTCTCTTCTCTTCTTTCTTTTCTTTTTTTTTCAGATGGAGTCGCACTCTGTCGTCCAGGCTGGAGTGCAGTGGTGTGATCTCAGCTCACTGCAACCTCTGCCTCTTGGGTTCAAGCGATTCTCCTGCCTCAGCCTCCCAAGTAGCTGGGATTACAGGCGCCCACCAGCACGCCAGGCTAATTTTTATATTTTTAGTAGAGATGGGGTTCATCATGTTAGCCAGGCTGGTCTTGAACTCCTGACCTCAGATGATCTGCCCACCTCGGCCTCCCCAAATGCTGGGATTACAGGCATGAGCCACTGCACCCGGCTTTTTTTTTTTTTTTTTTTCTGAGATGGGGTCTCACTCTGTCGCCCAGGCTGGAGTGCAGTGGCTCGATCTAGGCTCACTGCAACCTGCACCTCCCAGGTTCAAGCAATTCTCCTGCCTCAGCCTCCTGAGTAGCTGGGAATATAGGCACCCGCCACCACACCCAGCTAATTTTTGTATTTTTCGTAGAGACAGGGTTTTGCCCTGTCAGCCAGGTTGGTCTTGAACTCCTGACCTCATGATCCGCCTGCCTCAGCCTCCCAAAGTGCTGGGATTACAGGCGTGGGCAACTGTGTCCAGCCCCCGTCACTTTTCCTCTCTCTCTCACCCCCCACTTTAGACCCACCCCCACAGAGGCCTGAGGAGACCTCTGCCCAGGGATTCCGCCAGCTGCTGGAGCTGAACCTACTGGGGACGTACACCTTGACCAAGGTGAGGGCTGGCGACCCTGCCGCCAGGCCCGAGCAGCCTCCTGATAGGTGGATTGTGTGATGCATTTTGTCTAAGAGCAAAATGTTTTCCGTTCTTTTTATTTGTTTGTTTGTTGGAGACAGGGTCTCTCTCTGTCGCCCAGGCTGGAGGACAGTGGTGTGATCTCAGCTCACTGCAACCTCCACCTCCTGGGTTCAAGCGATTCTCGTGCCTCAGCCTCCTGAGTAACTGGGATTACAGGTGCGGGCCACAAAACCAGCTAAATTTCATAATTTTTGGTAGCTATGCTTCTGACTGCAAGTGATCTGCCTGCCTTGGCCTTCCAAAGTGCTGGGATTACAGACTTGAGTCACCACGCCTGGCCATCTATTTTCTGTTATTTAGTTTAATCTCCTTATTCCAAAAGGAAGATAAATGACTGCGAATCTCTACATCCAGCAAATCTACCTTTGTAGCTACATAGCCCAGTCTTAGGAACCTTCTAGAACCTTCCAGACTGGTGGTGGTAGGAGGGGATGTTAAGAACATATTGGGGCCAGACACAGTGGCTCACACCTTTAATCCCAGTGCTTTGGGAGGTCCTTGTGGGAGGTTCACTTGAGGTCAGGAGTTCAAGACAGCTGGGGCAATACAGCGAAACCCCCCATCTCTACAAAAAGTTTAAAAAATTAGGCGTAGTGGTGCCCTTGTAGTCCCAGCTACTCAGGTGGCTGAGGTGGGAGGATCGTTTGAGCCCAGGAAGTCAAGGCTGCCATGAGCTATGTACACACCACTGCATACAGCCTGGGCAACATTGCAAGATGCTGTCTCAAAAATAAATAAATAAATAAATAAATAAATAAATAGGCCAGGTCCAGTAGCTCACAGCTGTAATCCCAGCACTTTGGGAGGCCGAGGCAAGAGGATCCCTTAAGCCCAGGAATTCGAGACTAGCCTGGGCAACATAGTGAAACCCTCGTCTCTACAAAAAATACGGAAATTACCTGAGCATGGTGGTGCGCCTCAGGTACTTGGGAGGCTGAGGCGGGAGGATTGCTTTGTTGTAACCGAGCGAGTTATAGAGAAACGCCACACTCTGAGACAAGATCAGGAGTCCTTTATTAGCCGGCAGCCCAGAGACGGCTAGCGCTCAAAATTCTCTCGGCCCCGAAGAAGGGGCTAGATTTTCTTTTATACTTTGGTTTAGAAAGGGGAGGGGGGAGTCTAGTTAAAACAATCTTACAGAAGTAAAGCAGGCAAAAAAAGTTAGAAAGATAAATGGTTACAGGAAAGCAGACAGTTCCAGGTGCAGGGGCTTTAAACACATCCCAAGGTGATAGACGCTGGACGTTGGGCGCTATCAACCAGACAGAAACGCGGGGGCTTAGGGTACTATTAATCGGGCGACTGCCTGGGAACTGCGGATATAACTTGCCACAGTATCTTATCAGTAATTGCATTCTTTGATGTGCTGGGAGTCAGCTTGCACAAGTTAAGTCCTTGAAGAAAGGGGGGTTGGGTTAAGGGGCTGCAAGTGAAGGAGCCAGGATGGAGTCTGTCTGGCTCGCTCACCTAAGGGAGAGTCAATTCAGGTTAAAACAAGGTTAGGGTATCACAGCTTGAGCCCAGGAGGCGGAGGTTGCAGTGAGCTGAGATCGTGCAACTGCACTCCAGCCTAGGTGACAGAGTGAGACCTTGTCTCAAAAAAAAAATAATTCATTAATTAATTTTTAAAAAGAGCATGGAGTCCAGGCATGGTGGCTTACGCCTGTAATCCCAGCACTTTGGGAGGCCGAGGCAGGCGGATCACCTGAGGTCGGGAGTTTGAGACCAGCCTGACCAACATGGAGAAACCCCATCTCTATTAAAAATACAAAATTAGCCGGGTGTGGTGGCACATGCCTATAATCCCAGCTACTCAGGAGGCTGAGGCAGGAGAATCACTTGAACCTGGGAGGCAGAGGTTGCAGTGAGCTGAGATCGTGCCATTGCACTCCAGCCTGGGCAATAAGAGCGGAAACTCCGTCTCACAAAAAAAAAAAAAAAAAAAAAAGCCAGGCCTGGTAGCTCATGCCTGTAATCCTGGCACTTTGGGAGGCCAAGGCGGACAGATCACTTGAGGTCAGGAGTCCAACATGGTGAAACCCCATCTCTACTAAAAATACAAAAATTAGCTGTGCGTGGTGGCAGGTGCCTGTAATCCCAGCTACTCAAGAGGCTGAGGCGGTAGAATTGCTTGAACCTGGGAGGTGGAGGTTGCAGTGAGCTGAGATTGTGCCACTACACTCCAGCCTGGGTGACAGAGTGAAACTCTTTCTCAGAAAAAAAAAAAAAATTAGCTGAGTATGGTGGTGCTCCTGTAATCCCAGCTACACGGGAGGCTGAGGTGAGAGGATCACTTCAACCTGGGAGCTGGAGGCTGCAGTGAGCCGTGATTGTGCCACTGCACTCCAGCCTGGGCAACAGAGCGAGTCCTTGTCTTAAACAAGAATTGGGGGAGAGCTGGGGAGGGAATGAGAAAGAAAACAAACTTTTTTATCTGAGAAAGGAGAGCCCCTTTAGATGATCAGGATCAGGCCCAGAGGGGCTTTTTAACAACTTTTTTAAAAATTAATTAATTTATTTTTTGAGACAGAGTCTTACTCTGTCACCCAGGCTGGAGTACAGTGGCACAATCTCGGCTCACTGCAACCTCTGCCTCCCAGGTTTAAGCAATTCTCTGCCTCAGCCTCCCTAGTGGCTGGGATTATAGGCACTCACCACCACGCCTGGCTAATTTTTTTGTATTTTTAGTAGAGACGAGGTTTCACCATGTTGGCCAGGCTGGTCTTGAACTCCTGACCCCGTGATCCACCCACCTCAGCCTCCCAAAGTGCTGGGATTACAGGCATGAGCCACTGTGCCTGGCCTTTTTATTTTTTAATAGAGGTGGGGTTTCACTATGTTGTCCAGGCTGGTCTCAAACTCTTGGGCTCAAGTGATTCTCCTGCCTCAGCCTTTCAAACTCCTGGGATTACAGGTGTGAGCCACCGCACCTGGCTCAGAGGGACTTTATAAAAATGTATTTTAATTACTTTTTGAGACAGGGACTCACTCTGTTGCCCAGGCTGGAGTACCATCATAGCTCACAGCAGCCTCGAACCCCTGGGCTCAAGTGATCCTCTTGTATCAGCCTCCTGAGCAGCTGGGACCACAGGGGTGCACCACTATGACTGACTAATTTTTAACTTTTTTGTAGAGACAGGGTCTTTCTATGCTGCTCAGGCTGGTCTCGAACTCCTTGCCTCAAGCTGGGATTACAGGCATGAGCTACTGCACCCATCCAATAATTACCTTTTGAGGCTACTTGGTTTCTGGACTCTAGACGACCTGATACCAAGTAGCTCTAGAGTGTCACACACTCTATAGTTCAAACATGTATAGCCAATCACTAATCAATGTGATGTCTGTAAACCAATGACAATTCCTGATGAACAACTTTTGTAATCACCGCCTCTCTTGATTCGTCCTTTTTTCTTTAAAAAGTTGAGCCTTTGGCCGGGCGCGGCACCTCATGCCTGTAATCCCAGCACTTTGGGAGGCCGAGGCCGGCGGATCACGAGGTCAGGAGATCGAGACCATCTTGGCTAACGCGGTGAAACCCCGTCTCTACTAAAAATACAAAAAATTAGCTGGGCGCGGTGGCGGGCTCCTGTAGTCCCAGCTACTTGGGAGGCTGAGGCAGGAGAATGGCGTGAACCCGGGAGGCGGAGGTTGCAGTGAGCCGAGATTGCATCACTGCACTCCAGCCTGGGCAATAGAGCGAGACTCCGTCTCAAAAAAAAAAAAAGAAAAAAAAAAGGAAGGAGAAGGGTTGGTCACGGTGGCTCACACCTGTAATCCCAGCACTTTGGGATGCCAAGGCGGGTGGATCACTCATCAGGAGTTCAAGACCAGCCTGTCCAATATGGTGAGACCCCGTCTCTACTAAAAATACACAAAAAATTAGCTGGGCATGGTGGTGAGCACCTGTAATCCCAATTCCTCGTGAGGCTGAGGCAGGAGAATTGCTGGAACCTGGGAGATGGAGGTTGCAGTGAGCTGAGATTGCACCACTGCACTCCAGCCTGGGCAACAGAGCAAGACTCTATCTAAAAAAAAACGAAGGAGAAGAACACACATCAAAGCCTTTCCCTCACCCTTGCTTATGCAACAGCTGCACACAAACATCCACTCTCCATAACATCTTTATTCTCCGCATAGCACTTTTTAATTAATTAACTCAACAAATAGTTATATAGCACCAGCAACATGCGGAGCCCTGCGCATACAGCTATGAACACACAACAGAAGAAAATCCCTGTCCTTGCCAGGCACGGTGGCTCATGTCTTTGTAATCCCAGCACTTTGGGAGGCTAAGGCGGGCAGATCATGAGGTCAGGAGTTCGAGACCAGCCTGGCCAACATGGTGAAACTCCGTCTCTACTAAAAATACAAAAATTAGCCAGGCGTGGTGGTGGGCGCCTGTAATCCCAGCTTCTTATGAGGCTGAGGCAGGACAATCTCATGAACCCAGGAGGCAGAGGTTGAGGTGAGCTGAGATCACACCACTGCACTCCAGCCTGGGCGACAGAGCGAGACTCCATCTCAAAAAAAAAAAAAAAGTGGGGTTTTAGGTTTGTTCTCCCCACCTCCAGCAACTGAGCAACTGACCGGACAGAGCTGCCATTCACTGTGGCAGGAAAGCCTGGCGGGGGCGCTGTTGAACATGAACTGCCTGGTGGACGTCCTGGTGGGAATGGGCATTGGGCATGAGATCGTGGAGGTGGGGCTCTGGAGATACCAGCTTGCAGCTGACCAGTTTGAGGCTGGAGGAACTCAGGGGAGCAAGAGTAGGCAAAGAGGGGAGAGGCCTGGGGGCGGGCCCAGTGTCCAGGGAGCTTCAGGTGCTGACTCTGAGGTCGCATCCAAGATCCAGGTGAAATGTTCCCGGGAGGTTGGGCAATCCCCTGCTTAACCAGTGAACCCTGGCTCCTGTTCCAAATTTGTGTTGACTTTCTAGGATTAACCCAACACTAAAAACACCTCCACACATAAAACACACCTACACCTCAGCCCATGAAGAGTTAATATATGTGTGTGTGTGTGTGTGTGTGTGTGTGTGTGTATATATATATATATTTTCTTCTTTTCTTTTACTTTTTTTTTTTTTTTTTTTGAGACAATCTTGCTCCATCACCCAGGCTGGAGTGCAGTGGCAGGATCTCGGCTCACCACAACCTTGACTACCTGGGCTCAATAAATTCTCCTGCCTCAGCCTCCCGAGGACCTGAGACTACAGGTGCCCACCACTACGCCCAGCTGATTTTTGTATTTTTTGTAGAGTTGGGGGTCTCACTATGTTGTTCAGGCAGGTCTCAAACTCCTGAGCTATAGCGGTCTGCCTGCCTCGGCCACCCAAAGTGCTCGGATTACAGGCGTAAGCCACCATGTCCGGCCTATCTTTTTTCATTCATTGCCAACATTTCACAAGGCAGATTTCACATAAACCACCACATTTCTTGTTTCTCTTAGAAAGTTGGTCAAGTTGGGCTGGGCACGGTGGCTCACGCCTGTAATCCCAGCACTTTGGGAGGCTGAGGCGGGCGGATCCCGAGGTCAGGAGATCGAGACCATCCTGGCTAACACGGTGAAACCCCATCTCTACTAAAAATACAAAAAAATAGCTGTGCGCGGTGGCGGGTGCCTGTAGTCCCAGCTACTCGGGAGGCTGAGGTGGGAGAATGGCGTGAACCCAGGAGGCGGAGCTTGCAGTGAGCCGAGATCGCGCCACTGCACTCCAGCCTGGGTGACAGAGCAAGACTCCATCTCAAAATAAATAAATAAATAAAGTTGGTCAAGTTGGTCAACAGGACCTGCGGGGCAGGGAGGCAGAAATAACAAGTGGCTTGTTTGCCTAAATTCTCTGCCACTTCTTACCTGCAACGTCATGCAAGTTACGCAACATTTCTGCTCCTCTGTTTTCTCACCTGTGAAATGGGGCCAATTGTGACAGAGTTGTTCTGAGGATTTAATGAGATTAGATTAAATACCCATGAAACTCTTATCAATATTTATCATGCTGCAATCTCAGCACTTCGGGAGGCTGAGGTGGGAAAATCACTTGAGCTCAGGAGCTCAAGACCAGCCTGGGCAACATAGCACCAGACCCCATCTCAACCAAAAATAAACAAAATTAGCCAGATAGGGTGGCACACATCTGTAGTCGCAGCTACTCAAGAGGCTGAGGAGGATCACTTGAGCCCAGGAGGTTGAGGCTGTAGTGAGCTATGATTGTGCCGCTGCATTCCAGCCTGGGCAACAGAGTAAGAACTTGTCTCAAACAAAACAAAGCAAGAATAACTTGCTCTACCCGTTGACTCCTGCCCCCCACCACCACCCAGATCATACAATTTTTTTTTTTTTTTTTTTTGCGACGGAGTCTCGCTCTATCGCCCAGGCTGGAGTGCAGTGGCACCATCTCAGCTCATGGCAACCTCCACCTGCTGGGTTCAAGTGATTCTCCTGCCTCACCCTCCCAAATAGCTGGGACTACAGGCACACGCCACCACACCTGGCTAATTTTTGTATTTTTAGTAGAGATGAGGTTTCATCATGTTGGCCAGGCTGGTCTGGAACTCCTGACCTCAAGTGATCCGCCTGCCTCGGCCTCCCAAAGTGCTGGGAGGCGTGAGCCACCGCACCCAGCCCAGATCATACAATTTTATCAGTAGGAACTTCATGCGTACCATACCACCAGTGTATTAGAATGCTTTTTATTTTTATTTTGACATAATTTAAGACTTACAAAATATTCCTAGAATAGTACAGATAATTCATGTGTACTGAAACTCCCCATTGTTCTTTTCTTTTCTTTCTTTCTTTCTTTCTTTTTTTTTTTGTCTTTCTTTAGAGTCTTGCTCTGTCGCCAGGCTGGCATGCAGTGACACGATCTCAGCTCACTGCAATCTCTGCCTCCCGGGTTCAAGCTATTCTCCTGCCTCAGCCTCCCGAGTAGCTGGGATTACAGGCACGCACCACTACACCGGGCTAATTTTTTTTTTAGTAGAGGCAGGGTTTCACCATGTTGGCCAGGATGATCTCAATCTCCTGACCTCGTGATCCGCCTGCTTCAGCCTCCCAAAGTGCTGGGATTACAGGTGTGAGCCACTGCGCCCGGCCCTTTCTTTCTTTCTCTCTTTCTTCCTTCCTCCCTCCCTCCCTTTTTTCTTTCCTTCTTTCCTCCTTTCCTTGTCTTCCCAGCTGGTGAGCAGTGGTGCCATCACAGCTCACTGCAGCCTTGAACTCTTGGGCTCAAGGGATCCTCCCACCTCATCCTCTCAGCCCGCCGAGTAGCTGGGACTACAGATACATGCCACAGCACCCGACTAATTTTTTTTTTTTTTAGTTTCAGTAGAGAGGAGGTCTTGCTATGTTGCCCAGGCTGGAGTGCAATGGCATGATCTTGGCTCACTGCAACCTCTGCCTTCCTGGGTTCAAGCCATTCTCCTGCCTCAGCCTACCAAGTAGCTGGACTACAGACATGTACCACCATGCCCGGCTAATTTTTGTATTTTTAGGAGAGACAGGGTTTCACCATGTTGGCCAGGCTGGTCTTGAACTCTTGACCTCAAGTGATCTGCCCGCCTCGGCCTCCCAAAGTGCTGGGATTACAGGTGTGACCCACCATGCCTGGCCTCAATGTTAAACATTTTTAAAAAAGAAAAATAGACCGGATGCAGTGGCTCATGCCTGTAATCCCAGCACTTTGGGAGGCCTAGGCGGGCGGATTGCCTGAGGTCAGGAGTTCAAGACCAGCCTGGCTAACATGGTGAAACCACGTCTCTACTGAAAATACAAAAAAAATTAGCGGGGCAGGGTGGCGCATACCTGTAATCCCAGCTACTCGGGAGGCTGAGGCAGGAGAATCACTTGGACCCAGGGAGGTGGAGGTTGCAGTGGGCTGAAATTGCACCACTGTACTCCAGCCTGGGCAACAGAGCAAGACTCAGTCTCAAAAAAAAAAAGAAAGAAAAAAGAAAAGAAAAATATAGTAGTATAATAAATACCTATATGCCCATCATTTGTATTAGCATTAATTCACATTTTGTACACCATATATATGTGTCTGTATATACATAAATGTATATATTTCTTTTTGTCAAAGTATTATAAAGTATATTACGACACAATGACAGTTCATTTCCAAACACGTTAGTAAGCATCTCCTAAAAATAAAGCATTATTATTATTATTATTTTGAGATAGTGTCTTGCTCTGTCACCCAGGCTGGAGTGCAGTGAAATGATCATGGCTCACTGCAGTCCCGACTTCCTAGGCTCAAGTGATCCTCCTACCTCAGCCTCTCAGGTTGCTGGGACAACAGACATGCACCACCACGCCCAGCCAATCTTTTATTTTTTTGTAGAGACAGAGTCTCACCATTTTGTCCAGGCTCAGGCCTTTTTTACATAACAAAAATACCATTATATCACCTAATACAATTAACAGAAATGTCTTGATACCATCTCATATTTAACTCTATTTAAATACACCCAGAAGTTCCCAAATGTTTTATTACAGCTGATTTGTTCACACCAGGATCCCGACAACATTTGCATATTGCCTTTGTTTTCCCTGAGGGCAAAGACTTTTGTCTGCTTGTTCATGCACTTGTTGCAAAGGAATCTTGTGAACACTTGTGTCGCTGCCATTATCACCATCGTTATTTCCATCACCATCATTACCATTGTTACCACCCTCACCATCATTCTCACCGTCATCCTCACCATCACCATTTTCACCATCACCACCATCACCATCAACACCATCTTCACCACCATCATTACCATCCCCAACCTCACCATCATCATCGTCACCATCATTACCACCATCATCACCATCAACACTGTCATTACCACAATCATCACCATCACCATCAATGACAGCATCACCATCAATGACAGCATCACCATCATTGCCACCATCATCACCACCATCATCATCACCATCATTACCACAATCATCATCACCATCACCACCATCATCATTACCACAATCATCACCATCACCATCCTCATCATCATCACCACTGTCATTACTAAAATTTACCATCACCAACATCACCACCATCATTACCACAGTCATCACCATCACCATCGTCATTACCACAATCATCACCATCACCATTACCACCGTCATCACCATCCTCACCATCATCACCACCATCACTACAATTACCATCACCATCATCACCACCATCATTACCACAATCATCACCATCACCATCAACAACATCAGCATCACCATCATTGCCACCATCATCACCACCATCATCACCATCACCATCATTGCCACAATCATCACCATCACCACCATCACCATCCTCATCATCATCACCACCGTCATTACTAAAATTTACCATCACCAACATCACCACCATCATTACCATCCCCAACCTCACCATCATCATCATCACCATCATTACCACCATCATCACCATCAACACTGTCATTACCACAATCATCACCATCACCATCAACATCAGCATCACCATCATTGCCACCATCATCACCACCATCATCACCATCACCATTGTTACCACAATCATCACCATCATCACCACAATCATCACCATCACCACCATCACCATCCTCACCAGTATCACCATCATCATCACCATTACCACAATCATCACCATCATTACCACAATCGTAACCATCATTACCACGTCACCATCCTCACCAACATCACCATTATCATCATCACCATCATCATTACCAAAATCACCATCATGATCATCACTATCATTATCATCATCATCCTCACCATCATCACCATCTTCACCATCACCGTCACCATCATCATCACTACGATCATCAGCATCTTCACCGTCATCCTTATCATCATCCTCATCACCATCCTCACCATCACCATCCTCATCACCACCATACTCACCATCACCATCATGACCACCATTATCATCATCACCATCATCATCATTATCACTATCATCACCATCATCACCATCACCATCAAAATCCCATAGAAGCTCTCTTTTTTTCTCTTCTCTCTCAGCCACGTGACTTTGGAAGCTCTTTAAATGTTGATTCTGGGGCCCCTGCCCAGATCCCTTGAATTAGAATCTCCAGGTCTTTGGCCTTCCTGGTGGATTCTGATACAAGCCAAAGTTTGTGACTCCCTAGGCTAGGGAAAACAAGGGCGGGATTAAGGATATTTAGATAGTCAAGGAAATTATATTTTGTGGGCAGTAGGGATCCACAGAAGGTGTTGAACACAGGGGTTTCAGTTGTAGTCTCTCAGAGCTGGATTGTTCCTTAAAGATCTATCCATTCTGAGGCCAGGCGCGGTGGCTCATGCCTGTAATCCCAGCACTTTGGGAGGCCAAGGCGGGTGGATCACGAGGTCGGGAGATCGAGACCATCCTGGCTAACATGGTGAAACCCCGTCTCTACTAAAAAATACAAAAAATTAGCTGGGCGTGGTAGCGGGCGCCTGTAGTCCCACCTACTCAGGAGGCTGAGATGGGAGAATAGAGTGAACCTGGGAGGCAGAGGTTGCAGTAAGCTGAGATCGCGCCACTGCACTCCAGCCTGGGTGACAGAGTGAGACTCTGTCAAAAAAAAAAAAAAAAAAATCTATCCATCCTGGCTGGGTGGGGTGGCTCACGCCTGTAATCCTAGCATTTTGGGAGGCCCAAGCAGGCAGATCACAAGGTCAGGGGTTTGAGACCAGCCTGGCCAATATGGTGAAAACCTGTCTCTACTTATTTATTTTTTTTTATTTTTGTCTTTTTTTTTCTTACTTTTTGTGGAGAATGGGGTCTCGCCATATTGCCCAGGCAGGTCTCGAACTCCTGGGCTCAAGCTATCCTCCCGCCTCTGCCTCCCTGAGAGCTGGGATTACAGATGTGAGCCACTGCGCCCGGCCGAAACCCTGTCTATACTAAAAAATTATAAAAATTAGCCGGGCATGGTGGTAATCCCAGCTACTCGGGAGGCTGAGGCAGGAGAATTGCTTGAACCTGGGAGGCGGAGGTAGCAGTGAGCCAAGATTGCGCCACTGCACTCCAGCCTGGGCAAGACAGAGCGAGACTCCATCTCAAAAAAAAAAAAAATCTATCCATTCAGTCCTCTATTTAGTCAAGTACTGACCAAGCCAGGCAACATTCTTTTATTTTGGAGATGGTGTCTCACTCTTTCACCCAGGCTGGAGTGCAGTGGTGCAATCTCGGCTCACTGCAATCTCCACCTCCCAGGTTCAAGCAGTTCTCATGTCTCAGCCTCCCAAGTAGCTGGGATTACAGGTATGTGCCACCACGCCTGGCTAATGTATTTTTAGCAGAGACAGGGTTTCACCATATTGGTCAGGCTGGTCTCGAACTCTTGACCTTAGGTGATCCACCTGCCTTGGCCTCCCAAAATGCTGGGATTACAGGCGGGAGCCACTGCACCCAGCCTCAGGCAACGTTCTTTTTCGGTTTGTTTTTTGTTAGAGATCGGGTCTTGCTGTGTTGCCCATGCTGGAGTGCCATGGTGTGATCATAGTTCATTGAAGCCCTGACCTACCAGGCTCAAGTAATCCTCCCACCTCAGCCTCCCGAAAACCTGGGACCATAAACGCACACCACTATGCCTGGCTAATTTTTGTATTTTTGTTGAGATGGCTGCGAGGGAGTCTCACCATGTTGTCCAGACTGGTCTCAAACTCCTTGGGCTCAAGTGATCCTCCCACTTCAGCCTCCCCAGATGCTGGGATTACAGGCGTGAGCCACCACACCTGGCCCTGGCAGTGTTATAGGTGCTGGAGATAGGGCAGGGAGCCAGGTACATGTAGGCTCTGTCCTTGGGGAGTTTACAGTCCTGGGCAGCCAGGTCTTCCTAAACAGAGACATGAGTTCAGAAGAGTGTGTTTTGCTTTATGAGGGGGATGGGTGTGGTTCTGGGAGAGTGTGACCTGGAGGCTGGCCCGTTCAGGGAATGTAGCCAAACTTCCTGGAAGTAATGAAATCTGAGCAGCATTGACCAGTGGAGGAGGTGGAGAAAGAGATGGCAGGGCGAGGGCCTGGCAGCGAGACAGGGTTTGGTGCTGCTGCCAGCTGGGCCCAGTGAGAGAACGGGATGTTGCAAGAAGAGATTGGGGTGGGAACCAGATCAGGCAGGGCCTTGAAGGGCATGCTGAATCATCTGGTCTTTATGTCAAGAGCAATAGGGAGCTGTGGCAGGTATTTGAGCAAGGGAGTGATGTGATCCTGTTAGTATTATTAACAGATCATAGGCTCTGGCTCCTGTAGGTATGAGGGACAAATCTGAGGGTTAAGCGTGAGAGTGGGAGAACCAGTATTAGGAGTTGATTGCATTTGAGCTGGGCATGGTGGCTCACGCCTGTAATCCCAGCACTTTGGGAGGCCGAGGTGGGCAGGTTGCCTGAGGTCAGGAGTTCGAAACCAGTCTGGCCAACATGGAGAAACCCCGTTGCTACTAAAAATACAAAAATTAGCCAGGCGTGGTGGTAGGCGCCCGTAATCCCAGCTACTCGGGAGGCTGAGGCAGAAGAATTGCTTGAACCTGGGAGGTGGAGGTTGCAGTGAGCCGAGATCGTGCCACTGCACTCAAGCCTGGGTGACAGAGCAATACTCTGTCTCTGAAACAAACAAACAAAAAAAGGAGTTGATTGCATTTGTCCAAGGGAGAAGTGGGGGCCTTCAAGGCCTCGTGATCTGGCCCCTGTTCTTCTCTGACCTCACCTCCGGCCACACTGGCCTCATTGCTCCCAAACACAACAGGCCTGCTCCTGTCTCAGAACCTTGGCACTTAAGAACTGGGGTCTCAGTATGTTGCCCAGGCTGGCCTTGAACTTCTGGACTGAAGCGATCCTCCCACCTCAGTCTCCCAAAGCACTGACATTACAGGTACCTGCCACTGCACCTGGCCCCCAGCGGGTCCTTGATATAGAGCAGGTGCTTAGCAACCTTGAGGGGTGTGGGGAGAAGGACACTCAGGGAGTGTGGGACAAATATTTACTGAGCTCCAGCTGTGTGCCTCGTGCTGGGGTGAGGGTGGCAAGATCCGTGTCTCAGCCCTGGTGAGACTCATGTTTGCAGGGTCAGGTGGGGGAGGAGATTAAACAGCAGGGCAGGTGCACAGACTGAGAGAGAAATGGAGCAAGGCAGGTGGGGTGGGCACTGGGAGGGAGGGAGGGTGTCACGGCTGGTGGGAGTGAGAGGAGGCGAGGATGAGAGGTTCCCTGAGGAGGAGGGCAGAGGCTGGTCAATGCCCACATCATTCACGTTCATATTAGAGCATGGTTTCTCTTTTTCTTTTTTCTTTTTTCTTTTTTTTTGAGACAGTCTTTATCTGCTGCCCAGGCTGGAGTGCAGTGGTGCGATTGTGGCTTACTGCAACCTCTGCCTCCCGGGATCAAGAGATTCTCCTGCCTCAGCCTCCCGAGTAGCTGGGATTACAGGCACGCACCACCACACCCGGCTAATTTTTGTATTTTTAGTAGAGATGGGGTTTTGCCATGTTGACCAGTCTGGTCTTGAACTCCTGACCTCAGGTGACTGCCCGCCTCAGCCTCCCAAAGTTCTAGGATTACAGGTGTGAGCCACTGTGCCTGGCCTAAAGTTCTTAATACTTAGAATTGTGAGAAATTGTTGTTTGTTTATGGGTTTGGGTCTCAGCCTGTCCAGCAGCAAATGCTGGTGCTGTCAGGTGTCACGTGATGCCCTGCGGGCGTCAATCATCCCTCCATTCCTTAGTCTCCTCGCTTGTGAAATGGGACTCTCAGCTGTACCTCCTTCTTGTAGGTACAGGAGAATGTTAGAGGGATGAAATGAGCTAATCCATGTAAATTGCTGAGGACAGGGCTGGACACATACCAGGTCCTCCATTCATTCATTAATTCACCCATTCATTCATTCAAAGGATATTTATGAAGCATGTGCTATGTGCCAGGCACCTTTAGTGCTGGGGAAGAAACAAAATAAGAAATCTTGACCATCCCTCATAGGTTTCTGCATGCTGGTGGGAGAGACAGAACATGAACAAACAAGTAAAATATATATGGCCTGTCAGAAGGGAGTGTGTGACACAGAGAAAAGACATCTGAAAGAGGGAAGGGGACCCAGGGGTGTGGGAACTGCAGTTTTATTTTATTATTTTATTTTTTGGGGCCAGGCGTGGTGGCTGACGCCTGTAATCCCAGCACTTTGGGAGGCCGAAGCAGGCAGATTACTTGACCTCAGGAGTTCAAGACCAGCCTGGCTAACATGGTGAAACCCCATCTCTACTAAAAAATACAAAAATTAGCCAGGCATGGTGACACATGCCTGTAGTCCCAGCTACTCAGGAGACTGAGGCAGGAGAAGGGCTTGAACCTGGGGGGAGGAGGTTGCAGTGAGCCAAGATGACATCACTGCACTCCAGCCTGGGCAACAGAGTGAGACTCTGTCTCAAAAAATAAAACAAAAAATATTTTTTTGTTGTTAAAAAAAATAAAGACAGGCCAGGCACAGTGGCTCAAGCCTGGAATCCCAGCACTTTGGGAGGCCGAGCCAGGCAGATCATGTGAGATCAGGAGTTCGAGACCAGCCTGGCTAATATAGTGAAACCCTGTCTCCACTAAAAAAAAAAAAAAAAAAAAAAAATTATCCTGGTGTGGGGGCACATGCCTGTAGTCCCAGCTACTCGGGAAGCCGAGGCAGGAGAATTGCTTGAACCTGGGAAGTGGAGGTTGCAATGAGCTGAGATTGCACCACTGCATTCCAGCCTAGACAACAGAGTGATACCCTATCTGAAAGAAAGAGAGAGAGAGAGAGAAAGAAAAGAAAGAAAGAAAGAAAGAAAGAAAGAAAGAAAGAAAGAAAGAAAAAGGGTCTTGCTAAGCTGCCCATGCTGGCCTCAAACACCTGGGTTCAAGCAATCCTCCCTCCTCGGCTTCCCAAAGTGCAAGGATTACAGGTGTGAGCTAGTGATCCTGGCTTGCAGCTTTAAACAGTATAGCCAGGGAAGACCTCACTGAGGAGGTGACCTCGGATCAGGGTTTGAGGGAGCTGAGGGAGTGTTTACCCAGGAAAGTCCCCGTTTAGCATTGACACTGTGGACTGAAAATACCATGTCCCCAAAAACCCTTCAGTCCTGGGCAAACTGGGATGGCTGGCCACCCTAAGAGTGGGTCATGTGGCTCTCTTAGGAAAAGGCACTCCAGGCAGAGGGAACAGCAAGTTCAAAGGCCCTGAGGTTTGAACACGCAGGGTGTGTCGAAGATACAGCACGGAAAAGGGTGGAGGTCGTTTGGGAGGGGAGCAGAAATGGCTTGAAAGAGTTGGTGGGGGGAACCGGGCAGGGAGCTCATTTAGATTCCCACTCGGAGAGCCTGCTAGGGGTGCTGCCTTGTACCAATTAGTCTTAAGTGGCAGGGACAGGCCTTGCCTGGCCAGCTCAGCTTTCTAAGGCAAGCGAGATCAAAGATAGAATTTGAGTTTATCCAAGGTCATGTGTAGTCAACGAACACACACGCACACACACAGAGAGAGTATTTAGGGACTTCCCAGGTGGCCAGGGAGTTGAATTGCAGGAGAAACGGTGGCAGGAAACAGTGCATTTCTTTTTTTTTTTTTTTTTTTTTCTGAAACGGAGTCTTGCTCTGTTGCCCAGGCTCGAGTG
The DNA here is from genome assembly GCF_000001405.40 of Homo sapiens. Lineage (NCBI taxonomy): Eukaryota > Metazoa > Chordata > Mammalia > Primates > Hominidae > Homo > Homo sapiens. The sequence goes on along the minus strand of NC_000019.10, from coordinate 48,815,984 downwards.
CAGTAGCGCAATCTTGGCTCACTGCAACCTCCACCTCCCGGGTTCAAGTAGTTCTCCTGCCTCAGCCTCCCAAGTAGCTGAGATTACAGGAATGCACCACCATGCCTGGCTAATTTTGTATTTTTAGTAGAGATGGGGTTTCATCATGTTGGCCAGGCTGGTCTCAAAATTCTGACCTCAGATGATCCACCCACCTCAGCCTCCCAAAGTGCTGGGATTACAGGTGTGAGACACTGTGCCTGGTCTAGAGTGCCTTTCATGAAGGCCTCATAGAAACCATCTCCCCCTCCATGGATAAAAGAACTTCCTGGCTGGGTGTGATGCCTCGTGCCTGTAATCCCAACACTTTGGGAGGCCGAGCGGGGAGGATTGCTTGAGCCCAGGAGTTCGAGGCTGCAGTGAGCTATGATCGTGCCACTGCAGTCCAGCCTGGGCCACAGAGACTTCACCGGAAAATAACTTCATCCCATTTTTGAAAAATATGCAGCCTTCTGGATCTCTCATCCATTTTCCTGTCTTGATATGGACAGGAATTTGAGTAACATACAAAGACCAAGGGAGAAGGGACAGAGGTAGAGACAAAGACAGAGTCAGAGACCGAGGAGAAGAGAGAGAAATCCCTTCCCACCAAGGAGAGACTCCTTGAGTGCTGAGACCCAGCGACCCCAGGGCAAACCAGAGAGGGTGTTATGTTAGATGCCGTCTCTAGCAGTCACTGAGATCAACTAGAAACATGCCAGGGAGGTGGCCGTCATCCCAGACATCAGGATGGCTGTGGCTGTGTTTCAGTGGTCTGCGAAGATGCAGGGCTTGTGTAGCTTACTTGGCCTCTTGTCTCCCTAGCTCGCCCTCCCCTACCTGCGGAAGAGTCAAGGGAATGTCATCAACATCTCCAGCCTGGTGGGGGCAATCGGCCAGGCCCAGGCAGTTCCCTATGTGGCCACCAAGGTATGGCAGCCCCTACCCCTTCCTTCCCTCCCTACTCCTTCCCATGGGCCTTGGCTTTGAGTCCAGACAACTTAGGAGCCAGACCTAGCAAGATCTTGGCCCTAGAAAGTCTCACACCTAACTCCCAGATGCAGCACCCAGGCATAACTGCCTGTGACAGATTTCTGTTTTTTCTTTTCTTTTCTTTTTTTTTTTTTAAAGATGGAGTCTCGCTCTGTCACCAGGCTGGAGTTCAGTGGTGCAATCTCAGCTGCAACCTCTGCCTCCTGGGTTCAAGGGATTCTCCTGACTCAGCCTCCCGAGTAGCTGGGACTACAGGCGCATGCCACCGCACCCAGCTAATTTTTTTTGTATTTTTTAGTAGAGACGGGGTTTCACCATGTTAGCCAGGATGGTCTCGATCTTCTGACTTCATGATCTGCCTGCCTTGGCCTCCCAAAGTGCTGGGATTACAGGCATGAGCCACCGCACCCAGCAGATTTCTGTTTTTTCTTTTCTTTCTTTCTTTTTTTTTGAGATGGAGTTTCGCTCTTATTGCCCAGGTTGGAGTGCAATGGTGTGATCTTGGCTCACTGCAACCTCCGCCTCCCGGGTTCAAGTGATTCTCCTGCCTCAGCCTCCCAAGTAGCTGAGATTACAGGTGGCTGTCACCACGCCCAGCTAGATTTTTGTATTTTTTAGTAGAGACGAGATTTCACCATGTTGGTCAGGCTGGTCTCGAACTCCCGACCTCAGGTGATCCACCCACCTCGGCCTCCCAAAGTGCTGGGATTACAGGCATGAGCCACTGTGCCCGGCTAACTTTCTTTTTTTCTTTTCTTTTCTTTTCTTCTTTTTTTTTTTAGATAGGGTCTCACTCTGTCACCCAGGTTGCAGTGTGGTGGCATGATCTCAGCTCACTGCAACCCCTGCCTCATGGGTTCAAGCGATTCTCACGCCTCAGCCTCCCCAGTAGCTGGGATTACAGGCGTGCACCACCATGTCCGGTTAATTTTTGTATTTTTAGCAGAGATGGGGTTTTGCCATGTTGGCCAGGCTGGTCTCGAACTCCTGGCCCAAGTGATCCACCCATCCCGGCCTCCCAAAGTGCTGGGATTACAGGTGTGAGCCACTGCACCTGGCCTTCCTGTGACAGATTTCTATGCCAAGTTTCTCCCAAGAAACCAAGCCTGGTGCCTCTGAAGGCAGCCTTCAAGGAGGGCATGACTTCCCCATTCTGATGCCCCCCTGGCTGGCAGGAGACAATGGATGGCAGGGACCCCATGTCCCGGGGACTGAACTTTCTTCCCCGCTCCATTTCCTGCAGGGGGCAGTAACAGCCATGACCAAAGCTTTGGCCCTGGATGAAAGTCCATATGGTGTCCGAGTCAACTGGTGAGCTGCTCTGAGCAGGCGGAGAGCCTCCTGGGGGGACTGGGGTGACTGGGAGTGATCCCAAGTGGTTCGAGACAGATTGCTTTGATCCCCCCTCTCCCTTCCTCTAGTATCTCCCCAGGAAACATCTGGACCCCGCTGTGGGAGGAGCTGGCAGCCTTAATGCCAGACCCTAGGGCCACAATCCGAGAGGGCATGCTGGCCCAGGTAGAAGTGGGGTTCAGATCCAGGTGGTAGAAGGTGGCATGGGGGTGGGGGGCATGGCGATCAAGTGGGGCTCCTCTTGACCTCCTTCCCCCCTCTTTTCTCCCCAGCCACTGGGCCGCATGGGCCAGCCCGCTGAGGTCGGGGCTGCGGCAGTGTTCCTGGCCTCCGAAGCCAACTTCTGCACGGGCATTGAACTGCTCGTGACGGGGGGTGCAGAGCTGGGGTACGGGTGCAAGGCCAGTCGGAGCACCCCCGTGGACGCCCCCGATATCCCTTCCTGATTTCTCTCATTTCTACTTGGGGCCCCCTTCCTAGGACTCTCCCACCCCAAACTCCAACCTGTATCAGATGCAGCCCCCAAGCCCTTAGACTCTAAGCCCAGTTAGCAAGGTGCCGGGTCACCCTGCAGGTTCCCATAAAAACGATTTGCAGCCAGAAGGAGGAGGATATCGTTATATTTATTTCCCATCCTTTAGACGAGTCCTTCTGCCCCACTTAGCCCTTGCACCCCAGACCCACAAGTTGCCTCGACCCTGAAGGACTGCAGCTCCCCCCGCCCCCCAACCCCAGGCCTTGCAGCAAGCAGGTGCCTGATGTTGCTAGCCCTGTCGCTGTCGCCAGGGGCTCCTGGGAAGGGTAGAGCGGTTTGGCTTCACCAGCGCGCTAACTAAAGGCCCGCAGGGGAGAGTAAATTAAGCGCTAATTAGGAGGTAATGGAGGGGGAGACGCAGAAGGCCCTCTTACTCTTGGCCCTCAGGGAAAAGGAGTTTTCCTCTCACTGCCTGTAGAATAGGAAGGTGGCTGGCAAGAAAAGTCCAAAGGGAAGAGAAAGTAGGGGGTTGAGACATCTGGATCAGAGGGAGGAGGGGCTGAAACTCCTGGGTTTTGGTCCGCAGGGCACTGGGGGACGCAGACTCCCCAGCTGGACCCAGGGGGGGGGCAGGGCCCGGGTGCGCTGGCGTCCCCCAGGTGAGGGGTGGAGCTGCAGGGCTGCTGCGGATTGGCTGTGGCCGGGGGGGCGTGTGCACCAACCGCTGATTGGCCGCGGCGGGGGCGGGAGCTGTCAGTGGGCCCCGACCCTACAGCCCGGGGCTGGCGGGTGGGGCAGGAGGACTGGGGCGGAGCGCAGAAAAACAGGGCGACGCCCTGTGAGGGAAGGGTCCCGCGGTTTGGCTGTTTGGGCCTGTGGCTGTTAGGGGTGGCAGGATAGTGACCCGGGGACAGGACTTGGGGGCACTGTGGGGGTAGAATTTGGAGACAGAGTGTCCCAGGGTAGGATTGCCGAGACACGATGGCCGAGGGATACGATTTTTTTTTTTTTTTTTTAATTTGAGACGGAGTCTCACTCTGTCGCCCAGGCTGGAGTGCTGTGGTGCAATGTCGGCTCACTGCAACCTCCGCCTCCCGGGTTCAAGCGATTCTCCTGCCTCAGCCTCCCGAATAGCTGGGATTACAGGCCCCCGGCACCACGCTCGACTAATTTTTGTATTTTTATGTATTTATTTTTATTTATTTATTTATTTTGAGACGGAGTCTCACCCTGTCACCCAGGCTGGAAATGCAGTGGCGCGATCTCGGCTCACCGCAACGTCCGCCTCCAGGGTTCAAATGATTCTCCTGCCTCAGCCTCCCTAGTAGCTGGGATTACAGGCGCACACCACCACACCCGGCTAATTTTTGTATCTTTAGTAGAGACGGGGTTTCACCATGTTGGTCAGGCGGGTCTTGAACTCCTGACCTTGTGATCCGCCCACCTCGGCCTCCCAAAGTGCTGGGATTACAGGCGTAAGCCACCGTGCCTGGCCTTAATTTTTGTATTTTTAGTAGAGACGGGGTTTCCCCATGTCGGCCAGGCTGGTCTTGAACTCCTGGCCTCAGGTGATCCACCCGCCTTGGCCCCCAAAGTGCTGGGATTACAGGTGTGAGCCACCAAGCCAGGACTTTTTTTTTTTTTTTTTTTTGAGACGGAGTCTCACTCTGTCGCCCAGGCTGGAGTGCAGTGGCATCATCTCGGCTCACTGCAACCTCTGCCTCCCCGATTCAAGCAATTCTCCTGCCTCAGCTTTCCGAGTAGCTAAGATTACAGGCGCCCGCCACCACGCCCGGCTAATTTTTTGTATTTTTAGTAGAGACGGGGTTTCATCATGTTGGACCAGGCTGGTCTCTAACTCCTGACCTCAGGTAATCCGCCCGCTTCGGCCTCCCAAAGTGCTAAGATTACAGACCTGAGCCACTTCGCCTGGCAGGGACCGTATTTCAAGTCCTGCCCTCCCACCAGCGCCTGCGCCCCGCAGCAGTGTCCGGCTCCCTGCCGACGCCCTGGAGCTGGGACGGCCTGGGGCGCTGGTCGGCCGCCTTCCCCCAGAAGGAGGCGTGAGCGGGGCGTGGCCGGAACGTCTCTCTTCGGAGCCGCGCCCCGGGCGGGCACAGTTACGCGCCGCACGGATCATGGCCGCAGCCGCTCTGGGGCAGGTGGGTTCGCAGCCCCGCGCCGGGGTCTGGGAAATAACCGGGGGAGGCGCACTTCCGGGAAGACCACTGGCCTGCAGCCGGTCCGACTCGGCGCCGCTCCTCCCGCCCTGGGGTTCCGCTGCAGGGCGCGGAGGAGGATGGCGCCCTTTGGAAAGGAGCACGAGGCTTTAATGGGGTGAGGGGGAGCAGGTAGACGCGGATGAGGTGGGGCAAGTAATTGGCGGGGAGGTAAAAAAAAAAAAAAAAAGGGAAACATGGTGGAGGACCCTGTAATGAGGGAGGCGTGGGGGTGGGGAGGTTGTGATTTGGGGAGCGGAGCCCTGGGGTGCGGTGGGGCATCAGCCTGTGCGGGAGCTGGAATAAAGGGGCCCAGACCTCCAGGGCCGGGTGCAGGTGAAGGCAGAGTTGGACCTCAAGTCTCAGCTCTGGGAATTGGACTCAAGGTCCTATTTTCTTGGAATGAAAGTTGAAAAAAATAAGAGATGGGGATTGCTGTGCTTCCCAAACTCCTATCTGAAGCTTTGCACCTGGATTGGAAATCGAGGCAGCGTCTCATGGTCAAAGTGACAGATGCTGCAGGCTGGCTGAGACGATCCCTTCTGACTGTGCGATGTCAAACAGCAGCAGCGTTTCCCAGAGTCTATGATTTCAGAGAACAAGGTTTCTCAGTGAGGAAGGAAACAGCCAAAGAAAGGGGTCATTACAAGCCTTCACAGCTGCGGTGTAACCTTGGGAGAACTGTCTGTTAACTTTACACCTGACTTTATTTGAGTCTCTTATCCTAGCTGATGAATGTCAGGGCAGAATTTCACTTTTTTCGGCTCTTAGTGACTGATAGGGATAGTCCTGGGATACCTGGGGTATGTGGGCAATCTGGGCTTTAGTGGTGACACTCCTGGACTGTGGTGGGGCAGTACTGGGCTTTGACAGGTCCACTTGGGACTGATGTGGACCGTCTCATCATGGCACAGTTCTGGTGTCATAGAATGGCCCTGAACTCATGATGGGACATTCCTAGGCTCTGATGAAGATAGAGATATCCTGTAATGGAGATAATTGGGCTGAGTCCTCAGCTGTGATGGGGACAGTCCCGGGGTGTGGAGAGGACAGTGCTGGACCATGGTAGGGACAGTCTGGAAGGTACTGGCCTAGACAGCAACATAGGGATAGTCCTGGGGATTGAAAAAGACAACAATGGGATTTTTTTTTTTTTTTTAATTTCAGACCTGGTGAATAGGAAATAAGCCCTGATATTTGGCAGAGACAATGCTGGTTATAATGGGGAAAAGTGCTGGGCTTTGGATAGGGGACATTCCTGAGCTGTTTGGGACAGTACTTGGCTCTGCTGGGGACCAGTTCTGATAAGTTACAGGCACAATCTGGACTTGTGATGTGGAGCATCTTGGGCCATCATAGAACAGCCCTGGTCTGTGATGGGGGAGAGTCCTGGGCTATAAAGGGGGCAGTTCTAGACGTGATGGGGTCATGTGTGGGCTGTGACAAGGGCAGACTGCGGTATGATGGGGTCTCTCCGGGGCCGTGATATGGGGACAGTCCTGGAGTATGGAGGGCACTGCTGGGCTTTGACAGTGACACTCCTGGTCTTTGATGGTGATACTCCTGGGCTGTATGGGACATAATGGAGGTTCTATCACATTATAGAGACCTGCCCTGTGAACCCCCAAACGTACTTTATTTCTTTGTCTCGTCTTTTCTTTTTGACCGAGTCTTGCTCTGTTGCTCAGGCTGGAGTGCCGTGGCACGATCTCGGCTCACTGTAACCTCCGCCTCATGGGTTCAAGTGACTGTGGTGCCTCAGCCTCCCGAGTAGATGGGCTCAAGCGATCCACCTGCCTCAGATTACAGGCATGAGCCACCATGCTGGTCTTTTTTTTTTTTTTTTTTTTTTTTTTTTTTGAGAGACACTCTATCACTCATGCTGGAGTGTAGCAGTGTGATCGTAGCTCACCACAGCCTTGACCAGTAGGTCAAGGTGATCCTCCCACCTTAGCCTTCTGAGTAACTGGAATTACAGGTGTGTGCCACCATACCTGGCTAATTTTTAAATTGTTTGTAGAGACAGGGTCTTGCTATATTGCCCAGGCTGATCTTGAACTCCTGGCCTCATGCAGTCCTCCCACCTCTGTCTCCTAAAGTGCTGTGATTACAGGCATGAGCTACTGAGCCAGCTGCCTACTTTCTTTCTTTGTTTTTTTTCTTTTTAATTGAGACAGAGAGTCTTGCTCTGTCGCCCAGGCTGGAGTGCAGTGGCACCATCTCGGCTCACTGCAACCTCCGCCTCCTGGGTTTAAGCAATTCTCCTGCCTCAGCTTCCCAAGTTGCTGGGACTACAGGCGCCCGCCACCACACCCAGCTAACTTGTATTTTCTGTAGAGACAGGGTCTCCCTATGTTGCCCAGGCTGGTCTTGAACACCTGGCCTCAAGCTATCCTCCTGCCTCGGCCTCCCACAGTGCTGGGATTACAGGCGCGAGCCACTGCGTGTGGCCTCTTTCTATGATTAGATCTATTTTGGCATCTCTTGTTTCTTGGCGTCAATTTCTGTTTTTGTTTTTTTTTTTTTCTGTTTGTGCGCCCCTTTCTGTGTTTCTTTTTCTCATCCTTCCTCTTCCATCTCTTACTCTCTTTTTTTCATCTTGGCTCTGAGGGCAGCTCTCCTGCCCACAGGCTGGCTGTCGCACTGTGTTTGTGTCTCTCATACTGTGGGTGTCCTATCCCTCTGGGCAGAAGCATGGCTGCAAGGCTGAGCAGTCTAGATGTCGCCACCCAAAGGCAATCTGGGGACCCACGCTCTGATCACCCCGGAATCCCTGGAGCCTCACACCAGCAAGACCACGCTGCAGGCCCATCTCCCAGCAACTCACCTAGCGACAAGTGACCACGCCCATTCACGTCCATCTTCCAGAATCAGTGCCAACTCACCCAGCTCACAGGGCAGGCCAGGCCAGGCCACTCTGTCTCTCTCAACCTCACGCCCCAACGCCTCCCCACAGGGCTGGGGAAAGAGGCCTTGTGAGGTCAAAGGTCACCAGAGAGGGCCCAGCCTGCTGGACACAGCCAGACCTGCTCTTCCTACTCCCCTCTGGGAGGACCCGCCTGAGCCTCATGCAGTGAGGACTGCAGTGGCTCCCCAGGCCCCTGTAGCTGCCCCTCAGCCCCAGGGGCTGAAGGGAATTGGAGTCACTGCCAAAATGGGTTTGTATTTCAGGTAATCAGAGCCCAGTTGATCGAATACCTTCAGAGAATAAGCACCTGTACTCCTGGGTCTGGCGGAGGAGGGGCTGGGGAACTGGACTCCTGGGTCTGAGGGAGGAGGGGTGGGGCCTGTACTCCTGGATGTAAGGGAGGAGGGTCTGAGGCCTGGACTCCAGGGTCTGAGGGAGGAGGGGCTGGGGGCCCAGACTTCGGGTCTGAGGGAGGAGGCAGCTAGAGTCTGGACTCTTACTTAGGTCTGAGGGAGGCGGGCCTGGGGTCTGCACCCCTGAGCTCTGGGGGAGCAGGACCTGTCGGTCCTTGGTCTTCTAAGGCCTGTCAGCACTTGGGTACCCGGAGGCCTTCACTTACCTGTGTGCCTTCCCTGGTTGTTTTCTTGTCTGAGCTGATCTCCAGGCTGCGACCAAAGGTCTCTGGGGTGGGAGGCGCTTGCGTTTGACTTTGCCGCAGCATGGAGGAGGGGGCGGGAGCTGACTCAGCTCTTTCCAGCGAGCCCTCGTCAGGGCAGGGAGGGGACTTGGCCTCCTTCAGGACCACCTGCCCCGTCTAGAATGGACTGAAACTGGGACAGAACAGGCAGGCCAGTGGGACCTCCAAGTGCAGGAGGTGGCGAGCGAGCTGCCAGGGCCCCTGCTGTGCCCCACTCACCCCCTCTCTCACTTCTTTCTCCACCCAGATCTGGGCACGAAAGCTTCTCTCTGTCCCTTGGCTTCTGTGTGGTCCCAGAAGATATGCCTCCTCCAGTTTCAAGGTGAAAGGAGGGAACTCGATGCTTGGCTCTGAGAGAGGAGGGGGCTGGCAGCTGGTTTTGGGCATCTCCAAAAGGTCCACAGCCCAGAGATGGCAGTGAGTGGTGGTAGCTTAACAGCCTGCCATTGGGCCGCAGACAAGGGATGAAACTGCATGTCCCAGAATCCTCCAGGGTGACAGGTCCTTCTTCTCTATGGGTCTGAGGCCCAGGGCTTCATGGGAGTTGTAGTTTTTCAGCTGGGAGGTTGTGGCCAGATTCTAGGATACCCCTGTCTTTCCTCAGGCTGCAGACCTGCAGCTGGAAATGACACAGAAGCCTCATAAGAAGCCTGGCCCCGGCGAGCCCCTGGTGTTTGGGAAGACATTTACCGACCACATGCTGATGGTGGAATGGAATGACAAGGGCTGGGGCCAGCCCCGAATCCAGCCCTTCCAGAACCTCACGCTGCACCCAGCCTCCTCCAGCCTCCACTACTCCCTGCAGGTGGCATGGCGGCCGGCCTCTCTCCCTGTCCCTGTCTGCATCTCCTCCTCCTTGCTGTGTCTCTTGCCAGGTGTACCTCTCTTGGTTTGTTTGTTGTGTGTTTCTCCTTTCTGTGCATTCACCATTTGTTTTCTGAGGCCTTCCATGCTCCAGGCTCATGCTTGGTGATGCTGGGTTCCCCGAGATGAGCAGACCCGGTTCCTTCACTTGGAAAACCCCATGCTGTGGGCATAACTCAGTATGATCTGTGCTCTGATGGAGGCCCTGTGGAGGCCAGTAGAGACCCCCAGCCTCACTTGAAAGAAAGCATGGCTTCTTCTGGCATAGAGGGAAGCTTAGAGGGGGATGGTGGGAGAGGTGACAGGGTGATGGTAGGAAAGGGGACAGCCGGGGGGCTGGCGGGAGAGGGACAGCCAGGATGATCGCGGGAGAGGGGACAGCCATTGGGGGGGGAGATGGTGGGGGAGGGCACAGCCAGGGGGATGGCTGGAGAGGGGACAGCCAGGGGAGGGATGGCGGGAGAGGGGACAGTCAGGGGAGGGATGGCGGGAGAGGGGACAGCCAGGGGAGGGATGGCGGGAGAGGGGACAGCCAGGGGAGGGATGGCGGGAGAGGGGACAGCCAGGGGAGGGATGGCGGGAGAGGGGACAGCCAGGGGAGGCATGGTGGGAGAGGGGACAGCCAGGGGAGGGATGGCGGGAGACGGACAGCCGGGGGAGGGATGGCGGGAGACGGACAGCCGGGGGAGGGATGGCAGGAGAGGGACAGCCGGGGGAGGGATGGCGGGAGAGGGACAGCCGGGGAAGTGATGGTGGGAGAGGGCCAGCCGGGGGAGGGATGGCAGGAGAGGAGACAGCCCAGGGGGGATGGCGGGAGAGGGGACAGTTGGAGATGGCGGGAAGGGGGACAGTCGGTGGGGGATGGCAGGAGTGGAGACAGCCAATCCAAACCCCAAACGGGAGTAGAGCCTGGTACATTTGGGAGAAATTGCGGTGTTGGAGCATGGTTAAGGAGGCTGAAAATGTCAGGGCCATGGAGGAGCTGAGGGGCTGGGGCCTTGTCCAAGGGTGCTGGGAGCCACTGAGGGCTCTGAGGAAGGGAGGGGCAGGGCCATGTCTGGGTATAGTAAGAGCCCTCTCAGGCCATGTGGAGGGCAAGAGTTGCAGGCTAGGAAGCCGGGCTGGTGACCAGGTAGACCTTGGGCCTGTCCCCACATGGGGACCCAGGAGGAGGAGCGGCTTTGTGGCACCTGGTGAGCCTGAGATACTGTGAAGTTTCTAGGAGACAGATCCAGGAGGCATTTGGTTTTAGGACTTATAGCTGCGGCTGAAAGCAAGGTCTTCAGAAGGAAACTTTGGTTGAGACAAGATTTAAGTGAGCATCTTACAGCTCCAGTAACTGGTTAGCAGGTTGGCTGATTTTAGTCCTCCAGGGCACAGTTCTGTGGCATGAAGACTTTTATTCCATTCCTTTCTTTCCTTTCCCTCCCTCCCTCTGTTTTTTCCTTTCTTCCTTCCTTTCCAGAATTTTAAGGTTTTGTTTTTTCCCCTCTCCCCTCCCACTCTGGACATCTAAGCAACACCAGTCGATTCTGTACAGAGCACACACACCTCCAATCACAGCCAGACACTCCTGCCAGTACATAAGCGTGATGGGCAGGATTCCGCCTGCTGAGCCCCCAGGAAGCTGGTTACTTGGAGACCACCACACACTTCTCCCTTCAGCCCAGCACAGCAGTTGTCCTCTGGCTGGGGACCCAGTACTTTTTCTTCAGCTGAGTGAGAGCAGAGGAAGCCTGTGGCCCTGGCAGACAGAACGCACTGCTGTGATCCCGCGGGTCCAGGGGGCGGAAGGGGGAGGATGAGGGAGTAGGACAATGCTGTCCCTATGTCACCCACACTCCAGGGCATGTGTGGATTGCAGGCCGACCACGTGTATTATTTTTTATTTTATTTTTTCTTATTTATTTATTTAGAGACAGAGTCTCACTCTGTCCCCCAGGTTGGAGTGCAATGATACAATCTCGCTCACTGCAACCTCCGCCTCCCGGGTTCAAGTGATTCTCCTGCCTCAGCCTCCCCAGTAGCTGGGATTACAGGCGCCCGCCACCACACCCGGCTAATTTTTGTATTTTTAGTAAAGCCAGGGTTTCACCATGTTGGCCAGGCTGTTTTCGAACTCCTGGCCTCAAGTGATCTGCCCACCTCAGCCTCCCAAAGTGCTGGGATTGCAGGCGTGAGCCACCATGCCTGGCCTTATTTTTTATTATTGTGGTACTAATACGCATACATAATAACACACAGCATCAAATGTGGGATTCCAACCATTTTATTTGTTTGTTTGTTTGTTTATTTATTTATGAGATAGAGTTTCACTCTTGTTGCCCAGGCTGGAGTGCAGTGGCACAATCTTGGCTCACTGCAACCTCTGCCTCCCAGGTTCAAGTGATTCTCCTGCCTCAGCCTCCTGAGTAGCTGGGATTATAGACATGCACCACTATTGGCTAATTTTTGTATATTTAGTAGAGACACGGTTTCACCACGTTGGCCAGGCTGGTCTCAAACTCCCGACCTCAGATGATCCACCGCCTCATCCTCCCAAAGGGCTGGGATTACTGGCGTGAGCCACGGCGCCCAGCCTCCAACCATTTTAAAGCCCATAATTCAGTGGCAGGCAATGTTATGCAACCATCAGCACCATCAAGGTTCAGAACTGTTTAATCCCCCATACCTATTAATCAGTACCCATTGTCCCTCACCCCAGCCCATGACAACCATTAGTCTGCTTTCTGTCTTTGTCTACCTGTATTTGTTTATTTATTATCTTTAAATAATAGGGATGGGGTTTCACCATGTTACCCAGGCTGGTTTTGAACTCCTGAGCTCAAGTGATCCACCTGCTTCGGCCTCCCAAAGTGCTGGGATTACAGGCGTGAGTCACCAAGCCTGGCCACCTGCATTTTTGTTGTTGTTGTTATGACTCTTTTTTTGAGAAAGGGTCTTGCTCTGTAGCCCAGGCTGGAGTGCAGTGGCACGATCTTGGCTCACTGCAGCCTTGACCTCCCAGGCTCCAGCGATCCACCTGCGTCAGCCTTCCAAGTAGCTGGGACTGCAGGTGTGCACCACCATGCCCAGCTAATTTTTATTTTATTTTATTTTTTTTTAGGGATGGGGTCTTGTTATGTTGCCCAGGGTGATCTCAGATTTCTAAGCTCAAGTGATCCTCCTGCCTCAGCCTCCCAAAGTCCTGGGATTGCAGGCATGAGCCACTATATCCGGTGTATCCGGGCTCTTTTACCTGGGTTTTGTTTTGTTTTGTTTTTGAGACGGTGTCTTGCTCTGTTTCCCAGGCTGGAGTGCAGTGGCATGGTCTCAGCTCACTGCAACCTCCGCCTCCTAGGCTCAAGTGATCCTCCTGCCTCTGCCTCCCGAGTGGCTAGGACTACAGGCACACACCACCTTGCCCAGTTAATTTTTAAATCTTGTGCAAAGACAGGATCTCACTTTGTTGCCCAGGCTGGTCTCGAACTCCTGGCTTCAAGCAATTCTCCCACCTTAGCCTCCCAGTTCTGGGGTTACAGGTATGAGCCATCATACTGGGCCTGGAAATTCTTCTCTATACCTTAAAGCTTAAAGAGCTTTTTCCATCTTTCTTGCAGCCTCATGCTGTATCATCCTAACAATGCACCTCCTTAGGCAATCCCCTACTGTTGGACACTTAGGTTGTTTCCAGTCTATTATAAACAATTTTGCAATAAAGAATCTAGTACAGGGCCGGCTGTGATGGCTCACCTGCAATCCCAGCACTTTGGGAGGCTGAGGCAGGTGGGTCACCTGAGGTCAGGAGTTCAAGACCAGCTTTGCCAACATGGTGAAACCCCATCTCTACTAAATATACAAAAATTAGCTGGGTGTGGTGGCGGGTGCCTGTAATCCCAGGTACTCGGGAGGCTGAGGCAGGAGAATTGCTTGAACCCGGGAGGCGGAGGTTGCAGTGAGCCGAGATTGCGCCACTGCACTCCAGCCTGGGTGGCAGAGTGAGACTCCATCTCAAAAAAAAAAAAAAAAAAAAAAAAGGAATCCAGTACACACGTCCCTTCTTTAGTCACTTGTTTAAGTGCAAATGTATCTAGAGGCTCAATTTCGGGAACTGTAGGTCAAAGGATATGTATGCTTGTAATCTTGATACGTATCGCCACATCTACATCTACAGGGTGTGTCAGTTTCCACACCCACCAGCAGAGCCTGTTTCCATACCTTGGACAACCCTTGTCCAAGTTTTAGATCTTTTCCAATCTCCCATGTGGTTTTAAAGGTATCTCAAACTAATTTTAATTTGCATTTTTCTCCCTAGTGATTAATGAAATTGACTATCTTCTCACGAGCTTAAGGGCCACCTGTATTTCCTTTTGTGTGAACTGTCCATTTGCTAGGCTGATTTTTCTATCAGGTTAGGTTTTAAAAAATTCATCTGGGGCTGGGAAGAAGAGGCAGGGGGATTGCTTGAGCTCAGGAGTTCAAGACCAGCCTGGGCAACATAGTAAGACCCTATCTGTACAAGAAATTGGAAAAAAAAAAAAAGTCCAGTCGTGGTGGCTCACGCCTGTAATCCCAGCACTTTGGGAGGCCGAGGTGGGCGCATCACCTGAGGTCAGGAGTTCAAGACCAGCCTGGCCAACGTGGTGAAACCCCGTCTCTACCAAAAACACAAAAATTAGCCGGGCGTGGTTGTAGGCACCTGTAATCCCAGCTACTTGGGAGGTTGAGGCAAAAGAATTGCTTGAACCTGGGAGGTAGAGGTTGCAGTGAGCCAAGATAGAGCACTTCAGCCTGGGCAACAGAGTGAGACTCCATCTCAAATAAAATAAAAAATAAAATTCCCAATCCAAGATATAAAACAGTTATTTTTGTTTCCTTCTATAGCTTTTATGGTGTAATATATATATATATATTTTGTTTAGACTTTTAATGCACCTGGAATTTTTTCTGGTGTGAGGTGTGAAATAGAGATTCAACGTAGTTTTTCTCTAGATGGATATTTGGTTATCTATTCCATTATTCAGTCTGTCCACTCATATAGCAGTGTCACTCTGTTTTAAGTATTGTAGATTTATAATGTTTTACTACCTGATATGGCTACTCCCTGCCCCTGCCCCATCTTGCCCCTCATTTTTGTGGTGGTGGTTTTTATCCCCCCAAAATATTGTAGCTAGTTTTGCTTGTCTTCCATTCATTTATCTATTCATTCATCAAAAACCCACTATGGGAAAAAAAAAAAAAGTCTGGCTGGGTGCAGTGGCTCACCCCTGTAATCCTAGCACTTTGGGAGGCTGAGGCGGGTGGATCAACTAAAAATACAAAAATTAGCTGGGCGTGGTGGTGGGCGCCTGTAATCCCAGCTACCCAGGAGGCCGAGGCACAAGAATCACTTGGACCTGGGAGGCGGAGGTTGCAATCAGCAGAGATCACGCCACTGCACTCCAGCCTGGGTGACAGAGTGAGACCCTGTCTCAAAACAAAACAAAACAAAACAAAACAAAAAAACACTCTGTGCCAAGCGCTGCCTACCCTGGTGCATGGGACTGCAGGAGAGGCTGTCTGGTAAACGTGTCAAGGGTAATCCCTGCCTTCCAGGCTCTTCCACTCTGCAGTGGAGCAGATGCTGAACAAGCAAACTTGGAACCATGGGGCAGTGATCAGGGACAGAGTCTCCAGAAAAAAAAAACTAGGTCCCAGGCTGGAGTGCAGTGGCATGATCGTGGCTCACTGCAGTCTCAAACTCCCAGGCTCAAGTGATCCTCCCACCACCTTCCAAATACCTGGGACTCCAGTCACGTGCTACCACGTCTGGCTAATTTTCGTATTTTTTGGTAGAGATGGGGTCTTGCTATAATGCCTGGGCTGGTCACGAACTCCTACACTCAAGTGATCCTCCTGCCTCGGCCTCCCAAAGTGCTGGGATTACAGTGAGCCACTGAGCCCGGTCGTGTCCTTTGCTTTCTAGAGTCTCCGTGTGTCTCTACCTGTTTGTCTCCCTGTCTATATCTGTCTCTCTTTTTCTCCATCTCTCTGACCCAGCTGCTAAATCTCCCCGGTGCTCTCCTCTTGGCCTCCATCTTTCAGTTGTCTGTGTCTTTGTGTATCTGTCTCTGTCTGTCTTGGTGTCTCTCATGACTGTCTGGAGAAGTCTCTGAGCCTCCCCACCCGCGTGTCCCCGCAGCTGTTTGAGGGCATGAAGGCGTTCAAAGGCAAAGACCAGCAGGTGCGCCTCTTCCGCCCCTGGCTCAACATGGACCGGATGCTGCGCTCAGCCATGCGCCTGTGCCTGCCGGTGAGGGGTCCCGGTCCACCGGGGTGGGGAGGAGGGCTGGGGCCGGGGCAGCAAGGGCCCCTTGACTCATTCAGAATCCCACCCAGAGTTTCGACAAGCTGGAGTTGCTGGAGTGCATCCGCCGGCTCATCGAAGTGGACAAGGACTGGGTCCCCGATGCCGCCGGCACCAGCCTCTATGTGCGGCCTGTGCTCATTGGGAACGAGGTGGGCCCAACTCCAGGGCTGGGAAGCTGGGCTGCGGGGGTTGGATTCTGCAGGGCAGGGGTGGGGTCCTGGAGGCCTGGGCCTGGGGACGGGAAGGGACTGGGGGCCTGGACTCCTGACGCTGTCCCTTTGCCCGTCGCAGCCCTCGCTGGGTGTCAGCCAGCCCACGCGCGCGCTCCTGTTCGTCATTCTCTGCCCAGTGGGTGCCTACTTCCCTGGAGGCTCCGTGACCCCGGTCTCCCTCCTGGCCGACCCAGCCTTCATCCGGGCCTGGGTGGGCGGGGTCGGCAACTACAAGTTAGGTGGGTAAGTAGCACCCCCATCCCCAGAACGACTGGCGCACTGGGCGTTGGAGACACAGGGACCAGCGTGCGTGCTTTCGGCCATGCCTCTGGATGTCACATGAAGGTGACATCATCAGCACCGTGCAGGGCTCAGTGCTAAGTGACCTCCCTGGTCCCTGAAAACAAACCATGGAAGGAAGGAGGAGGGGATTATTTTTCAGATGGACAAAAAGGCTCACAGATGGGAAGGCATTGGGTGGAGGTCAGTGGGGAAACCAGGACTGGTCCCTGGAAGCCTCCAGGAGTGAAGCTTACACTCAGCTCATTGGCTTCTCGCCCCAGAAGCCTCCCCTGATCCCCCAGGCTGGGCTGCGCTCCCCATACCCAGCTCCCACAGTCGTTTGAGCCTCCAAAGCCCCTCACCCCCGTGTGGACTTTCTGTGTAAATCTGTCTCCCAGTGGCCTCAGCTCAGCAGGGCAGGAAGGAGACAGCTGGGTCTCCTGGGCAACCAAGGCAGAGGGTGGGCACTGGCGTGTTGGGACAGGAATGTGGCCCCAGCTGGGGGTGCATTCAGGTCCTTTCAGCCACATCCTGTGAGGTCTCCTGAGGGCCAGGCCCTGTGCTGGCAGAAGCTGGGGACACAGATGAGTCAGCCCCGAGCCCTGCTCTCCTGGGTCTCCCAGGCTGGTGGGAGCCCCAGTATTCGGAGCTGCATGTTCTCTGGTGAGGTGACCCAGGGCATTGTGAAAGCCTTCACAGAGGCCAGAGGCGGTGGCTCACGCCTGTAATCCCAGCACTTTGGGAGGCTGAGGCGGGCAGATCACGAGGTCAGGAGATCGAGACCATCCTGATTAACACAGTGAAACCCCATCTCTACTAAAAATACAAAAAAAAAAAAAAAAAATTAGCCGGGCTTGGTGGCGGGCGCCTGTAGTCGCAGCTACTCAGGAGGCTGAGGCAGGACAATGGCGAGAACCCAGGAGACAGAGCTTGCAGTGAGCCGAGATCGCGCCACTGCACTCCAGCCTGGGCGACAGAGCGAAACTCCATCTCAAAAAAAAAAAAGAAAGGTTTCGCAGAGGAGGCGACCCTTCAACTAGGTCTGACGAGGAGGGAGGAGGGGGTTTCCTGGGTACAAAAGTCAGCAAACTGTTTCCAGTCCTGGGAACCATGTGTACAGGGACAGAAGGAATAGGATCACAGAAGATGTTCAGGTTACAAAAATAAGTTTGGGTTTTGAAAAATGCTTAGCAAGTATTCATTAGACCCAGGCAGGCCTGGAATGCCGGAAGGAGGCTAGGGTCTTGTCCTGGGGCACTGGGGAGCCATGGGAGGCTTGTTAGCAGCTGAGGGGAGAGGCTATCTCTGGGAGAGAGACTCAGAAAGTCATCCAGGTAGCCCAGTTCACTGGGGGAGTCCAGGGAAGGTCCAGCACCCAGCCTGGAGGTCTGGAAACACCTCTCGAGGAGGTGACAACAGAAACGGTTTTGGAGCCAGGCGCGGTAGCTCACGCTTGTAATCCCAGCACTTTGGGAGGCCGAGGTAGGCGGATCACTTGAGGTCAGGAGTTTGAGACCAGCCTGGCCAACATGGTGAAACCCCGTCTCTACTAAAAATATAAAAAGTAAGGCCGGGCGCTGTGGCTCACTCTTGTAATCCCAGCACTTTGGGGGGCTGAGGCGGGCATATAAATATAAATGTGAATATAAATTAGCCGGACATGGTGCTGCATGCCCCAGTTACTCCAGTTACTCAGGAGGCTGAGGCACGAGAATCGCTTGGACCCGAGAGGCGGAGGTTGCAGTGAGCTGAGATCGCACCACTGCACTCTAGCCTCAGCCTGGGCGACAGAGCAAGACTCTGTCTCAAAAAAAAAAAAAAGAAAAAAAGAAAAAAAGAAATGGTTTTGAATGACAGCTGAGGATTTGGTCAGTATGAAATGGGTGAGGGCTGGGCGCGGTGGCTCACGCCTGTAATCCCAGCACTTTGGGAGGCTGAGGCGGGCAGATCACCAGGTCAAGAGAGGCTGAGGCAGGAGAATCTCTTGAACCTGGGAGGCGGAGGTTGCAGTGAGCCAAGATCGCACCACTGCACTCCAGCCTGGGTGACAGAGCGAGACTCCGTCTTAAAAAAAAAAGAAAAGAAAAGAAAGAAAAGTGGGAAGAGACAGGAGAGAGGGGACATAACCATTTAGGGTCCTGATGCCAAATGAAAAGTCAAGGATTCCATCTCAGGGGAACTGGGGAGCCCTGTGAGAGCTGTGAGCAGGGAGACGGGAGAGAGTAGGATGAGCCTCCTCTGGGGCTGGGCTGGGGAAGGATGGGGCTCCCTTGCCCCACCCAACCAGACTGCCCTCCACCAGGAATTATGGGCCCACCGTGTTAGTGCAACAGGAGGCACTCAAGCGGGGCTGTGAACAGGTCCTCTGGCTGTATGGGCCCGACCACCAGCTCACCGAGGTGGGAACCATGAACATCTTTGTCTACTGGACCCACGAAGATGGGGGTAAGCCCACCCATGACCCAGCCCGAACCCTGGTGGAAGTGGGTGGCACCATCATTCCTGGCAGGTTACAGGCCCCAGGGATTCTGGGATGGGGGAAGGGGGTGGCTCTTAAGACGGCGGTGCTAGGGGGTGAGAGGTAACATCTTCCACCCCTTACACCTGCCCTAGTGCTGGAGCTGGTGACGCCCCCGCTGAATGGTGTTATCCTGCCTGGAGTGGTCAGACAGAGTCTACTGGACATGGCTCAGACCTGGGTGAGGACATGGCATCTTCTGGTGATGGGCGCCATGTGCCAGGGGCCAGGGCATCAGAGGGCTGGGACTGGGGCACACTGGCATGTCTCTGCCCCTTCTCCTGGGTCTGTCTCTCCCGTTGGGCCTCTGTCTTTCTCACTATCCTCAGGGAGGGAGAGGTGGAGGTCTGCAGCAGGGCAACCCTCTGGGGACACGTGTCTCTGCCAACTGCCCTGCAGGGTGAGTTCCGGGTGGTGGAGCGCACGATCACCATGAAGCAGTTGCTGCGGGCCCTGGAGGAGGGCCGCGTGCGGGAAGTCTTTGGCTCGGGCACCGCTTGCCAGGTCTGCCCAGTGCACCGAATCCTGTACAAAGACAGGGTGAGGCGGGGCTGCCATTGTGGGTGGGAGGGAAGGAGGGGAGGGGCTTGGTCCTCACCGCACCTTCTGTCCCAGAACCTCCACATTCCCACCATGGAAAATGGGCCTGAGCTGATCCTCCGCTTCCAGAAGGAGCTGAAGGAGATCCAGGTGAGCTGCAGGGAGCTGGGGAATGGGCTGGGAGCTTGTTCCCTGGAGAAGTTGGTGTCCCATGAGCCCCTGGACTAACAGCCAGCCTCCTTCAGTAGTACCAGGAACAGATAATGGCCTTTCTTATTGAGGCCCTGGAGAGTGGGCTTTCTGTGCTGCTCTGTGGCCTGGAAAACCCCTTGGGGCTAAATCACCCTTTCCTGGGAGCTCCCGGAGCCCTGGATATGTCTTCAGCTTTGGAAACCCCTTCCTGTGATCCTCTGCGGCTCCTGGGTGCCCTGGTAGGAGAAACCCCCTCTCCGTGGGCCTCTGAGGCCCCTGGGTGCCCTGGTGGGAGAAACTCCCTCCCTGTGATCCTCTGCTGCCCCGGGTGCCCTGGTGGGAGAAAGGCCCTTTCCATGAATCACTGAGACCTTAGCCAGCCCTCTGGCCATCTCAGAGGTTGGCCTCCCAAGATTCCCTGGAGCCCTGGGCTATCCCTTTGGCCGGAGAAAGCTTCCTCCCATGAGCCTCTGGACCTTGGCCCCTCTCTGGCACCAGACTGTTTAATCCCATAAATCTCTGGGGGTATTCCCATCTTCTGGGCCAAGATCTCTTTCCCAAGAATCTCTGGGCTCCTTTCCCAGACCTAGAGCTACATTTCTGTAAACTTTTGTGCATCAGGACCTAGAACTACACATCCTCTGACTATCTGGGCTTTCTGAGCTGAAAGTGACTTTTTCCAAGAGCCTTAGAGGCCTGGCCATAATTCCTGTCTTCAGAACTACATCTCCCGGAAGCCTCTGCGCCGCCTTAGCCTTGATTCCCCGTTCCCATCATTGTTGGGGCCCTCTGGGAAGTGGACTACATTTCCCGTGAGCCGCTGGGGCACAGCTCCGTAGGCACTCGGCCTGGAACACCCCAGGGCCTACTGGGAGTTGTAGTGCAGCTTCCACCTCACGCACTGCCTCCGTTGTTCCGCAGTACGGAATCAGAGCCCACGAGTGGATGTTCCCGGTGTGAAGCTGCAGGCTGTGCTCCAGATCCACCGACCCGTAGCATCTCGTCACGCCAGCACTCGCCTCCCTACCAATGACTCACCTGAAGTGCAATACGAAATAAAAGGCCAGCGGGCGGCGTCTGGGTCTCTGGCGCCCCCATGTGGTTGCGACACTCCCAAAGCCGTAAGGGCCGACCCAGGCATCTTGGCCCCCAGCCCCTCGTCGCGGGTTCAGGTCCGCCCATTACTCCTTGTCGTGCGGTCAAGGATACACCTTGGCCCCGATTCCGGATCTCTCCGTTCTCAGGCCAGACCCCTGGTGCTGCCGTTGATTTTTTTTTCTCTGTCTTTGCTGCAATTTTGAAATAAAATGCCAAAGAACACACATTGTCGGGCTTCTTCAGTGACGTGACTCTGGGGCTTTAACCCAGGAATCCTGCTTCCTCAGCCCATTTTATTCTGAAGGACTCAGTCATCCGAGCCCCCAGTGTTCTGATGGTTTCTCCAACCTGGGGGAGCATTTCATGTCTCCGGCACTGAACTTACTATCTGCCCCCCACCAACCAGCTCCTCCCCTACTTTCCCGTCTCCCAGTCTCTAGGCCGGACCCCTAGGTGCTGCATCCTTTTCTCTCAAAGCCCACGAGGCCCCGATCCCTGTTCCTCCTGCCCCCGACTCTGCTGTCCGTTCCCCCGCCTCTTTGTCCCCTAGGCCCTGGCCTCAGCTCAGCTGCTGTCTTCTACTGGCACCCTTGTTCCAGCCTGCAGTCTGCTACCTGGCCCAAAGGGTCTTTTCTACACCCAGACGTGGCCCAGTGCCCTCAGCCAGGACTGTAGTCACGGGACCCTAGTGGGTGTGGAGTGAGGCACGATACTCTCACCTGCTGGAGGGATTAAACGTGGAAGAGTTTAGACTGGGTATGGTGACTCCCACCTGCAATTCCAGCACTGTGGGAGGCTGAGGCGGGAGGATTGCTTGAGACCAGGCTGGGCAACACAGTGAGATCCCATCTGTACAGAAAATACAGAAAATTAACCAGGTGAGGTGGCATGTGAGTATAGTCCCAGCTACTCCAGAGGCTGAGGTGGGAGGATTGCCTGAGCCCGGGAGGTTGAGGCTGCAGTGAGCTGTGATTGTGCCACTACACTCCAGCCTGGGTGACAGAGCAAGACTGTCTTGAAAAAAAGGCCAGGCACTGTGGCTCATGCCCGTAATCCCAGCACTTTGGGAGGCCAAGGTGGGCGGATCACCTGAAGTCAGGAGTTCAAGAGCAGCCTGGCCAACATGGTGAAACCCCATCTCTACTAAAAATACAAAAAAACCAGCTGGACGTGGTGGAGGGTGCCTGTAATCCCATCTACTTGAGAGGCTGAGGCAGGAGAATCGCTTGAACCTAGGAGGCAGAGGTTGCAGTGAGCAGAGATCATGCCACTGCACTCCAACACACACACACACACACACACACACACACAGACACACACACACACTTTATTTTATTTTTTTCTTGAGACAGAGTCTCGCTCTGTCGCTCAGGCTGGAGTGCAGTGGCATGATCTCGACTCACTGCAACCTCTGCCTCCTGGGTTCAAGCGATTGTCCTGCCTCAGCCTCCCCAGTAGCTGGGACTACAGGCGTGCACTACCATGCCCAGCTAATTTTTGTATTTTTAGTAAAGATGGGAGTTTTGCCATGTTGGCCAGGCTGGTCTCAAACTGCTGACCTCAGGTGATCCACCTGCCTCGGCCTCTCAACATGCTGGGATGATAGGCATGAGCTACCCAACCTGGCCCACATATACCTTTTCATATTATAATTGTTATGTGGAGGTGTAGAGAAAGCCAGGCATTCGGATGGACGAGGCACATCCTCTTGCAGATTCGAATTCACAGACTGCCTTGGTTATCGGCTGGCTGTGTGACCTCAGGTGTGGTGCTTAATCTCCTTGATCCAATTTGCTGGAGGGACACCCTGTGGGACTATTCTGGCAAACATGATCTGTGGCCTATCCAGCAGCCATCGGCGTTGACACTGAAAGTCCAGTTTTTTACGGCGTCAGCAGACCCATTACCACATCCTCTCATTTCCCATTGTCAATGATCCCTCAAGGAAAGGTTAGAGGCCAAGGGGATCCTAAGGGAAACTTGCCTGGAGGCCTCTGGGAAGCTTTCTTCCCTTGATAAAACAATCCATGTGCTCACTTCGGCAGCACATATACTAAAATTGGAATGATACAGAGAAGACTAGGATGGCCCCTGTGCGAGGATGACACACAAATTCGCAAAGCATTCCATATTTTTTTGTCCTCAGCAAACTAACACAGGAACAGAAAACCAAACACCGGTCTGAGCACAGTGGCTCACGCCTATAATCCCAGCACTTTCGGAGGCCGAGGTGGGCAGATCACTTGAGGTCTGGAGTTCGAGACCAGCCTGGCCAACATGGTGAAACCCCATTTCTACTAAAAATATGAAAATGAGCCAGGCATGGTGGCACACACCTGTACTCTCAGTTACTCGGGAGGCTGAGGCACAAGAATTGCTTGAATCTGGGAAATGGAGGTTGCAGTGAGCCAAGATCACACCACTACACTCCAGCCTGGGTGACAGAGTGAGACCCTCTCTCAAAAAAATAAAGAAGCCGGGCGCGGTGGCTCACACCTGTACTCCCAGCACTTTGGGAGGCTGAGGCAGGTGGATCACGAGGTCAGGAGATCAAGACCATCCTGGCTACCATGGTGAAACCCTGTCTCTACTAAAAATACAAAAAAAAAAATTAACCGGGCATGGTGGTGGGCGCCTGTAGTCCCAGCTACTCGGGAGGCTGAGGCAGGAGAATGGTGTGAACCTGAGAGGTGGAGCTTGCAGTGAGCCGAGATCGTGCCACTGCACTCCAGCCTGGGTGACAGAGCGAGACTCCATCTAAAAAAAAAAAAAAAGAAAAAAAGAAAACCAACCAAACACCGCATGTTCTCATTTATAAGTGGGAGCTGAACAATGAGAACACAAGGACACGGGGAGGGGAACAACATACACTGGGGCCTGTTGCAGGGTGGTGGGGAGGGAAAGCATCAGGATAAATAGCTAATGGATGCGGGGCTTAATACCAGGTGATGGGTTAACAGGTGCAGCAAACCACCATGGCACACGTTTACCCATGTAACAAACCTGCATGTCCTGCACATGTACCCCAGAACTTAAAATAAAATTAAGGCTGGGCTTGGTGGCTCATGCCTGTAATCCTAGCACTTTGGGAGGCCAAGGCAGGCTCGTCACCTGAGGTCAGGGGTTCCAGACCAGCTTGGCCAACATGTGGAAACACTGTCTCTACTAAAAATACAAAAAATAGACTGGGTGAGGTGGCTCACGCCTGTAATCCCAGCACTTTGGGAAGCCGAGATCAGGAGATCGAGACCAGCCTAGCCAACGTGGTGAAACCCCATCTCTACTAAAAATACAAAAATTATCCGGGCGTGGTGGCGCATGCCTGTAATCCCAGCTACTCGGGAGTCTAAGACAGGAGAATTGTTTGAATCCGGGAGGCAGAGGTTGCAGTGAGCCGAGATCACGCCATTGCACTCCAGCCTGGGCAACAAGAGCAAAACTCCATCTCTAAATAAATACATAAATGAAATAAAAATACAGAAAATCGCCAGGCATCATGGCGCATGCCTGTAATCCCAGCTACTTGGAAGGCTGAGGCAGGAGAACCACTTGAACCCAGGAGGCAGAGGTTGTAATGAGATGAGATCGTGCCACTGCACTCCAGCCAGTGTGACAGAGCAAGACTCTATCTCAAAAAGAAAATAAAAATAATAAAATTAAAAAAGAATTCACAAGCGTCACCCCTACATATATATATACACACATGTATATCTATAGGCTGGAGTACAGTGACGCATTCAGTGTACTGCAGTAATCACTGCAGCCTCGACCTCCCAGACTCAAACAATTCTCTCACCTCAGCCTCCCAAGCAGCTGGAATCACAGGCATGTGCCACTATGCCTGCCTAATTTTTTATTTTTATTTTTGTAGAGACAAGGTCTCAATATAATGCCCAGGCTGGTCTCAAACTCCTACGCTCAAGTGATCCGCCCATCTTATCCTCCCAAAGTGCTGGGATTACAGTCATGAGCCACTGCACTGAGCCTAATTTTATTATTTTTTATTTTTTGTAGAGACAAGGTCCCACTAGGCTGATCTCAAACGATCCTTCCACCTTGGTCTCCCAGTGTTGAGGTTACAGGCACGAGCCACCACCCCCAGCCTAAGAGACTATCATCAATGATTTTTTTTTCTTTTTTCTTTTCTAGAGCAGGTACAATGTAATCAATTATTATTATTATTATTAAGACCGAGTCTTGCTCTGTCACCAAGCTGGAGTGCAGAGGCATGATCTTGGCTCACTGCAACCTCTGCCTCCTGGGTTCAAGCAATTGTCCTGTCTCAGCCTCCCGAGTAGCTAGGACTACAGTTGTGTGTCATCACACTCAGCTAATTTTTTTTTTTTTGTTATTTTAGTAGAGAAGGGGTTTTACCATGTTGGCCAGGATGGTCTCTATCGCTTGACCTCACGATCCACCTGCCTCGGCCTCCCAAAGTGCTGGGATTATAGGCGTGAGCCACCGTGCCTGGCCATCAATTTATTATGATGATGATGATGATTTTTGAGATGGAGTCTCAGTCTGTCACCCAGGCCAGAGTGCAGTGGCGCAATCTTAGCTCACTGCAATCTCTGCCTCCTGGGTTCAAGCGATTCTTTTGCCTCAGCCTCTCGAGTAGCTGGGATTACAGGTGCCCGCCACCAAGCCCGGCTAATTTCTTTTTTTTTTTTTTTTTGAGATGCAGTCTCACTCTGTCACCCAGGCTGCAGTGCAGTGGCGCCATCTCGGCTCACTGCAAGCTCCGCCTCCAGGGTTCACGCCATTCTTCCTGCCTCAGCCTCCCGAGTACCTGGGACTACAGGCGCCCGCCACCACGCCCAGCTAAATTTTTTGTATTCTTAGTAGAGACGGGGTTTCACCGTGTTAGCCAGGATGGTCTCGATCTCCTGACCTTGTGATCCACCCGCCTCGGCCTCCCGACGTGCTGGGATTACAGGCGTGAGTCACCGCGCCCGGCCTTTTTTTTGGTATTTTTAGTAGAGATGGGGTTTCACCATGTTGGCCAGGCTGGTCTGGAACTCCTGACCTCAGGTGATCCGCCCGCCTCAGCCTCCCAACGTGCTGGGATTACAGGCGTGAGCCACCGTGCTCAGCCTCAGTGATTTTTGAGAATGTGAAGGGGTCTTGGGACCAAAGGGTTCAAGAACTGCTATCCATGAGCAGTGCTGGGCACACAGTGAGTAGGTGTGAGTGTTGGCGCTGCAGCTCACTTTGGAAAATAACTTTGTGTTGGTGCCTCATGCCTGTAATCCCAGCATTCTGGGAGGCCAAGGCAGGAGGATTACTTGAGCCCAGGAGTTCGAGACCACCCTGGGCAACATAGTGAGACCCCCCCTCCTCTACAAAAAATAAAAAAATTAGCTGCATGTGGTGGCGTGTGCCTATGGTCCCAGCTATTCGGTAGGCTGAGATAGGAGGATGGGTTTAGGCCAAGAATTCCAGGTTGCAGTGAGCTGTGTTCATGCCGCTGCACTCCAGCCTGGGTAACAGAGCAAGACCCTGTCTCAAAAAAAAAAAAAAAAAAGAAAGAAAGAAAGAAAGAAAAAGAAAAAAAAGAGTCCAATTCTGTGAGAAAATGAATATCTGCAAAGAATAATTTTTTTTTTTTTTTTGAGATGGAGTCTCGCTCTGTCACCCAGGCTGCAGTGCAGTGGCGCCATCTCGGTTCACTGCAAGCTCCGCCTCCCGGGTTCACGCCGTTCTCCTGCCTCAGCCTCCCCAGTAGCTGGGACTATAGGCGCCCGCCACGACGCCTGCCTAATTTTTTGTATTTTTAGTAGAGACGGGGTTTCACCATGTTAGCCAGGATGGTCTCGATCTCCTGACCTTGTGATCCTCCAGCCTCGGCCTCTTAAAGTGCTGGGATTACAGGTGTGAGCCACCAGGCCCAGCCAGATTAAATCTTTAATTATAATTTAATTATATAAGACTTAGGGTACTATAGGCCTTCATGGCTTTAGAAAACATTTTTCAAAATATTTAAAGACATTTTCATGCTTAAGGATGTCTTCATTTTAAAATAACAAACAGGACTAGGCGCCGTGGCTCACGCCAGTAATCCCAGCATTTTGGGAGGCCGAGGTGGGTGGATCACCTGAGGCCAGGAGTTTGAGACCAGCCTGGTGAACATGGCGAGACCCCTGTCTCTACTAAAAATAGAAAAATTAGCCGGGTGTGGTGGCGGGCACCTGTAATCTCAGCTACTCTGGAGGCTGAGGCAGGAGAATCACTTGAACCTGGGAGGTGGAGGCTGCAGTGAGCTGAGATCACAACGCTGCACTCCAGCCTAGGCAACAGAACAATACTCTGTCTCAAGAAAAATAAATAAGTGTGTGTGTGTGTGTGTGTGTGCGCCCAAGATTAGGACACAAAGAATCACACAGGCATAATGGGGCCTAAAAACTGTTTTTTTTTTTTAACTGTTTTTTTTTTTTTTTTTTTTTGAGATGGAGTCTCGCTCTGCCGCCCAGGCTAGAGTGCAATGGCGTGATCTCGGCTCACTGCAACCTCCGCCTCCCAGGTTCAAGCAATTCTCCTGCTTCAGACTCCCGAGTAGCTGGGACTACAGGTGTGAGCCACCACACCGGGCTAATTTTTGTATTTTTAGTAGAGACGGGGTTTCACCATGTTGGCCAGGCTGATCTTGAAGTCCTGATCTCAGGTCATCCTCCTGCCTCAGCCTCCTAAAATGCTGGGATTAAGCCATGAGCCACTGCGCCCGGCCGTTAAACTGTTTTATAAGCTCTGTGTGTGTGTGTGTGTGTGTGTGTGTGTGTGTGTGTGTGTGTGTGCTTAAGACAGTCTTTCTCTGTCACTTAAAAAAAAACCTGGTAAATAGCGGGCCCTACCTTTCCTACTGAAAAATAAATAAATAAATAAAATAATAAATCCAGGTAAATACATCTCAGCTGTAATAACCCAGCCACAGCGTGCTGTGTGTCAGGCCACGCTGTGGTGTGCCTGCAGCACCATCTGGTGGTCAGTGTTGAGTATAAAGTCAAAGGCCAAAAGAGGAGAAGGCCGGGCGCAGTGGCTCACACCTGTGATCCCAGCACTTTCCGAGGCCGAGGCGGGAAGATCACTTGAGGTCTGGAGTTTGAGACCAGCCTGGCCAACATAGTGAAGCCAGCCTGGCAGGAGAATCCCTTGAACCCGGGAGGCAGAGTTTGCAATGAGCTAAGATTGAGCCACTGCACTCCAGCCTGGGTGACAGAGTGACACTGTGTCTCAAAATAAATAAATAAGTAAACTAAAAATAAAAAATGGAAAACTAAGGAAAGAGGCAATTTACAGAGTGAGTCTCCAAATACAATTTCATCAGTTAGCAATGTGTAAAAATTAAAGTAGAGCTTCCTCTTCAAAGAGACTTTCCTCCTCGTCTACTTAGGAATAAATAGTAACTTCTCTTAGACGCAAAATGTATTCAAAGACCTGTGCTAACATTCTTAAATATCTGCTAGCCGTAATAAAGAAATCAGTGTACTTTATGTTTTTAGCTCCCACAATTTACCCTAAATATTTGCCCTGGCATGCTTATACTGGTCCAAGCAAGCATTAGGTCACAGCCTGTTCCTCTTCCTTATTTGAAGGTGTTTTTACCTTTCTCAGCATTCCACAAGTCACTTCCCCCTTCCTTTGTTCTCCTCTGCCTTTGCCTCTTTTAAAAAGTTCCAAGTTGCTAGCCAGTTGGGACAAATACAGAATGTGAGGTCCCGTTCCAGCCAATGGAAACCCGACACGGCAGTAGAGTGGATGCGTCAGGTTATAAATGACCCTGTCTCCTTTGTTCGTTGTACTCTTGTGGCAAAACTGCTGGCGAGTGTACCTTTTCTGCAGAAAGTAAAAATGGCCTTGCTGGCCGGGCTCAGTGGCTCATGCCTGTAATCCCAGCACTTTGGGAGGTCAAGGCGGGCGGATCACCTGAGGTCAGGAGTTTGAGACCAGCCTGACCAACATGGAGAAACCCCGTCTCTACTAAAAATACAATATTAGCCGGGCGTGGTGGTGCATGCCTGTAATCCCAGCTACTCGGGAGGCTGAGACAGGAGAATTGCTTGAACCTCGGAAGCCGAGGGTGCAGTGAGCTGAGATTGTGCCATTGCACTCCAGCCTGGGCAACAAGATCGAAACTCCATCTCAAAAAATAAAAATAAAAATAAAAATGGCCTTGCTGAGGAAATTAATGTTCAAGTGCTATGTCTTTTTTTTTTTTTTTTGAGGCGGAGTCTCACTCCGTTGCCCAGGCTGGAGTGCAGTGGCACGATCTCGGCTCACTGCAAGCTCCGCCTCCCAGGTTCACGCCATTCTCCTGCCTTAGCCTCCCAAGTAGCTGGGACTACAGGCACCTGCCACCACGCCTGGCTAATTTTTTTTTGTATTTTTATTAGAGACGGGGTTTCAACGTGTTAGCCAGGATGGTCTCTATCTCCTGACCTTGTGATCCACCCGCCTCGGCCTCCCAAAGTGCTGGGATTACAGGCGTGAGCCACCGCGCCCGGCCTCAAGTGCTATTTCTTTATGGCACCAAGGAATAAGCATTTCTAACAAATGTGTGAGTGGTTAAAACCATTTTTAGGGCATTATACAAGTTTACAAACATCTCAAGGGATGAGTGTTTGGAAAGACTCCCCTGAGGTGATGTAACACTGGCTGGCTGATCATAGTGGCTCAAGTTTGTAATCCTAGCACTTTGGGAGGCCGAGGCGGGTGGATCACCTGAGGTCAGGAGTTGGAGACCAGCCTGGCCAACATGGTGAAACCCTGTCTCTACTAAAAATACAAAAATTGGCCCAGTGTGGTGGTGGGCAGTAATCCCAGGTACTCAGGAGGCTGAGGCAGGAGAATCACTTGAACCCCGGAGGCACAGGTTGCAGTGAGCCGAGATTGTGCCATTGCACTCCAGCCTGGGCGACAGAGTGAGACTCCATCTCAAAAAAAAAAAAAAAAAAAAAAATAGAAACACTGGCTTAGGCAGGGCGCGGTGGCTCACATGTGTATTCCCAGCTTTTTGGGAGACCGAGGCAGACAGATCACTTGAGGTCAGGGGTTCGAGTCCGGCCTGGCCAACATGGGGAAACCCTGCCTCCACTAAAAACACAAAAATTAGCCAGGCTTGGTGGCAGGTGTCTGTAATCCCAGCTATTTGAGAGGCTGAGGCGAGAGATTCGCTTGATCCCAGGAGGCAGAGTTTGCAGTGAGCCAAGATGACACCACTGCACTCCAGCCTGAGTTAGACTCCATCTCAAAAAAGAAGAAAACAAAACAAAACAGAAACACTGGCTTAGGCATTTATGAAAAACCCACAGCAAACATCCTACTCAATGGTGAAAGACTGACAATACACAAAAGAAAGAAAGAAATTCGTAACAGACATAAATGGAAAGACATCCCAAGTTTATAGACTGGAAGACAATAGTATTAAGATGACGATGCAGCTGGGCACGGTAGCTCATGCCTATAATCCCAGCATTTTGGGAGGCTGAGGCAGGAGGATTGCTGGAGCCCAGGAGTTTAAGATCAGCCTTGGCAACTGATATGGTTTGGCTCTGTGTCCCCACTGAAATCTCATTATGAATTATAATCTCAGCGGGTCCAGGGAGGGACATGGTGGGAGGTAACTGGATCGTGGGGGCAGTTTCCCCCATGCTGTTCTCGTAGTCATGAGTGAGTTCGCACAAGATCTGATGGTTTGAAACTGTGGTGGTTCCCTCCTCTAGCTCTTTCTCCCTCCTGCCACTATATAAGACGTGCCTTGCTTCCCCTTCCCCTTTTGCTATGATTGTAAGTCTCCTGAGGACTCCCCAGCCCTGTGGAACTGTGAGTCAATTAAACCTCTTTTCTTTATAAATTACCCAGTCTCGGGTAGTTAGTTTTAACAGCATGCACCTGGTCTCTACAACAACAACAACAAAAACTTAGCTGGGTATGGTGGCACCTGCCTGCAGTCCCAACTACTGAGAAGGCTGAGGTGGGAGGATTGCTTGAGCACGAGGTCGAGGTTGCAGTGAGCCATGGGGTCGTGCCACCACACTCCAGCCTGGGCAACACAGTAAGGGCCTGTCTCAAAAAAAAAAAAAAAAAGTGATCTAGTAACTGAATTTAATCCATATCAAAATTTGAACATCTGGCTGGGCGGGGTGGCTCACAACTGTAAATCCCAGCACTTTGGGAGGCTGAGGTGGGCGGATCACCTGAGGTCAGGAGTTCAAGACCAGCCTGGCCGACATGATGAAACCCCGTCTCTACTAAAAATACAAAAATTAGCCAGGCATGATGATGCCTGTAATTCCAGCTACTTGGGAGGCTGAGGCATGAGAATCACTTGAACCCGGGAGGTGGACGTAGCAGTGAGCTGAGATCGCACCACTGCACTCTAGCCTGGGTGACAGAGAGAGACTCCATCTCAAACAAACAAACAAAACGTGCAGAATGCTAAAGACTAAGCAAATAAGTAATAGCTACCATGTCCAGAGGCTTCCTCTAAGCCCGCTAGAAGGCACTGCCCTACAGTATTTCTCTCGTTTCCACTTGTGCAGATAAGAATACTGAAATTCAGAAGTCTCCTGCCCCTGGTTACTCCAGTAGTAAGAGGTGGGGGAACTCAGGCTCTCTCTCTTCATTGCCCACATCCTGAACCACTGCTCATGTTATATGCCCATATTTTGCATGTAAATTCAAAAGATTTAGGCGTCAGGTCCCGATCCTTTAACCCCTGGTTACCAGTCCCTGTTCTAGTCCACCCCTCAGGAGGAGGCAGCTGGAGTATCTGAGGTCAGTCACACGTGCAGTCTGCCATGCTTACATGACCAACACTTGTTTAAAATTTTGTCCCCCGGACTGCGCACGGTGCCTCACGAATGTAATCCCAGCACTTTGAGAGGCCGAGGCGGGCAGATTCCTTGAGCCCAGGAGTTCGGGACTAGCCTGGGCAACATGGCAAAACCCCGTCTCTACTAAAAATACAAAAATTAGGCCCAGCATGGTGGTGGCTCACGCCTGTAATCCTAGAACTTTGGGAGGCCGAGGCAGGCGGATCACAAGGTCCAAGAGTTTGAGAACAGCCTGGCCAACATCATGAAACCCCATCTCTACTAAAAATACAAAAAGTAGCCCGGCATGGTGGCAGGTGCCTATAATCCCAGCTACCCAGGAGGCTGAGGCAGGAGAATCGCTTGAACCCAGGAGGCAGAGGTTGCAGTGAGCCGAGACTGCGCCATTGCTCTCCAGCCTGGGCAACAGGGCGAGACTCCGTCTCAAAAAAAACAAAAAACAAAAACCAAAAATTAGCCAGGCAGAGTGGCGGGCGCCTGTAGTTGCAGCTACTTGGGAGGCTGGAGCAGGAGAATCACTTGAACCCAGGAGGCGGAAGCTGCAATGAGCCGAGATCACGCCGCTGCACTCCAGCCTGGGTGACAGAGTAAGACTTCGTCTCAAAAATAAATAAATACATAAATAAATAAAAATTAAAAAATTAGCCAGGTGTGATGGCGTACCCTTGTAATCCCAGCTACTCGTGAGGCATGAGAATAGCTTGAACCTGGGAGGTTGAGTCTGCAGTGAGCCGAAATCATGACACTGCATTTCAGCCTGGGTGACAAAGCAAGACTCAAAAAAAAAAAAAAAATTTTTTTTTCATCCTAAGATCTGGGGTGAGACTCCCTGGTTGGCAATACTGCATGCGTTTTGGCACACGTCATTACCGGGAGAATTGAGCACTGTCTAGAACTCCACTGGGGGAGGACATCTGAAAGCTCACGCCTGGTGTCTCCTGGACTCTGCCCCATCCACGTTTTCCCTTGGCTGATGATGACGATGATGATGACGATGATGATGATGATGATTATTATTATTATTTTGAGACGGAGTCTCGCTCTGTCGCCCAGGCTGGAGTGCAGTGGTGCGATCTTGGCTCACTGCAACCTCCGCCTCCTGGGTTCATGCCATTCTCCTGCCTCAGCCTCCCGAGTAGCTGGGATTCCAGGCGTGTGCCACCACGCCCAGCTAATTTTTTGTATTTTTTAGTAGAGACAGGGTTTCACCATGTTGGTCAGCTGGTCTTGAACTCCTGACCTCAGGTGATCCACCTGCCTTGGACTCCCAAAGTGCTAGGATTACAGGCGTGAGCCACCACGCCCGGCGTACAGTTTAAATTTATAAACATAAAAGAATTTGGGGGCCAGGCGCGGTGGCTCACGCCTGTAATCCTAGCCCTTTGGGAGAACGAGGCGGGCAGATCGCTTGAGCTCAGA
This sequence comes from Homo sapiens, assembly GCF_000001405.40. Taxonomy (NCBI): domain Eukaryota; kingdom Metazoa; phylum Chordata; class Mammalia; order Primates; family Hominidae; genus Homo; species Homo sapiens. The sequence goes on along the minus strand of NC_000019.10, from coordinate 48,783,039 downwards.
AGCTCGAGACCAGCCTGGGCAACATGGCAAAACCCCATTTCTACAAAAAATTTAAAAATTAGCTGAGCGTGGTAGCGAGTACCTGTAATCCCAGATACTCGGGAGGCTGAGGTGGGGGATCGCTTGAGTCCAGGAGTTCCAGGTTGCAGTGAGCAGAGATCGCGCCACTGCCCTCCATCCTGGGCGACAGAGTCAGACCTTGTTTCAATAAATAAATAAATAAATAAATAAATAAATAAATAAATAAATAAATAAATAAATAAGGTGAGGGGGGTATTTCTGAAATGACGTGGAAGCTCGGATTCTTTTTTCCAGAAGCCTCAGTTCAGAGTCTTTTCCAAGGGCCGGTTGCGGAGTTTGAGGATAGAGCACTAAGAGCACCCAATAGGAATGACTGAAAGCCCATGACGTCACTAGTGGCTGGGCAACAGCTCCAGAGTGCCTCTCGCTGACCTGCTTCGGGAAGTGGCCCCCGGTTCGCGTCACATGCCAGCCCCTGGCCTGCGTCACAGACCAGGATACACACCCAAATCCCAGGGGCCAGGAAATGTGTTCCCCGTGAAACCAAATTTAGCAAAGGAAAGAATGCAACAACTTTTAAACTCATTAAAGGCTCCCTGGCCGGGCGCGGTGGCTCACGCCTGTAATCCCAGCACTTTGGGAGGCCGAGGCGGGAGGATCACAGGGTCAGGAGATCGAGACCATCCTGGCTAACACGGTGAAAGCCCGTCTCTACTAAAAATACAAAAAATTAGCCGGGCGTGGTGGTGGGCGCCTGTAGTCCCCGCTACTCGGGAGGAGGGAGGCTGGGGCAGGAGAATGGCGTGAACCCGAGAGGCGGAGCTTGCAGTGAGTCGAGATCGCGCCACTGCACTCCAGCCTAGGCGACAGAGAGCTGTCTCAAAAAAAAAAAAAAATTGTGTTCCCCTTCCATGGATCTTATCTAGAAAAAAACACCTGTTTTTCTCAGGCTCACACTCAACACTTCTGTGACCAGGTGTGTGGGGTTTTTCCCACGCTGACAAATTCTCCTACCCAAGCTGGGTGTCCCACAATTCAATCCAACTCTGACATTATCTACCTGGAGATAGCATCGGATCCCACAGGTGAAAGGCTCAGTCCCACGAGGCTGCCCCTTGGGAGATGCCAATCACAAGTCCACGTGGTCTCACCCGAGCTTCTGACTTGCTAGTAATGGGGGTTCCCATGACTCCCTCCTTAGGCTCAGAAATTTGCTACAATGCCTCACAGAACTAAGGAAAACACATTTATCAGTTTATCATATAATTAAATAAAACCTGTCAGATAAAGAGGTGCAAAGGGCAACATCTGAACGCCTCCCGAGCACGGGAGCAAAGGATGGGTTTGGGGGAGCTTCCAGGTTGGGCGTCTCCATGGAGTTGGGGTGCTTCCCCGCCCGGAACTGTGGGCAGAGAGCCACCCAGGTGCTGAGGCAAGAGATTGAAGGCACATACTGTTTCAATATAATAAAGAAAATACTTAGAATAAGAAAAGTTATACTAGCAATAGGATATAGAGATGATTATATATGGATATTATCAATTATTAGTTTTAGTATTAATCTCTGTTTTATTATTATAACTGAGGAAAAACCAGGCGATACAGAGTCAGGAGCTGAAGGGACATGGTGAGATGTGACCAGAAGACAAGAGTGAAAGTCCTCCGCCACGCCCAGATAAGGGCTTAAGGACGCCTTGGTCTAGTGGTAGCACCAGTGCCTGGGAAGGCACCCGTTACTTAGCAGACCGGGAAAGGGAGTTTCCCCTTCCTTGGGGGAGTTAGAGAACACTCTGCCTCACCAGCCTCTTGTGGGAGGCCGGACATTAGCCAGGCCTGCCCACAGTCATCCGGAGGCTTAAACATCTCCCTGTGGTACTGTGCTTCAGTGGTCATGATCCTTGTCCACTTTCATGTTCCGCCTGTACACCTGGTTCCTCTTTTAAGTTCCTGGGAGATAGCAGTAGCAGAAATAGTGAAAATATTAAAGTCTTTGATCTCTCTGATAAGTACATAGAAAAAATGCTGACCGTATGCTGTCTTCCCTCTCTGCTTCGTCTACCAAAAAGGGAAAGGCCCCCTGTCACATGGACACGTGACTTGCTTGACCTTATTAATCATTTGAGATGACTCACACTCCTTACCCTGCCCCCTTGCCTTGTATACAATAAATAGCAGCAGTCCAGGCATTCGAGGCCACTAATGGACTCCATGCACTGGTGGTAGTGGCCCCCTGGGCCCAGCTGTCTTTCATACTCTCTCTTAGTTTCATGTCTTTCTTTCTACAATCTCTCATCTCCACACACGAAGAGAAAACCCACAAGGCCCTGTAGGGCTGGACGCTACAAGGAACCTCTCCCACCCCCATACTTTAGGGACTTTTATGGAGACTTCAGCGCATAAGTAGGATAGATTAGTAATTCCAGCTCCAGTTCCCTCTTCTTCCGGAAAGATGTGGAGTGGGATGGGGCTACAGGTTCCATGCTTCTAATATTGACTGAGTCTTGCTGGTGATCAGCCCCCATCAGGAGCCCACCAAGAGTCACCTCATTAGAAAAAAAGGTGCTCTCAGCTGGGTGTGGTGGCTCACGCCTGTAATCCCAGCACTTTGGGAGGCCAAGGGGGTAGATCACCTGAAGTCAGGAGTTCCAGACCAACCTTGCCAACATGGTGAAACCCCCGTCTCTACTAAAAATACAAAAATTAGCCAGGCATGGTGGCGGGCACCTGTAGTCCCAGCTACTTGGGAGGCTGAAGCAGGAGACTTGCTTGAACCCAGGAGGCAGAGGTTGCAGTGTGTGGAGATTGCACCACTGCACTCCAGCCTGGTGACAGAGCAAGACGCTGTCTCAAACAAAAAAAAAAAAAAAAAAAAAAAAAAAAAAGGGAAGAAGAAAATAAAAAGAAAAAAGAAAAAATGATGCTCCCATTACTCAGGAAATTCCAAGGGATTTAGGAGCCCTTTGTCGGGAACTGGGGTCAAAGATCAAATATTAGAACAAAAGATGCTGCTGGCATCCCTAACACTGGGGAAATTATAAGGGGTTTCAAAGCTCTGTCCCAGAAACTGGGGGGACAGAGACCAAATATATATTTGTTATTGTGTGACAGTGCCCCTGGGGGGATTATATCTCCCAGCACCCCTTGCAAGTCACTGGGGTTATGTGAGTGGTTCTGGCCAATGAGAAGAGCCCTGCCTCACTTCCAGCCACACCCATTAGGGAACTTCTAATGTGCCCTCTCTCTTTTCTCTACCTGCCGGTTGGATGCAGATAGCAGTGTAGTAGTCATCTATTGCTGTCTAACAAATTACCCCTGAGTTAATTCCTCACAGCTTAAACAACAAATATTTATTGTATCACATAGTTTTTTTTTTCCCTTCTCTCTCTCTCTTTTTTTTTTAGTAGCTGGGATTACAGGCACCTACCACCACACCTGGCTAATTTTTTTTTTTTTTTTGAGACGGAGTCTCGCTCTGTCACCAGGCTGGAGTGCAGTGGCATGATCTCTGCTCACTGCAAGCTCTGTCTCCTGGGTTCACGCCATTTTCCTGCCTCAGCCTCCCAAGTAGCTGGGACCACAGGCACCCACTGCCACACCTGGCTAATTTTTTGTATTTTTAGTAGAGATGGGGTTTCACCGTGTTAGCCAGGATGGTCTCGATCTCCTGACCTCGTGATCCACCTGCCTCGGCCTCCCAATTTTTGTATTTTTAGTAGAGATGGCCCTGAACTCCTGACCTCAAGTGGTCTGCCTGCCTCGGCCTCCCAAAGTTCTGGGATTACAGGTGTCAGCCATGGTGCCTGGCCTTCTCACATAGTTTCTGGAGGGTCAGGAATCCCAAGCAGCTCGGCTGGGTGTTCCTGGTTCAGGTTTCAGTCAAGCTTGTCAGCCAGGACTGCAGTCATGTGAAGGCTCGACAGAGGCTGGAGAACCCTCTTTTTTTTTTTCTCTCGAGACAGAGTCTCAGAGTCTCACTCTGTTGCCCAGGCTGGAGTGCAGTGGCACAGTCTCCACTCACTGAAACCTTTGCCTCCCAGGTTTAAGTGATTCTCCTGCGTCAGCCTCCCGAGTAGCTGGGATTACAGGCACGTGCCACCACACCCAGCTAATTTTTTGTATTTTTAAGTAGAGACGGGATTTCACCATGTTGGCCAGGCTGGTTCTCGAACACCTGGCTTCAAGTTATCCACTTGCTTTGGCCTCCCAAAATGCTGGTATTACAGGTGTGAGCCACTGAGCCTGGCCTATCCGAGCTCACTCACAGGGCTGTTGGCTGGAGGCCTTAGTTCCTCGCTGGCTGTTGATGTCTGCATGGGCTGCTTGGGCATTCCTCGTGTCTTGGCCACTAGCTTCTCCCAGAGCAAGTGATGAAAGAGAGAGTGAGAGAGAGACCACGATGGAAGCCGCAGTCTTTGTAGCCTAGTCTCAGATGTCATATCCCACCATTCCTTTTTTTTTTTTTTCTTGAGACAGGGTCCCCCTCTGTCATCAAGGCTGGAGTGCAGTGGTGCGGTCATGGCTCACTGGAGCCTCAACTTCCTAGGCTCAAGTGATACTCCTGCCTCAGCCTGCCAAGTAGCTGGGACCATGGGCACACGCCACCACACCCAGCCAATTAAAATTTTTTTTTAATTTTTTGAGACGGAGTTTTGCTCTTATTGCCCAGGCTGGAGTGCAATGGTGCGATCTCAACTCACCACAACCTCCACCTCCCGGGTTTAAGCGATTCTCCTGCCTCAGCCTCCCAAGTAGCTGGGATTACATCCCACTACGCCCGGCTAATTTTGTATTTTTTTAGTAGAGACAGAGTTTCTCCATGTTGGTCAGGCTGGTCTCGAACTCCCGACCTCAGGTGATCCGCCCACCTCTGCCTCCCAGAGTGCTGGGATTACAGGCATGAGCCACTGCGCCCGGCCTAATTTTTAAATTTTTTGTAGAGATGGGGGCCTCAGGCTGGTCTTGACCTCTTGGGCTCAAGTGATCCTCCTGCCTCAGCCTCCTAAAGTGCTGGGATTACAGGTGTGAGCGACTGCCTGGCCCATCCCACCACTTCTGCCCTGTGATATCCATCACAAAGGCCAACCCTAGTGTAATGTGGGAAAGGAATGCACATGGCATAGATACCAAGAGGTGGGGATCATTGCGGTTCACCTGGGAGCCTGCGTCCCACATCCAGAGAGACCTTGGAGGCCACGTGTGAAAATGGCAAAGCTGGCCGGGCGCAGTGGCTCACGCCTGTAATCCCAGCACTTTGGGAAGCCGAGGCGGGAGGATTACCTGAGGTCAGGAGTTCGAGATCAGCCTGGGCAACACGGTGAAACCCCGTCTCTACTAAAAATACAAAATTAGCCGGGCGTGGTGACACATGCCTGTAATCCCAGCTACTTGGGAGGCTGAGGCAGGAGAATCGCTTGAACCCGGGAGGCGGAGGATGCGGTGAGCCGAGATCGCGCCATTGCACTCCAGCCTGGGCAACAAGAGTAAATCTCCATCTCACCAAAAAAAATAGAAGAAGAAGAAGAAAAAAAAAAGAAAATGACAGAGCTGCTATCAGCCTGAGTCCTTGACCCTCTGTCTTTCTACTAGTTAGACTTTACATGAATAGAAACAAAAATCAACTGTAGGGCCAGGTGCAGTGGCTCACACCTGTAATCCCAGTGCTTTGGGAGGCCAAGGCAAGAGGGTTGCTTGAACCCAGGAGTTTGAGACTACTGGGCAACATAGTGAGACCCCATCTCTCTGTAAAAAAAAAAAAAAAAAAAATCAATTAGGCCAGGCACGGTGGCTCACGGCCACTCAGCACTTTGGGAGGCCGAGGCCGGCAAATCACGAGATCAGGAGTTCCAGACCAGCCTGGCCAACATGGTGAAACCCTGTGTCTACTAAAAATACAAAAAATTAGCTGGGCATAGTGGCAGGTGCCTGTAATCCCACCTACCCCGGAGACTGAGGCAGGAGAATCGCTTGAACCCGGGAGGCAGAGGTTGTAGTGATCGCACCACTGCATTCCAGCCCGGATGAAAGAGTGAGACTCCGTCTCAAAAAAAAAAAAAAAAAAACAATTGTTCAAACCACTGATATTTTAGTGTGGGTCCGTCCCAGTGTTTCACATTGCTATAACTAATTCAGAGATCAGTTACCAATGGGACAGCATGGGGAAGGTTAAACTGAACACGTAGCACTGTGTGACTTTACTGTGTACATATATAACTTTGATTAAAAAAGTAAATATGAAAAAGCGGGAATACAGAAAACCCATTCAATCCAAGTGAAGGAAGGAATAAAAAAATAAAAATAACCCACTGAATAAACTCCAGATGGATCAAAGTCTTCAGTATCAGATAGGAAACCATAACGAGTGAGAAGTAAGCATTGGAAAATTATTTTATAACATGGGCATGACCGTGACTCAAACTTCAGAGGCCAGAAAAGAAAACATTGATATGGTCAAATACATTAAATAGAAATCGGCATTCTTCCCCTTCCCTAAATTTGTCTTCCTGAACGATAAAGTTCTAAGGTTTGAGGTGGGGCAGGCAAGGCCAGCTTGGGGTGTTGGGGGCACAGTGGCCCAGAAGTGGGGTGTCAGGGCCTTAGTGGGGTGAAGGAGGCATTTACTGATGTGAGCAGCTCAGCACAGTGGGGGGCACCCAAGTAGGAAACGTAAGTCCCCTAGGCTAATAGGATGGGGGGCTGTAGCTCGGGAAGTCAGCCCAAGCTGGGTGCAGAGGGCACAGGGGAGGTGGAAGGAGGGGACAGCTGTGGAGATGAGAGATGGCTAACATAGAGGAGAATTGACCGATAAGGAAATTAAGAAAATGAAGTCATATTTCTCACTGTCAGAAAAGGCAGATATAAATATGGAAAGGGAGAGAACTAGAGGTATTGAATTTGTCTTTATTTATTTATTTTTTTGAGACAGAGTCTCACTCTGTTGTCCAGGCTGGAGTGAAGTGGCATAATCTTGGCTCACTGCAACCTCCACCTCCTGGATTCAAGCGATTCTCCTGCCTCAGCCACCCGAGTAGCTAGGATTAGAGGCCTCCAGCACCACACCCAGCTAATTTTTGTATTTTTAGTGGAGACAGCGTTTCACCATATCGGCCAGGTTGGTCTCAAACTCCTGACCTCTAGTGATCTGCCCGCCTTGGCCTCCCAAAGTGCTGGGATTATAGGCATGAGCCACGGCACCCAGTCTAGGTGTTGGATTTCTTTTTTTTTTTTTTTTTGAGATGGAGTCTCACTCTGTCTCCCAGGCTGAAGTACAGTGGCACCATCTTGGCTCACTGCAGCCTCTGCCTCCCAGGTTCAAGTGATTCTTCCACCTCAGCCTCCTGAGTAGCTGGGATTGTGGGCGCCTGCCATCACACTCAGCTAATTTTTGTATTTTTGGTAGAGATGGGGTTTTGCTATGTTGGCCAGGCTGGTCTCAAACTCCTGACCTCAAGTGATCCACCCACCTCGGCCTTCCAAAGTGTTGGTATTACAGGCATCAGCCACCATGCCTGGCCAGATATTGGATTTGAATTGGATGTGTCGTTCTCAATATGCAGAAATAGATATGGAAATATACAAATGTATACATACCTAATATATGTGTGTCTATGTATACATACCTCCTATGTAGATATATATACACATATATACATAACATGCACAAAATAGATATAATAGACATATTACATGGTGGATATATAATATACAATGTGATATCTGTAGTATATAATGTAATATATGAGGTACAATGTGATATATACAATATACTACACACATACATGTATATATTTGTTCGTTGAGATGGAGTGTCTCTCTGTTGCTCAGGCTGGAATGCAGTGGCACGATCATGCGTCACTGCAGACTCTGCCTCATGGGCTCAAGCGATCCTCCATCCTCAGCCTTCTGAGTAGCTGGGACCACAGGTGTGCACCACCACGCCTGGCTAATTTTTAAATTATTAGTAGAGACTGGGCCTCACTATGTTGCGTAGGCTGGTCTCAAACTCTTGGGCTCAAGCAGTCCTCCTGCCTCAGCCTCCCAAAGTGCTGAGATTACAGGTGTGAGCCACTGTGCCTGGCCCCACATATGTGCGTGGTGTGTGTGTGTGTGTGTGTGTGTGTGTGTGTGTGTGTGTGTGTATATGTAATCCGTCCCCTGAGAGGATCCATTAGCAGACAAAATTCAAAAACAAAAGCAACGAGCCCTGTTAGTGTTTGGATCTTGGCTTCCCATTCTAAAAGGAACCAGGGCTCCTTGGAGAAACAGCTGATTCTAGAGCTGGTTTAGAGAAAGAAAAAAAATGAGCCTAGAACATTTTGCTGTACCAGAAATCAGGAACGACTCAAGTGTGACTAATGGAGGCCTGTCAAAAACGCATGGTTTCCAAGCCCTTGAGAGCTGATTAAAACAAACAAACAGGCTGGGCGCGGTGGCTCACATCTGCAATCCCAGCACTTTGCGAGGCTGAGGCAGGCAGATCACTTGAGGCCAGGAGTTCAAGACCAGCCTGGGGAACATGGTGAAACCCCGTCTCTACTAAAAATACAAAAATTAGCCAGGCGTGGTGGCGCATGCCTGGTAATCCCAGCTACTTGGGGGGCTGAAGTGGGAGGAAGGCTTGAGCCTGGGAGGCGGAGGTAGCAGTGAGCCGAATCACATCACTGCACTCCAGCCTGGGTGACAGAGCAAGACCCTGTCTCAAAAACAAACAAACAAACAAAGCACATAGCCACCAGCTTGAGGGGGCTCCCATTGGGAAAATAGAGGACTAAATACAGAGTACCCCAAAAAGTAAATAAAGAGCCGGGTACGGTGGCTCACGCCTATAATCCCAGCACTTTGGGAGGCTGAGGCAGGCAGATCACGAGGTCAGGGATTTGAGACCAGCCTGACCAACATGGTGAAACCTCGTCTCTACTAAAAATACAAAAAAATTAGCCGAGTGTGGTGGTGCACGCCTGTAGTCCCAGCTACTCAGGAGGCTGAGGCAGGAGAATCACTTGAACCCAGGAGGTGGAGGTTGCAGTGAGCCGAGATCGCGCCACTGCACTCTAGGCTGGGTGACAGATGGAGACTCTGTCTTGAAAGAAAAAAAAGTAAATAAAAAGAGCATCAAAATAAATGAGTTTGAACACCAAAAATAGAGAATGATATAACTGATTATAACTCATGGAATAAAATAGGAAACCATGAGTCCACACAGACATAAATAAATCCATTAATAACTGGAAGGGCCAGGCATGGCATCCTGCAGTGATGGCATTCTGTTCCCAGCTACTCAGGAGGCTGAGGTGGGAGGATCACTGAGTCCAGTGAGGTCAAGGCTGCAGTGAGCTGTGATTGCATCACTGCATTCCAGCCTGGGCAATAGAGCAAGACCCTGTCTCTAAAAAATATAATTAAAAAAATAATAACTTGAGCCAGGCACGGTGGTTCACACCTGTAATCCCAGCACTTTGGGAGGCCGAGGTGGTGGATCACTTGAGGTCAGGAGTTCGAGACCAGCCTGGGCAACATGATGAAACCCCGTCTCTACCAAAAAGACAAACAATTAGCTGGGTGTCATAGCGTGTGCCTGTGGTCCTAGCTACTTGGGAGGCTGAGGTGGGAGTCGCTTGAGGCTGGGAGACTGAAGTAGTGAGCCAAATTGTAGCACTGCACTCCAGCCCGGGCGACACAGCAAGACTCCATCTCAAAAAAAACAAAAAAAATGGCCCAGGCGCAGTGGGTCACGCCTGTAATCTCAGCACTTTGAGAGGCCAAGGCGGGTGGATCATGAGGTCAGGAGTTCGAGACCAGCCTGACCAACATGGTGAAACCCCATCTTTACTAAAAATACAAAAATTAGCTGGCTGTGGTGGCATGTACCTGTAATCCCAGCTACTCAGAAGGCTGAGGCAGGAGAATTGCTTGAACCCGGGAGGCAGAGGTTGCAGTGAGCCAAGATCGCGCCATTGCACTCAAGCCTGGGCGACAGAGTGAGACTCTGTCTGAAAAAAAAAAAAAAAAAAAAAAAGAAAACAAAAAATCCTGAAGATTTCCTGAGGAATGTGATATTAGTATAGTTTCAAAGCTCTCATTGCTTGGCAAGGACAAGTCCGGCTGATGCCACTTGCATCATGTGACTGAAGCAAATGTCATCAGAAACTGGAGAGGTGGACGCCGCGAGTGACCTGACTTCCAGTGAGAAACACACAACATGATCTCAGTCGTTGTGCTGCCAAAGAATCCGATCACGAGGAAACATCAAATAAATCCACATGGAGGGAGAGACGACTCGATAACCGGCCTGTAATGTTCCAAATGCCAAGGTCATGAACACCAGGGAAGACTGAGGAACTGTCCTTCCTGACTTTCAAAGAGACCTGCCCTCAGAAGCAGTGCATGACCCTGAACTGCATTCTTTTTTTGGCAGTGGGGAGAGCAGAGTCTCGCTTTGTTGCCCAGGCTGGAGTGCGGTGGTGCAATCATGGCTCACTACAACCTCCACCTCCCGGGTTCAAGAGATTCTCCTGCCTCAGCCTCCTGAGTAGCTGGGATTACAGATGCCCGCCACCACGCCCGGCTATTTTATTATTATTATTATTATTATTATTTTTGAGACAGAGTTTCACTCTTGTCATCTGGGCTGGAGTGCAGTGGCACGATCTCGGCTCACTGCAACCTCCTCCTCCAGGGTTCAAGTGATTCTCCTGCCTCAGCCTTCCGAGTAGCTGGGGTTACAGGCATCCATTTTTGGTAATTTTTGCATTTTTAGTAGAGACGGGGTTTTGCCATGTTGGCCAGAGTGGTCTCGAACTCCTGACTTCAGGTGATCCGCCCGCCTTGGCCTCCCAAAGTGTTGGGATTACAGGCGTGAGCCACCGCTCCCGGCTCTGAACTGCATTCTTTTGCCATAAAAAGCATCACTGGGACATGTGGCAAACATGAAGGAGGTCTGATGATTCCAGAGTAGTCGTGGGTCAAGGCTACTTTCCTGATTTTGGCGGCCCTGCTGTGGTTGTGTAGGAGAATGTCCTTGTTTGCAGAAAGTACACACTGGAGTATGTGTTAATGTAGTGATGGGGTTTCAAGGGCACATGTGACTTTCAAATGGTTCTGGAAAATAAGAATTGCTTGTACTGTACTTCCAAATTTTTAAATGTTTGTGACTGTTTCCAAGTTAAGAAAATTTATTTATTTATTTTTAGAGACAGGGTCTTGCTCTGTCACCTAGGCTGGAGTGCAATGGTGCAATCATAGCTCACTGCAGCCTCAAACTCCTGAATTCAGGCGACCCACCCACTTCAGCCTCCCAAGTAGCTGGGACTGTAGGTGTGTGCCACCATGCCCGGCACATTTTTGTATGTTTTTTTAGAGACGGTGTTTCACCATGTTACCCAGGCTGGTCTCGAACTCCTGGGCTCAAGGAATCGATCCTCCTGCCTCGGTCTCCCAAAGTGCTCGGATCACAAGGGTGTGCCACAGCGCCTGGCCCACTCTTGAAATTTTAACATGCATCCTTAAAGTGACCAAATCTAAATATAATCATTCTGTCATATTCCAGAATAACAAAAGATTTCAAAGCATTCTAATCCTGATCACCTGCCACCTGTTTTACAGGTTTTAATTGGTCTTTTTTTTTTTTTTAAGTTTTATTATGAAAAAACGGCGACTATGCAAACCAAATAGACCTCTAGGGAGTGGGCTGCAGGCAGCGGGTCTCTCACCTCCAAGAGGGTGTGGCCTAATGGAGTCTGGGACCTCTCTCTGAGGGGCCTGGAAATCTACTTCCGGAAGAGCAGAAAGTAACAGGAAGCTGGAGCCATTGCTGTCCCTGGCTCCTGGCAAGACGCAGTGTGGAACTAGGGTCTTGTGAGAAATCCCTACACCCCTCCTCCTGCCAGCCAGCGCCCTGCCAGGGCCCCGTGCTGCTGGTGCCAGCTGCCAAGGGGGTCACAGAGCTGGAGGGTCAGCTTTGTGGCAGAGACAGCGGCGAAGCTTCACCCAAACAAGTAGAGGAAAAATGGGCTCACCCTGAGTGTGTAACAAAGAGGAAATGCCCCACACGTTTCCCGGAGAAGGTCCTGGAACAAACAGCCGTGAAATCATCTCATGTCCCAACCTATTACAATACTATGACTTAGAACAAGTTTTTCAGGCTGTATTATAAAAATAAGACACTCTGAGTCGACTGGGCGCGGTGGCTCACGCCTGAAATCCCAACACTTTGGGACGCCGAGGCGGACAGATCACCTGAGGTCAGGAGTTTGAGACCAGCCAGGCCAACATAGTGAAACCCCGTCTCTACTAAAAATACAAAAAAATTAGCTGGGCGTGGTGGCGGGTGCCTGTAATCCCAGCTACTCGGGAGCCTGAGGCGGGAGAATCATTTGAATCTAGGAGGAGGAGGTTGCAGTGAACCGAGATCTTGCCATTGCACTCCAGCCTGGGTGACGAGCAAAACTGCGTCTCATAAATAAATAAATAAATAAATAACCCAATTCATGTGGTTACGACAAACTCTAAGATAACACGGGCTTTGCCCTGGAATGTCGGCTTGGTGAGAATTGACTTGGAAGAGGGCATTCAGGCTGTTGTAACAAAAATACCACAGACTGTGTAGCTTAAGGAACAAATATGTATCTCTCATAGTTCTGGAGGGTGTGGAGTCCAACATCAAGGCAGCAGCATATTCTGTGTCTGGTGTGGGCCAGTTTCCTTGTTCATTGCTGGCACCTTCTTGCTGTGTTTCCACTTGGTGAAAGGGTAAGGGAGCTCTCTGGGAGGGTATTTTTTGAGACGGAGTTTCGCTTTTGTCGCCCAGGCTGGAGTGCAATAGCGTGATCTCAGCTCACTGCAACCTCCGCCTCCCAGGTTCAAGTGATTCTCCTGCCTCAGCCACTTAATTAGCTGGGATTACAGGCATGCGCCACCATACTGGGCTACTTTCGGCTAATTTTTGTATTTTTAGTAGGGACGGGGTTTCACCATGACTTCAGGTGATCTGCCCACCTCGGCCTCCCAAAGTGCTGGGATTACAGGCGTGAACCACCACACCGGCCATATTTATTTATTTTTGAGACAAGGTCTCTCTCTATCACCCAGGTTGGAGTGCAGTGGTGTGATCACAGCTCACTGTAGCCTTGACCTCCCCAGCTCAAGTGATCCTCCCACCTCAGCCTCTTAACTAGCTGGGACTACAGGTGCGCTTCACCACACTTGGCTAATTTTTTTTTTTTTTTTTTTGGTAGAGATGGGCTTTTGCTATGTTGCCCAGTCTGGTTTAGAACTCCTGGGCTCAGGTGATCCTTCTACCTTGGCCTCTCAAAGTGCTGAGATTACAGGTGTAAGCCACCTTGCCCAGCCTTCTCGAAAATATTTAAAGCATTTGTAAGAATCTGGTATATCAGACTTGTGAAAAGTATGACAGAGTGTATTACTGTTTTTCTCCTATTCATGGCATTTAAGGGAAACCACAATATCAGATTTGTGAAAAGTTCACTGATTAAATGTGCAATCACTGTTCAAATATTTAGGCGAAATCTACAATTGTGAAATTTGTGGCTTGTTATTTTTAGCTGTAGAAGTAGTCTGTGAATGTTTAAAGGAAAGATAATTGTTTAAAAATTCATTGATCATTAACAAAAAAACAAATTGTTGTGAATTTTCCTGTCCATGTACAAAAGCTTCTCAGTCATTCAAGGAGCTCACCACCATGTTTTCAACAAATGGGGCTGGAAAAAGTGGCCAGGAGCTGAAGGGAGGAGAATTGGGGAAGTGGGATTTAATTGCGGCAGAGAGTTTCAATTTTATCAGATGAAAAAATTCTGAAGATTGGTTGTGCAACAATGTGAATATACTTAACGCGACTTAACTGTACACTTAGAAATGATTCAGGTGCCGTGGGGTTATGATACAGATTGGTTTTCGGCCAGGTGCAATGGCTTACGCTTGTAATCCAACACTTTGGGTGGCCGAGGCGGGCAGATCACTTGAGGTCAGGAGTTCTGAGAGCCGCCTGGCCAACATGGTGAAACCCTGTCTCTACTAAAAATACAAAAATTAGCCGGGCATGGTAGCGCAAACCTGAAGTCCCAGCTACTTGGGAGGCTGAAGCACGAGAATCTCTTGAACCCGGGAGGCGGAGGTTCCAGTGAGCCCACTGCACTCCAGCCCGGGCAACAGAGCGAGATTCTTTCTCTCAAAAAAAAACAAAAAAAAAAAACAAAAAAAACAAAAACAAAAACAAAAAACCTCCAAAAAATTAGCCAGGTGGAGGCACCTGTAATCTGAGCCACTTAGGAGGCTGAGGCAGGAGAATTGCTTGAACCTGGGAGGCAGAGGTTGCAGAGAGCTGAGATTGTGCCACTGCACTCCAGCCTGGGCGACAGTGACCCTGTCCCCCTCCACCCCTCCGAAAAAAAAAGAAAAGAAAACAAGAACAGTAGTCAAATCTCTAGGGGCTCCAGTGAGTAGGTGAGGATAGGGTGTGGTGGAGAAGCTGAAAGATGCTAAATAGCCTGGCTCCCCAGGGATCTGGGAAGTGCTCACTCAGTAGAACCTCCCTCTTGGAAGGACGAAGCTCCACACTGGTGAAAACTAATAGAGAAACAAAACCCAAACTGATCTTGGCAGGCGCTCAGAGAGTAAAGCAGAGGGAAGGTTCTGATAATGGTGGGGGCAAGAACCAAGGAGATAGAGTTTGCTCCTGAACGTTGGAGAGGTGGCTGTGCTGAGTGGTTATATATTGCATACAATACTGTGGGGAAACAGCAAAGAGTCAGCCTATTTATTTATTTGTTATTTATATATTTAATTTTTTGAGACAGGGGCTCGCTCTGTCACCCAGGCTGGAGTGCAGTGGTGTGATCTTGGCTCACTGCAACCTCCGCCTCCTGGGTTCAAGCGATTCTCCTGCCTCAGCCTCCCGAGTAGCTGGGATTACAGGTGCCCACCACCATGCCCAGATAGTTTTTTTGTTTTGTTTTGAGATGGAGTCTTGCTCTGTTGCCCAGGTTGGAGTGCAGTGGCGTGATCTCAGCTCACTGCAGCCTCTGCCTCCTGGGTTCAAGAGATTCCTGTGCCTCAGCACTTTGGGAGGCCGAGGCAGGCGGATCATGAAGTCAGGAGAACGAGACCATCCTGGCTAACATGATGAAACCCCGTCTCTACTAAAAATACAAAAACAAAATTAGCTGGGCGTGGTGGTGGGTGACTGTAGTCCCAGCTACCCGGGAGGCTGAGGCAGAAGAATGGCGTGAACGCGGGAAGTGGAGCTTGCAGTGAGCCGAGATCGCTCCACTGCACTCCAGCCTGGGCGACAGAGCGAGACTCCATCTCAAAAAAAATAAAAAATAAAAAATAAATAAGAGATTCCTGTGCCTCAACCTCCCAAGTAACTGGGACCGCAGGTGTGCACCACCACGCCCAGCTAATGTTTGTAATTTTAGTAGAGACAGGGTTTCACCTTGTTGGGCAGACTGGTCTGGAACTCCTGACCTCAGGGGATTCGCTCACCTTGGCCTCCCAAAGTGCTGGGATTACAGGCGTGAGCCACTGTGACCGGCAAAACTTTTAAGATTTTTAAGGCTCAGAAAGCTATCCTGGCCCACCCTAATGTCAACTGTGCAACTTCCTCCTAAGGGTACGGCTCACTTAAATGAGAGAAAAAGAAGAGGAGTGTGAGGCCAGGTGCGGTGGCTTACGCCTGTAATCCCAGCACTGTGGGAGGCCAAGGCAGGCGTATCACCTGAGGTCAGGAGTTCGAGACCAGCCTGACCAACATGGAGAAACCCTGTCTCTACTAAAAATACAAAATTAGCCAGATGTGGTGGCACATGCCTGTAATCCCAGCTACTTGGGAGGCTGAGGCAGGAGAATTGCTTGAACCCGAGAGGCAGAGGTTGCAGTGAGCCGAAATCATGCCATTGCACTCCAGCCTGGGCAACAAGAGAGAAACTGTCTTAAAAAAAAAAAAAAAAAGAAGAAGAAGAGGAGTGTGACTAACTCCGTGTAGAGGTGTGCATTGGGGAAATAGCGTCCTGGAAGCTTCATGTCTACCTGGTACCGCTGAATGTGTCCTTACTTGGAAATACGGCCTTTGTAGATGAAATCAAGTTCAGGTGAGGTTATACCGGGTTGGGGTGTGCGCTAAGTCCTATATGATTGGTGTCCTTATAGGAAGAGGGAAATTAAGACAAAGAGCCAAGCGTGGTAGCTCACACCTATAACCCCAGCACTTTGAGAGGCCGAGGTGGGAGGATTGCTTGAGCCCAGGAGTTCAAGACCAGCCTGGCCAACATGACCCTGTCTGTACCAAAGTAAAAGTTAAAAGAACTAGCCAGGGCCAGGTGCAGTGGCTCACGCTTGTAATCCCAGCACTTTGGGAGGCCAAGGCAGGCAGTTCACTTGAGGTCAGGAGTTGGAGAGCAGCCTGGCCAACATGGCGAAACCCTGTCTCTACTAAAAATGCAAAAATTAGCTGGGCATGGTGGCGCAAACCTGAAGTCCCAGCTACTTGGGAGGCTGAAGCATGAGAATCTCTTGAACCCGGGAGGCAGAGGTTCCAGTGAGCCCACTGCACTCCAGCCCGGGCAACAGAGCGAGATTCTCTCTCAAAAAAAAGCAAAACAAAAACCCCCCAAAATTAACGAGGTGGGGGCACCTGTAATCCCAGCTACTTAGGAGGCTGAGGCAGGAGAATTGCTTGAACCTGGGAGGCAGAGGTTGCAGTGAGCCAAAATCATGCCACTGCACTCCAGCCTGGGCGACAGTGACCCTGTCCCCCTCCCCCACCCCCCCAAAAAAAGAAAAGAAAACAAGAACAGTAGTCAAATCTCTAGGGGCTCCAGTGAGTAGGTGAGGATAGGGTGCGGTGGAGAAGCTGAAAGATGCTAAATAGCCTGGCTCCCCAGGGATCTGGGAAGTGCTCACTCAGTAGAACCTCCCTCTTGGAAGGACGAAGCTCCACACGGGTGAAAACTAATAGAGAAACAAAACCCAAACTGATCTTGGCAGGCGCTCAGAGAGTAAAACAGAGGGAAGGTTCTGATAATGGTGGGGGCAAGAACCAAGGAGATAAGAGTTTGCTCCTGAACATTGGAGAGGTGGCTGTGCTGAGTGGTTATATATTGAATACAGTACTGTGGGGAAACAGCAAAGAGCCAACCTATTTATTTATTGTGTGTGTGTGTATATATATATATAGACAGAGAGAGAGACGGGCTCGCTCTGTCGCCCAGGCTGAAGTGCAGTGGCATGATCTTGGCTCACTGCAACCTCCGCCTCCTGGGTTCAAGCGATTCTCCTTCCTCAGCCTCCTGAGTAGCTGGGACCTCAGGTGCCCACCACCATGCCCAGAGAGTTTTCTTTTTCTTTTCTTTTTTTTTTTTAGACAGAGTCTTGCTCTGTCGCCCAGGTTGGAATGCAGTGGCACGATCTCAGCTGCCTACAGCCTCTGCCTCCTGGGTTCAAGAGATTCCTGTGCCTCAACCTCCCGAGTAGCTGGGACCTCAGGTGCACACCACTGCACCCAGCTAATTTTTTTAATTTTAGTAGAGGCAGGTTTCACCATGTGGGCCAGATTGGTCTTGAACTCCTAACCTCAGGGGATTCACCTGCCTCAGCCTCCCAAACTGCTGGGATTACAGGCGTGAGCCACCGTGCCTGGCCAAACTTAAAAGAAATTTTTTTTTAATTTTGTGAGATGGAGTTTACCTCTTGTTGCCCAGGCTGGAGTGCAGTGGCGCAATCTTGGCTCACCACAACCTCTGCCTCCCAGGTTCAAGCGATTCTACTGCCCCAGCCTCCCGAGTAGCTGGGATTATAGGCATGCACCACCACACCAAGCTACTTTTGTATTTTTAGTAGAGACGGGGTTTCTCCATGTTCGTCAGGCTGGTCTCAGCCAAACTTTAAGATTTTTAAGGCTCAGAAAGCTATCCTGGCCCACCCTAGTGCTAACTGTGCAACTTTCTCCTAAGGGTACAGCTCACTTAAATGTGAGGAAAAGAAGAGGAGTGTGAGGCTGGCCGTGGTGGTTCACACCTGTAATCCCAAAACTTTGAGAGGCCGAGGCGGGCGGATCTCCTGAGGTCGGGAGTTCGAGACCAGCCTGACCAACATGGTGAAACCCCATCTCTACTAAAAATACAAAATTAGCCAGGCTTGGTGGTGCATGCCTGTAATCCCAGCCACTCCGGAGGCTGAGGCAGGAGAATCGCTTGAACCTGGGCAGCGGAGGTTGCGGTGAACCGAAATTGTGTCATTGCACCCCAGCCTGGGCAACAAGAGTGAAACTCTGTCTGCAAAGAAGAAGAAGAAGAAGAAGAGTGTGACCAAATTTATGTAGAGCTGTGCACTGAGGGAAAATAGTGTCCTGGAAGCTTCAGGTCTACCTGGAACCTCTGAATGTGATCTTCCTGGGAAATAGGGTCTTTGTAGATGGAATCAAGTTCAGGTGAGCTCATACTGGGTTGGGGTGTGTGCTAAATCCTATGTGACTGGCGTCCTTATAGGAAGAGGGAAATTAAGACAAAGAGTCAGGCGCAGTAGCTCACACCTATAATCCCAGCACTGTGGGAGGCCGAGGTGGGAGGATGGCTTGAGCCCAGGAGTTCAAGACCAGCCTGGCCAACATAGTGAGACCCTGTCTGTACAAAAGTAAAAGTTAAACTAGCCAGGGCCAAGCACAGTGGCTCACGCTTGTAATCCCAGCACTTTGGGAGGCTGAGGTGGACGGATCACCTGAGGCCAGGAGTTGAAGAACAACCTGGTCAATAAGCAAAACCCCGTCACTACTAAAAATACAAAAATTAGCCAGGTGTGGTGGTGCGCGCCTGTAGTCCCAGCTACCTGGGAGGCTGAGGCAGGAGAATTGCTTGATCCTGGGAGGCGGCGGTTGCAGTGAGCCGAAATCATGCCACTGCACTCCAGCCTGGGCGACAGAGTGAGACTCCATCTCAAAAAAAAAAAAGAAAAAAAAATCATAAGTGAAGGCTCTATTAGAAAGAGCATGAGAGGAAATAGACACAACAGAGGAAAAAAAAATTTTTTTTAGGTGGAGTCTTGCTCTGTAGCCTGCTTGTTCTGGGGTGCAGTGGAGCCGTAATACCTCATGCAGCCTTGACCTCCTGGGCTCAAGTGAGCCTCCCACCTGAGCCCCACGAGTAGCTGGGATTACACCTGGCTAATTTTTCTATTTTTTGTAGAGACGGGAATCTCGCTATGTTACCCAGGCTGGTCTCAAACTCCTGGTCTCGAACAATCCTCCCCACTCAGCCTCCCAAAGTGCTGGGATTACAGGTGTAAGCCACCATGCCTGGTCTAATTTTTTATTTTTTAGAGACAGATCTCACTGTGTCGTGCAGGCTGTAGTGCTGTGGCACAGCCACCATCAATCTTCCAGGCTCAGGTGATCCTCACACCTCAGGCTCCAGGGTAGTTGAATTTCTTTCTTTTTTTTTTTTAAATAGACGGAGTCTCGCTGTGTCGCCAGGCTGGAGTGCAGTGGCACGATCTCGGCTGACTGCAACCTTTGCCTCCTGGGTTCAAGCGATTCTCATGCCTCAGCCTCCCAAGTAGCTGGGATTACAGGCACACGCGACCACACCCAGCTAATTTTTGTATTTTTAGTAGAGACGGGGTTTCACCATGTTGACCAGGATGGTCTCCATCTCCTGACCTTGTGATCCGCCCACCCTGGCCTTACAAAGTGCTGGGATTACAGGCTTGAACCACCGTGCCTGGCCCGAAATTTTAATTTTTGTAGAGATGGTGTCTCGTTATGTTGCCCAGGCTGGTCTCAAATTCCTGGCCTTAAGTTATCCTCCTGCCTCAGCCTCCCAAAGTGCTGGGATTACAAGCGTGAGCCGCTGCACCTGGCCAACGTTTGCAAAGGATTTGGGATGCAGATTTCACTCAACCAAAGAGCGAACTAGAGTCACTCCCAGCCCCTATAGCCAATGCTTGAGTGTGGAATCTCTGTCAATAAATTCATCCCAATTCAACATTCAATTGCTTCCATCATGCCCCATCATTCCCCAGTGATCCCGTCCCAGACCGGCTTCTCAGTGTGGGTTCTGTCAATATCAGTGAGCAAGGTCTTGCAGTTCTCCGGGTGCATATGGCAGCCCTCACCGCCCACACCCTGCAGCTCATCCTGTACAACCTGCCGGGAGCTGAGTCTGGACGCAGGTCTGGAAGCATCCAGAGCTGGGGGGCTTGACCCTGCGGAGGATCCGTGGTTCCCTGCGAGACAGCAACCTAGGACAGGCTTTGCAGACAGGGGACCCCAGACTGTCCAGATGAGGAAAGCGGCTCCTTCTACAGGAAGTGGGTACAACAGGGTTGGGAGTTCAAGGTCCTCAGGTACAGTGAAGTGTCCCCATTTGAACACATTTCTCAGCTTCCCTGCCTGCCTTTCCTCTCTCTGGGTCTCTGTCCCCCTCTGTCTGTGGATCTCTGTTCCTCTCTCTCTGGGTCTCTGTCTCCCTTTTCCCTGGGTCTTCTCCTCCCTCTAGGTCTCTGTCCTCTCTCTGGGTCTCTGTCCCCCTCTCTCTGGGCCTCTGTTCCCCTCTCTCTCTGGGTCTCTGTCCCCCACTCCCCGGGTCTCTGTCTCCCTCTCTCTGGGCCTCTGTCCCCCTCTCTCTCTGGGTCTCTGTCCCCCTCTCTCTCTGGGCCTCTGTCATCCCCCGGGTCTCTGTCCCCCTCTCTCTGGGCCTCTGTCCCCCCTCTCTCTGGGCCTATGTCCCCCTCTCTCTCTGGGTCTCTGTCCCTCTCTCTCTGTGTCTCTGTCCCCCTCTCTGTGGGTCTCTGTCCCCCTCTCTCTCTGGGTCTCTGTCCTCCTCTCTCTGGGTCTCTGTTCCCCCTCTCTGTGGGTCTCTGTTCCCCTCTCTCTCTGGGTCTCTGTCCTCCTCTCTCTGGGTCTCTGTCCCCCCTCTCTGTGGGTCTCTGTTCCCCTCTCTCTCTGGGTCTCTGTCCCCCTCTCTCTCTGGGTCTCTGTCCCCCTCTCTCTCTGGGTCTCTGTCCCCCTCTCTCTCTGGGTCTCTGTCCCCCCCCTTCCTCTGGGTCTCTGTCCCTCTCTCTGAGTCTCTGTCTTCCTTTTTCCCTGGGTCTCTGCCCCCCCTCTCTCTGGGTCTCTGTCCCCCTCTCTCTCTGGGTCTCTATCCCCCTCTCTCTCTGGGTCTCTGTCCCCCTCTCTCTCTGGGTCTCTGTCCCCCCCTCTCTCTGGGTCTTTGTCCCCCTTTCTCTCTGTGTCTCTGTCTCCCTCTCTCTGGGACTCTCCCTCTCTCTCTGGGTCTCTGTCCCCTACTCTCTCTGAGTCTCTGTCTTCCTTTTTCCCTGGGTCTCTGTCCCCCTCTCTCTCTGGGTCTCTGTCCCCCTCTCTCTCTGGGTCTCTGTCCCCTTCTCTCTCTGAGTCTCTGTCTTCCTTTTTCCCTGGGTCTCTGTTCCCCTCTCTCTCTGGGTCTCTGTCCCCCTCTCTCTCTGGGTCTTTGTCCCCCTTTCTCTCTGGGTCTCTGTCTCCCTCTCTCTGGGACTCTCCCTCTCTCTCTGGGTCTCTGTCCCCTTCTCTCTCTGAGTCTCTGTCTTCCTTTTTCCCTGGGTCTCTGTCCCCCTCTCTGGGTCTCTGTCCCCCTCTCTCTCTGGGTCTCTGTCCCCCTCTCTCTCTGGGTCTCTGTCCCCCTCTCTCTCTGGGTCTCTGTCTCCCTCTCTCTCTGGGTCTCTGTCCCCCTCTCTCTCTGGGTCTCTGTTGCCCTCTCTCTCTGGGTCTCTGTCTCCCTCTCTCTGGGACTCTCCCTCTCTCTCTGGGTCTCTGTCTCCCTATCTCTGGGTCTCTGACCCCCCCATCAGGTCCCTGTCCCCCCTTCTCTCTGGATGTTGGGCTCTGACCTTCCCTCTGGGTCTGTGTCTCCTGGTCTCCAGCCTGGCATGGCGGGCGGGTGGGAACCGGGTCAGGATGGTGCCCAGTGCTCCCTCCTCTTTCCACACTGGCCACCTCGCCTTTCCTTGACAGCAGTATGCGGTCTCTTCTGACAAGGAACTTACGTGTCACCTGAGTCACCCCCAGGACCTAAACCACTGCTCGGGAGCTTTGTGAAATTTCAAATTCTATTTCCTTCCCTTGACTGAGCCAGGCTTGTGTGATCAGAGTTGAAAACTACCCTTTCTACAAATGGTGACTTTCATTTTTTCTGGGCATCAAGTCCCTCCAGTGACCCTCGGCCACCCACAGTTAGGTCCTTTTGACTGTGATATTTCTCTCACTTGAACTTTGGACTTAAAATGAAGGGTCCAGGATGACAACTCCCACCCGGCTGCAGCAACTGGGGCTGGCCCAGGCCAGCTTCCTTCCTACCAGGAAGTGGCTTGAAGAACAATATGGAAATCTCGGTTGCGTGAGGGGAGCGAGACCGGGCAACTTGCTTGCCGGGACTGGAATCTATGACGCTCATTACATAAGGACCCCCATGGAAGGAGTCCCAGCTGAAGTCCAAGCCGGGAGGGTTGGCACACACCTGTAATCCCAGCTACTTGGGAGGCTGAGACAGGAGAATCGCTTGAATACAGGAGGTGGAGGTTGCAGTGAGCTGAGATTGCACCACTGCACTCCAGCCTGGGTGGCAGAGAGAGACTCTGTCTCAAAAATAAACAAACAAACAAACAAATAAATAAAAGTAAACGCCGGGTGCAGTATCTCACGCCTGTAATCCCAGCACTTTGAGAGGCCAAGGTGGGCAGATCACTTGAGGTCAAGAATTTGAGACCAGCCTGACCAACATGGTGAAACCCCGTCTCTACTAAAAACACAAAAATTAGCTGGCCATAGTGGTGGTGCCTGTAATCCTAGCTACTCCAGAGCTGAGAATCGCTTAAGCCCAGGAGACAGAGGTGGCAGTGAACCAAGATTGTGCCACTGCACTCCAGCCTGGGCAACAGAGCGAGACTCTGTCTCAAAAAACAAGCAGCCAGGCGTGGTGGCTCACGCCTATAACCCCAGCACTTTGGGAGGCTGAGGCGGGCGGATCACCTGAGGTGGGGAGTTCGAGACCAGCCTGACCAACATGGAGAAACCCCATCTCTACTAAAAATACAAAATTATCTGGGCATGGTGGCGCATGCCCATAATCCCAGCTACTCGGGAGGCTGAGGCAGGAGAATCACTTGAAGCCGGGAGGCGGAGATTGTGGTGAGCCGAGATTGTGCCATTGCACTCCAGCCTTGGCAACAAGAGGGAAACTCTGTCTCAAAACAAACAAACAAGCAATCAAACAAACAAACGGGTGTGGTGGCGCTTGTCTGTAGTCCCAGCTACTCGGGAGGCTAAGGCAGGAGAATCGCTTGAACCCAGGAGACGGAGGTTGCAGGGAGCCGAGATTGTGCCACTGCACTTGGGCCTGGTGACAGAGCGAGACTCCATCTCAGAAAAAAAACAAAATAAGATAAATAAATAAATAAATATTAAAAAGTTCATAAGGACCCAGATGGAAGAATTCCAGGTTTCAGCTCCTTTTCCTGAGAACCCAAACTCCCACCCTCCAGCCCCTTTTTTCTCAGACCAGGATGCCTAAGTCTGCAGTCCCCAGTTCTCCTGTGATCCAGGTGTCCAGATGTCCAGCCCACTGATTCCCCAGAACTTGGGTGTTACACTAGCCCCAAACCTACTCCAGGACCCAGGAGTCCTTGTCCCAGATTTGAGGCCCAACAGATCTCATTCCTGCTGCTAAATGATGCCAGAAAACTACATCTCCCATGAGGATGTGAGTGTGCTGTGTCACCTCGTAAAAGCTCCCCTGTTATCGAGGTAGCTCTATGAAATAGTTACACAACGCTCACACAAGTTGAGGGGTTGTAGAAAGAAGTCCTGCTCTTTCATTTTATTTTTATATTTATTTATTTATTTATTTATTTATTTATTTTTTTGAGATGGAATCTCGCTCTGTGGCCTGGGCTGGAGTGCAGTGGCGCGATCTCGGCTCACTGCAAGCTCCGCCTCCCGCATTCACGCCATTCTGCCTCAGCCTCCGGAGTAGCTGGGACTACAGGCGCCCGCCACCACGCCCAGCTAATTTTGTTTTTGTATTTTTAGTAGAGACGGGGTTTCATCGTATTAGCCAGGATAGTCTCAATCTCCTGACCTCGTGATCCACCTGCCTCGGCCTCCCAAAGTGCTGGGATTACAGGCGTAAGCCACCACTCCCGGCCAGTCTTGTCCTTTCAGAGAGCAGGGATAGTCCACAGTCCCTGGGGACACTTTAGCAGAGTAGAAAAGTGAGGCTGGGCTGGGCACAGTGACTCAAGCCTGTAATCCCAGCACTTTGGGAGGCCAAGGCAGGCAGGTCATGAAGTCAAGAGATGGAGAGCATCCTGGCCAACATGGCGAAACCCTGTCTCTACTAAAATTACAAAATTAGCTGGGTGTGGTGGCGCACGCCTGTAATCACAGCTACTCGGGTGGCTGAGGCAGGAGAATTGCTTGAACCTGGGAGGCGGAGGTTGGAGTGAGCCAAGATCGCGCCACTGCACTCCAGCCTGGGTGACAGAGCGAGACTCCGTCTCAAAAAAAAAAAAAGAAAAGAAAAGAAAAAAGTGAGGCCCAGTGGGAAGCCAGGACCCTCGGACCACGTGAGGGGAGGTGTAGAGGGGATTGTCCGGGCCAAGGGAGACAAAACAGCTGCCATGTCTTCCCTCAGACACTCACACATGCTCATTCTTATCCTCCTCTGGAACTCTTTATTATCTCAAGTAAGAAAAATAAAAAAATAAATAAGATAAATAACCTAATAAATAAAGAGGAGATGTCATAGTAAACAGCCTCTGGCTTCAGGAAGCGTAGCTGGGGCTTCGGCCCTGGGAAGGTCCCACCATGCTCAGAGGGTCCGAGGAGCCCACATCGGGGGGCTGGGGGGCCAGGATTCCGGGTGGCTCCGGGAGTGCGGGGGGCAGGCCTGGTAGTGGCAGGAAGCGAGCTGGTCCTCGGGGTGCAGGGTCCCGGTGTGGGGACTTGTTCCCTGGCAGGTGCAGCGGGAGGCCGTGGGCTTCGGACTGGTAAACATTGTATCCGTCCTCAAGAAGCAGCTCCCGGAAGCTGCAGGCCTCAGGGTCAAAGTGGAGCTAGGGGACAAAAACAGGATCAGAGACAGGGTTCCTCTGTTTTCCTGATGTAAGACCCAGGATCCAGGCCCCAGCCCTGCCTCCCTCAGACCCAGGGGTCCAGGCCCCCAGCGCCTCCTCCCTCAGACCCAGGGGTCCAGACCCTAGTTTCTCCTCCATCCGACCCAGGAGTCCAGGCCCCCAGCGCCTCCTCCCTCAGACCCGGGGTTCCAGGCCCCAGCCTCTCCTCCCTCAGACCCGGGGTTCCAGGCCCCAGCCTCTCCTCCCTCAGACCCGGGGTTCCAGGCCCCAGCCCCTCCTCCCTCAGACCCAGGGGTCCAGGCCCCCAGCCCCTCCTCCCTCAGACCCAGGAGTCCAGGCCCCCAGCCCCTCCTCTAGGAAACAAAACAGCAAGGCAGGTTTTGTTTTTTACCCCAGGGCTCTCCTGCAGGGACCTGCCTCCCAGTTCAGACTTCACAGAGAACATTCCAGCCCTCGGAGCCATCAGTGCTCTCTCAGGCCAGGCGGGGTGTCTCCCTAGCACTCAAGGTCCTGGTCACTTTACTGGCCATGGCTTCCCCGAGTGTCCCTGTGCCCAGCATGAGCCGTGCACACAGGGGCCGTGTGGGCAGGAGCAGGGGTTACTGAATCACGAGACTCCCAATAACCTGAGCCTCAGGCCGCTCCAGCATCCACACATCACATGATTGAGGTCACTGGCGCCCCGGCCTGGGCCTCAGTTTCCTCATCTTGCAAACACTGATGACAACTTCAACCTCCAAATGTTGCAGCTGGGGGCGTGCAGAGCAAATAGAATCAAGTCTGGCTCCGGGGGGGATGAGCAAGACAAGGCACCCCAGGCTGTGAGGGCGACATATAGGAGGAGCATGGTGGGTGGTGAGGAGGGTCCTGGAAACTCACCGATCCATACAGGGCCCCATCTGGCCGCTGGCACAGGAACCTGGATGTCTTGACTCCCAAGATTTGAATAACTCCCGGCTTCAAGGCTTTCAGCTGCAGGAGACCTAAGGGGTGAAAGCGATAAGGTGGTTCGAGGACCTCTCCCACCCGGGACTGTCCCACCACCCGACTCTGTCCCACCATCCGGCTCTGTCCCAGCCCTGGGAGTCCAAGCCCACAGCCTACCTCCTCCCTCAGACCCAGGAGAAGCCCAAGCCAAAGCCCCCTCCCAACTCAGACCCAAGAGTCCAGGACCCCAGCCCTTCCTCCTTCAAACCCAAGAGTCCAGACCCCCAGCCCCTCCTCCCTCAGACCCAGGGGTCCAGACCCAGCCCCTCCTCCCTCAGACCCAGGGGCCCAGATCCCCAGCCCCTCCTCCCTCAGACCCAGGAGTCCAGATCCCCAGCCCCTCCTCCCTCAGACCCAGGGGCCAAGGCCCCCAGCCCCTCCTCCCTCAGACCCAGGAATCCAGACCCACAGCCCCTCCTCCCTCAGACCCAGGCTCTGGCCCACACTCACTTTCGGGGCTCTGGTCAGCAGCGCCCCCCACCGTCCCATCCTCCCTGATCTCCAGGTGGGCTTCTGTCTGCTGGGCATCATCTGTGTAGAGGTACCGCTGCCGGACTTGGCCCCCGAATTGCAGGAGAGGACTGGAGTCAGGGATGGGGTGTGCCTGGCAGGCTCCCAGCAGAAGACCAGCCAGCACAGAAACCCACAGTCCTGAGTGCTCGAACCCGGTCTCGTCCGAGTCCATCAATGGCTCGGGTCCTCAGGTGATCTCCGGGGTGTGAGCTCGGAGAAGCTGAGTGGTTTAGAATTGGTGCCAGATTCCAGTTGTCCAGGTGAGTAGACTCAGGTGGCCTGAGTGCCTGGCTCCTCTTTCGGCTGGATCCTCAGCTGACAGAACACCCTTGTTTTTTGGGATAGATGCAGAAGCTCCAGAATTTATACCCAGACAGGCCCGCCCAATCACCCTCCCTGCGCCTGAACCATGATATTTGACCCATTTGGCAGGAGCTACAGAATTCCATCGTGGCAAGGGCAGCCTGAATGGATGATGTAACCTGGGGTCCTTTCAATGGAGGGCCAGACTCCTGGGTCTAGGGGATGAGGGAGGGGAGGATCGGGTTAGCTGGGACCCAGGTGAAAGGGGCTGGGGGCCCACATTCCTGAGTCTCAGAGAGAAGGATCTGGGGTCTCAAGCACCTGAGTCGGAGGGAGGAGGGGTGCTGGGCTCCTGGAAAAACCACCTCTTGGACCATCTATGCAGATCACGCAGAACAAGAGAAATTTCTGCGCCCCATCTGAATTTCTAAGTTTGGGGGGAGGGCGTGATCTGACACTGAGGTTCCTTGATCCTCAGCAAGGCGGCAATTGCTGTATGAAAGAAGCGACCGCATCTGAGACACAAGTATCCTGCCTTGGAAGCCTCTCACCTGGCCGTGGGCCAACCTCAACCTCATCTGTCCCTGCTCAGATGCTCAGACCCTGGACATCCCAGCCTCCTCCTCCCTGATGCAATCCTGGTGTTTCTTTCACCAGAGAAGCCATCCCAGGCCCAGGCAGGTGCTCCTGAAATAACCTGGGGGGAGGGGTGGCTGAAAGTCCCTGACTGGAGTTGGCAGCCAAGCCAGGCCCTGGAGTGGGCACCCAGAGGGAAGACAGGTTGGCTAATTTCCTGGAGCCCCTAAGGGTGCAAGGGTAGGCCTTCTGTGTCTGAGGGAGGAGGGCTGGGGCTCTGGACTCCTGGGTCTGAGGGAGGAGGGGTGGGGGGCCTGGACTCCTGGGTCTGAGGGAGGAGGGTCTGGGCCTGTACTCCTGGATCTGAGGGAGGAGGGGCTGGGGAACTTGGGCTCCTGGGTCTGAGGGAGGAGGGAGCTTTGGTCTGGACTCCTGGGTCTGAGGGAGTAGGGGCTAGGGATCTGGACTCGTGGGTGTGAGGAAGGAGGGGCTGGGGTCCTGGACTCCTGGGTCTGAGGAAGGAGGGGCAGGGGGCTTGGACTCCTGGGTCTGAGGAAGGAGGGGCCGGGAGCCTGGACTCCTAAGTCTGAGGGAGGAGGGTCTGGGGGCCTGGACTGCTGGGTGTGAGCAGAAGGGTCTGGGTGCTGGGAGTCCCGAGCCTGGGGAGATGATGGTTAAACTTCTGGGAATCAAGTCAAACTCCTGAGTCTTTGACATTGATGTATCTTGAATGGGAGGGTCAGTCTGTGGGGAAGGATTACCCAGGTGCCGAGGCAAGAGACTGAAGGCACAAACTGTTTCAGTATAATAAAGAAAATAGTTAGAATAAGAATAGTTATCATACAAATTAGATATAGAGATGATCATGGACAGTATCAATCATTAGTGTAAACATTATTAATCATTAGCTATTACTTTTATTCTTTGTTGTATAACTAATATAACCAGGAAACAACCGGTGGGTATAGGGTCAGGTACTGAAGGGACATTGTGAGAAGTGACCTAGAAGGCAAGAGGTGAGCCTTCTGTCACACCGGCATAAGGGCCTCTTGAGGGCTCCTTGGTCAAGCGGGAACGCCAGTGTCTGGGAAGGCACCCGTTACTCAGCAGACCACGAAAGGGAATCTCCTTTTCTTGGAGGAGTCAGGGAACACTCTGCTCCACCAGCTTCTTGTGGGAGGCTGGGTATTATCTAGGCCTGCCCGCAGTCATCCTGCTGTGCTGTGCTTCAATGGTCACGCTCCTTGTCCTCTTGCATTTTCCTCCCGTACTCCTGGTTCCTCTTTGAAGTTCGTAGTAGATAGCGGTAGAAGAAATAGTGAAAGCCTTTTTTTTTTTTTTTTTGAGGCGGAGTCTCGCTCTGTCCCCCAGGCTGGAGTGCAGTGGCGTGATCTCGGCTCACTGCAATCTCCGCCTCCTGGGTTCACACCATTCTCCTGCCTCACCCTCCCAAATAGCTAGGACTACAGGCGCCCTCCACCACGCGCCCGGATAATTTTTTGTATTTTTAGTAGAGACAGGGTTTCACCGTGTTAGCCAGGATGGCCTCCACCTCCTGACCTTGTGATCCGCCCGCCTCAGCCTCCCAAAGTGCTGGGATTACAGGCGTGAGCCACCGCGCCCGCCCGAAATAGTGAAAGTCTTAAAGTCTTTGATCTTTCTTATAAGTGCAGAGAAGAAAACGCTGACATATGCTGCCTTCTCTTTCTGCTTCGGCTGCCTAAAAGGGAAGGGCCCCCTGTCCCATGATCACGTGACTTGCTTGACCTTATCAGTCATTTGGACGACTCACCCTCCTTATCCTGCCCCCCCTTGTCTTGTATACAATAAATATCAGCGCGCCCAGCCATTCGGGGCCACTACCGGTCTCTGCGTCTTGATGGTAGTGGTCCCCCGGGCCCAGCTGTTTTCTCTTTATCTCTTTGTCTTGTGTCTTTATTTCTTACAATCTCTCCTCTCCTCACAGGGGAAGAACACCCACCCGCAAAGCCCCGTAGGGCTGGACCCTACGTTAGCCTGCCCTGCTCGGGGTTGGCGATGCTGGAGGTGGGCCTTGGACCAGAGAAAATGCTTTAATTAGGTGACAAGCGGGCAGAGGCCTTTGTCTCTGGCGCCGGCAGCCACGGCCCCCGCTGACGGCGTGGGAAACAGACCCTGTTCCACTCCGGTCTCCAGCCTTGGAATGGTTGCCTTCGTGCAGTGCAGGTCTGGAAAGTAGCAGTTTGGCACGGGACCCTAGAATTCCCCAAAAGGAGTGACTAGGGGCTGGGATTCTGGAATTTGAGTGTGGACGGTGAGGCGGGGGGTGTGGGAGATCGGAGACCCTGGTGGGCGCGGGAGCACCTGCAGGCTGGAGGCCCTCGCGCGCTCCGGCGGCAGCCTGGCAAACAGGTTCTCCATCCCCCAGGAGGACGCGGCAGAGGGCGGACGATCGCTCCACTCGCCGGGACCAGGTGCGGGGGCCCTGCCCAGCCGCTGGGGCGTGGCCAGGCTCGAAGCACCCAGGTGTCGGGGGCCGACTCTAAGCCCTGGCACCGGAAGAGAGAGGGCGGCGGATTGGACCTCCCGGCTCCAGCATTGCAACTGGGCGCTCCGTCTCCTGGTCCACGCAATGATGCTGCGGCTGCTCAGAAGCCAGGTAGCCTGCCCTGGGTGAAGCCTTCGCGCAGGTCAATGACGGGGCGGAGGGGCAGGGCGCGGTCCCCTGCATCCCCGATCTGGGGAGCGGTGGGCCCAGGGGCCATCGCCTTAGCCCCTGGCGCTGGGGCTCGGCGCCAAGTGACGGGCGGGGCTCCACCTTCCAGCCATCCGCCCGGCCCGGGAGGGCGGACGCTGCGAGACTCCCGGCCGCGCCCTCTCCTTCCTCTCCTCCCCAAGCCCTCGCTGCCAGTCCGGACAGGCTGCGCGGAGGGGAGGGCTGCCGGGCCGGATAGCCGGACGCCTGGCGTTCCAGGGGCGGCCGGATGTGGCCTGCCTTTGCGGAGGGTGCGCTCCGGCCACGAAAAGCGGACTGTGGATCTGCCACCTGCAAGCAGCTCGGGTAAGTGGGGACTGCCCCACTCAGTTGTTCCTGGGACCCAGGAACAACTCCTTCAGAACCAGGAGGTGCACCCCCAACCTCTTCTCCAGGTCTTCCTAAGGCCCTAGGAATCTCCGCCACCTCCCCAGCCATTACTCCTCCAGGAACCAAGATGCTCCTTCCGCTCCTGACCCTCCAGCCTCTCTTGTTTTACTTGAACTATCGTTTCCCATCACCACCTCTGTGGTGGATTTTGCGCCTCACAGACAGGTACTCCTGAGAAACAGGCTGGTGGAAGAGTCCAGTATCAGCGGAACTTACAGGAGGGGAGACTCGAGATTCCTTCAGGAAAGGTGTAGGAACCTGGACCACTTTCTTTTTTTTTTTTTTTTTTTTTTTTTAAGACAGGGTCCCTCTCTGTCGCGCAAGCTGGAGTGCAGTCAGCGGTGCTATCGCGGCTCATTGTGAGCTCCGGGGATCCTCCCGCCTTAGCATCCGGTGTAGCTGAGACCACAGACATGTGCCACCATGCCAAGCTAATTTTATTTATTTTTTTTTGGAGACGGAGTTTCACTCTTGTTGCCCAGGCTGGAGTGTAATGGCATGATCTCAGCTCACCGCAACTCCCGCCCCCCGGGTTCAGGCGATTCTCCTGCCTCAGCCTCCCGAGTGGCTGGGATTACAGGCATGCGCCACCATGCCCGGCTAATTTTGTATTTTAAGTAGAGACAGGGTTTCTCCACGTTGGTCAGGCTGGTCTCGAACTCCCAACCTCAGGTGATCCACCCACCTTGGCCTCCCAAAGTGCTGGGGTTACAGGTGTGAGCCACCGCGCCTGGCCCATGCCAAGCTAATTTTAAAATTTTTTTGTAAGAGTGCTCTGTTGCCCAGGCTGATCTTGAACTCCTGGGCTCAAGGGATCCTCCCATCTCAGCCTCCCAATATGCTGGGATTACAGGTGTGAGCCACAGTGCCCAGCCAAACCATGGCTATCTTGAAAACCACTTGTCTTCCAGTCCCCATGCCCCGAAATTCCAAGGCTCTCATCCCTGAAACCTAGGACTCAGGCTCTCCCTACCTCAGCCCCAGGAGTCTAAACCTTTAACTTCCTCTTTCCCTGGGACTAAGGAGTGCTGCACCCCAGGCGCCTCCCTTACCCCACATCCCTCCTCAGCCTCCCCTCCTCAGCCTCAGAGCATTTGCTAATTCGCCTTTCCTCCCCTGCAGCCATGTGGCTCCGGAGCCATCGTCAGCTCTGCCTGGCCTTCCTGCTAGTCTGTGTCCTCTCTGTAATCTTCTTCCTCCATATCCATCAAGACAGCTTTCCACATGGCCTAGGCCTGTCGATCCTGTGTCCAGACCGCCGCCTGGTGACACCCCCAGTGGCCATCTTCTGCCTGCCGGGTACTGCGATGGGCCCCAACGCCTCCTCTTCCTGTCCCCAGCACCCTGCTTCCCTCTCCGGCACCTGGACTGTCTACCCCAATGGCCGGTTTGGTAATCAGATGGGACAGTATGCCACGCTGCTGGCTCTGGCCCAGCTCAACGGCCGCCGGGCCTTTATCCTGCCTGCCATGCATGCCGCCCTGGCCCCGGTATTCCGCATCACCCTGCCCGTGCTGGCCCCAGAAGTGGACAGCCGCACGCCGTGGCGGGAGCTGCAGCTTCACGACTGGATGTCGGAGGAGTACGCGGACTTGAGAGATCCTTTCCTGAAGCTCTCTGGCTTCCCCTGCTCTTGGACTTTCTTCCACCATCTCCGGGAACAGATCCGCAGAGAGTTCACCCTGCACGACCACCTTCGGGAAGAGGCGCAGAGTGTGCTGGGTCAGCTCCGCCTGGGCCGCACAGGGGACCGCCCGCGCACCTTTGTCGGCGTCCACGTGCGCCGTGGGGACTATCTGCAGGTTATGCCTCAGCGCTGGAAGGGTGTGGTGGGCGACAGCGCCTACCTCCGGCAGGCCATGGACTGGTTCCGGGCACGGCACGAAGCCCCCGTTTTCGTGGTCACCAGCAACGGCATGGAGTGGTGTAAAGAAAACATCGACACCTCCCAGGGCGATGTGACGTTTGCTGGCGATGGACAGGAGGCTACACCGTGGAAAGACTTTGCCCTGCTCACACAGTGCAACCACACCATTATGACCATTGGCACCTTCGGCTTCTGGGCTGCCTACCTGGCTGGCGGAGACACTGTCTACCTGGCCAACTTCACCCTGCCAGACTCTGAGTTCCTGAAGATCTTTAAGCCGGAGGCGGCCTTCCTGCCCGAGTGGGTGGGCATTAATGCAGACTTGTCTCCACTCTGGACATTGGCTAAGCCTTGAGAGCCAGGGAGACTTTCTGAAGTAGCCTGATCTTTCTAGAGCCAGCAGTACGTGGCTTCAGAGGCCTGGCATCTTCTGGAGAAGCTTGTGGTGTTCCTGAAGCAAATGGGTGCCCGTATCCAGAGTGATTCTAGTTGGGAGAGTTGGAGAGAAGGGGGACGTTTCTGGAAC
Source organism: Homo sapiens (assembly GCF_000001405.40). Taxonomy (NCBI): domain Eukaryota; kingdom Metazoa; phylum Chordata; class Mammalia; order Primates; family Hominidae; genus Homo; species Homo sapiens. Next base: position 48,750,012 of record NC_000019.10, on the reverse strand, counting down.
TGTCTGAATATTCTAGAACTAGCAAAACATCTTTTCCTGATGGCTGGCAGGCAGTTCTAGAAGCCACAGTGCCCACCTGCTCTTCCCAGCCCATATCTACAGTACTTCCAGATGGCTGCCCCCAGGAATGGGGAACTCTCCCTCTGGTCTACTCTAGAAGAGGGGTTACTTCTCCCCTGGGTCCTCCAAAGACTGAAGGAGCATATGATTGCTCCAGAGCAAGCATTCACCAAGTCCCCTTCTGTGTTTCTGGAGTGATTCTAGAGGGAGACTTGTTCTAGAGAGGACCAGGTTTGATGCCTGTGAAGAACCCTGCAGGGCCCTTATGGACAGGATGGGGTTCTGGAAATCCAGATAACTAAGGTGAAGAATCTTTTTAGTTTTTTTTTTTTTTTTTTGGAGACAGGGTCTCGCTCTGTTGCCCAGGCTGGAGTGCAGTGGCGTGATCTTGGCTCACTGCAACTTCCGCCTCCTGTGTTCAAGCGATTCTCCTGTCTCAGCCTCCTGAGTAGATGGGACTACAGGCACAGGCCATTATGCCTGGCTAATTTTTGTATTTTTAGTAGAGACAGGGTTTCACCATGTTGGCCAGGATGGTCTCGATCTCCTGACCTTGTCATCCACCTGTCTTGGCCTCCCAAAGTGCTGGGATTACTGGCATGAGCCACTGTGCCCAGCCCGGATATTTTTTTTTTAATTATTTATTTATTTATTTATTTATTGAGACGGAGTCTTGCTCTGTAGCCCAGGCCAGAGTGCAGTGGCGCGATCTCAGCTCACTGCAAGCTCTGCCTCCCGGGTTCATGCCATTCTGCCTCAGCCTCCTGAGTAGCTGGGACTACAGGCGCCCGCCACCACGCCCGGCTAATTTTTTTTGTATTTTTAGTAGAGACGGGGTTTCATCGTGTTAACCAGGATGGTCTCGATCTCCTGACCTCGTGATCTGCCCACCTCGGCCTCCCACAGTGCTGGGATTACCGGCGTGAGCCACCATGCCTGGCCCGGATAATTTTTTTTAATTTTTGTAGAGACGAGGTCTTGTGATATTGCCCAGGCTGTTCTTCAACTCCTGGGCTCAAGCAGTCCTCCCACCTTGGCCTCCCAGAATGCTGGGTTTATAGATGTGAGCCAGCACACCGGGCCAAGTGAAGAATCTAATGAATGTGCAACCTAATTGTAGCATCTAATGAATGTTCCACCATTGCTGGAAAAATTGAGATGGAAAACAAACCATCTCTAGTTGGCCAGCGTCTTGCTCTGTTCACAGTCTCTGGAAAAGCTGGGGTAGTTGGTGAGCAGAGCGGGACTCTGTCCAACAAGCCCCACAGCCCCTCAAAGACTTTTTTTTGTTTGTTTTGAGCAGACAGGCTAAAATGTGAACGTGGGGTGAGGGATCACTGCCAAAATGGTACAGCTTCTGGAGCAGAACTTTCCAGGGATCCAGGGACACTTTTTTTTAAAGCTCATAAACTGCCAAGAGCTCCATATATTGGGTGTGAGTTCAGGTTGCCTCTCACAATGAAGGAAGTTGGTCTTTGTCTGCAGGTGGGCTGCTGAGGGTCTGGGATCTGTTTTCTGGAAGTGTGCAGGTATAAACACACCCTCTGTGCTTGTGACAAACTGGCAGGTACCGTGCTCATTGCTAACCACTGTCTGTCCCTGAACTCCCAGAACCACTACATCTGGCTTTGGGCAGGTCTGAGATAAAACGATCTAAAGGTAGGCAGACCCTGGACCCAGCCTCAGATCCAGGCAGGAGCACGAGGTCTGGCCAAGGTGGACGGGGTTGTCGAGATCTCAGGAGCCCCTTGCTGTTTTTTGGAGGGTGAAAGAAGAAACCTTAAACATAGTCAGCTCTGATCACATCCCCTGTCTACTCATCCAGACCCCATGCCTGTAGGCTTATCAGGGAGTTACAGTTACAATTGTTACAGTACTGTTCCCAACTCAGCTGCCACGGGTGAGAGAGCAGGAGGTATGAATTAAAAGTCTACAGCACTAACCCGTGTCTCTGTAGCTTTTTTGGAGCCAGAGCCACTGTGTATGTGTGTGTGGGTTTGTGTGTGTGTGTGTGTGTGTGTGTGTGTAAGAGAGTGGAGGAAAAGGTGGGGTACTTCTGAAGACTTTTATTTTTTTTTAATTAATTTATTTTTTTTCAGAGATCGAGTCTTGCTCTGTGGCCCAGGCTGGAGTGCAGTAGTGTGATCTCGGCCCACTGCAAACTCCCACCTCTCGGATTCTGGTGCCTCAGCCTCCCAAGTAGCTGGGACTACAGACGTTCGCCACCATGCCCAGCTAATTTTTGTATTTTTAGTAGAGACGGGGTTTCACCATGTTAGCCAGGCTGGCCTCGAACTCCTGACCTCAGACAATCTGCCCGCCTCGGCCTCCCAAAGCGCTGGAATTACAAGCGTGAGCCACCGCGCCGGGCCCTGAGGATTTTTATTACTCGTGATTGGGAGTACTGTCCCTACTTAGATCTGACAGCCCCTTGTTGCTGGACTTGTGTGAGTTGTGGTCCCTGTTTTTCTGGTTCCCTGTTTCTATCACACAGGAGAGAGAGACCTTCCAGGACCCTAACGTCTGAGCCCCCAGTTGCTCACTCCTGGACTGTCAGTATTGGCCCCCAGTCCTCTCCTCCCACTGGGACCTCCGCGTGGGCAGAAGAGGCGGAGGAGGGAGCGGATTATCACTGAACTACATTTCCCGGAAAGCTATGAGGTTGGCAGCGTCAGTCAGCTACAGAGAAAGAGGCCCCAGGGCATTTTGGGAGTTGTAGTCTTAGGGCTAAAATGTCCACTTCGTGGCTCGACAGCCGTTTCCAAGGACCGCGGTGGGGGCGGCAGCGGCCTGGGGGGCCGGATCTAGCCCAAAGCCTGGGTCCTGGGGCAAGGGGAGGGGAGGAAACTGAAGGCCTGAGTCCGGTCCTTGACTCTGGAAGCCAGAGTAGTCAGGAGGCTTCCTCTTCCCTAGATGCTGGGAAAATTCTAGTCCAAAAAGGCTGCAGCCTCTGTGACGTCATGGAGCGATGGGCGGGACCTCCCTTTGTTGCAGTCCAATCAGACAGAGTTGAGTTTCTGGGTGGGGCCGAGGAAAACCCCAAGGAATATCTATAAAGGAATTCGGGCCCCTACGTGAGAAGCTCGGAGGGGGTGGTTTCAGGAGTTCCTTGTGGAGAGGGGATCGTCCGTGACTCAGACCCCGTCGAAAAGCTCTCGATTTCACGCAACCAACCTTACCCTCGTCCCCAACACAATCCTTGATTTTACCCCTGGGAAAATTAGCGTAGGTGGTCATGACCCCGGCTTCCTCTTTAAAAGCCCTCAGAACCTGGACCGGGCTCCTCAATGAACCCTAGTGTTAGAGGCCACAAATCGGGAACCAAGGTCGGGGAGCGGCTGTTTAGGGTGCATCACTGTTCAGGATGCATCGGGGCTCCTTTTTCTAAGCGGAAGGGTGCGCCCTGCAAATTGGGAGCCCGTTAGTTTTGGGGAAGGGTGAACAAGGGCCCCCTAGGTCTAGAGGACCGCATGGAGTCTCGCTTAAGTGTTAGTGGGGTCCTCAGTTCTAGGAATCTGGTATGTGTTTTGGTTTTGAAGGAGTTCCGAGTTTGATAATATCGTGGTTGGGTCTGTGTTAGATGTTTATTGGTTTGGGCATTGAATCTTCAGCTTGAGGTTCAACAGGTTTTGGGGGGCTGGCGGGGGAGTGCCTCGGTGTTGCTCTTAAGGGTTGGAGTTCAGGCTCACGTCAATCTGGGGACTTGGAAAATTCCACAGTTTGGGATTTTGGGAAGGGGCGCATGGGGTTGGGAGATTCCAGGTTCTGAGTTTGGGGACTTATGAGTGATTCCTGTTTAATAGTTTTTCTGATCTCTCAGTTGGGGGATTCAGTGAGAACCCTAAATTTTGGGTCCCCTGGATTGGGGCTCAGTTTCACACTTCGGAGGCATTTGATGAAGGACATAGGTCCTCTTTATTTGGAGATTTCCTGAAGATCCTCTTTTCGAGGTTTGCGGACCCCATGGATAGGCGGCCCAGTGGGATTTCTTAAGATGGATTTTGGCTTTTCTCCGTTTAGCGTTCTCCTGCTCTCGGTTTGGGGTGAGAGCACCCTTCCTAACGGTCTTCGGGAACTGTGCGCGCCGGCTGCAATGGGGCCGCATTTTACCCTCCTGTGTGCGGCGCTGGCCGGTTGCTTGCTTCCTGCCGAGGGGTGTGTTATATGTGACCCGTCTGTCGTGCTGGCGCTAAAGTCCCTGGAGAAAGATTACCTGCCTGGCCACCTGGATGCGAAGCATCACAAAGCCATGATGGAAAGGGTAGAGAATGCCGTGAAGGATTTCCAGGAACTGTCGCTTAATGAGGATGCCTATATGGGGGTCGTTGGTGAGGGCAGGGGGGACCACGGACCCCTGGGTCCTGGGAAAGGAGGGAGATAAGACCAGGGGAAGGAAGAGGCTGACAGCAGGGTCTCCGGGATTCGGGAATGGAGAAGGCTGAGATGCAGATTCCGAGGTTCCCCGAGGCTAGTAAATACCGTTTTCCCTATCCTCGGCTGGCAATTTTATGTAATAAAACTACAACTCCCAGAAGGCAACGGGCGGCTGAGTCCTTAACCAGGCCTATCTTTGCCCAGTGGCCTCATGGGTATTGTAGTTTCTAAGATTAGGCGCGCCAATGAGACAGTAAGGCTGGAATCTGGGGTTATATCTCCTCTGACAGATGAGGCCACACTGCAAAAGGGGTCCTGGAGTTTGCTGAAGGATCTGAAACGCATCACAGACAGTGATGTAAAAGGTAAATGCATCAAGGGGGTGGGAGTCCCGAATCTCTCAGAGAAGCCAGCGTTAGTGATGCCTGGTCTCTTGGTCAGATACTAGGCTGTGGACCCAGACCGCCTAGATTCCAATGCCTGCTCTGCCACTTCCTAGCTGTACGGCCTTGAGCAAAGGACTTTGAAGCTCCCTTGGCTCTAAAATGCTTCCTCAGTTGTTCAGTTTAAATGTGTATTGCTGGCCGGGCACGGTAGCTCAGGCCTGTAATCCTGGCACTTTGGAAGGCTGAGGCAGGCAGATTACTTGAGCTCAGTAGTTCAAGACCAGCCTGGCCAACATGGTGAAACCTTGTCTCTACAAAAAATAGACATATGTATACATATTAGCTGGGCATGGTGGTGTGTGCCTGTAGTCCTAGCTACTTGGGGGGTTGAGGCGGGGGGATTGCTTGAGTCCAGGAGTTTGAGGCTTCAGTGAGCCACGATTACACCACACACTCCAGCCTGGGTGGCAGGGTAAGACCCTCCCCCATCCCCCAAAATATGCATTGCCTAGCCCAGCAGCTGGCATTATGTTAGACGGTCAGTTGTAGCGCCCTTTCCTGAGAAGGCCAGGAAGTAGACTGCCAGACTCTGCAGGCAGAAGTAAACTTCCAACACCTCACACGTGGGATTGGGGGTTCCTGTGTCTTCCCAGGCGATCTCTTCGTGAAGGAGCTATTTTGGATGTTGCACTTGCAAAAGGAAACCTTTGCCACCTATGTTGCTCGATTCCAAAAAGAGGGTGAGAGAAGATGGGAGTCGGTGTCCCCCAGCTCCTCTTTCCACTATCCAAGAGTCCTTGTCTCCAGCCCCTTACTTCTCCAAGCCCAGTTCCTCAGCTTCCCCAACTGCCTCCTCCTTCAGACCCAAGTCTTTTCTCCCTCGAACCCAAAAGCCCAAAGCCCAGCTCTTCCCCCAACCCCCTCTTCCATCGTCTTTCATTTAGAAATCTGACTCTGTCATCTCTTTCTTGCTCTCTTTTTTTCTCTTTTGACACAGCTTATTGTCCCAACAAATGTGGTGAGTCTGGATTACAGAAGTTAACCCTCATCCTGCCCTCTGAATAGTCAACCTCCCCACTCGCCTTTTTGGATCCTGGTGGTTTTGTCATTCTCTGCCTTGGAGAGGTTCCTGGGTCTCCAGTATTCTTTCTGCACCATGGATTTCTTGGGGAGCAGGTCATATTCTACTTACACTCTTTTTTTTGAGACAGTCTCACCCTGTCACCCAGGCTGGAGTGCAGTGGCACGATCACGGCTCACTGCAACCTCCACCTCCCAGGTTCAAACTATTCTCCTGCCTCAGCCCCCTGAGTAGCTGGGATTACAGGTGCCCGCCATCACACCCAGCTAATTTTTGTATTTTTAGCAGAGACGGGGTTTCACCATGTTGGTCAGGCTAGTCTTGAACTCCTGACCTTGTGATCCGCCCGCCTCGGCCTCCCAAAGTGCTGGGATTACAGGAGTAAGCCACCGCATCCGGCCTCTACTTACAATCTTTACTGAGCCTTGTTGGAGCCCACTTACTACTTACCTGCGTCCTGGTCCTGTGCCTTCGTCTGACCATCTAGGAATGTCATAGATGATCTGGCCCCAGCCCTTAGCCCTGACCTCTCCTTTTAGCCATGCCCCTTAGTGGGCAAATACAAGCCTTGACCCTGCCCCTCCAGGTGTGATGTTGCAAACTCTGATCTGGTGCAAGAACTGCAAAAAGGAGGTTCACGCTTGTCGAAAGTCCTACGATTGCGGGGGTGAGAGAACTGGACCCAGCAGGAGGAATTGGTGCAGGTGGGGTGGGGCGAGAGGAGAGGCAGTCTAGAGAGAGCCTAGATGGGGGTGTGGGGGCAGTAGACAAGAAAAGGTAGGGTTTAGGCCAGGTGCAGTGGTTCACACCTATAGTCTCGCACTTCGAGAGGCTGAGACGGGAGGATTGGGAAGCCAGGAGTTTGAGACCAGCCTGGGCAACATAGCGAGACTCTATCTCTACAAAAAAATTTAAAAATTAGTCAGGTGTGGTGTTGCGTTCCTGTAGTCCCAGCTACTTGGAAGGCTGAGGCAGGAGGATTGCTTGGACCCAGGAGTTGGAGACTGCAGTAAGCTATGATCATACCACTGCACTCCAGCCCAGGCAAAAGAGTGAGACCTTGTCTAAAAAGAAAAAAAAGAGGCCGGGCGCGCTGGCTCACGCCTGTAGTCCCAGCACTTTGGGAGGCCGAGGCAGGTGGATCACAAGGTCAGGAGTTCAAGACCAGCCTGGCCAAGATGGTGAAACCATCGTTTTTGTACTAAAAATACAAAAAAATTAGCCAGACATGGTGGTGGGCACCTGTAATCCCAGCTACTCAGGAGGCTGAAGCAGAGAATTGCTTGAACTCAGGAGGCGAAGGTTGTAGTGAGATAAGATCGCGCCACTGCACTCCAGCCTGGGTGACAGAGTGAGACTTCATCTAAAAAAAAAAAAAAAAAAAAAGAGAGAGAGAAAGAAAAGAGAAAAGACGAGGTTACAACAAATGTAAAGGATTAGGGGAGGGTAAAGAACCGTGAAGGAGGCCCGGCGCAGTGCCTCATGCCTGTAATCGCAGCACTTTGGGATGCTGAGGCAGGCAGATCACCTGAGGTCAGGAGTTCCAGACCAGCCTGTCCAATATGGTGAAACCCCATCTCTACTAAAAATACAAAAATTAGCCAGGCGTGGTGGCAAGCGCCTGTAGTCCCAGATACTCAGGAGGCTGAGGCAAGAGAATCGCTTGAACCCAGGAAGCGGAGGTTGCAGTGAGCCGAGATCGCGCCAATGCATTCCAGCCTGGGCGACAGAGCGAGTCTCCATCTCAAAAACAAAAACAAAAACAGAATCATGAGTGTCCCATGGTCATCCCCCACCCCCAGAGCGGAATGTGGAAGTTCCTCAAATGGAAGACATGATCCTGGACTGTGAGTTAAACTGGCATCAGGCTTCGGAAGGCCTCACTGATTACAGCTTTTACAGGGTGAGGGCCTCAACTTCTGTAACCCTTGAACTCCCTAGACTACAATACTTGTGTTCTGGATCTATGGGCCTGCACCCACGATTCTCATGACCCAGGAGGGTGGTCTATTAGGTGTGGTCTCTACAGACCTCTGGGGACCCCGTGCCCTGACCAGTGACACCCTGGACACTCACCTCCCACACTGAGGCCCTGTGATCTTCTCACCCCTGTACTCCCCCAACCCCTGAATTCCTCAGGCCTCAGTGACCCCTTGAGCTTGGGTCTAGGTTTGGGGGAACAATACGGAGACCTTGGTGTCCAAGGGGAAAGAGGCCACCCTGACCAAGCCCATGGTGGGTCCAGAGGATGCAGGCAGCTACCGCTGCGAGCTGGGCTCTGTGAATTCCAGCCCAGCCACGATCATCAATTTTCACGTCACAGGTCAGTGCTGTGGGGCTGAGAGAAGTGTAGGATTCAGGGCCCAGGAAAGCTGGGGTCCGCGGCGGGGGCGTGGCCTTGGCGATGGGGGCGTGACTTCCTGTTGGGTGTGGTTTCGGGGCACGGGGTGTGGCTTCCTGCCGGGGGCGTGGCCTCTGGCCCCGAGGACAGGGGTTCCCTTGGGTGTGTTCAGGCTTGACACTGTTGAAGGCGTGATTATCTCTGGGATGGCCGGCTACTGGGACGGGCTTGTCTTTGCCAGGGCAGGAACTCCACGCCCTGCCAGGACTGCTCTTTACGCTTTCTCTAACAGTGTTGCCCAAAATGATCAAGGAGGAAAAACCTTCTCCAAATATCGTAACCCCGGGGGAGGCGACCACGGAGTCGTCCATAAGCCTCCAGCCTCTGCAGCCCGAGAAAATGCTGGCAAGCCGCCTTCTGGGGCTGCTGATCTGCGGCTCCCTAGCACTGATAACCGGCCTTACCTTTGCGTAAGCAACCCATTGAAGAAGACAGGCTTGGCTTGGAGTAAGGGGCGGGGCTTCCAGGAACCCAACACAGAAGCTGGTCTGGGGGCTACTGAGGCCTGAGAGCAGGACTTTCCTGGGGATGGAGTGCGGGGGGCTTGAATAGGAGGACTTCGAAGGGCGAGGCTTAGGTAATTGCTAGAATAAGGTCACAAAGGGGGAGGTTGGGAGGGGTGTCCCCCACACAATTAGTACCCAAACCGGTTCCATGATCTGCACCCCACTCCCACCCCTAGGATATTTCGTCGAAGGAAGGTGATCGATTTCATCAAATCCTCACTGTTTGGCCTTGGCAGTGGAGCGGCCGAGCAAACCCAGGTCCCAAAAGAAAAGGCCACAGATTCGAGGCAACAATAAAGATTTATCTTGTTGTCTAAGCATCTGACTCACTCCCCGGGACGGGACTGATTCTAGCCTTTGGTTCCCCGAGAGGAGAGGTCTGGGGATGGGCTCCGGCCTGAGGGAGGAAGGGCAGAAAACCGGGACCCTTGGGTCCTGGAGGGGACCAACTGACTGCGATGTAATTCCAGAATCAAGGAATGGGGCAGGGCCAACCCTACCCAGATCTCCTCCCCCAGGCCTGGTCTCCTCACAGGACGCCCCCTCCCCGCTCTTCCTGCCGGGTTTCCTCTTGCCTTTTCCTGTCCCCCACCCAGTGCTGGGAGCCGTGGCAGAGGCAAGAGCAGTGGAACTGACCCAGGCCAGTGGAGCCAGGGCCTCCGGGTGTGCCGGACCCGAAGCAGGGTAAGAGCCAGGGACCCAGCAGCCCAAACCCCTCCTCCCTGGGCCCCAAGACTCAGTCCCCCAGCCATCTTCCATCCCAGGACCCAGGAATCCAGGGTACCATCCCTCTCCTCCCCCTGGACTCGCAAGTCTGAGCCCCAGCCCCCTCCTCCCTCTGACTCGGAGTCCAGGTTCCCTCCACCCCATCCCCACAAGAATGCCTTAGGAGTTGGGGCCTTACCCGCCTTCCCTTAGGGCCATGCTGTCTGGTGAACGGAAGGAGGGCGGAAGCCCCCGCTTCGGGAAGCTTCATCTCCCCGTGGGCCTGTGGATCAATTCCCCCAGGAAGCAGCTGGCGAAGCTGGGGCGGCGCTGGCCCAGCGCAGCCTCTGTCAAGTGAGTGCCATCTCTGCAGGACTCCTGCCCCTGCACACCTGCTTCCCATCTGTCCCTGTTCACTGCCCAGTCCCTGCAAAGTGTTGGCTCCGGTCCTCATCCTGAATTGGGCAAACGAGCTGGTGGGCAGGGGGAGACGGTGGGGCACAGTGATACCAGGGCGCGGTGGGAGTAAGAGCTAGGCTAGGAGGTGGAGTGAGGCCGGATGGGCACGGGGACGGGGACAGAAGGAGCAGGGGGATTGATTCACCTTCCTTCCTCCCCTCCCTGCTCACCTCTTGGAATTTCCTACTGTGGGACTTGCCTTTATTTATTTATTTTTTCTCTCTCTCTTTGCCTCGCGTCTGTCCCCACCCTCACCCCCGCCCCGTCCATCCACCCTGGGTCCCTGTCCTCCCTCTGGGTCTCTGCCCACTTCCCTCCTAATATGCCCCCACCCCCGTCTTGGCGTGTCGTCCTGGGTCTCTCTCCCGCGACTCTGTTCCCCGGCGGACTCCCAGGTCTTCTTCGTCGGACACGGGGAGCCGCAGCAGCGAGCCGCTACCTCCGCCCCCGCCGCACGTGGAGCTGCGGCGAGTGGGCGCTGTCAAGGCGGCCGGGGGAGCCTCCGGTAGCCGCGCCAAGCGCATCTCCCAGCTCTTCCGGGGCTCGGGGACCGGGACCACGGGGTCCAGCGGCGCAGGAGGCCCTGGGACCCCGGGGGGCGCGCAGCGCTGGGCCAGCGAGAAGAAGCTGCCGGAGCTGGCGGCGGGCGTGGCCCCCGAGCCCCCGCTGGCTACCCGCGCCACGGCGCCTCCGGGGGTCCTCAAGATCTTCGGCGCCGGACTGGCATCGGGCGCCAACTACAAGAGCGTGCTGGCCACGGCGCGCTCCACGGCGCGCGAGCTCGTGGCCGAGGCGCTAGAGCGCTACGGCCTAGCAGGCAGCCCCGGCGGTGGCCCCGGCGAGAGCAGCTGCGTGGACGCCTTCGCTTTGTGCGACGCTCTGGGCCGGCCCGCGGCGGCGGGCGTGGGAAGCGGCGAGTGGCGGGCGGAGCACCTGCGCGTGCTGGGCGACTCCGAGCGCCCGCTGCTGGTGCAGGAGCTGTGGCGGGCGCGGCCCGGCTGGGCGCGGCGCTTCGAGTTGCGCGGCCGCGAGGAGGCGCGGCGCCTGGAGCAGGAGGCCTTCGGGGCCGCGGACAGCGAAGGTGAGCGGCGGGCGGGGCTCTGGGGCGGGGACTCGGTGCCAGAGAGGCGGGGTCCGTGGGGCGGGGCCTGGGCGGGGCTTGTGGGACTCGCGGGCTGGCTGGGGGCGGGGCCCGCGGGAGGGGACTGGGAGGGGACTGGACGGTGCGTGTTGGACTCTAGGCAGAGCTAGAGCAGGGCCGGGGGCGGCCAGATGGGCGGGCCTGAGAGTTGGGTGGGGCTTGTTGATTGAGCAGGAGTTTTACAGGGGCCAAGCTTGGGGCTTAGGCGGGACGGGGGCTGGTTGCTGGTGGTGGCTTGGAGTGGCCTGAAGTGGCTCCGAATTGGGGTTAGGGCCTTCTGCAGGCATTTCAGACTGCCTTGGAGGAGGTGGGGTGTGTAGCGGGGTCTGCGGAGTAGTAGATCCTGAGGAGCGTTTGTGGAGTCCAGTGGAATGGGCAGGAGTCCGCAGGGGCCTAAGGGATTCGCCCTGTGTGGTAGGTTAGAGGACACTAGCAATTTGCTGATCTTTGAAAGTTCCTTTCTCTAACCAATCCCCACTTTCTGGTAAGGTTTCTGCGAGGTCTGTTAGGTGTACATCCTGCAGCTTAATGGCTTAAACTGTACTCTCCTTTGATGTGGTCTCTTGGGGCCAATTAGGAGAAAGAGAAATCAATAGTGCAACTGTTTTGATACTGAATATTGACAAGGGTCTTTTTGAATTAAAGAACTAGTCCTGGCCGGGCGTGGTGGCTCACGCCTGTAATCCCAGCACTTTGAGAGGCTGAGGCGGGCGGATCACCTGAGGTTGGGAGTTCGAGACCAGTCTGGCCAACATGGTGAAATCCTGTCTCTTCTAAAAATACAAAAATTAGCCGAGCGTGGTGACGCATGCCTGTAATCCCAGCTACTCGGGAGGCCGAGACATGAGAATAATTTGAACCCAGGAGGCAGAGGCTGCAGTGAGCCAAGATCGCGCCACTGAACTCCAGCCTGGGGGACAGAGCGAGACTTCGTCTCGAAAAAACAAACAAACAAACAAACAAAAAACTGTCCTCCAGAAAAAGAAAAAGGAATTGGAGACCTAGGAGCCGGAAGAGTAAGCACGGACAATGTTCTTGGGAGCGATGCAGAGCAGATGGGCGGGGCATGTTGTGGGGCGGGGCCTGTGGTGGGGCGGGGCTTGTGGAAAAGCGTGGTCTGGGGCAAAAACTGTTGGGTCCCGCGAGGAGTGGTGGCATGTGGTGAGCATGGGTCTCTGTGGTAGGAGGCAGCTCTGCCAAGTAGGTTGAGGTGGCTACTGAGCAGGGCCTATGTGGGTGGAGTATAGAAGGGGGCGACACCTGCAGAGTGAGTGAATACAGGTTCCTAGATCAGGCCTGCTGGGACTAAGATGGGCGGAGCCGCTGAGGGGCCGGCCTTGGATAAGACGGCCTTAGGCTGGGTTGGCTGCCAAGTGGGATCACATGGGAAAGGAAGGGGCTGAAGGAAGATATCACTGTAGAGGCGAAGGAAGGCCTGGAACAGAAGGTAGAGTCAATGGTCAAACAGCTGGTGGTGGACCGCGCCTGGCAGGGGTGGGGCCTGGCGCATTGAAAGCACGGGTCTGCTCAGGGAGCCTTCTAAACGCTTTTCTGTATCTGAGCTTCCTTTTGGGAGATAGAATGTTGTAGCAATTCAACTGATGGGCTTTGAACTGGGGTTTGAATTCCAACCCATTCTGTGCCAGTTAATCTCAGTAAAATCCTAGGTGAGGATTCAATGGGATAATATATTCAATGTATATAAAGGGCCTAGCACAGGGCTTGGCACAGAGTAGGTGCTTAATAAAGAATGACGATTATAAGCATTGTCTCCGCCACCCCCTCGACAAAGTATCCATTGAGCACCTGGTGTAGGCCACACATTTTCCTTTTTGTTTTTTTGTTGTTGTTGTCGTTGTTGTTCGAGATGGAGTCTTGCTCTGTTGCCCAGGCTGGAGTGCAGTGGCACGATCATGGCTCACTGCGACCTCCACCTCCCGGTTCAAGCAATTCTCCTGCCTCAGCCTCCCGAATAGCTGGGATTACAGGTGCCCACTACCACGCCTGGCTGATTTTTTGTATTTTGAGTAGAGATGGGGGTTTCGCCATGTTGGTCAGGCTGGTCTCGAATTCCTGACCTCAAGTGATCCACCCACCTCAGCCTCCCAAAGTACTGGGATTACAGGCGTGAGCCACCGCGCCCAGCCTGGCCACACAGTTTTCGGGGCACTGGGGAATACAGTGGGGACGTTGACAGATGAGGTTTCCACCCTCCCATATCTCACAAGCCTAGTGGGAAACACATCAGTCCATTCATTCAGCTCATTTCCCCTTGGTGCCTACTGTGTGCCAGGGTTCCAGCTGGGTCCAGAAAAAGCTCAGAGTACCCAGTGGTGCAGTCACCTGCTTCAACTTGGACTGTCAGGGAAGGGTGTTTAGGAAGAGGTGGTTTCAATCTCCTGGAGGGCAGGGTCTTCTCTGTTATCCAGTGACTTGAACAGTTCTAAGCATGTAGTAGGTAGTCAATAAATACTTGTTTTGTTTTGTTTTGTTTTTTGAGACGGAGTCTTGCTCTGTCGCCCAGGCTAGAGTGCAGTGGCACGATCTCGGCTCACTGCAAGCTCCGCCTCCCGGGTTCACGCCATTCTCCTGCCTCAGCCTCCCGAGTAGCTGGGACTACAGGCACCTGCCACATTTTTTGTATTTTTAGTAGAGACGGGGTTTCACCGTGTTAGCCAAGATGGTCTCGATCTCCTGACCTTGTGATCCGCCCGCCTCAGCCTCCCAAAGTGCTGGGATTACACGCGTGAGCCACCGCACCCGGCCTAAATACTTGTTAAAAGAACAAATGGGCTGGGCGCTGTGGCTCATGCCTGTAATCCCAGCACTTTGGGAGGCTGAGACGGGAGGATCACAAGGTCAGGAGTTCGAGACCGACCAGTCCGAGACCAGCCTGGCCAACATGGTGAAAACCCATCTATACTAAAAATACAAAAATTAACCGGGCGTTGTGGTGCGCGCCTGTAATCCCAGCTACTTGGGAGGCTGAGGCAGGAGAATTGCTTGAACCTGGGAGGCAGAGGTTGCAGTGAGCCGAGATCGTGCCACTGCACTCCAGCCTGGGCGACAGAGCGAGACTACGTATTGAAATAAAAAAAAAAAAAAAGAAGAACAAATGATTCAATGGAAAAGAATGAATGAAATTCCTGAGCTGAAAACTGCAAGATGGGTATTAATCAGGACAGAAAGGTGTTCCACGCACAGGGAACAGAATATGCAAAAGCCTAAATCCTAAATGTGGGAAGCAGCCTCACCTCTCTGCAACCAGTTCTTTGTCTCATAATCTGCAGCTCTGTGTCTATCCCTGTCTTTCCAGGCTCAGCCTCACTGTTCTCCATCTCTCCGCAGGCACCGGCGCCCCTTCGTGGCGGCCACAGAAGAACCGCTCCCGGGCGGCGTCGGGTGGGGCAGCGCTGGCCAGTCCTGGCCCGGGGACCGGATCAGGGGCCCCAGCTGGGTCTGGAGGCAAGGAGCGCTCAGAAAACTTGTCTTTGCGGCGCAGCGTGTCGGAGCTTAGCCTTCAGGGGCGGCGGCGGCGGCAGCAGGAGCGGAGACAGCAGGCACTTAGCATGGCCCCAGGGGCAGCCGACGCCCAAATCGGAACTGCAGACCCCGGGGACTTCGATCAGTTGACTCAGTGCCTCATCCAGGCCCCCAGCAACCGCCCCTACTTCCTGCTGCTCCAGGGCTACCAGGACGCCCAGGTAACCGCCGCCCCAGCCCCGCACGCCCAGAGCCCTATACCCCATCTGTTGGTGGGTGAGCAACAAAACTACAACTCCCAGAAGGCCCGGGGCGCGCTAGCCTCAAGTACTCTAGTGGGGCGTGGTCCCTCAAGGTTCCAGAGTAGAGATTCACAGGAGAGGGAGAGTAGATGGCTGAGAAAGAGTCCAATGGAGGAGGAAATAGGGAATAGTTCACTTTATTCAAAGTTGGAGGAAAGCACTGTCTTCATTAAGGAGATTCCATTGTAGAAAGAAGATCCCCGCCAGGCGTGCGGCTGACTCTCATAATCCCAGCACTTTGGGAGGTCAAGGTGGAAGAATTGCTTGAGGCCAAAAGTTCGAGACCAGCCTGGACAACATAGTGAGATCCTGTCTCTACCAAAAATTAGGCCTGGCGCAGTGGCTCACGCCTGTTATCCCAGCACTTTGGGAGGCCTTGGTGGGTGGATCACCTGAGGTTGGGAGTTCAAGACCAACCTGACCAACATGGAGAAACCCTGTATGTACTAAAAATACAAAATTAGCCGGGTGTGGTGGCGCACGCCTGTAATCCCAGCTACTCAGGAGGCTGAGGCAGGGGAATCGTTTGAACCCGGAAGGCAGAGGTTGCGGTGAGCCAAGATCGTTCCATTGCACTCCAGCCAGGGAGACAGAGCAAGACTCTGTCTCAAAAAAAAAAAAAAAGAAAGAAAAAAAAGCCGGGCGTGGTGGTGTGCACCTGTGGTCCCAGCTACTCGGGAGACTGAGGCAGGAGGATCTCTTGAGCTCAGGAGGTCGAGGCTTCCGTGAGCTATGATGGCACCACTGTACCATCACCAGCCTGGGTGACACACAAAGGCCCTGTCTCCAAAATAAATTTTTTTAATAAACTTTTTTTTTTTTGTCGGAGTCTCTCTCTGTCGCCCAGGCTGGACTCCAGTGGCGCGATCTCGGCTCACTGCAAGCTCTGTCTCCTGGGTTCACGCCATTCTCCTGCCTCAGCCTCCCGAGTAGCTGGGACTACAGGCGCCCGCCACCATGCCCAGCTAATTTTTTTGTATTTTTAGTAGAGATGAGGTTTCACCGTTTAGCCAGGATGGTCTCAATCTCTTGACCTCGTGATCCGCCCGCCTCGGCCTCCCAAAGTGCTGGGATTACTGGCGTAAGCCACTGTGCCCGGCCTAAAAAAATTTTTTAATGAAAAATTTTTTAAAAGAAAGATCCCCTTGGAAATATCTATTTCTTGAATCTATTTCTTGAGAGGGAGTAACAGGGGAGTCCACCTTCTAGGGCAGGGAAGTCATTTGTTGCCTGGGATCACGTTCTGGATAAGCCTGTGTTTTCTTCGTAGGAGTGCACTGCCCCCTCCCCCCCACACTTTTTTTTTTTTGAGATGGATTCTCAGTCTGTCACCCAGCCGGACTGCAGTGGTGCGATCTTGGCTCACTACAACCTCTGCCTCCCAGGTTCAAGCAATTCTCCTGCCTCGGCCTCCTGAGTAGCTGGGATTATAGGCGCCTGCCATGATGCCCAGCTAAATTTTGCATTTTTAGTAGAGACAGGGTGTCGCCATGTTGGCCAGGCTGGTCTCTGAACTCCTGACCTCAAGTGATCCACCTGCCTTGGCCTCCCAAAGTGCTGGGATTACAGGCGTGAGCCACCGCTCCCGGCCAGCACTGACCCATTTTTAGAAGGTGATGCTTTACATTGGAACAATTTGACCACTATTGATGGAGGCAGGTGGTATTGATCCTTCTATCTATTTTACATAGCTGGGTACCAACAGAACTTGATTGGTACAAAAGAGGAAGAAAGGATTGGTGGTTGAGGATCAGTGGGAAGTTACTGCACTAATAGAAATGTAACATGTTGTCTGGGCACAGTGGCTCACTCCTGTAATCCCAGCACTTTGGGAAGCCAAAGCAGGAGTAACACTTGAGACCAGAAGTTTGGGACCAGCCTGGGCAACAGTGAAATCTTGTCTCTACAAAAAAGGACAAGAAATTACCCAGATGTAGTGGCACCTATCTGTAGTCTCAGCTACCCAGGAGGCTGAGGCAGGAGAATCCCCTGAGCCCAGGGAGGTCTAGGCTGCAGTAAGCTGTGATCACACCACTGCACTCCAGGAGGGAGAGTGAGTAATGTGTTATTGGAAATATTCATTTATGTGCAGTGATCGGGTGAATTATCCTTATGGTGTGGCCAACTGATGGTTAACAATGGTACAGCCAAGCTAAACAAGTACAGCTGGGACCAATGGCAAAACCTTGTCTCTATAAAAAATGAAAAACAAAAAGAAGGTGGTGTAGCTTATTCGACAGTTCCATTTTTACGGTCACAGAAAGATCCAATTGGGTTAGGCAGCTTGACTGTGTATATGGGTGAGAAGGTAAGACTCTCTTCAGGAAAGAGCTTGTATGGAAGAATTCATTCCTCCTTGTGGGGGCAAGGAGATGGGGAGAGCTCACTGTAGTAAGAGGATTGCATATATTATAACAGCCATTCCTCTGGACAAGGCTGGAGAACACGAAGGTCTCTTTTGGGAAGGTGGTCAAATTGGAAGGACATATTCTTCCAGGTGGCAGTTCAAAGTAAGCCTGGGCAACATAGTGAGACCTCATCTGTATAAAAAACGGAAAACAGGCTGGGCGCGGTGGCTCATGCCTGTAATCTCAGCACTTTGGGAGGCTGAGGCAGGCGGATCACGAGGTCATGAGATCGAGACCATCCTGGCTAACACGGTGAAACCCTATGTCTACTAAAAATATAAAAATTAGCTGGGCGTGGTGGCGGGCACGTGTAGTCCCAGCTACTCAAGAGGCTAAGGCAGGAGAATGGCGGGAACCTGGGAGGCGGAGCTTGTAGTGAGCCGAGATCGCGCCACTGCACTCCAGCCTGGGCAACAGAGAGAGACTCCGTCTTAAAAAAAAAAAAAAGAAAAACAGAAACAAAAATTAGCCAGGTGTGGTGGTGTATGCCTGTCATTCTAGCTACTTGAGAGGCTGAGGTAGGAGGATCACTTGAGCCCAGGAGGTGGAGTCTGCAAGTCTGCAGTGAACCAAGATAATGCCACTGCACTCCAGTCTGATGACAGAGTGAGAGACCCTGTCTCAAAAAAGAAAAAAAAAAAAGAGATTAAAAAAAAAAGGTTTCATTTGAATTGTTCATTCCTTGGAGGCAGGAATACCAGGTGAATCTATTGTAGGAATTCATTTGGTTTGCCGATTCATGGAGTGGCTGTGAAGTGAAAGTTCACTGTAGGTGCCAAGAAAGCATCCCTTCCTGGGTTAGGGAGCAGGAGAGCCCATTGTAGAAAGGGGGCTTTTATTTTGGGTCATCCCATTCCTTCAGACAGGAATGAAGAACAGGAGAGTCTACCTTCAGAAGGTGGTAAGACTGGAAAGACCCATTTTTCTACAAGGGTAGATGAGCAAATCTTTTGGAGGTAGGAGTCTTTTTGGAAACACCCATTCATGGGGTAGGGGTAATGGTAGAATTTAGTGTAGAAGGGGGATCTATGCATATCAAGATGCCTGTTGTCTCAGACATGGTTGGCGAATGGAAGGGGGTCAGATTGAGTGGTTCTACATTTATGGAATGGAGATGAGAGTCCATTTTTTAGGACGAGGTCTTCTGGAATGCCTGTCTTCATTTGATAAATGAGATGGAACACTCCATGGTAAGAGGTTGTCCGTGAAGGCATTTATTTATCCGTGGAATGACCAGAAGAGCCCACTGTATGGAGATCTTTTTGGAGATGTCCTTTTTGGGGATTGGAATATTGAGAACGTCCATTGATGGAAGGGGGGTTATCTCTTTGAAATCCTCCGTTGGGGGAGTGGGAGTAATAGGTGAGTCCATTGTAGGAGTCCATTGTAGGAATATTGAGAACATCCATTGATGGAAGGGGGATTATCTCTTTGAAATCCTCTGTTAGGGGGGTGGGAATAATAGGTGAGTCCATTGCAGGACTTAACTCCTGCAACCTCCACCTCCCAGGTTCAAGCGATTTTCCCGCCTCAGCCTCCCGAGTAGCTGGGATTATAGGCATGAGCCACCTCACCTGGCTAATTTTGTATTTTTAGTAGAGAGAGGGTTTCTCCACGTTGGTCAGGCTGGTCTCGAACTCCCTACCTCAGGTGATCTGCCGGCCTTGGTCTCCACTGCGCCCGGCCTCTTTTTTTTGAGTCTCACTCTGTTGCCCAGGCTGGAGTGCAGTAGCCTGATCTTGGCTCATTGCAACCTCTGCCTCCTGGGTTCAAGCGATTCTTGTGCCTCAGCCTCCCAAGTAGCTGGGACTACAGTCATGCGCCACCATGCCTGGCTAATTTTTGTATTTTTAGTAGAGACAGGTTTCACCGTGTCTGGTCTTGAACTCTTGACCTCAGGTGATTCACCTGCCTCGGCCTCCCAAAGTGCTGGGATTGCAGGTGTCAGCCACTATGCCCAGTCCAAGGGAATCTCTTTAAAAGTACCCATTCATTGCTTGAGGAATATTGAGAAAAACTATTATTGGAAGGGGAAATATATCTGGAAGCCTTTACCATGGTGGGGTGGGGGTGAAATAATGGACAGGTGGGACCAGGGATGGGGAAAAGGAGATTTCCTTGGAAAGGTCCATTCTTTGAGGGTGAGGGTAGTTGCACAGTTCATTTTAGAAATAGGGATCTCCTTGAAAGCATCTAATGCTTGAGGGAAAGAAATGGTAGAGCCCATGTTAAGAAATGGGTCTCTGGCTGGGTGTGGTGGCTCACACCTGTAATCCCAGCACTTTAGGAGGCCAAGGCAGGCGGATCACAAGGTCAAGAGATCGAGACCATCCTGGCCAACATGGTGACCCTGTCCCTACTAAAAATACAAAAATTAGCTGGGCGTGATGGTGCGCGCCTGTAGTCTCAACTACTCGGGAGGTTGAGGCAGGGGAATCGCTTGAACCCGGGAGGCGGAGGTTGGAGTGAGCCGAGATCGTGCCACTGCACTCCAGCCTGGCAACAGAGCGTGACTCTGTCTCAAAGAAAAAAAGGGGGGTCTCCTTGTACATAGCCGGTCTTCGGGATGGGTGTTATGGGACCATCCACCATACAAAGTGCCTGGGAAGAGTCCACTCAGTGGCGTTGCGGGTGCTTAGAGAGTCCTTTGAGATCCAGATCTCCTTGGAGTGTCTATTCAAAGTCGGTGGGGGGCCGGGCGCGATAGTTCACGCCTGTAATCCCAGCACTTCGGGAGGCCGAGGTAGGTGGATCACCTGAGATCAGGAGTTTAAGACCAGCCTGGCCAACATGGTGAAACCCTTTCCCTACTAAAAATACAAAAATTAGCCGGGTGTGGTGGCAGGCGCCTGTACTCCCAGCTACTCAACAGACTGAGGCAGGAGAATTGCTTGAACTCAGGAGGCAGAGGTTGCAGTGAGCCGAGATCGTGCCACTGGACTCCAGCCTGGAGGACAGAGCGAGACTCCATCTCAAAAAAAAAAAAAAAAAAAAAAAGAAGAAGAAGGAAAAAAAAAGTTGGTGGGAATAGAAAAGTTGTTGTAGAAAACAGAGAGAACAGATCTGAAGATATGGATTGAAGTGATGTCCTTAGTGCATCCTCGTTTCCCCTCCAGGACTTTGTGGTGTATGTGATGACGCGAGAGCAGCACGTGTTTGGGCGAGGTGGGAACTCGTCTGGCCGCGGGGGGTCCCCGGCTCCCTATGTGGACACCTTCCTCAACGCCCCGGACATCCTGCCGCGTCACTGCACAGTGCGCGCGGGCCCTGAGCACCCGGCCATGGTGCGCCCGTCCCGGGGCGCCCCAGTCACGCACAACGGGTGCCTCCTGCTGCGGGAGGCTGAGCTGCACCCGGGCGACCTCCTGGGGCTGGGCGAGCACTTCCTGTTCATGTACAAGGACCCCCGCACTGGGGGCTCGGGGCCTGCGAGGCCGCCGTGGCTGCCCGCGCGCCCCGGGGCCACGCCGCCAGGCCCTGGCTGGGCCTTCTCCTGTCGCCTGTGCGGCCGCGGCCTGCAGGAGCGCGGCGAGGCACTGGCCGCCTACCTGGACGGCCGTGAGCCAGTCCTGCGCTTCCGGCCGCGCGAGGAGGAGGCGCTGCTGGGCGAGATCGTGCGCGCCGCAGCCGCCGGCTCGGGAGACCTGCCGCCCCTCGGGCCCGCCACGCTGCTGGCGCTGTGCGTGCAGCATTCCGCCCGTGAGCTGGAGCTGGGCCACCTGCCACGACTGCTGGGCCGCCTGGCCCGGCTCATCAAGGAGGCCGTCTGGGTGAGCGCCCCCCAATCGCCGTCCAGCCCCACCAGCGCCCCAAGTCCCTTCTCCAGCCTCCCTTCCCTACCTTCAACCCTTTTCATAGCTGGGCTGGATACTACTGTTCCCATGACGCCTCGGGAAGGATTTGGGGTTTTGGGTTTTGTTTGTTTGTTTGTTTGCTTTTGTTTTTGAGACGGAGTCTCGCTCTGTTACCCAGGCTGGAGTGCAGTGGCGGTCTTGGTTCACTGCAACCTCTACCTCCGGGGTTCAAATGATTCTTCTGCCTCAGCCTCCCGAGTAGCTGGGATTGCAGGCGCCTGCCAGCACGCCCGGCTAATTTTTTGTATTTTTAGTAAGACGGGGTTTCACCATATTGGCCAGGCTTGTCTGGAACTCCTGACCTCGTGGTTCGCCCGCCTCGGCCTCCCAAAGTGCTGGGATTACAGGTGTGAGCCACCACACCCGGTGTTTTGGGGTTATTAAGCAAGGGGCCCCCCCATAGAATGCTGGGAGATGTAGATCCACTGCACTTAGAGGGAAGCCCAAACTCACCTTAGGAGAGCTCACCTAAGCACGAACTCACCTTAGGAAGAAACCATTATGGGAGATGGTGGGGGAGAGATCCCACTGGATGAGAAGTTGACAGAGATCAGTGTGAGAATTCACCGCAGCCCATTGGGCTTGGAGCTTGGATAGCAGTGAGCGAGTTCATTCTTGGAGGCGAGGAAGCACAAATCCACTGGACCTACAGATGGAAGTTCCAGAAAGAAACCATTCAGAGTGGGGGAAACGTTCCATCCTATTGAGCTAGGGCCTAACCAGAGAGGTTTAAGGAGTTTCTTGGGGGTAAAAATTGGAGAAGAGGACCTGAAGGAGCTAGATCACTCATAATCATAGGGTGTGTATGTTTTAAAAAGTAAGGAGAGACCATTCTAAAGCTTGTGGGATTAGAATTTGTCTCAAGAGCCAGGCGTGGTGGCTCATGCCTGTAATCCCGGCACTTTGGGAGGCCGAGGCGGGCAGATCACCTGAAGTCGGGAGATCGAGACCATCCTGGCTAACATGGTGAAACCCCGTCTCTACTAAAAATGCAAAAAATTAGCCGGGCATGGTAGCACATGCCTGTAATCCCAGCTACTTGGGAGGCTGAGGCAGGAGAATCACTTGAACCTGGGAGGCAGAGGTTGCAGTGAGCCAAAATTGAGCCATTGCACCCCAGCCTGGGCAACAACAGGGTAACTCCATCTCAAAAAAAAAAAAAAAAAAAAAGAATCCGTATGAAGAGTGAAGGCCGGTTGCAGTGGCTCATGCCTGTAATCCTAGTTCTTTGGGAGGCCAAGGTGGGAGGATCATTTGAGCTCAGGAGTTGGAGACCACCGGTGGCAACATAGTAAGACCCCATCTCTAAGAAAAGTAGGACCAGTCTCTATGAGAGTTGTGCTTCTATAAAAACCAGGGTATTAACTCTTAAGCCCCTCAGTGGATCCCCCTCACCTTGATTCTGATCTTACTGTTCCACAGGAAAAGATTAAGGAAATTGGAGACCGTCAGCCAGAAAAGTAAGAGAAATTCTGAGCAGAGTGGTCTGGAGGGATGCAGGGGTTGGGTTTTGCGTCTAGTTCTGTGTTCACCCCATGCATGCCCCAGTGCAAGTTTCTGCTTCTCCTTGCGCTCAACTTTTCCAGCTGCGCAATGGGAGTTGGTCTTGCTCTCCCACTTAGACTTAGATCTTGGGGTTTGTAAACTATGATGAGGGTTGGGCAGGGATCACAAATTCCTTCCTCTTTTTCAAGCCACCCTGAGGGGGTCCCCGAGGTGCCCCTGACTCCTGAAGCTGTGTCTGTGGAGCTGCGGCCACTCATGCTGTGGATGGCCAACACCACGGAGCTGCTTAGCTTTGTGCAGGAGAAGGTGCTGGAAATGGAGAAGGAGGCTGACCAAGAGGGTGAGCTCTGACTCAGGCTCAGGCTTGTCCAAGTCTCCCATCATGCCCTGCACCTGGGGACCTGGGCTCCTGGCTGCCGACTTCTGGTTCTCCCTCTTAACCCCAAGCCTGTCCTCAGACCCACAGCTCTGCAATGACTTGGAATTATGTGATGAGGCCATGGCCCTCCTGGATGAGGTCATCATGTGTACCTTCCAGCAGTCTGTCTACTACCTCACCAAGGTTGGCCCTTGCCTCTTACTTCCTGTTTGACATAGCATCACTTCCTGTTTCACGTAATATCACTTCCTGTTTGTGGTAACATCACTTCTTGTTTGAACTACACTGTGTGGCTCTGATGTCACTATTTGACTCAAGATTTTCTGCTTTTCTCTGACATGACATCCCATCTCACCCAAGGACTTTGCTGTTCTGACACCACTTGTTAGAGCTTACATCACTTCCTGCCTTTCTGGCTTCTTTTCCTTTGTAATCATCACCTGGGCAAACGCGGTGGCTCACATCTGTAATCCCGGCACTTTGGGAGGTCAAGGCGGGTGGATCACTTGAGGTCAGGAGTTTGAGAGCAGCCTGGCCAACATGGTGAAACCCCATCTCTACTAAAAATACAAAATTAGCCAGGCATGGTGGCCTGCGCCTATAATCCCAGCTATTGGAGAGGCTGAGGCACAAGAATCACTTGAACCTGGGAGGCGGATGTTGCAGTGAACCAAGATTACTTCATGCCACTGCATTCCAACCCGGGAGATGGAGCGAGACTCTGTCTCAAAAGAGTAATATAACGCCGGAT
Organism: Homo sapiens; assembly: GCF_000001405.40. Taxonomy (NCBI): domain Eukaryota; kingdom Metazoa; phylum Chordata; class Mammalia; order Primates; family Hominidae; genus Homo; species Homo sapiens. Next base: position 48,726,216 of record NC_000019.10, on the reverse strand, counting down.
GCAGTGGCTCACGCCTGTAATCCCAGCACTTTGGGAGGCCAAGGTGGGCAGACCGCGAGGTCAGGAGTTTGAGACCAGACTGACCAACATGGTAAAACCCCGTCTCTACTAAAAATACAAAAATTAGCTGGGTATGGTAGCGCGTGCCTGCAATCCCAGCTACTCAGGAGGCTGAGGGAGGAGAATCGCTTGAACCCGGGAGGCGGAGGTTGCAGTGAGCTGAAATCGCACCATTGCACTCCAGGGCGACAGAGACAGACTCCATCTCAAAAAAGTAAAATAAAATTAAACGAAATAAAAAAAAAAGTAATCATCACCACTTTTGACAGGCTGACCTCACTACTTGGTAACATCACCATTACCACCTTCTGAATCTCCCACTTTCTAAGTCTACTCTTCAGTCACTGTTAAGTTTCATATATAATAGATAGATAAATGATTGATAGATAGCTAGAGATCAAATAGTGCCAGGAACTGTGATTTAAACTGAAGATCCTCTTTCATCAGGCCCCACTTCCTTCGCTTGCTGACCTCACTTCCTACAGCTCTGAATTCACTTCCCTTTCAGAACGACAGATCTTTTTCTCTGAGTGCCCTTCCTGGAAGGGCCTGCTTTCTGCCCCAGTTTCCCCCCCATTACCCTTGACCTTAACACCACTTCTTGGCATTCTCAGGGTTTCTGGCTTATGGTGGGCTTGATGCCCTATGTGCAAGAATGAGAGAGGATCTTTTGGGACAGCTAACTATCAGTCTCTAAGTTCCTCTAGCAGCCTGGATTGTGAAGCCCTTTCCTCCTTCACTTCCTGTACATTCCTGCCAAGTGTGCGTTTATTTCTTCTGTTTCTGACCTCATTTCCTGTCCTTGGCCTGATCTCATTTTCCACTGGCAAACTGCCATCCCACTCCCACTTCCTGACTCTCCATTCTTTTTCTTTCCTTTGGGAATTCAGGATGAATAATTCTTTGACTGAAAGGGAACTCTTTGTCCAGTATCCTTTGTCCTCCTTGAGCTGTCTCTGCTGAGAACTACAAGTCCCACAATGCACAAGAGGTGATCTTAAAATACTCGAGAAACTTGTATACCCTTCTATCAAGTAGGGATTTGCTCACGGAGACCCTTTGGGTGTTGACTGTAGAATGGACTACAACTCCCAGAAGACTTTGGTGGAGCTCCCCACTATCTTCATGCTCTATTACCCTGAAGCTTCCTGGGAGTTGTAGTCCAATCACTTGTTTCCACTTCTCTATTTTCTCAGACTCTCTATTCAACGCTGCCTGCTCTCCTGGATAGTAACCCTTTCACAGCTGGTGCAGAGCTGCCGGGGCCTGGCGCGGAGCTGGGGGCCATGCCTCCAGGATTGAGACCTACCCTGGGCGTGTTCCAGGCAGCCTTGGAGCTGACCAGCCAGTGCGAGCTGCACCCTGACCTCGTGTCTCAGACTTTTGGCTACTTGTTCTTCTTCTCCAACGCATCCCTTCTCAACTCGCTGATGGAACGAGGTGAAGGTTGGCTGGGAGCTGTCAGGGAGGCAAAGACAGGAGCCACTGAGACTCAGGTCATATTAGACACACCACGGGCTCAAGCCTCACCTTTGGGTACCCTGGAGAACAAGCTCCAGATCCCAGGCTGAAGGATAGGAAGAGTCTGGGAGGCAGGAGCACAGAGTCCAGCCAACCAACTGCCTCTCATACCTTTAACACCCACAGGTCAAGGCCGGCCTTTCTATCAATGGTCCCGAGCTGTTCAAATCCGAACCAACCTGGACCTCGTCTTGGACTGGCTACAGGGAGCTGGGCTGGGCGACATTGCCACTGAGTTCTTCCGGAAACTCTCCATGGCTGTGAACCTGCTCTGTGTGCCCCGCACTTCCCTGCTCAAGGTGACTCCTGGTCAGCTATACCTGACCCCTGACCTCTGACTCCTCAACCCCCCTCAGCCACCTTCTATATTCAGCTCACCGTCAGAGCTCCCCTTGAACCCCATGCCATCCCCAGCCCCAGCTCAGACACTGTGGGTAACACATTGGCAGGTAGAAGGAAGCCAGCACCAACAATGACTAAACTCGGCTGTGTCTGAATCCTGGTGGAACTTATTAAAAATAGTTTCCAGGCCAGGAGCAGTGGCTCGCGCCTATAATCCCAACACTTTGGGAGGCCTAAGTAGGTGGATCACTTGAGGCCAGGAGTTTGAGACCAGCCTGGCCAACATGGCGAAACGCTGTCTCTACTAAAAATACAAAAATTAGCCAGGCTTGATGGCGCACGCCTGTAATCCCAGTTACTCTGGAGGCTGAGGGAGGAGAATCGCTGGAACCTGGGAGGCAGAAGCTGCAGTGAGCCAAGATTGCACCATTGCACTCCAGCCGGGGCGACAGAGCGAGACCCTGTCTCCAGAAAAAAAAAAAAAAAAAAAGTTTCCAGGGTCCCTCACTCAGACATGCTGAGTCAGAAAGTGTGGTATGAGACAAAGGAACATGATGATTAAAACATTCATTGAACATGAACTACCTGCCAGGCACCCTGTTTAGCACTTCTAGTTTAATGCTGACAAAGCCCCATCGAAGTAGGTGACTGACTGTTTTTTGGATGAGGAAACAGAATCAGGTAGGACAGGTCGCTTGATTTCACTTATTTTTCCTTTTTTTTTTTTTTTTTTTGAGACGGAGTCTCACTCTGTCACCCAGGCTGGAGTGCAATGGCATGATCTCGGCTCACTCCAACCTCCGCCTCCCGAGTTCAAGCGATTCTCCTGCCACAGCCTCCTGAGTAGCCGGGATAACAGGCACGCGCCACCACACCCGGCTAATTTTTGTAATTTTGGTAGAGACAGGGTTTCACCTTGTTGGGCAGACTGGTCTTGAACTCCTGACCTCAGGGGATGCGCCTGCCTCGGCCTCCCAAAGTGCTGGGATTACAGGCGTGAGCCACCATGGCCGGCCAATTTCAATTATTTATTTTCCTTTCTTCTTAAATATCTTACAAAAACTGTTCCCCATAGACATTTATTTATTTATATCAAATGTTTATAATGGGCTGGGCGTAGTGGCTAATGCCTGTAATGCCAGCATTTTGGGAGGCCGAGGTGGAAGGACCGCTTGAGCCCAGGAGTTTGACACCAGTTGGCAACATAGGGGAGACACCATCTCTACCAAAAATTTTAAAAATTAGCCAGGTGTGGAGGCACACGTCTGTGGTCCCAGCCACTCCAGAAGCAGAGGTGGAAGGACTGCTTGAGCCCAGGAGGTTGAGGCTGCAGTGAGCCACAGTCATGCCACTGTACTCCAGCATGGGTGACAAAGCAAGACCCTGTCTCAAAACAATAAGAAAGAAAGTTTACCATGCATTTAATAAGCCCCAGGCAGTGTTCCAAGTACTTTACAATTTTGCCATATTGCATCCTCATACCAACTCTATTAGATAGTTCCTGTTCTCCAAATTTATGGATGAGGAGACTAGGGGACGGTGACCTGCCGGAAGGTAATAAGTGACCCACCTGGGATTTTTGAACTCAGGCAGTCTAGGTGGAGTCTCTGATGTTAAGCACATTGATGGTTCTGACGTCAGCTACATCAGGTGTAGACATTGTCAAACAGATATAGAGTGGCCGCCATAGAATAATGAATCCCAACTGGGCGCAGTGGCTCATGCCTGTAATCCTAGAACTTTGAGAAGCTTGAGACCAGCCTGGGCAGCATAGTGAGATCCCATCTCTACAAAAACTTAACCAGGTGTGGTGGCGTGTGCCTGTAGTCCCAGCTACTCTGGAGGCTGGGGCCAAGGATCACTTGAGCCCAGGATCACTTGAGCCGGGAGTTTGAGGCTGCAGCAAGCCACGATCGAGCCACTGCACTCCAGCCTGGGCGACGGAGTGAGACCCTGTCTCTTTAAGGACAAAAAAAAAAAAAAAAAAAAAAAATCCCCAAGTACCATCGCCAGATTCAATAATATAAACGAATGGCCAATCTTATTTATTTCCACCCTACTCATTTCCTGTATCCTCAATTATCCTGAGGCACATCACATTTTTACAAATTGCTGGGAGCACACCCTTCCCCACCATCACTTTGGTGATAAACAGACTTCACAGTGCCCAGAAGACACTGCAGAGATGCCATTATCTTCCCACCACACCCACTCCCCTTATGGAAGCCCTTCCATTTCATTTCTTAACTGCCCCGTAATGACCATCAACCTCTCACCTGGTCTTCCCACCAGGCTTCATGGAGCAGCCTAAGAACCGACCACCCCACCTTGACCCCCGCCCAGCTGCACCATCTGCTCAGCCACTATCAGCTGGGCCCTGGCCGCGGGCCGCCAGCCGCGTGGGACCCTCCCCCTGCAGAGCGGGAGGCTGTGGACACAGGTGAGGAGCAATGGGATACAGCATTGGGGCTGTCAGCTTTCTTCTTCTTTTGAGACGGAGTCTCGCCCTGTCACTCAGGCTGGAGTGCAATGGCGCGATCTTGGCTCACTGCAACCTCTGCCTCCCGGGTTCAAGCGATTCTCCTGCCTCAGCCTCCCGAGTAGCTGGGATTACAGGCATGCGCCACCACGCCTGGCTAATTTTTTGTATCTTTAGTAGAGACGGGGGTTTCACCGTGTTGGCCAGGCTGGTCTCGAACTCCTGACCTCGTGATCCGCCCGCCTCGGCCTCCCAAAGTGCTGGGATTACAGGCGTGAACCACCTCACCTTTCTTCTTTTCTCAGGATCTTGGAGTCCAGATCCCCAGTCTCCTTCTAACCCCAGATTCTGGACCCCTGTCCCTCCCCACCAGGACATAAGTGCAGGACCCAGCCCCTTCCCCCGTCAAGATACAGGAGTTCAAGCCCCCAGCTCCCTTTATTCTCTGGGGTTCGCATCCCTAGTCCATTCCCTCCACCAGCCACCCACCCACCACCCCTAGGAGTCCAGGTCTCGGGACTTTCACTCCCCTGAACTTGACTCCTCCACCTTTAGGAATCTGTAAGGCAAGTTCCCAGCCCTTTCTCGGGGATTTGGGAAGCCGTTTCCCAGGCAACGGTGGCCTTCCATCGTCTGAACTACAACTTCCATCATGCCCAGGGGCTCCTAGAGTAGCGTGTGAACGGACCCCGCCCCAGGAGTTGCTGGGGTTTGTAGTTTTTTTCTTCCTTTGGGTGTGACGCAGCCTCGGCTCTTCCCGATGCAACTACCTCACTCCCACTTTCAGACTCTAACCGCGCCGCCTTCGGCCTCACAGGGGACATCTTCGAAAGCTTCTCCTCGCACCCGCCCCTCATCCTCCCCCTGGGGAGCTCGCGCCTGCGCCTCACTGGTCCAGTGACGGACGATGCCTTGCACCGTGAACTCCGTAGGCTCCGCCGCCTCCTCTGGGATCTTGAGCAGCAGGAGCTGCCAGCCAATTATCGCCATGGGCCTCCCGTGGCCACGTCTCCTTGAGAACCAATACCAAACGAGCGCGCGAACCTTGAAATGTCACGGGCTTCTACGGACAGGAGCCCGCCTGAGCGCAAAGCTTTCTGGGAGTTGTAGTTCTTATCCCGCGTGGAATGTTGGGAGATTGAGTTTTCGGGAAGTAGCGGATGGGACGGTGGGAGCATGGGCTTAGGATGTGAATGCCAGGGAGCAATAAAGGTATCCGTGGTATCGGCAGCGCCTCGATTGTTAAGACTCAGGGGCGCTAATGATGATTTTCTGCAGAACAAGGTTGCAGGGCCCTTGTCTGGGCCCCTGCCGAGTCTGAGGAGGTATTTATAGCCACGGCCTTGGCTCGCCCTTTTGCATGTAATCCAACCCAAGAGCAGAGGAGCCTCCCACACCCCTCAGAACACGGCCCTAAGCTTGCTCTGCCGATTATAAGGCCCTCAGTCCTGCCAGTGGGAACCAGCGATTCTCCCTTCGACACCCCCCCAAATCCATACTCCAGCCCCCTCCTCCCTCAGACCCAGGAATCTAAGTCCCCAGCCCCCTCTGGACCTTTCTGCCTGCCGGGCACACCGCCGAATCCGAACACCTCTGTCCCTGTTCCCAACACCCCAGAGGCCCCTGCCTCTTTTTCTTTAAACCCAGGACTCCAGGTCCCCATCCCTCTCCTTTCTTGGATCCAGGAATCTGGGCCCCCCGTTTGAACTTTTCACTCCCCTGAACTTGACTCCAGTTGCTGCGTCAGGGAAAAAGTAGGCGACAGGTGGCACCTGCCGGTAGGGCCAGGACACGACCACCTGCCGCTGCTGCTCACCCGGCGCCCCTCTCCGGGCACCTGCTTCTGTCAGTCCGCCTGCCACCGTTCCCCCCGACCCCACAACCCCAGGACGTGCAGGAGGAGCGAGCCGGGGAACCCTGACGTCCCCGCTCTCACCCCCCAGCATCCCCCAAGGCCCGCACAGGCCCTCCCAGCGGGTGCTCCCACCCCTTCTCAGGGTCCCCGGCGGGGCTCCCGTCACACCCCAGGAAGGTGGGTTGGAGGCGGTCCCAGGCTGGTGGGGCGGAGCCTGTGGTGTCCAGCCTCGGCCTCTAGACTCAACCCGCCCCAGAGCACAGCTTCGCCGAGCCCACCTGGTGAGAAGCCCCTGGGGTGGACGGGGGGGGCGCACTCCTCAACGGTTCTATCCCCTCTCTGGTCCCAGTCCCTTCCCCAGAGAACCTGGTGGCTGACACCCTACTCACTCCTTCTCAGATGCAGGTCACAGGGGCCCTTCTATTCCTCAGAAACCTGTCAGGGCCCCGTTCCCCTCTCCACCCAGGATCTTGGATTCTCATCTCCTAAGAGTATTGAGTTCCAGCCCTTAACCTCCTTCTCCTTCAAGATTCCAGACTCCAGGCCCCTCTGCTTCCTCCCTTTCCTAGACACAGGGGTCCCAACCCGCAACCCTTCCTCCTCAGGACCCAGGAGTCCCAGATTCCAGGTCCCTCCCCTCCCAGGATCCCAGGGTTGAGACCCTCAGCCCTGTCTTTCAGACCAGGTGTCTGGGTCCCCAGCTTCCTCCTTCCTCGGAGCAAGGTGTCCGGGTGTGCAGCCCCCTCCTCTACAGCCCCTGGGATCCGGAAGTTATGGCCCAAGGCTGCTCCTATTCCCACCTCCTTCGGGCCCTTTCCCTGCTGAATTCACTCTCAGGGGCGGCCTCCTGACCTCCACTCTGAGCCAGCCCTCTATGGGGCCCCTGCCCTGCCCCCTCTCCGTCCAGGTCCCCATCCCGGCCTTGGCAATGACCCTGGCGGCTTCCTCCCAGCGTTCCCAAATCATTCGCTCCAAGTTCCGATCTGGTGAGAGAGGGCTCTCTTTATGCGTGGGGGATGGGATCCTGAGAATGCTGTACTCTGGGGTGGGAAGGGAGGGGTGGTAGGTCCCATGAGGCCTGTGTTTTTTGTGCAAAAGGTCATGTTGCATAAAGGAGGCCCAAGCACAGGGGTCCGGCTGTGGTGGATCAACGAGTGTGCAAATGGCTAGTAGCATGCTCACGGGGGGAGCAATGGGGATTGGAGGCCAGGGGTAGGCGTGCAGAGGGCTCAAGCACTGAAGAGAAACAAAGGCTTATACTGGCGCACACGCAGGGGCAGAAGAGCAGAGGAGGGACCTCAGAGGACCAGTGTGGGAGTTTGGGTGAGGGGACAATGAGCTGTCAAGCTGTGAAAGTGTCAAAGGTCTTGTTTTAGGTCCCAGGGCAGGCAAAAAGTCTGCAAGTATAGCCGGGTGTGGTGGCGCATGCCTGTAATCCCAGCTACTTGGGAGGTTGAGGCGGGAGAATCGCTTGAACCCGGGAGGAGGAGGTTGCGGTGAGCCGAGATCACGCCATTGCACTCCAGCCTGGGCAACAAGAGCGAAACTCCATCTCAAAAAAAAAAAAAAAAAAAAAAAAGAAGTGTGCAAGTGTTTCGAACTACAGATCAGTTCCTGAGAAGGCAAAGGGTACTTGAGTGTGCACGTGAGCGTGCCTATGTGGTTGGATGGGTACAAAGACACCAGCAATCAAAGAGCAAGGAGTATACAAAAAGGCGCATATGTCCAGAGAAAAGCAGAAATGTGCAGAGAGATCCTTGCTCCCAAATTGGGGGACAAACCCTGACTGTGCACATAAGAAAGTGAACATTCATCCAGGTGGGGCGCGGTGGCTCTTACCTGTAATCCCAGCACTTTGGGAGGCCAAGGCAGGTGGATCACCTGAGGTCAGGAGTTCAAGACCAGCCTGGCCAACATGGCGAAACCATGTCTCTACTAAAAATACAAAAAAATGACGCCGGGCAAGGTGGCTGATGCCTGTAGTCCTAGCACTTTGGGAGGCCAAGGCGGGCGGATTGCCTGAGCTCAGGAGTTCGAGACCAGCCTGGGCAACACGGTGAAACCCCATCTCTACTAAAATACAGAAAATTAGCCGGGTGTGGCGGCGTGCACCTCTAGTCCCAGCTACTGGGGAGGCTGAGGCAGGAGAATTGCTTGCACCCGGGAGGTGGAGGTTGCAGTGAGCTGAGATCGCACCACTGCACTCCAGCCTGGGTGACAGAGCGATACTCTGTCTCAAAAAATAATAATAATAATAATTAGCCGGGTGTGGTGGTGAGCACCTGTAATCCCAGCTACTTGGGAGGTTAAGGCAGGAGAATCGCTTGAACCTGGGAGGCAGAGGTTGCAGTGAGCTGAGATTGTGACATTGTCCTCAAGCCTGGGTGACAGAGCGAGACTTTGTCTCAAAAAAAAAAAAAAAAAAGATAGTTAACATTCATCCTGGGCAACACAGCAAGACCCTGTCTCTACAAAAAATTAAAAAACAAAACAAAAAAATTTAGGTAGTCCCAGGTACTCAGGAGACTTAGGTGGGAGGATGGATTGAGCCCAGGAGTTCAAGGCTGCAGTGAGCTATGATCACACCCCTGCACTCCAGCCTGGGTTACAGAGTGAGACCTTGTCTCTAAAAAAATAAAACAAATTAAAAAAAGGAAAAAAAAACAGTGTTAACATGGATGCTGAGGCAGAGTGAGTCAAGGATGAAGAGTCTGCAAAAACATGCAAGTGCGTAAAAATGGCATGTGTGCAAAACTAGAGCCCAGAGAGATGCATACTGAAAATGTGGATATGCGGAGAGTGTTGACTGTGGGAAGGCCCCGAGATAGCACAGAAAGTAGCAGGAGTGCATGGATAAAGGGAGGCGAGGTGCAAAGGGGCCAGGCTGCCAAGATAGCGATTGCGCAGGGGGTGGGGTGGGCACACGCTTGCTCATGGAGGGGGCAGGTGGAGCCGGGGGCAGGGCTGCCTCCAGCCTGCACGCTGGCTGGCTCGTAGCCCCAGAATGGCGCTGGCCCGCGGCGCTGCGCTGGCAGGGAGCAGGCGGGAGGCCCGAGGAAGGGAGCCTGCTGCCCGCCCACCCGCCTGCACAGGCTGTGTAAGGGGGCTGGGCACGCATATCCCGCCAACAACTGCAGCTCCCACCAGCCTGCCAGGCCAGGCTCCTGGACACTCCCTTCCCGCCTTCCTCCTCCCACCTCCCTCCTCCCTCCACAGTCCTCCAGCTTCGGATCCACAGACGGAATCAGGAGCAGAGTAAGTATGGGCCCCAAAAGGGAGGGGATGGTGACCCCCCACTCCCCACTGGGATATCCTGGAATACAGCTGCCAGATACCCCTCATTGGTTCCTGCAGCTCAGTCTCCATCCCCTGGGACAGACCAAAATCCCATCCTGTCCTTTCCCAAGGATCCAGGGTCCAGGTCTCTGGCCACCCCACCCCTAGGAGCTCTGCTTCCTGCTTCTCCACCCTAATGAGATGCTTGAACTTGGATCCTGCTTCTTTGGAGAAGACAGGCATCCTGGTCTCCACATTTGGTATACATGAGAAGCTCTGGATATAGCTTTTTTTTTTTTTTTTTTTTTTGAGATGGAATCTTGCTCTGTCGCCAGGCTGGAGTGTCATGGCTCAATCTAAGCTCACTGAAACCTCTACCTCCCAGGTTCAAGCGATTCTCCTGCCTCAGCCTCCTGAGTAGCTGAGATTACAGGCACGTGCCACCACGCCTGGCTAATTTTTGTATTGTTAGTAGAGACGGAGTTTCACCATGTTGGCCGGGCTGGTCTTGAACTCCTGACCTCAAGTGATCCGCCCGCCTCAGTCTCCCAAACTGCTGGGATTACAGGCGTGAGCCACCGCGGCCGGCCTGGATGTAGCTTTCAGCCTCTCCCTCTCCCCAAGAACCAGGAGTGCAGGCCCCACCCCTGTCCTAGCAAAACCTCAGACATCTGTGATCCTCAGCTACCACACCCCTTTGTGATAGAAAATTCCTGCTTTACTTGAGAATGTAGCAACCGGAGCCCCCCCACACCTCCGCCCTCAGATCCAGTTCAGGCGCCCATCTCCCAGCAATCAAGTCTTGCTCCCTGGCCTGCCCTCCGGCACCCTGGAGCCCCGCTTTCCACACAGCCTTGCTCCTCCCGGCCTGGCTTGCTGCCTGCAGGCCTCTCAGGGTCCTTCACCGTCTCTCCAGTCTCGGATCCGGACCCGTGGATCTCAGCCTCAGACCCTCCTCTGGCCCCGGCCTTGCCCTCGGGCACGGCCCCTTTCCTCTTCAGCCCTGGGGTCCTGCTCCCCGAGCCAGAATATTGTCCTCCTTGGAGGTCCCCAAAGAAGGTGAGTCTCGACTGGAGGGAGAGGTCCCTCTGAGAGCCTAGTCTTTGTCTCCCTTGTTGCTGCTGCCATTTTTGCTCCTCTTCGGTGGCACCGAGCTGACCCCATACTTTGCATGTAGTCCTGGGGCCGGAAGGTGGGAGCCGCGCTGAAGCCTAAAACATCACACCTGCTCTTTCAGGAGTCTCCCAAGATCTCCCAACGTTGGAGGGAGTCCAAGCCCAGGGGGAACTTGACATACCACCAGTACATGCCCCCAGAGCCGAGACAGGGATCCAGGGCGGACCCCCAAGCCGAGGGGTCCGCCCTGGGTCCTCCTGGGCCATCTCTGTGGGAAGGGACAGACTCGCAGCAGCCACATCCTAGGTATGACACCCACTTCTGTTCTCCCGGGACCCAGAAATTCAGGTCCCAGCATCCTCCTCCCTCAAACCTCGAGTCCAAGATTAGGGGATTGGGGCCCCCAACCCTCTCTTCTCCCAGGGTTTAAGAGTCCAGGATCCCAGCCCCTCCCTTCGCCCTTCAGACCCGAGTCTGAACGCCTAGTTCCTCCTCCCCCATGCACAGAAATCTAGCCCCATGTTTGCGCCCTTGGAGACCCAGAATTCTGGACCCTCACTTTTCTGCATCTTCCCCAGCTCCCCGTCTTTGAGGACCCCAGAACGCCTTTTCCCCCTCTACCTCTCTAACCTTTGTTCGCCCCTCACGATTATCACCAGGATGAAGCCCTCTCCCCTCACTCCCTGCCCACCAGGAGTCCCTAGCCCCTCGCCCCCCCCACACAAGTTGGAACTTCAGACCCTTAAACTGGAGGAGCTGACGGTGAGTTTGGGGTGTAACTTTCCAGGCCTTCTCTCTCCTTCGGTGGGGTCCCAGAATTCCAACCCCGCAGCCTCTGCCCTCTGGAAATCCAGGAGATCGGGTACCCAGTCCCATCCTGTTTTAGGGTCCCAGGAGTCCGGACCCCCAGTGCCTCCTTTCTCGGTTTCCAAATATCCTGTCCAGCTCCTGCCTGCGCCCGGGAGCCCGCCCAGCACTGCCTCTTCCCACGCCCCGCCCCTCCCCAGGTCTCAGAGCTCCGGCAGCAGCTGCGCCTGCGGGGCCTCCCAGTGTCGGGGACCAAGTCTATGCTCCTGGAGCGCATGCGCGGCGGCGCGCCGCCCCGCGAGCGGCCGAAGCCGCGGCGCGAGGACAGTCCCGCGGGTGCTCCCTGGCCGCGCCTCAAGCCCAAGGCCCTGGCAGCCGCCCGGCGTCAGGGCTCGGTGAGGGCGGGGCTATGAGCTTGCGGACCAATGAAGAGAAAGCAAAGTGGGCCGGGGCGGGGTGTCGAAAAAACTAGCCAATGAAGTGTGGGGGCGAGGACCAGCGGTAGGAAGCCTTGAAGGCGAGGGGACGTGGTTCAGACTAACAGGGGGCGGATCTTTAGAGAAGAGGAGCCAATGAAAGAATAGGGGGCGAGGCCAAAGGGGTTGATGAGCGAGGGGTCGCGAGAGGATCAAGGGGTGGAGCCACACGTTGCGAGTGGGTGGGGTTGCGCCCTGTGGGCATGGCTTATGGGCGCTCGCCCTCTTGGCTGCTCTAGGTCAAGCCCAGCGCAGCATCTCACAGGCCACCTCTTCCACGTGCCGCGGATACCCCGGGGACGGCTCCGGCTCCAACTCCCACTCCGGCTCCTGCTGCAGCTCCAGCCCTGACCCCTTCCTCAGGGCCGGGCTCAGCGGCTCTGACTCTGGAGGAGGAGCTGCAGGAAGCGATCCGGAGGGCGCAGGTAAGAGGGTGTGGGTTGAATCCGGCTAGGGTTCTCCAGTCAGGTCCAGGTCGCAGTCCCGAGTTCACGCCAAATTTCTCCATCCGCAGTTGCTTCCTAACCGGGGCATCGATGACATCCTGGAGGATCAGGTGGAGCCTGATGGTAGGATCCAAACTGCTAGATTTAGGGGAGGTGGGGGCTGAGGTTCTGGACTCCTGCGTCCAAGGGAGGCGTGAGCTGGGGAGCTGGATCCTGGAAATGGGGTATGGGGGGCTGGCGCCCGGACCCCTGACTTTCCAAGCTCATGTACCATTCTTTATCCCGCAGACCCCCTGCCCCCTATTCCCCTGGACTTCCCTGGCTCCTTCGACGTGCTGTCCCCCTCCCCGGACTCTGAAGGCCTCTCATCTGTTTTCTCCTCTTCACTCCCGTCTCCCACGAACTCCTCCTCCCCTTCTCCCAGGGACCCCACGGACTCCCTGGACTGGCTGGAGGCCCTGAGCGGGGGTCCTCCTCTGGGTTCTGGTCCCCCACCCCCCAGCATCTTCTCCGCTGACTTATCTGACTCCAGCAGCAGCCGGCTGTGGGACCTGCTGGAGGATCCATGGTGATGGATTCTAGGATTTACAGAGACAGAGAACTGATGGGGGTGGAGAGAAGCTCCTTGTGGGAGGAGAGGGAACTACCAGCAGAGCCCCTCCTACCGCAGACACAGGATCGGAGACAACCTCCAACCCCACCTGCCTCCTGAAGTGCTGCTGACATGCAACTGCCTTAACTTTGCCTACCTGGCCTCCTTATGATCCCCCTCCGGCGTGGTATGGTTGGGGGGCTTCTTTTGCTGCTGGCCACGGCAAACAAGCTGCTTGCTGCTTCCTTCAGAGACCTCATGGATGTTCTTACATGCCCCCGACCCCGGTAGATGGCTCCCTGTTGTTTGGGGAGCCTGGAAGGTGGTTATGCCTTTTGGATGCAGGAGAGGAGCAAGAAAGAGTGGAGAGGGAGAATGGGGGAGCCGGACCCTGACCTCCCTGGGTTCTGGTTGGAGATGAAAAAATTAGAAGCATCAGGTCTAAGATCAGCTTCTCTTGGAAGCAGAGCCTGAGACAAGATATAAATGCCAGTCATTTATTAAAGAAGTGTTCTGGCTGGGTGCGGTGGCTCACGCCTGCGATCCCAGCACTTTGGGAGGCTGAGGCAAGTGGATCACCTGAGGTCAGGAGTTCGAGACCAGCCTGGCCAACATGGTGAAACCCTGTCTCTACCAAACACACACACACAAAAAAAAATTAGCTGGGCATGGTGGCACATGCCTGGAATCCCAGCTACTTGGGAGGTTGAGGCAGGAGAATCGCTTGAACCCGGGAGGCGGAGGTTGTGGTGAGCTAAGATCGCTCCATTGCACTCCAGCCTGGGCAACAGGAGCTAAACTCCATCTTAAAAAAAAAAAAAGAGAGAGAGAAAAAGAAAGAAATGTTCCCAGGAGAAACCAGCAGAAGAGTGGGGAAAACAGGACAGCAAAGGGGAAGAGGAGCAAGAGGTGACTTCAGGTGAAGTTCCAACCTCAGCCTAATCCTGCAGGGAGCTCCAGAGCACAAATTAAGTTGTGGAGTCTTTCCTGTCTTGGGACACATGGAACTGGGCCTTTGTATCTCCCTGTTTGAGCTTATTATAGCCAAACAACAAACCAGGCTCAGTGGCAAACGCCTGTAATCCCAGCACTTTGGGAAGCTGAGGCAGGCAGATCACTTGAGGCCAAGAATTCAAGACCAGCCTGGCCAACATGGTGAAACCCATCTCTACTAAAAATACATAAAAACTGGGCCGGGCACGGTGGCTCACACCTGTAATCCCAGCACTTTGGGAGGCCAAGGTGGGCGGATCACGAGGTCAGGAGATCGAGACCATCCTGGCTAACACGGTGAAACCCGGTGAAACCCTGTCTCTACTAAAAATACAAAAAAATTAGCTGGGCATGGTGGCATGTGCCTGTAGTCCCAGCTACTCGGGAGGCTGAGGCAGGAGAATGGCGTGAACCCGGGAGGCGGAGCTTGCAGTGATCTGAGATTGTGCCACCACACTCCAGCCTGGGCAACAGAGCGAGACTCCGTCTCAAAAAAAAAAAAAAAAAAAAAAAACTAGCCAGGTATGGTGGTGGGAGCCTGTAATCCCAGCTACGTGAGAGACCGAGGCAGGAGAATCACTTGAAACCAGGAGGTGGAGGCTGCAGTGAGCTGAGATCATGCCACTTCACTCCAGCCTGGGCAACAGAGTGCTACTCCATCTCAAAACAAACAAACAAACAAACAAACAAACAACAAAAACCCACACCACCCCAAAACTTAGAGTTGTAAAACAATAACTATCTATGACTGCTCACAAATGCATGGGTTGACTGGGCTCAGCAGGGCAGTTCTTCAGTTCCATGTGATGTTGGCTAGAGCTGCAGTCATCTCAGGGCCCACCTGGGCTAGCACATACAAGATGGCACATCAGATGTGTGTGGCACCGTGGTGGGGATAGCATGAAGGCTGGGCCCAGCTGGGTTGTGCAGTGTGACACTCCATGCAGTGTCAGCACTATTCCTCTGTGGCCTCTCCCCCGGGATAACTAGATTTCTTGCATGATAGCTCAGGGCTCCCAAGAGTGAGTATTCCAAGAGCCAGGAGCAGAAGCTACCAGTCTCTTAAAGACTAGGCTTGAAACTGGCACAATTTCTCTTCCACTGTATTTTATAATTAATGCAAGTCAGGCAAGCCCACGTTAAATACGGGAGGGCACTATACAAATCTGTGAATATCAGGGACATGCTCACTAGGGGCTACATCTGGAGACTTGCCACTATACCACCCCTAGTCAGCCATGAGCCATGGGTCACAGAGGGAGGGAGGAATGACATAAACTCCCAGGAACCTCCAGCCCAAGGGCAGTCCTGGGAAGAACGTCATAGGGTAAGTTGTTAGCAGCAAAATGTTTTAAAATGTAGGTTTTGGCCGGGCGCGGTGGCTCATGCCTGTAATGCCAGCACTTTGGGAGGCCGAGGCGGGTGGATCATGAGGTCAGGAGTTCGAGACTAGCCTGACCAATATGGTGAAACCCAGTCTCCAGTAAAAATACAAAAATTAGCTGGGCATGCGCCTTTAATCCCAGCTACTCAGGAGGCTGAGGCAGGAGAATTGCTTGAATCTGGGAGGTGGAGGTTGCAGTGAGCCAAGATCGCGCCACTGCACTCCAGCCTGGGTGACAGAGTGAGACTCCATCTCAAAAAAAAAAAAAAAAAATAGGTTTCAGGGCCAAACACCGTGGTTCATACCTGTAGTCCCAGCTACTCTGGAGGCTGAGGCAGGAGGATCACTTGAGCTTTGAAGTTTGAGGTTGCAGTGAGCTATGATTGCACCAGTGCACTCCAGCCTGGGCAACAGATCAAGATCCTGTGTTTCAAAAAAAAAAAAAAAAAAAAAAAGATTGGGCCCAGTGATTCACGCCTGTAATCCTGGCACTTTGGGAGGCCGAGGCGGGTGGATCACCTGAGGTCAGAAGTTCGAGACCAGCCTGGCCAATGTGCTAAAACCCCATATCTACTAAAAATACAAAAAAAAAAAATAATTAGCCAGGTGTGGTGGTGCACACCTGTAGTTCCAGCTACTCGGGAGGCTGAGGCAGGAGAATCACTTGCAGTGAGATGAGATCATGCCTGCACTCCAGCCTGGGCAACACAGTGAGACTCCATCTTAAAAAAACAAAAGTAGTCCCAGCACTTTGGGAGTCCGAGGCAGGTGGATCACGAGGTCCGGAGATCAAGACCACGGTGAAACCCCGTTTCTACTAAAAATACAAAAAATTAGCCAGGCGCAGTGGTGGGCGCCTGTAGTCCCAGCTACTGGGGAGGCTGAGGCAGGAGAATGGCCTGAACCCAGGAGGTGGAGCTTGCAGTGAGCCGAGATCACGCCACTGCACTCCAGCCTGGGCGAAAGAGTGAGACTCTGTCTCAAAGAAATAATAATAAAAATAAACAAAACAAAACAAAAAAGACCAGAAGAGGCAAGGTAAGTGGGTTTGAGATTACCTAGTTTGAATTTCAGCAGGCTCTGGAGCATAGAGGCTGTCCTGAGTTTTTGGTGCCTGGCTCAGGGAGCCTGTGCTCATAAAGGTGTGGATGGGGTGTGGGCTCTGGATTGGCTGGTTTACATAGGAAAGGTGAGTAGTTAACTATCTCTAGCATTTGGCTATCCCTGGGAGGGTCAGTCCCTCCAGAGTCATCGAGGCCCGCACTTGTCAAAGCAGCAGAAGTTCAGAAAATACAAAGGCATGATTAATACACCAAGCACACAAGCTGGGGGCTGGGTGCACAGAACTGGCAAGAGGAATCTGAAGGCACCTGGGTGCGCCACCAGCACTGTCCACTGCAGGTGGAAAAGAACAGTAGACCAGGCTGGGCGCAGTGACTCATGCCTGTAATCCCAGCACTTTGGGAGGCCGAGGCGGGCGGATCACCTGAGGTTGGGAGTTCGAGACCAGCCTGACCAACATGGAGAAACCCCGCCTCTACTAAAAATACAAAATTAGCCGGGTGTGGTGGTGCATGCCTGTAATCCCAGCTACTCGGGAGGCTGAGGCAGGAGAATCACTTGAATCCGGGAGGCGGAGGTTGTGGTCAGCCGACATCACGCCGCTGCACTCCAGTCTCAGCCTCCCAAAGTACTGGGATTACAGGTGTGCACCACCATGCCCAGCCATTTCTGCATTTTTTTATAGAGACAGGGTTTCACTATGTTGCTCAGGCTGGTCTTGAACTCCTGACCCCAAGTGCTCCTCCCACCTCAGCCTCCCAAAGTGCAGGGATTACAGGCGTGAGCCACCACACCTGGCCCAGAGACTTTTCTGACTGTATCACTCTCCATATCAATGTGTCCCCATCTCTGCCTGACTCAGGTCACTCTGTCCTGGTTCTGTCTTCATATCTCTTCTCTGTTCTCTGTCTGATTTGCCCTCTGGCTGTTCTCTCCTCCCTATCTCTGTCTCCAACTCCCTCCTGCCCTTTATCCCTGCTGCATCCGTCATCCCTGTCAGTCTCTGCGCTCATCTCTCTGTGTCTCGGGCACTCGTCTTTCAGCTTCTGCCAGGCCCCCCACCTGCCTCCATTGCACCTTCCGCATCTCGCCTGCATCCAGAGTGGGCTCTGTTGAGCTGAGGGTGCACGTGGTCCCTGCACTGCCCCAAGGAGTCAGGGCCAGGAAGCCGGCTTGGTGGGGTGCCTGTCTGAACCTTCAGCCTAACTGAAAGGCTTGCCTCCTGCACTGCCGGCACTGCCGAGCGCCCAACACCCAACTCTTCTCCAAAGACTTCATCCCTCCCTCCTGCCTCAGGAAAACCAGGGCTGGACCAAGGGGGATCAGATGGGGAACCCCAAGCAGCACCTTCCTTCTTTCCTCTGATCTCAACAGAAGGTGGATATTTACATCATGAGGCCTGAAAAAGACCACCAACATCAAAATACCAAAAATTACTAATTTATATTATAAACGTACTCCCTCCCCAAAAGGATATAGTCATGTTCATTGTGTAGACTGGAAAAAATATTTCTCCTCCTCCTTCCTCTCTTTTTCCTTCTTTCCTTCTTCTTCTTTTTTTTTTTTTTTTTTTTTTGATGGAGTTCACTCTTGTTGCCCAGGCTGGAGTGCAATGGCATGATCTCGGCTCACCGCAACCTCTGCCTCCTGGGTTCAAGCGATTCTCCTGCCTCAGCCTCCTGAGTAGCTGGGATTACAGGCATGCGCCACTACACTTGGCTAATTTTGTATTTTTAGTAGAGACAGGGTTTCTCCACGTTGGTCAGGCTGGTCTTGAACTCCCAACCTTAGGTAATCCACTGGTCTTGGCCTCCCACAGTGCTGGGATTACAGGCGTGAGTCACCACACCTGGCCTCCTTCCCCTCCCCTCCCCTTCTTTCTTTCTTTTTTCTTTCTTTCTTCCTTTCTTTCTTTCTTTTCTTTCTTTCTTTCTTTCTTTCTTTCTTTCTTTCTTTCTTTCTTTCTTTCCTTTCTTTCTTTGTCTTTCTTTCTTTCTTTCCTTCCTTCCTTCTTTGTTTCTTTCTTTTCTTTCTTTCTCTTTTCTTTCTCTCTTTTCTCTCTCTCTCTCTCTTGAGTTTCGCTCTTTTGCCCAGGCTGGAGTACAGTGGCGATATGTCAGTTCATTGCAAACTTCACCTCCTGGGTTCAAGTGATTCTACTGACTCAGCCTCCCGAGTAGCTGGGATTACAGGTGTGCACCACCACGCCTGGCTAATTTTTGTATTTTTAGCACAGACAGAGTTTCACCATGTCAGCCAGGCTGGTCTCAAACTCCTGATCTGAAGTGATCCACCCACCTTGGCCTCCCAAAGTGCTGGGATTACAGATGTGAGCCATAGCACCTGCTTGCCTCAGGATCTAATTGTATCTTTTCAATTATCTTTTTTTTTTTTAGACGGAGTCTCGCGCTACTGGCAGGCTGGAGTGCAGTGGCACAATCTCGGCTCACTGCAACCTCCACCTCCCGGATTCAAGCAGTTCTCCTGCCTCAGCCTCCCGAGTAGCTGGGACTACAGGTGCGTGCCACCACAGCAGCTAATTTTTGTATTTTTAGTAGAGGCAGGGTTTCACCATGTTGGCCAGGATGGTCTTGATCTCTTGACTTTGTGATCCACCTGCCTCGGCCTCCCAAAGTGCTGGGATTACAGGCGTGAGCCACCACGCCTGGCCTGTATCTTTTCGATTTTTAAAAATTTTGTTAGTGATGGTGTCTTGCTATGTTGCGACTTTGGAATGCAGTGGCTATGCACAGGTGTGATTGTGGCTCACTGAAGCCCCAAACTCCTGGGCTCAATTGATCCTCCCACTTCAGCCTTCCGAGTAGCTGGTCCTACAGTTGTATTCCACTATACCCAGTTAGTTTTTTATTTTTTGTAGAGACAGGATCTCCCTATGTTGCCCAAGCTGGTCTTGAACTCTTGCTCTCAAGTGACCCTGCCACCTTGGCCTCCCAAAGTGTTGGGATTACAGGCGTGAGCCACTGCACCTGGCCTGTACCAATTATATTTTGAAGTGATTTGTTAATGCCGTCTTGAGAGCAGGGATCGTATCTCCTAGATTGCTTTCTGATACATGATAGGTGCACAGTATGTATTTGTGGGTAGTCTGGAGAAAATACTGTAATATTGAGATCTAAAAAATCGTTGTAAAAGTTGCCTTGTTCTTTTTTTTGACCAAGTTTCGCTCTTGTTGCCCAGGCTGCAGTGCAATGGTGTGATCTCAGCTCACTGCAACCTCCATCTCCCAGGTTCAAGCGATTCTTCTGTCTCAGCCTCCCTAGCAGCTGGGATTACAGGCATGCACCACCACGCCTAGCTAATTTTGTATTTTTAGTAGAGACAGGGTTTCACTATGTTGGCCAGGCTGGTCTTGAACTCCTAACCTCAAGTGATCCATCTGCCTCAGCTTCCCAAAGTGCTGGGATTACAGGTGTGAGCCACTGCACCCAGCCAAAGCTGCCTTTTTGATCCAGACTTGTAATAGGATTCCATCTACTCTTAAGAATTTTTTTTTTTTTTTTGAGATGGAGTCTCACTCTGTTGTCCAGGCTAGAGTGCAATGGTGTGATCCTGGCTCACTGCAACCTCTGCCTCCCTGGTGCAAACGATTCTCCTGCTTAAGCCTGCCAAGTAGCTGGGACTACAGGTCTGCACCACCACCCCTGGCTAATGTTTTGTATGTTTAGTAGAGACAGGGTTTCACTATGTTGCCCAGGCTAGTCTCGAACTCCTGACCTCAGGTGATCCGCCCGCCTTACCCTCCCAAAGTGCTGGGATTACAGCCACCATGCCTGGCCTAAGATGTATTTTGGAGTTCATGTGATACTTATGTAATACGCTCTCAGAGAACCTTTTCTCCCATCCGCAAAGTCATAATTGTGTTTATTCATTTATTTATTTATAAGAGTCAGGGTATCACTACGTCGTCCAGGCCGCAGTGCAGTGGCTATTCGCAAGTCCAATCACGGTGCACTATATTCCCTAACTCCTGGCATCAAGCAATCCTCCCACCTCAGCCTCCCTGGTAGCTGGGAATACCCAACTCCATGACTGTATGCACACTGGTGATTAAAAAAAATTATTCCTTTGATGACTGTGTAATGGTTACAAATGTATCCTCTGAGAGGGAAGGCTGCTGTGGGGGGTTTCACTGCCTGACATGTAACACATGTGCTGCAAACATTTACTGAAAGAATGAACGGAACGCCCTGAAGTTCACTGAGCCAGGCTGGTCTCTCAGTTCTAGCAATGATCATCCCAGGCCCTAGAAAGCCAGGATTGAAGAGGCAGGACCTATGGACTTGGATGCATGCCAGCTACAAGCCAATATGGCACATTTGTGCAAACTGGAAAAAGGCTCCACTTCCAGATGGACTAACTAGAAAACAGTGAGCTCTAGGGCCGGGCGCAGTGGCTAACACCTGTAATCCCAGCACTTTGGGAGGCCGAGGAAGGCGGATCATGAGGTCAGGAGTTTGAGACCAGCCTGACCAACATGGTGAAACTCCATTTCCACTAAACATATAAAAATTAGCTGGGCGTGGTGGCACGCACCTGTAATCCTAGCTACTCGGGAGGCTGAGGCAGGAGAATCGCTTGAACCTGGGAGGCGGAGGCTGCAGTGAGCCAAGATCATGCCACTGCACTCCAGCCTGGGGGATGCAGCAAGACTCCATCTCAAAAAAAAAAAAAAAAAGAAAAGAAAAAGAAAAGAAAACAGTGAGCTCTCTGGGTGGACACAATGCCAAGGACACCTGGTTTGATGAGTAGACTGTGGGTCTGTTTAAACCCCACTTGCCTTCTTAACCAGGGGACTTCCTGCAGTGAACAACCTACACAACCCCTCAGGGCATCTCTGTTGTCTACTCTAAAGCCATTTCCCCTTTTCACCTTGGTAACACCACCCTAATTTTCTGCAAGCTGCATGTCCTTCAGAGGTGGCTGATCAACTTCTCAGCTGCAGAATCTGAGGCTAAACTAATCCCAGAAGTCTCATTTCTTTTGCCTCCTATCGGGTCACATGGGTATGTGACAATTCCTACCCATCGGAGTTGGGGGGAAATTGCTGGAAGGCTTAGGAAGGTTTCATTCATTCTTCAAAAGGGACCAAGACAAGAACGAGCCTCTTTCTGCTGTTTTTGAAAGGAATTATCTGCATGTGATGGCTGGATGTGTAGCAGCCCTTTTGGGACCATGGGATGATACAGCTAAGAAATGGTAGCACAGCATGTGAAGATGGATGGAGCTCAGGTGACTGATGACTTTGTGGAGCCGCTAAATTAACTGACCCTGGACCTGGGCCACTTCTGGTCTTATGTGATATGCATGATTATGGTCTTTGAACCCATTCATTTCTTTTTCTTTTCTTTTTTTTTTTTTTTTTTTTGAGATGGAGTCTTGCTGTGTCACCCAGACTGGAGTGCAGCGGCACCATCTTGGCTCACTGCAACCTCCGCCTCCTGGGTTCAAGTGATTCTCTTGCCTCAGCCTCCCGAGTAGCTGGGATTACAGGTGTGCACCACCACGCCTGGCTAATTTTTGTATTTTTAGTCGAGATGGGGTTTCACCATGTTGGCCAGGCTAGTCTTGAACTCCTGACCTCAAGTGATCCACCCACCCTGGCCTCACAAAGTGCGAGCATTACAGGCATGAGCCACCACGCCAGGCCACTGTTCACTGAGATTTCTGTTACTTGCAGCCCAACGCATCTTCACAGAAGAGAGATGGGTCCTGCTCATGGAACCATGTGCTTCTCATGCCCGGGCACTCATCTTGAGGGAGGCAGAGAAGGAGAAAAGGTCTCAAAGAATGGGCCAGCATTAGTGCTTGAGTAAGGGGGACAGGTCTGCGGCAATCCCTGTCCACTCCGGCAGGAAGGCTGCCTCTGGCTTAAAGATTTTGAGGAAAGGGGAGTCGGGGAGGGTGTAATTGGCCAGGTAGATGGTGTCTCCGCCCGTGAGGTATGCGGCCCAGATCCCGAACGTCCCAATGGTCATGATGGTGTGGTTACACTGTGTGAGTAGAGCAAAATCTTTGGCAGGTGAGCCCTCAATGCCATCGCCAGCAAACACCACATCACCGTGGGAGGTGTCAATGTTCTCCCGACACCAGGCCATGCCATTACTGGTGACCACGAAGATGAGGGAGCTGTAGCGAGCTCGGAACCAGTCCAGGGCCTGCTGTAGGTATCGCCGGTCGGCCACCACCCCCTTCCACACTTTTGGCATGACATGGACATAGTCCCCTCGGCGAACATGGACCCCTACAAAGGTGCCCGGCCGGCTCCCGTTCACCTGCAGGCCCCGCAGGAACTTCTGGGCCTCCTCCCGCACGTGGTCGTGCAGGGTGAACTCCTGGAGGATCTCCTGGCGGAGGTGGTGGTAGAAGGTCCAGGAGCAGGGGTAGCCGGTGAAGCGGACGTACTCCCCCGGGATGTGGCGGTATTCCTCCTCCATCCAGTCGTTCAGGTGGTAGTTCTGCCAGGGGATCCTGCTGGCCGTGGCGCTGTGCAGCACCGGCAGGGTGATTCTGAAGATGGGGGCCAGGGTGCTGTGCATCTGGGCCGGGATGAAGGCGGGCCGCCCGTTCATCTTGGCCAGGGCGTACAGTGTGGCGTACTCGCCCATCTGGTTCCCCAGGCGGCCTATTGCATTGATCGTCCACATCCCCCTGAGCTGGCTGGGTCCCAGTGCCTTTGATGTTGAGGCTAGCACTGGTATCTGCACCGGTAACTCCCACATGGCTTGAATCTTCGCTAGCCGCTGCTGAACGTGAAATATAGTGGAAACCGTAAAGACAAAGAGGATGAAGTGGGCCATGGGAAAGGAGAAAGGCATCTGAACGACCAGCATGGCTGTCAGGGGAGGAAAACGGGACACGTTAGCTGGGAGATGGAGGCCCGGGGCGCTGGTGAACGTGGCCATGCGGTGGTGTGCAGGCATAGTGTGGGTGTGTGTGTGCTTCTACTTCAGGTGTGTAAATACTTGGCACATACTTGCCTATGTGCACAGGCATGTATCTCAAGTGTGTTTATACAGATGTGTCTACATTGTGTTCATAGGTGGGTGTGTGTACACAGGTAGATGCGTACACATTGTGTGTAATGTGGATATGGGGATCCATACATTGTATACATATACAGGTGTGTGCAAAATTGTGTGTGTACATATACAGCTGTGTACAAATGGACATGTGTACATGGTAGTGTATGGGTAGAGATATATCGTGTACATGTAAGGGTATATGTGTAAGTATGTATACACATACATATGTCATCTAGGTGATTGTGAACACAGCATGTGTGTATATGTGAATGTGTATACATATATATGTATATATATACACTTTGTGTATCTATACATTGTATGCATTTTTTGTTTATTAATTTTTTATTTATTTTTTGAGACAGGATCTTGCTCTGCCACCTGGGCTGGAGTGCAGTGGTGAGAACGTGGCTCACTGTAGCCTTGACCTCCTAGGCTCAAGCAATCCTCCTGCCTTAGCCTCCCGAGTAGTTGGGACTACAGGTGCACATCACCACGCCCAGCTAACTAAAAACAAATTCTCTTTTGTAGAGATAAGGTCTCAGTATGTTGGTCAGGCTGGTCTCAAACTCCTAGGCCCAAGTGATCTTCCCACCTTGGCCTCCCAAAGTGCTCAGATTATAGGCGTGAGCCACTGCACCTGGCCCACATGGTATGTTTAAATGTGGGTGTTTATCGACTGAGTGTACATATGTGGGTGTCCACATATGGTGAGTACAAGTATATGTAGCTATTATTTACTGGTGATCCAGTTTGTAGAGATGTTCTTTTTTTTTGAAATGGAATCTCTGTCACCCAGGCTGGAGTGCAATGGCACGATCTCTGCTCACTGCAACCTCTGCCTCCCAGGTTCAAGCTATACTCCTGTCTCAGCCTCCTGAGTAGCTGGGATTACAGGCGCCCGCCACCACGCCTGGCTAACTTTTGTATTTTTAGTAGAGACGGGGTTTCACCATGTTGGTCAGGCTAGTCTCGAACTCCTGACCTCGTGATCTTTCTGCCTCAGCCTCGCAAAGTGCTGGGATTACAGATGTGAGCCACCGCGCCCGGCCCAAGATGTTCATCTTTTGTTTTTATTTTCCTACTTGCCAGAGTCCAGTGCCAGAGATATTCATCTTTGCATGTCCTGCCTGTATCCACTTTGAAGGGAAATTGTCCACCTGGCCTGCCTGCCCTCCTGGCCGCAGCCAGTTGAACTTGAGAGGAACACCCAGCTCCACCGTGGACTTCCCATTCATCGGCCATGGCCTATGACAAGTGTAGGCTGGCTCTAAAAGATGAGTTGTGGCCGGGCGCGGTGGCTCACGCCTGTAATCCCAGCACTTTGGGAGGCCGAGGTGGGCAGATTAGCTGAGGTCAGGAGCTGGAGACCAACCTGGCCAACATGACAAGGCCCTGTCTCTACTAAAAATACAAAAATTAGCCAGGTGTGGTGGCGGACGCCCGTAATCCCAGCTACTCGGGAGGCTGAGGCAGGAGAATTGCTTGAACTCGGGAGGCTGAGGCAGGAGAATTGCTTGAACCCGGGAGGCGGAGGCTGCAGTGAGCCAAGATCATGCCACTGCACTCCAGCCTGGGGGACACAGCAAGACTCCATTTCAAAAAAAGAAAAGAAAAGAAAAGAAAATAGTGAGCTCTCTGGGTGGACACAATGCCAAGGACACCTGGTTTGATGAGTAGACTGTGGGTCTGTTTAAACCCCGCTTACCTTCTTGACCAGGGGACTTCGTGCAGTGAACAACCTACACAACCCCTCAGGGCATCCCTGTTGTCTACTCTAAAGCCATTTCCCCTTTTCTCCTTGGTAACACCACCCTAATTTTCTGCAAGCTGCTTGTCCTTCAGAGGTGGCTGATCAACTTCTCAGCTGCAGAATCTGAGGCTAAACTAATCCCAGAAGTCTCATTTCTTTTGCCTCCTATCGGGCCACATGGTTATGTGACAATTCCTACCCATCGGAGTTGTGGGGGGAGTTGCTGGAAGGCTTAGGAAGGTTTCATTCATTCTTCAAAAGGGACCAAGACAAGAACGAGCCTCTTTCTGCTGTTTTTGAAAGAAATTATCTGCATGTGATGGCTGGATGTGTAGCAGCCCTTTTGGGACCGTGAGATGATACAGCTAAGAAATGGTAGCTGGCTGGGCGCGGTGGCTCACGCCTGTAATCCCAGCACTTTGGGAGGCCAAGGCGGGCGGATCATGAGGTCAGGAGATCGAGACCATCCTGGCTAACACGGTGAAACCCCGTCTCTACTAAAAATATATATAAAAAAATTAGCCGGGTGTGGTGGTGGGCGCCTATAGTCCCAGCTACTCAGGAGGTTGAGGCAGGAGAATGGCATGAACCTGGGAGGCGCAACTTGCGGTGAGCCGAGATCGCGCCACTGCACTCCAGCCTGGGAGACAGAGCGAGACTCCGTCTCAAAAAAAAAAATAAAATAAAATAAATGGTAGCACAGCATGTGAAGATGGATGGAGCTCAGGTGACTGATGACTTTGTGGAGCCGCTAAATTAACTGACCCTGGTCCGCTTGCAGTCTTGTGTGATATGTATGATTATGGTCTTTGAACCAGTTCACTTCTTTTCCTTTTCTTTTTTTTTTTTTTTTTTTTTTGAGATGGAGTCTTGCTCTGTCACCCAGGCTGGAGTGCAGTGGCGCCATCTTGGCTTACTGCAACCTCCGCCTCCTGGGTTCAAGCAATTCTCTTGCCTCAGCCTCCTGAGTAGCTGGGATTACAGGTGTGCACCACCACACCTGGCTAATTTTTGTATTTTTAGTCGGACGGGGTTTTACCATGTTGACCAGGCTGGTCTCAAACTCCTGACCTCAAGTGATCCACCCACCTCAGCCTCCCAAAGTGCTGGGATTACAGGCGTGAGCCACCATGCCTGGCCTCACAAATTCTAGATAAAGCTCCTTTCTCATCACTACAAAAGTATATCCTTTCACTAAGTCCAACACAGAATGCTGGACTCGATGACTCAAAGACACATCACCACCAGTGGCTAGGTGCACAAGCTCTGGCCAATTTCAGACTCACAGTCACGAGCTGTGTGATTTTGGGCAAGTGACATCACCTCTCTGAGGATTAAAACAGTGTCTGGCACATATACACAGGCGGTAAATGTTTGCTATTGTCACCCACAAGGCAAAGAATGCTGTTCGTTTTAGGCTCTGGGTGAAGAACCCAGGTTTCCCAGTTTTGATACTGGGAGTATTGATAGTGGTCAAATGTAGCGTTTAAACCATAGATCATAGAACGGGAGGTAGCCGGGCACAGTGGCTCACGCCTGTAATGCCAGAACTTCCAGAAGCCAAAGTGGGTGGATCACCTGAGGTCAGCAGTTCGAGACCAGTCTGGCCAACATAGTGAAACCCCTTCTCTACTAAAAATACAAAAATTAGCTGGGCATGGTGGCGCGCACCTGTAATCCCAGCTACTGGGGAGGTTGAGGCAGGAGAATCACTTGATCATGGAAGGCAGAGATTGCAGTCAGTAAGCTAAGATCGCGCCACTGCACTCCAGCCTGGGCGACAGAGTAAAACTCCATCTAAAAACAAAACAAAACAAAAAACCCACCCAGGTTTCCCTGTTTCTTTAGGCCTTCATTTCTGAAGGCTCCCATGTCAACACTTGCCTTAAATACATTTGTTATGCTTGTGTCTGTTAACCTTTTACTGTAGGTGCCCCAGCTGCAAACTTTGTGATAGGTGAGGAAAAGATGCTACTTTTTCTCACCTATGGAAGGAAGGAAGGAAGGAAGGGAGGGAGGGAGGGAGGGAAGGGACAGAGATGATAAAAGGGACAGAGGAAGAGACAAATAGAGAAAAAGACCAGAAGACACAGAGAGAGGCAGGACTAGAGAGACAGGGAGAATGAAACAGACAGGGACCAGGCATGATGGCTCACACATGTAATGCTAGCACTTTGGGAGGCTGAGCTGGGAGGATTGCTTGAGTTCAGGAGTTCGAGATCAGCCTGGACCACATAGTGAGAACTTGTCTCTATTTTAGAGAAAATTAGGCCAGGCGCAGTGGCTCACGCCTGTAATTCCAGCACTTTGGGAGGCCAAGCGGGGGCGGATCACCTGAGGTCAGGAGTTTGAAAGCAGCCTGACCAACATGGAGAAACCCCGTCGCTACTAAAAATACAAAAATTAGCCAGGCGTGGTGGCACATGCCTGTAATCACAGCTACTCAGGAGGCTGAGGCAGGAGAACCACTTGAACCTGGGAGATGGAGGTTGTGGTGAGCTGCGATTGTGCCATTACACTACAGCTGCACTCCAGCCTGGGCGACAGAGTCAGGCTCTATCTTAAAAAAAAAGAAAAAAGAAAAGCAGAATGTTCTACACGGATGTCCCTGCCTCCTTGGTAGCTCCCTACCTCCTTACCCAGGAAGGAGGAAGGTGGCTGCTGAGTGGCCCAGAGCAGGAAGCTGGGCACTGACCTTGACTGGAGCCTGGAAGGAGAGAAGGAAGAGGTGGGGAGGCCTCACAGAGCAAGCTGCGCTATGAGATTGTGAATTTTTGAGGTTTGGCGAGATGCCCTGCACGGCATGATCAGGAACCTTTTATGTGCTGTGTGACTTTAACCCAGGGCTTTTACCTCTCTGTGTTTCATTGTCCTTGTCTGTCCATCAACAGGGGGTTGTGGGGAGGGATAAAAACAACACCTCCCCAGAGGTTTCAGTGAGCTGAGATCACACCATTGCACTCCAGCCTGCACAACACAGTGAGACTCCGTCTCAAAAAAAAAAAAAAAAAAAAAAAAGAGCCAGTGCAGTGGCTCATGCCTGTAATCCCAGCACTTTGGTAGGCTGAGGCGGGTGGATCACCTGAGGTCAGGAGTTCGAGACCAGCCTGACTAATATGGTGAAACCCCATTTCTACTAAATACAAAAAATTAGCCAGGCATGGTGGCTCATGACTGTAATCTCAGCTACTTGGGAGGCTGAGGAAGGAGAATCGCTTGAACCTGGGAGGCGGAGGTTGCAGTGAGCCGAGATTGTACCATTGCATGCCAGCCTGGGCAACAAGAGCAAAAATCCATCTCAAAAAGATACAACAACAACAACAAACCACACCTCCCTTAGGGCTGCGTGGGCACAAAGGGAAATGCTGTATTACATGGGCTGTCCCTGGTATTCAGAGCAGAATTTGTGCCCCAAACTCACACTTATGTCAGGCTTGAACCAAGCACCACTCCCATTCTGCCTGAAGGCATTATTTTTTTTGAATTGCTTTTTTTGTAGGGATGGTGGGGAGGGGGTCTTGCTATGTGGCCCACACTGATCTCAAACTCCTGGCCTCAGGAGGTCCTCTGTTCTCCTTCCTCAGCCTCCCAAAGTGCTGGGATTACAGGCATGAGACACCACACCTGGTCTATCTTACTGAGATTTTTTTTTTTTTTTTTTTTTTTGAGACGGAGTTTTGCTCTTGTTCCCCAGGCTGGAGTGCAATGGCACAATCTCGGCTCACCACAACCTCCGCCTCCCGGGTTCAAACGATTCTCCTGCCTCAGCCTCCCGAGTAGCTGGGATTACAGGCATGCACCACCACGCCTGGCTAATTTTGTATTTTTAGTAGAGACGGGGTTTCTCCATGTTGGCCAGACTGGTCTCGAACTCCTGACCTCAAGTGATCCGCCTGTCTCGGCCTCCCAAAGTGCTGGGATTACAGGCGTCAGCCACCACGTCCAGCCCCGTCCACGTCTTTCTATTGCGGCCCGGCTTCCTCCTCTCCCCTCTGTCCCCTACACCCAGCGCCGGCCCTGCCCCTTCCCAGCTCGCAGCCCCTTCAGGGCTCCCTATGCCTCTTAAGACACAATCCCAGTCTCTCGCCGGCCCCGCACACCCCTCCGGCTTTGTCACCAGCTGTTCCCGTGAAATAACCCAGCTCTCCGCTCACCCGGGGCCCCGTCCTGTCCCCCAGCTCTGAAAGCCTTTCTCTACCCCAACCGCCCCGTGCCCCGGGCAGCTCAGCACATCCGGCTCAGTCGCACCCCACTGCCTCGAGCTCGCTGTCTTCCTGCACCTCCCCGGGATTCCCGGATTCCCGGCATTATCACTTCCACCCTGGGGAGGAGAAGGGAGCTTCAGACAATAACGTAGGGCCATCACTTGGAAACCCCACCTTTATTCTCCGACCCAGAACAGAAGCGGTGATTCAGAGCGGGATTAGGGAGTGCAGGAGGGACGGAGCCGCCCTCCCTGGGCGACGGCAGGGCTCGGAGGTGAGACCAGCAGTTTGGGTTCCATGAAGCCTCTGAGGAGCCCCAGGGTGGAGGCAGGAAAGTCGGGTCACCACCAGCTGTGCGCGAGCCATCTGCACCATTACTGCCAGGGTGGTTCATAGAAACTGCTGAGGGGAAGGAGACAAGGAAGGACCTGGTGGCCCGGGGTGGAGAAGGGGAGGGAGCTGGTGGTTGGAGCTCTAGAAACAGATCCACCTGGAAGGAAGTGGGGAGGGAGCTAAGGAGGGCGGCTGGCTGGGGAGGGGGGTCCTGGCTGCCGAGGGAGGGACCCTCCTCTCCTGGAGGTCCTGAGTTGGGGGTGCCTCCCAGAGGGCACCAGGGACCCACGAGGGCACACAGGTCCACGTCCCAAATCCCTGCTCTCCGCCTGGGCGTGTGTGCAGAGGTGTGCGTGTTGTAGGGTGGGAGAGGAGCCCCCTCACCTTCTCTCACCTGGTCCTGCTGAAGGAAACCGGGACAGAGTGGTTGGGCAGGCACCTCAGTGTTCCCTCTGGGTCTCTCTTCACTCAGGGCCAAAGAAACCCTTCCAGCATCGGTGACTGGCAAACCCCGCCCAGGAGCTACAGGGCTTTCCAGAGCAGGTGTGGCTGGGCTGCGGGAGGGAGGTGAGCCCGTAGCCCCTCCTCCCTCCCCATTGCCGGCCACAAAGTCCATCTTGTTATCTACCCTTAGCTCCTCCACCTGCACCAGGCACCCCAAGCCTGGCCATAAGGGTGGGGGAGAGAGGCAGGACAAGGTCGCATCCCCCATCCGGGTCCCCGAGGGTCTTCCTTGGGGAACTGTTGTGATGCCCCAACAGAAAGGGGCCCCCACTCTGCTCCGCTCCTCCAGGCAGCCAGGAAGGCCTCCAGGAAGGCAGCATGGAGGCGGGGGACAGAGTCCTGCTAGGCCAGGCTCTCGCTGACTCTGAGTCCCCTCAGAGTCTTATATTTATTTATTAATTAATTATTAGTAGTATTACTTTTTGAGAGAGTTTTGCTCTTGTTGCCCAGGCTGGAGTGCAATGGCGTGATCTCAGCTCACTGCAACCGCCGCCTCACAAGTTCAAGGGATTCTCCTGCCTCAGCTTCCCAAAGTGCTGGGATTACAGACGTGAGCCACCTCGCCCTGCCTATTTCAAAAAAATTTTTAAATACAAATGGGCCCGGTGTGGTGACTCACACCTGTAATTCTAGCACTTTGGGAGGCCGAGGCAGGCGGATCAACTGAGGTCAGGAGTCAGAGACCAGCCTGGCCAACAAGGTGAAACCCCGTCCTTATAAGAATACAGAAATTAGCCATGGCCCAGCACAGTGGCTCATGCCTGTAATCCCAGCACTTTGGGAGGCCGAGGCAGGTGGATCACCTGAGGTCAGGAGTTTGAGACCAGTCTGGCCAACATGGTGAAACCCTGTCTCTACTAAAAATGCAAAAATCAGTGGGGCGTGGTGGCATGCACCTGTAATCCCAGCTACTTGGGAGGCTGAGGCAGGAGAATCGCTTGAACTTGGGAGGCGGAGGTTGCAGTAAACTGAGATTACACCATTGCACTCCAGCCTGGGAAACAAGAGCAAAACTCTGTCTCAAAAAAAAAAAAGATGGATGAGGAATTTTACTGAGAGAAGAGGCAGGCACCACCAGAGCTCCCAGCAGTCCTAACAGGAGGAAAGAGAAACCAGCAGCCACTCCCCAGCTTCAGCTAAGCAGCAGGAGGCTACCTACCAGCTACGGAGCTCCCTTCAAACAAACAAACAAAAAAATCAGATCAAGCTTCCCACTCTAACCACCAGTTTGCAGAAAACAGGAGGACAAAGTTCCCAGTGAAACGACACCATGAGGCAGCAATCAGCCCAGTCCAGAATGTGAGCCCGTCCACAGGACAAACGACCTGTTTCCCTGTGATTCAGCGACAAGGAAAAAAGAAACAGGGTGGGGCGGGGAAGTGGGGAGGTGAGCTGTCATAAAATATGCAAAACAGGCCAGGTGTGGTGGCTCACGCCTGTAATCCCAGCACTTTGGGAGGCTGAGTCGGGCGGATCACGAGGTCAGGAGATTGAGACCATCCTGGCTAATACAGTGAAACCCCGTCTCTACTAAAAATATATATAAAAAAAAAATTAGCCGGGCGTGGTGGTGGGTGCCTGTAGTCCCAGCTACTTGGGAGGCTGAGGCAGGAGAATGGCGTGAACCCCGGGGGCGGAGCTTGCAGTGAGCCGAGGTCACACCACTGCACTCCAGCCTGGGCGACAGAGCAAGACTCCCTCTCAAAAAAAAAAAAAAAAAAAAAACGCAAAACAGATTTGGGGCTCAGAGGCTTAGACTTTCCAACTCCATGAATGTCCCACAGATGTTCCAAAGTCATGGGAATGACCTGGGCGCAGTGGCTCATGCCTGCAATCCCAGCACTTTGGGAGGCCGAGGCAGGAGGATCACCTGAGGTCAGGAGTTTGAGACCAGCCTAGCCAACATTTTTTTTTAGTGAAACTCCATCTCTACTAAAAATACAAAATTAGCTGGGCATGGTGGTGCACGCCTGTAATCCCAGCTACTCAGGAGGCTAGGGGAGGAGAATTCCTTGAACCTGGGAGGCAGAGGTTGCAGTGAGCCGAGATGGTACCACTGCACTCCAGCCTGGGTGACAGAGCAAGACTCTGTCTCAAAAATAAAACAAAGTCCTGAGAATGCAGGACAAACCTTCATTGCGTAACTTTTATTGTCGCTGACCCCAGCCGCGTAAACGCTGTGGTAGCATCCTAGGACCTCCACTGTGACAACTAAAAACAACCCCCACAGATTCCCATAACTCCCCCAGGGGGACAGCACTCCGGAATTCAGGACTGTTGCCCTAAACCCTCTGTTTTCCATTTCAGCTTTCCCTTACTGGTGCACGCCCCCATGCTTGGCCACCACGGCCAATTTCAAGCTACCAATAAGAGATCATTGAACATGGAATTGGAAAGAAACGCACAGTAATACATTGTTCTATAGTAAGTCTTCTTACTATGGTAAACACTTACCAGCCAGTTCTCTGGAGAAAAAAACACACTGTATGTTAGTATCTGCCAATCTGTGTGCCAATCAATGTATGTGCTCACTGCAACCTCCGCCTCCTGGGCTCAAATGAGTCTCCTGCCTTGGCCTCCTGAGTAGCTGGGACTACAGGTGCCCGTCACCACACTCAGTTAATTTTGTGTTTTTTTGTAGAGATGGGGTCTCACTATGTTACCCAGGCTGGCCTCGAACTCCTGAGCTCAAAGCGATCCTCCTGCCTCAGCCTCCCAAAGTGCTGGGATTACAGGTATGAACCATCTTGCCTGGCCTATTTACATTTATTATGTCTGTGTAATAGGCTTGCTATAGAACAATGTAATACTGTGCATTTCTTTCCAATTGCATGTTCAATGATCTCATATTGGTAGCTTGAAATTGGCCGTGGTGGCCAGGCATGGAGGCATGCACCTGTAATCTCAGCTACTCAGGAGGCTGAGGCAGGAGCATAGCTTGAAGCCAGAAGTTAAAGACCAGCCTGGGCAACATAGCAAGACCTTGTCTCTCTACAAAAAATAAAGAAAATTAGCCAGACATGGTGGCACATGTCTGTAGTCCCAGCTACTTGAGAGGCTGAGGCAAGAGGAGCCCAGGAGGTCCAGCGTCAGCTATGATCCTGACGCTGCACTCCAGCCTGAGTGACAGAGAAAGACCCTGCCTCTGAAAAATTAAAAAATAAATCTGGGCACAGTTGTTCACGCCTGTAATCTCAGCACTTTGGGAAGCTGAGGCAGGCAGATTGCTTGAGACCGGGAGTTCGAGACCAGCCTGGCTAACATGCTGTAACCCAGTCTCTACTAAAAATACAAAAATTACCTGGGTGTGGTGGTGCACACCTGTAGTCCCAGCTACTCGGGAAGCTGAGGCATGAGAATTGCTTGAACCTGGGAGGTGGAGGTTGCAGTGAGCTGAGATCACGCCACTGCACTCCAGCCTGGGTGACAGAACGAGACTCCATCTCAAGAAAAAAATAAGAAAAGTTTTTTTAAACACAAGTGTGTGAGGGTGGCTGTCCAGGGACACAAGGACACCGAAGAATGGTGATCAGTGCTTCCAGTATGGGGAAAAGTGGAACTCATTTATACAGGTAAAAATGGAGAGGTCAAACGCAGTGGCTAATGCCTGTAATCCCAGCACTTTGGGAGGCCAAGGCAGGTAGATCGTTTGAGGTCACGAGTTTGAGACCAGCCTGGTCAACATAGTGAAGCCCTGTCTCTACTAAAAAAAAAAAAATACAAAAATTAGCTGGCTGTGTGGTGGTGAGCACCTGTAATCTCAGCTACCTGGGAGGCTGAGGCAGAAGAATTGCTTGAACCTGGGAGGCAGAGGCGGGGTGGGGTGGAGGTTTCAGTGTTCCGAGATCGCACCACTGCACTCCAGCCTGGGCAAAAGAGCAAGACTCTGTCTAAAACAAACAAACAAACAAAACAAACAAAAAACCAACAACAACAACAACAAAAAATGGAGATCGTGAGCAGAATGACAGCATTTTGCATACAAAGGCTAACATACAGTTATAAGATTAGATTGACAGTTATAAAAGATTAGATTAGGTGCAGTGGCTCACACCTGTAATCCCAGCACTTTGAGAGGGTGGCGGGCTGATCATGAGGTCAGGAGTTTGAGAACAGCCTGGCCAACCCTGGTGAAATCCTGTCTCTACTAGATACAAAAAATTAGCCGGGCATGGTGGCTGTGCCTGTAATCCCAGCTACTCGGGAGGCTGAAGCAGAATTGCTTGAACCTGGGAGGCAGAGGTTGCACTGAGCCAATATCGTGCCATTGCACTCCAGCCTGGGTGACAGGGTGAGACTCCATCTCAAAAAACAAAACGAAAAAAAGGCCGGGCACGGTGGCTCACGCCTATAATCCCACCCAGCACTTTGGGAGGCTGAGGTGGGCGGATCATGAGGTCAAGAGATCGAGACCGTCGTGGCTAACATGGTGAAACCCCCATCTCTACTAAAAATTTAAAAAAAATTTTTTTAAATTAGCTGGGCATGGTGGCGGGCACCTGTAGTCCCAGCTACTCGGGAGGCTGAGGCAGGAGAATGGCGTGAACCCGGGAGGCAGAGCTTTCAGTGAGCTGAGATCACGCCACTGCACTCCAGCCTGGGCGACAGAGCGAGACTCCGTCTCAAAAAGAAAAAAAATTGTAGGCCGGGCACAGTGGCTCATGCCTGTAATCCCAGCACTTTGGGAGGCCGAGGTGGGCAGATTATGAAGTCAGGAGATCGAGACCATCCTGGCTAACATGGTGAAACCCCGTCTCTACTAAAACTACAAAAAGTAGCCAGGCGTGGTGGTGGGCGCCTGTAGTCCCACCTACTCAGGAGGCTTAGGCAGAAGAATGGTGTGAACCCGGGAGGTAGAGCTTGCAGTGAGCCAAGATCGAGCCACTTGCACTCCAGCCTGGGCTACAGAGCGAGACTTGTCTCAAAAAAAAAAAAAAAAAAAGAAAAAGAAAAAAGAAAGAAATTTACTCTTTCTGGACGGGCGGGGTGAGGTGGCTCACGCCTATAATCACAGCACTTTGGGAGGCCGAGGCAGGTGAATCATGTGAGGGCTGAAGTTCGAGAGCAGCCTGGGCAACATAGTAAAACCCTGTGCCTACAAAAAATGCAAAAATTAGCTGGGCATGGTGGTGCACATCTGTAATCCCATCTATTCAGAAGGCTGAGGAATGAGAATCACTTGAGCCCAGGAGGCAGAGGTTGCAGTGAGCTGAGATCGCACCACTGCACTCCAGCCTGGGTGACAGGGCAAGACTCGGTCTCAAAAAAAA
This sequence comes from Homo sapiens, assembly GCF_000001405.40. Classification (NCBI taxonomy): domain Eukaryota; kingdom Metazoa; phylum Chordata; class Mammalia; order Primates; family Hominidae; genus Homo; species Homo sapiens. The sequence continues at coordinate 48,690,699 of NC_000019.10, read as the reverse complement.
TGTTTTTAAAGGCCTGGCACGGTGGCTCATGCCTGTAATCCCAGCACTTTGGGAGGCCGAGGCAGGCGGATCACCTGAGGTCAGGAGTTCAAGACCAGCCTGGCTAACGTGGTGAAACTGTCTTCCACTAAAAATACAAAAAAGTAACCGAGCTTGGTGGCATGCGCCTGTAATACCAGCTGCTTGGGAGGGTGAAGCAGGAGAATCGCTTGAACTCAGGAGGGGTGGCTGCAGTGAGCTGAAATCATGCCACTGTACTTCAGCTTGGGCAACAGGAGGGAAACTCCATCTCAAATAAAAAGAAAAGAAAGTTTATTCTTTCTGAGAGCCCCTACCCATCAGGGTTTCATCTGCATTAAAAGACAGCCCTCCGTAGCCAGGCCTTTCTTCTCTCTCTTCCATAACCTGTCTCACCAGTCTCCAAGTCCTGATTCTTCTTTAACCTCAGAGTGATATAAAAACTTCGTCGGGCACGGTGGCTCAGCCAGGCACGGTGGCTCACGCCTGTAATCCCAGCACTTTGGGAGGCTGAGGCGGGCGGATCACTTGAGGTCGGCAGTTCGAAACCAGCCTGACCAACATGGAGAAATCCCATCTCTACTAAAAATACAAAATTAGCCGGGCATGGTGGCGCATGCCTGTAATCTCAGCTATTCAGGAGGCTGAGGAGGGAGAATCGCTTGAACCCGGGAGGCAGGGGTTGTGGTGAGCCGAGATCGCACCATTGCACTCCAGCCTGGGGAACAAGAGTGAAACTCTGTCTCAAAAAACAACTTCAGCTATCTGGCCCTTTCTCTGAGTTTGCGTATTTTCTGTGAGTCCTGTGTGCACATGATAAAATGTGTATTCCTTTCTCCTGCTATCTGGCTATTATTAGTTTGATTTATATAGACTCAAATGTTTTAACCTCCAGGGGAAACATTTTAACTTCCCCGCAGTTCTGGCACTGTGAGCAGGATGCAAATCAAATCACTCTTGTTTCGGAGCCTACAGATGGTTTTCTGGGACAAATGATAAATAGCTGGCAGAAAAAGGTGAGATTTCTTACCAGCTCCTTGGATCTCTGCCTGTGGGACCCGGTCCAGTAAAGGTGGTAAAAGTCTTGGTTTTTTTCCCTTTCCAAAACTGGATTAACGGGAAAAAACGTATGTGAACCAGTTTGCTTATAAAATAAATTGATGGGCCGAGTGTGGTGACTCATGCCTGTAATCCCAGCACTGTGGGAGGCTGAGGCTGAAGGATCGCTTGAGGCCAGGAGTTCAAGAGCACCCTGGACAACACAGCAAGAGCCATCTCTGCCAAAATTTTATTTATTATTATTTTATTTATTTTTATTTATTTATTTATTCCAAGACAGAGTTTCCCTCTTGTTGCCCAGGCTGGAGTACAATGGCACAATCTCGGCTCACTGCAACCTCTGCCACCCAGGTTCTAGCGATTCTCCTGCCTCAGCCTCCCGAGTAGCTGGGATTACAGGCGTGCGCCACCACGCCCGGCTAATTTTTGCATTTTTAGTAGAGACGGGGGTTTCACCAAGTTGGTCAGGCTGATCTCAGGTGATCCACCTGTCCTGGCCTCCCAAAGTGCTGGGATTACAGGCATGAGCCACCACGCCAAGCCTTCTAAAAATGTGGAAAATAGCCGGGCATGGTGGTGTATGCCTGTGGTCCCAGCTACTTTGGAGGCTGAGGTGGGAAGATCACTTGAGCCCAGGAGATAGAGGCTGCAGTGAGTCACGATGGTGGCACTGCACTCCAGCCTGAGCGACAGAGCAAGACCTTGTCTCAAAAAAAGAAAAAAAAGACTTGTTTCCCCATCTACCTCCACTCTTTCTTCCTTTTGTCTCCTTCAATAGCACATGAAGAGATTTAAAAGAGACGAGTTAATGGGTGCAGCACACCAACATGGCACATGTATGCATATGTAACAAACCTGCACGTTGTGCACATGTACCCTAGAACTTAAAGTATAATAATAAAAAATATATATAAAATAAAAAAGAGACTTTTAGTGATTCTGAGCCTCCTTGAGGAGCTCAGCCAAAGCACCACAGACTTCCTTTTTGGGGTCTTCTGTCTTCCTCACGGAGCCCCAAGAGTCGAGGGTGGGGTCTAATCCTCTGCTCTCTTTTGCACTAAACTCCCTGATCTCTTTGGCTTTTGAAGGTCCAAGGGTTACTTTCTTCTCTTTTTTTTTGAGAGAGAGTCTTGCTCTTGTTGCCCAGGCTGGAGTGCAATGGCACAATCTCGGCTCACTACAACCTCCGCCTCCCGGGTTCAAGCGATTCTCCTGCCTCAGCCCACCGAGTAGTTAGGATTACAGGCATGTGCCACCACGCCCGGCTAATTTTGTATTTTTAGTAGAGACGGGGTTTCTCCATGTTGGTCAGGCTGGTTCTGAACTCCCGACCTCAGGTGATCCACCCGCCTTGGTCTCCCAAAGTGCTGGGATTACAGACGTGAGCCACCACACCGGGCCCAGGAGGGTTACTTTCTAAGGTAAGAAAACACTTGACCTTTGGTCATGGGATAACTAAGTAGTTACTGTCAATAGCTACAATTTTGAAGATAACTGACAAGGTTGGAATGAATGGTTATTACCACAGTGGGCAAATTTTATCCTCCTCATTTCTTCATGCATTGAGATAAGAAAAAACTCAGATTTCTGACTGAGCCAAGCAGAACTGACAGTAAAGTGTGCCTTGCAGCCCAGGCTGAGTGTGGGAGCTTTTAACAGCCTGTCCCTGGGCATTTCCCTCTTGGGCTTTGCCACTGGTCTAGGGGATCAGGGATTCAGCCTAGGAATGGGATCCGTGATTTCTGGGATCCAAGAGCTCTGCCTTCCAGCTGTGCCTGCTTTTTCTATAGGTGAGGCTTAGGCCAGTCCTGGAAACTCCACGTGCTTTCTCGGCTTTATCTGTAAATGGACTCAGTAATCCAGTTAAAAAACAGAAAGTAGGGCCGGGAGCGGTGGCTCACACCTGTAATCGCAGCACTTTGGGAGACCGAGGCGGGCGGATCATCTGAGTTCGGGAGTTCCAGACCAGCCTGACCAACATGGAGAAACACCCCCTGCCCCCCCACCACCCCATCTCTACTAAAAATGCAAAATTAGCCGGGCATGGTGGTGGGTGATTGTAATCCCAGCTACTCAGGAGGCTGAGGCAGGAGAATCACCTGAACCCGGGAGGCGGAGGTGGTGGTGAGCCGAGATCGTGCCATTGCACTCCAGCCTGGGCAAAAAGAGTGAAACTGTCTCAAAAAAAAGGAAAAAAAGAAAAGAAAAGAAAGAAAACCAGAACAGAAAGTAGGCCAGCACGCCTACAATCGCAACACTTTGGGGGCTGGAGGTGGGAGGATCTCTTGAGGTCAGGTGTTTGAGATCAGACTGGGCAACAGAGGGAGAACCAATCTCAAAAACAACAAAAGAACTTACATTCTTTCTCTTTGCCTTGAGATATAAATTGATATCCTGTTTTCTTTAAAATTTGGCTGGGCCCGGTGGCTTACGCCTGTCATCCCAGCGCTTTGGGAGGCAGAGGAGGGTGGATCACTTGAGGCCAGGAATTTGAGACTAGCCTGGGAAACATGGTGAACCCCATCTCTACTAAAAATACAAAAATTAGCCAGGCATGGTGGAGCACGCCTGTAAATCCCAGCTACTCAGATGGCTGAGGCACAAGAATCTCTTGAGCCCAGGAGGCAGAGGTTGCGGTGAGCTGAGATCGAGCCACTGCAGTCCAGCTTGGGTGACAGAGCAAGACTCTGTCTCAAAAATAAATAAATAGGCTGGGTGCGGTGGCTCACGCCTATAACTCAGCACTTTGGGAGGCTGAGGCAAGAGGATCCCTTAAACCCAGGAGTTCAAGACCAGCCTGGGCAACATAGTGAGACCCCATCTTTAAAAAAAATATACAAAAATTAGCCAAGTGTGGCAGTGAGTGCCTGTGGTCCCAGCTACTCGGGAGGCTGAGGCAGGAGGAGCACTTGAGCCCGGGAGGCAGAGGTTGCAGTGAGTTGTGTTTGCACCACTGCACACCAACCTGGGTGACAGAGCGAGACTGTGTCTCAAAAATAAACGAATAAAATATTATAATAGAGCATATATAGAAACCTCATCTCTGGCACTTTGTATTGGCATTGCAGATGAAGTACAGGAGATGACTGATATTCAATAATGGTGCTCGGAGATTTCGTTTTCCATATTAAAAAAAATGAATTTAATATATATATACACACACACACCCCATCTGGGTTTGTGTAAATATACTCTATGATGTTCATACAACATGAAATTGCCTAATAATACATTTCTCAGAACACATCCCTATTGTTAAGTGACCCATGACCATATTGTTGAATGAATGAAAGTATTTCCAGAATTTTACTTCCTGGGACAGTGTCCATGAAATCATCTCCAGGACTACTAGCCCTGTGCCAAGGACACTGAAACCTTTCATCTCTAAGCTGCTTTCCTGCTAAGCCATGGGGTTCTCTTTTCGCTCTGTTTGTACAATCCATTCAATTAATATGCATTAGACGTTCTATGTGTTTCCCCGGTTGCTCTAAGAAGGTAACACACAACTGGGTCCCTCAAAGCAAAAGAAAATCATTCTCCTTTAGTTTTTCTTTTTTCTTTTTTTTTTTTTTTTTTTGAGACAGGGTCTCACTCTGTCTCCCAGGTTGGAGTGATCTTGGCTCACTGCAGCCTCCGCCTCCTGTTTAAGCAATTCTCCCACCTCAGCCTCCCAAGCAGCTGCGGTTACAGGCATACACCATCACGCCCGGCTAATTTTTGTGTTTTTAGTAGAGATGGGGTTTCGCCATGTTAGGCAGGCTGGCCTCAAACTTCTGACCTCAGGTGACCCACCTGCCTCGGCCTCCCAAAGTGCTGGAATTACAGGTGTGAGTCATCACGCCCAGCCCGTTCTCCCTTAGTTCTGGAGGCCCAGAGTTAATCTCTGCCTTTGTCATCATGTGGCTTTCCTTTCTTTGGTGTCTGTGTGGTCACCCGTCATAACGGATTAGGGACACCACACACCCTACTCCAGTATAACCTGGACTTAACCAGTTACACCTACAATTATCTTACTGTAAACCACAAATAAAATTCTCAGTCCCCCAGGTAACTGAATGGACCCTCCCTCTAGACCAAGGGCATTCTAAAGTAAACCTGAAACACTAGTTCAGCCCAGGATGGGACTGGGTGGCTGGACATGCCTCATTATACCCTCCTGCCATTGTAATTCAGGCTCAGCTGACCAGTGTTTAACATCAACACAGACCTCAAGACTGACCAGGGCTGGGCACGGTGGCTCATGCCTGTAATCCCCGCAATTTGGGAGGCCGAGGTGGGCGGATCACTTGAGGTCAGGAGTTCCAGACCAGCCTGGACAACATGGTGAAACCCCATCTCTACTGAACATACAAAAAATTAGCCAGGCATGGTGGTGTGCTCCTGTTATCTCAGCTACTCAGGAGGCTGAGGCAGGAGAATCACTTGAACCTGGGAGGCGGAGGTTGCAGTGAACCGAGATTGTGCCACTGCACTCCAGCCTGGGTGACGGACTGAGGTCCTACTTGGGGCTAGGACTTTAATATATGAACTTGGCCAAGGGAGGCTGGGTGCAGTGACTCACGCCTGTAATCCCAGCACTTTGGGAGGCTGAGGCAGGAGGATAACCTATGGTCAGGAGTTCGAGACCAGCCTGGCCAACATGGTGAGACCCCATCTCTACTAAAAATACAAAAATTAGCAGGGAGTGGTGGCAGGTGCCTGTAGTCCAAGCTACTCAGGAAGCTGAGGCAAGAGAATCACTTGAACCTGGGAGGCGGAGGTTGCAGTGGGCTGAGATCGCACCACTGCTCTCTAGCCTGGGTGACAGAGAGAGTCTCTGTCTCAAAAAAATGAAACAAGGAAACTTGGCCGGGGACTCGTCACAAGTCAAACCATAAGGAACATGTGCTGTGCACTGGATACTGTCTGAGGTGCTGGGGTATGCAATCCCCTTCTTTAGGGGACTTAAGTGGCCCCTGTCCTGCTCAGCTTCCTTTTGTCCCCTTCTGGTGAGGGACAGGGCGGGCTTTTAGGTGTCTGTCCAACTTCTGCTTTGGAATTTGCAAATGCAGTAAGAAACTCAGTAAATATTTATTGATGAATTAGTGCAGCTTGTTGGCAGCTTGCCAGCTTCTGCTTGGGCTTTTGTAATGTGAAAGCTGTTGGCTGGGCACAGTGGCTCACGCCTGTCATCCCAGAAGTTTGGGAGGCCGAGGTGGAAGGATCACTTGCGGTCAGACCAGCCTGGCCAAAATGGCAAAACCCCATCTCTACTAAAAATACAAAAATCAGCTGGATGTGGCAGCGGGTGCCTAAAATCCCACTTGGGAGGCTGAGGTGGGAGGACTGCTTGAACCCAGGAGGCGGAGGTTGCAGTGAGCTGAGATGGCGCCACTGCACTCCAGCCTGGGCGAAAGAGCCATCGCACTCAGCCCTCCTCCTGAGTTTTTTTTTTTTTTTCTTTGAGACGGAGTCTCACTCTGTCACCAGGCTGGAGTGCAGTGGCGCGATCTCAGCTCACAGCAACCTCTGCCTCCTGGGTTCAAGCGATTCTCCTGCCTCAGCCTCCTGAGTAGCTGGGATTACAGGCACCTGCCACCACGCCCAGCTAATTTTTGTATTTTTAGTAGAGACGGGGTTTCACCGTGTTGGCCAGGATGGTCTCGATCTCTCGACCTGGTGATCCACCCGCCTGGGCCTCCCAAAGTGCTGGGATTACAGGCATGAGCCACCGTGCCTGGCCCCTCCTGTGTTCTTTAACACCTCCCAAGCCCAAACCCTGTTACTGGCAGCAAATCCGTGTGGGTCTGCAGCAACCTCAATTCTTGTCTCCTAAGAAGAAAGAATTCGACTGAGGGGAATAGGCAGAAGGAAAGACCAAGGCAGCCTGGGCAATAGGCTCTCATTTAGAGCAGGAGAGAAAGTTTATTGAAAAGCTTTAGAGCAGGGACAAAAGGAATGAAAGTACACTTGGAAGAGGGCTAAGCGGGCGACATGAAAGACAAGTGTGCAGTTTGACCTTTTGAGTTGGGGTTTTATATGTTGGCACACTTCTGGGGTCTTGCGTCCCTTCTCCCCAGTTCCTCCCTTGGGGTGGGCTGTTCACTTAGGCGGTGGCCTACCAGCGCCTGGGTGGGGAGCATGCGCAGTGTGTTTACTGAAGTTATACGCGTGCTCACTTGAAGCGTTCTTCCCTTACCCACTGAATGTCCCCAGGAGGTCATGTACCAATTAAACTCTGCTATTTTGCCTCTTAGTGCACATGCTTGTGCCCACTCGCCGAACTCCCAAGATCTTATTGGGAAGCTGCTGATCACCAGCTTCGGGTGTTTTCTTTTCTTTTTCTTTTTTTGAGATGGAGTTTCTCTCTTGTTGCCCAGGCTGGAGTGCAATGGCGCGATCTCAGCTCGCTGCAACCTCCACCTCCCAGGTTCAAGCGATTCTCCTGCCTCAGCCTCCCAAATAGCTGGGATTACAGGCGCGCATCACCACACCGGCTAATTTTTTTTTTTTTTGAGACGGAGTCTCACTCTGTCGCCCAGGCTGGAGTGCACTGGCGCGATCTCTGCTCACTGCAAGCTCTGCCTCCCGGGTTCACGCCATTCTCCTGCCTCAGCCTCCCGAGTAGCTGGGACTACAGGAGCCCGCCCGCCACCACGCCCGGCTAATTTTTTTGTATTTTTTCTTTTTTTTAGTAGAGACGGGGTTTCACCTTGTTAGCCAGGATGGTCTTGATCTCCTGAATTCGTGATCCGCCAGGCTCGGCTTCCCAAAGTGCTCGATTACAGGCATGAGCCACCGTGCCCGGCCTAATTTTTGTATTTTTATTAGAGACAGGGTTTCGCCACGTTGGCCAGGCTGGTCTTGAACTCCTGACCTCAGGTGATCCGCCCACCTCGGGCCCCCAAGTGCTGGGATTATAGGCGTGAGCCACCACACCTGGCCAGCTTCGGGTGTTTTCTGTCTACTGGGAGACTACCATTCCTTGGCACCAGCTGCAAGCAATTTATTTATTTATTTATTTAATTTTATTGAGACAGGGTCTTATTCTGTTGCCCAGGCTGGAGTACAGTGGTGTGATCATGGCTCACTGCAGCCTCAACCTCCCAAGCTCAGGTGATCCTCCCACCTCAGCCTCCTGATTATCTGGGACCATGGGTGTGTGCCACCAGGCACAGCTAATTTTTGTAGAGATGAGGTTTCAATATGTTTCCCAGGCTGGTCTCGAACTCCTGGGCTCAAGGGATCCCCCTCCAACTCAGCTCTCAAAGTGTTGGGATTACAGAAATGAGCCACTGCACCCAACCTTGAAAAGGTTTCAAATGGGAAAGAGATGTGATTGGAATGTTTTCTAAACCACTGCACCTACATTTGGTGGAAATGTTTAATGCATGTAAATGATCATTGTATATGTCAAGTTTTTTTAATGTCCAAAAGGAGCATTACACCAATAAAACACAGGAAAACTCGCACTGCAATTACTTAATCCAACTTGCACCCGTACTGAGCTTTCTCAGAGTGGCATTAGGTTCTCGGGGGTTAGGCAGTGCCAGGTGTGAGGTATCTTTTTCCAGTAACTGTCACACACGCTGCTGCTGAGATGGCCATGATTTGGTCTTAGTGGCCCCTGGGGGTCAGGTTGCTGCTTCCAGGATCTGAGGAGTGTCTTTTCTGCCCTCACTGTGACGCCTTCTTCCCTGCGCCCAGGGTGCTACCTGCACCTAAACCCCTCCCCTGTCCATCGCAGGGGAATCCCTCCTCATAGGTGTGTCCCTGCAAATCCTGTCTTCCCTGGAATTCTATTTTTTTTTTTTTTTTTGCGATGGAGTCTCGCTCTGTGGCCCAGGCTGGAGTGCAGTGGTATGATCTCGGTTTACTGCAACCTCTGCTTCCCAATTCAAGCTATCCTCCTGCTTCAGCCTCCGGAGTAGCTGGGATTAGGGGCACGCACCACCGTGCCTGGCTTTTTGTATTTTTAGTAGAGACTGGGTTTCGCCATGTTGGCCAGGCTGGTCTCGAACTCCTGACCTCAAGTGATCCACCAGCCTTGGCTTCCCAAAGGGCTGGGATTACAGGCGTGCCACCGCACCCGGCCCTTCCCTCACATTCTTTTGTGATAAGGCCCACTAACTCCAAAGCCAAAATTCCTAGTTGCCCAGAAAATCGAGTTCCCCTATCCTTCAGGGCAGGGATGGCTTCGTCCTGGGACGTGAGTGCAAAATATCTGGGCTCTGTGCTACCAGTGCTGCCAGGAAGGAGAGGGCAAAACTGCGTTTCCATTGGAAAGCAATGCCAGTGTTCCTGACGTGCTGCATACATGTGAGCAGCCGACACCTCCCACACGGTCACAAGGCACTGGCTCTAAGCGAATTTGCTCAGCTCCCACCAGCTGCTACTGGTGTTTAGTTCTGTGGTTTGTGCATTTTGTGGTTGACATACTAAGGCACAGAGGTTGAGTCAGTTGTCCAAACTCACTCAGCTATGAAGTAGATAAGCCTGGATCCAAACTGCATGAGGGACCGTGAGTCCATGCCCCGCACGCCCCACTCACTGCCCCTCGGGTCACAGGATGAGGACCAGGCACATGCAGGGCTGGCTAGAGGCCGTTCTGTCCAGCCTGTCCAAGGTCAGCCGCAAGGCCCACCCACTCTGGCAGGAAGGCCGCTTACGGCCTAAAGACCACGTTGAAAGGGGAGTTGGGCAGGGTGAAGTTGGCCAGGTAGACAGTGTCCCCGCCCGCGAGGTACGCGGCCCAGACCCCGAAGGTGCCCACGGTGATGATGGTGTGGTTGCACTGTGTGAGCAGTGCGAAGTCCTTGGCAGGTGAGCCCTGGAGGCCATTGCCAGCGAACACCACGTCCCCAAGGGAGCTGTTGATGCTCTCCCGGCACCAGGCCATGTCATCGCTGGTGACCACAAAGACCGGGAGGCGGCAGCAGGCCCGGAACCAGTCCAGGGCCCGCTGCAGGTAGCCGGTCGGCCAGCACCCCCTTCCATACGCGCGGCATGACACGGACATAGTCCCCCCGGCGCACGTGGACCCCCACGAAGGTCGCCTGCCCTGCCCACTTGGCCTGCAGGCCCCGCAGGAACTTCTGGGCCTCCTCGCGCACGTGGTCGTGCAGGGTGAACTCCTGGAGGATCTCCTGGCGGAGGTGGTGGTAGAAGGTCCAGGAGCAGGGGTAGCCCGTGAGGCGGACACAGCGCCCCGGGATGTGGCGGTACTCCTCCTCCATCCAGTCGTTCAGGTGGTAGTTCTGCCAGGGGATCCTGCTGGCCGTGGCGCTGTGCAGCACCGGCAGGGTGATTCTGAAGATGGGGGCCAGGGTGCTGTGCATCTGGGCCGGGATGAAGGCGGGCCGCCCGTTCATCTTGGCCAGGGCGTACAGCGTGGCGTACTCGCCCATCTGGTTCCCCAGGCGGCCCTTGGAGTTGATAGTGAACAGGTCCTCCCGGGGCAGGTGTCTGGGGGCCAGGACCACACGGGCTGAGTATGCCCAGGGCGCAGGCACCAGAGCCAGGTGCTGGTGGCAGTGAAAGATGGTGGACACCACAAAAATGGCAAAGACGAAGTAGAAGGTGGAGAAGGAAGGGCGGGTGGCCCAGAATCCCTTGACGGCTGTGGGGAGGAGAGAGGACATGGTCAGGAGGCAGGGCTGGGGGGACAGGAGTCTCTTCACCCACCCCCTGCCAAAGTCATTCATTCACTCACTCAATCCATCCAAGCCTCTGTCCTGAGCACCACAGTGCATGGGAGAGGCCTCAGAGCACAGACCCTGGGGTCTTTCCACCTGAGGCTGAGTTCCTGCTGGAAGTCCCAGCCTCACCAGCACCTTGTGACTTCAGTCAAGTTACTGCACCTCGCTGAGCACAGCGGCTTGTGCCTGTAATCCTGGCACTTTGGGAGGCTGAGATGGGAGGATCACTTGAGCCCAAGTTCAAGACCAGCTTGAGCAAAAAAAGTGAGACCCTATCTTTACAAAAAAAAAAAATTTTTTTTAAAATTAGTCAAGCATGGTGGCATGCACCTGTGGTCCCAGCTACTTGGGAGGCTGAGGTGGGAGGATTGCTTGAGCCCAGGAGGTTGAGGCTGCAGTCAACTGTGATTGTGCCCCCGCACCCCAGCCTGGGCAACAGAGCAAGACCCTGTCTCAAAAACAACAAGAAGTTACTGAGTTTCTCTGAGTCTGTTTCCTCACCTGTTAAATGGGGATGAGTAGATGGAACTATTTGAAAGTGCCAATATTTAACCCGATTTTACCTACACTCATGGCCATTTCTTTTTTTTTTTTTTTTTGGCGATGGAGTCTTGCTTTGTCACCCAGGCTGAAGTGCAGTGGCACGATCTTGGCTCACTGCAACCTCCGCCTCCCGGGTTCAAGCGATTCTCCTGCCTCAGCCTCCTGAGTAGTTGGGATTACATGCATGCACTGCCAACCCTGGCTAATTTTTGTATTCTTAGTAGAGACGGGGTTTCACCATGGTGGCCAGGCTGGTCTCGAACTCTTGACCTCGTGATCCACCCGCCTCAGCCTCCCAAAGTGGTGGGATTACAGGCATGAGCCACCGTGCCTGGCCTACTCACGGCCATTTCTATGATTCTACCTCACAGAACTACCTCATGGGGTTGCTTGAAGATTAAATGTGATGATTTTGTAAAGCAGTGCCTCGCACACAGGAAATGCCCTGTATGTGTTGGAAAATCAATACCTGCAGTGGCTGGGCACGGTGGTTCACACCTGTAATCCCAGCACTTCGGGAGGCCAAGGTGGGCGGATCACCTAAGGTCAGGAGCTTGAGACCAGCCTGGCCAACATGGCAAAACCCCATCTCCACTAAAAATACAAAAATTAGCCGGGCATGGTGGCGGGTGCCTGTAATCCCAGCTACTCAGGAAGCTGAGGCAGGAGAATCGCTTGAACCCAGGAGGTGGAGTTTGCAGTGAGCCGAGATTGTGCCACTGCACTCCAGCCTGGGTGACAGAACGAGACTGTCTCAAAAAAAATAAAAATAACATAAATAAAATCAATACTTGCAGAGTATTTATTACAATGCCAGGCACGGTGCTCAGGGCCAGGAAGCCAGCAGAGGAAAAAACAGGTAAGAATCTTTGGTGCCCGTGCAGAGTTTGGGAAAGAGCACAGGTGGGCCCAAGTTCATGGACAGGCTCTGCCTTCTGCAGGCTGGTGACCTGGAGGTGTTATTTAACTCCTCCTCTCCTCCTCCAAGAAATGGGGCTGCCACACCCCTGCACTGATAAGTGCTAAGCGTTTCCTGATACTATTAGTGGGTGTGGTGGGTTCAAGCCACCACAGACTCCTGGACTCCCTTTCCCTTGGATCTGGGCGGGCCCATGACTGCCTTGACCACTTTAATATAGTGCAAGTGAAATTGTGTCCATTTCTGGCCCAGGACTTAAAGAACTAACAGCTTTCATGTCTTGCCTTGAGAATGTTCCCTCTGCACTATCGTGTCAAGCTGGAGAGTTCAGCTTTTGTTTTTTGAGACAGGTTCTCACTCTGTCACCTAGGATGGAGTGCCAGTGGTCTGATCACAGCTGGGCTCAAGGGATCCTTCCACCTCAGCCTCCCCAGTAGCTGGCACCACAGGCATGTGCCACCATGCCCCGCTAATTCTTACATTTTTTGTAGAGATGGGGTCTCACTGTGTTTCCCAGGCTGGTCTTGAACTCCTGGGCTCAAGCAATCCTCCTGCCTTGGCCTCCCAAAGTACTGAGATTATAGGCATGGGCCAGTTTTAGCTTTTGTATGTAGGGTTATGATTATTCATTTTTTTCTTTTCTTTTCTTTTCTTTTTTTTTTTTATGATGGAGTTTTTGCTCTGTTGCCCTTGCTGGAGTGCAGTGGTGTGATCTCGGCTCACTGCAACCTCTGCCTCCTGGGTTCAAGCGATTCTCCTGCATCAGCCTCCCAAGTAGGTGGGACTACAGGCACCCGCCACCACGCCCAGCTAATTTTTGTATTTTTAGTAGAGACAAAGTTTCACCATGTTGGCCAGGCTGGTCTGGAACACTTGACCTCAGGTGATCCACTCACCTCAGCCTCCCAAAGTGCTGAGATTACAGGCGTGAGCCACCACGTCCAGCCAGCTCTTTTTTGGCAACCACTTTGAGATATAATTAATATACCCTACCATTCACCCACGTAAGGTGTGCGATTTAATGGCTTTTAGTATATTTACAGAGCTGTGCAACCAGCACAATCAATTTTTGAATATTTGCATAGCCCCCCTCCCAAAAAAACCCACACCCTTTAACCATCTCCCCACAATCTTCCCTGTTCCTTGTCCCCCCACCAAGTAATCTCCTTTCTGTCTTTATGGATTTGCCTATTCTCGATTTTTCATGTGACTGCAATCACACACTCCATGGCCTTCCGAGTCTGGCTTCCTCACTCGGCACCGTGTTTCAAGGTCCATCCACACTATAGCACGTGTCACAGCCTCACGCCTTTCTTTTCTTTTTCTTTTTTTGAGACGGTGTCTCACTCTGTCGCTCAGGCTGGAGTGCAATGGCGCAATCTCGGCTCACTGCAACTTCTACCTCCTGGGTTTCAGTGATTCTCCTGCGTCAGCCTCCCGAGTAGCTGGGACTACAGGTAGGACTACAGGTACAGCCACCACGCCCAGATAATTGCCTCACTCCTTTCAAGACTGAAAGTCCCATTGTCCAGGTAGACCACAATGTATTCACTCATCAGGTGATAGGCACTGGAGTTGTTTCCAGTTTTCGGCTGTTGCAAATAGTGCTGCCACGAACCTGTGTGCTGGGTCACAGGGTGAACTCTACGTTGAATCGTTTTGGGAGCTGCCAGGTGGCTGCCCCAGTTTCCGTTTCCACCAGCAGTACGGGAAGGCCCCATTTCCCAGCCTCGCTCGCCGTCGTGTTTGGTTGTGGTGGGTGTGCAGGGCCATCTCACCGTGGGGCCCACACCTATTCACCTCCAGGTCCAGCCCTGACCACTGGGCCTGACTGGGCTCCAAGGACCTCGGTCCCGGTCCTCGCCGTGGGATGGATGGTCCCTTCTCCGGGGGCTGCTCTTTCCGAGTCTCCTCCAGCTCTCCCCAGGGCTCCCAGAAGGTCCTCTGCTCCCAGCCTCTACCATGTCCTGATCGGCTTTCTCTTCTCCCCTTGTCCACTCCTCTGACCAATGTCCTATGGTTTCCCTGTGGCCACTCCAATGGCTACAGCTCAGCAGTCATCCCTTCACCCCCTCCCTCCCACCCCATTCCTGCTGAAGCCCTGGTTGGCATGGGCTCACCCCTAAAACTTCTGGCTTCTGCCTCACCCCTCCCGGCTCCCCATCTCTCCCTCCGCCTGTCCTCTTAAACATCGGGGGCCTACAGGCCTCTTCAACTGTCATCCTCCTCTATTCCAGGGCTCCTCATTTGGTTCATCTGGCCCTTCTGAGAAGCCTGAACAATCTGGGGCCCTCCAGGCCTCTTCAGCTGTCATCCTCCTCTATTCCAGGGCTCCTCATTTGGTTCATCTGACCCTTCTGAGAAGCCTGAACACTCTGGGGCCCTCCTTGAAAGTCTCGTGTGGGTCCCCAGCAAGGCCAGCTGGCCTAAGGCCTAAGAAAAATGCTCCTGGTGCTGCTTTAGTTTGCAAAAAGTGAATTAAATCTGCCCAAGCCTTTTTTCACTGAGCTGGTGAAAACTGTGTCCCAAACATGATCTTGCCATCCACTCAACTCAGGGTCCTGCCCCACGGAGAAGGAGCTGAGCTCTGAGCCCAGCTGGAGCCCCCAGGCAGGTCCCAAGGCTAGAGCTGGGGTCAGTGGGGGTGCAGGGCAGGGACAGGAGCCTGGGTCACTGGCCAAGGGAAACCAGCTCAGGACAAGGGTGCCCCCCGCGGGGTCCGCCTTCATTTTGTGTGACTCGTGCAGTTGCGCTGAGACAGGCCCCACGCTTGCTTTAATGATCTGGTGTTGCCGTCTTAAAATCCTTCATAAATTCTAAACAAGGGGTCCTGTGTCTGCATTTTCCCCCAGGCCCTGCAGATCAAGCAGTGGGTACCGCGGCTGCTCTGGCTTCTCCTGGAATCTCAGGTGCTCCCTCTTGTGGCTGTTCTCAGCCTAGACAACCAGAAAGCCGCAGAAAAGCACCAGCCAAGGCCGAGGCTGCGAGGGTGCTGGCGGGCAGGCCCATCACGGGGCTGGCTGTCCTGGTCCGCGATTCCTTGTCAGCCATTTTCCTCAGGGGGAGCGGCAAACGCCAACCTGGACTGAACTCATCTGGGGACAACCCTGGCTTGGAGGAGGGTCATGTGGCTATTTGCAGACTTTACTTCTCTTACTGTGAACACCCATGTGCTCTGCTGCCTAAAACATAACATGTTTGACAATGTGATGCGGCCCAGACCTACCATGGATGCCATGTCACGTACGTACTATGCATCCGACAACAGGGCCAGGAAGCAGAAGGTTCCGGAACACGACTTTCCCAGAGAGCTCAGATAAGAACCCGTGGGCATGTCAGCTCATTCAGTCCTCATGACCCCCTCCGCCCACCATGAGGAAGGTCCATTCTTTCTTCCTCATTTAACAGATGAGGAAATGAAGGCACAGAGAGGTTAAGAAGCTTGTTCTCGGTCACACAGCTAGGACAGAGGTGGATTTGAACCCAGGCAGTATGGCTGGGGTTACCATCCTGGCCTTTTTGAACATGTCCGGGAGGGCAGGCCCTACCCAGCCACACAATGCCCAGTAACTCCTGCGGGTGACCTGCCCTGCCTCGTGGAGACTCCGTTATATCTGGGCCACCAAGGCAGGGGTTAGAGGTCTGTGTGAGCCCAGCACTGAGGTTCTCTCTGGGTTGAACCCACCTCAGAGATGTGCCTTGGGCAGGCCTGGCCTTCTGTAGAAGCTGTGAGGGTGAAGGTCTCCAGCCCTTAAAGAACTCTCCCCAACAAAAAAAACAGTCTCCTTCCCAGCTTGGGGCACTATGTGCTCGGCTGTGGCAGCTCCGTCTGTTCTTCCCCGCCTGCCCCCGGGCACCCGCAGGGGCGCCCATCAACTCAGGCAGCTCAAGCTGCAAGGAACAAAAGCTTCCCTCCAGGAGCCGGAGCTTGAGACTTCGCCCAGGTGGGGAGGAAGACGCAGCGAGACCTAAGCCTTCTTCCTCAGTTTTGTGTGGCAGCAAAGCTGGGTTCTGTGCTGGCGGTGGGCTCAGCACAAATGCCCCTCCGCATCACCCCACTTACATCTGCAATCCCCGGGCCCCCGTGGCCGCCCCCCCCACTTGCTTTGCTCCAAGGCACTTGGCACCTTCCAACAACCTAGAGCACAGAAGGACCTGCGCTGCTGGGGTCTCCCCCTCCCTCTCTGGACACTGAGCCTGATGGGGCAGGGGTCTGTGTTCCCAGCGCGAACCCCCGGCAAAGTCCCATACAGGGGGAGCTCAGGCAGGGTCAGCGGAGGGACCTGCGCCTGAATCCCGAAGTTCCACTCTGACTCACACAGCCTGGGCCCCCAGCTCTGACATGCCCCCTCTGATGGGGGGCGTCTCAGCCCCATTCCATCCTCCTGCAGCTGATGCACCTCCCAGCTTTCGGAGTGACTCCCTTCTTTCAAATCCGATGTCCCTGTCCTGCTCCTGCCAAATCTGGCCCCCTCCAACGTGGTACCTAAGGGTCCAGAGTCGAGGGTCGCCTTTGCTGTGCCCTCGCACCCCCTGGGGGCGGGCCTGGGGCAGTGGGTCCCAAGCCTGTCAGGATTGGGCCCACGCTACACCACGATAAACGCTGGGGCCACCCAGGGCAGCAGGTGCCGCGCCCCAACTCCATGAGGCCCTTGCTTTTCTCAGCGGGAAGTGACAGAAAACATTATTTTTCTAGTCAACCCATTCGGAGATGGAATAGAACAGACAGCAACATTCGCATGAAAATGTCACGATGAAAGCACTGAGGACTCGCAGGACACCAGCGGCACTGGGGAGGTGCTTTTGAGCTTGGTCCCCCGCACCCCGGGGGTCCCCGCCTTCTCCCTCTGCCGCATGAGAAACACTGGGGCCCAGGTGTTCTCAGCTCATTTGTCGCCTTCCCCACCATCTTAGAAAGCGACTGAGGTCTTTTGAATTCCAGGGGCTGGTCTGAACCTTCCAAGAGCACAGATTTTACTGACCTTAAGGCTCGGTGAACCCACAGCTGACAAAAGGTTCCAGAGAGGAGGAGGAGGGGCTGGCTTGGGGTCACGCAGCCAGAGGCAGGGGCTGAGCAAAGTTTCCAACAGCGATTGTCTCCCAAAGGTCAGCCCCTGCCCGATCGCGATGGCGGCCACCACAAGGCGGGGCTGAGCCAGTGGGCAGGGGTGGAGTGGGATGGAGCGGGACCCCCGACTGACAGCCTCCCGTCCTACCTGCGGTGAGCCTCCTAGGCCAGGCTGCTCGGGGCTGTCCTGCTGCTGGACCGCCGGGGGCAACGGCACTCACGTCCCACACCGTTGCGGGTGGCCTGGCTGGCAGGGGTCCCTGTGGGGATAGCGTGGCTGCGGTTGGTGAGGGATTGGGGTGGGAGGGGGGTGGCGGTGTTAGATTCTGCGGGCTCTGCTCTGAGCCCCCGCCCAGCCCAGAAACCCCACTAGCCTGGGGCCTGAGAACAGCCACGCCACTCCCTCCTGAGAGCCCACCGCGCCACAGCTTGGAGGAAGAGCCTGCGGGGAACTGGCTGCAGGACGCTCTCTTCTTGAGTGCAGGTTTGGCCAATGTCGGGGCCTCAGGGCTCGGGTTGGGGGGTGCATGCCAAGAGCCAGGGAAAGGAAGCCTGGGTCCCAGATGGACCCCAGGCCGCCCAGGCAGGCCTCCTATGAGTCTGCTGGGAGCATGGCTGGACTCTTTCTTAAAGAGGGGTATGGGCTCTCTGTGGGCCACGACTGGTTTCTGGATCCCCCAGGAACACTAGGGAACTCACAGCCTGGTTCCTCAAGGTGCTAAGGGCCAGAGGGTGCCACCCCCTGAACTATCCAGCAACTATCCAGAGAGAAAGGGGACATGGGGGACTGGCCCTTAACAGGATGCTGCTGAGGGCCAGGCAGGCGGCTGCCACCTGAGTGGGTGCAAAATGGCGCCAGGCTCCTTGGGAGGGCGGAGGGCGAGGCCTGTCATCTGGGCCAGGGGAGGCAGCGTCTGCATGTGGCCAACAGCAGTGGGGACATGGGCAGTGAGGCCAGGCTGGGGCAGGTGTGGCCCACCTCAACCGCCAGGGTGCCCCAGAGATGCCCAGCCCAGGGACATTCCTGGGCGCAGATTCAGAGCCAAGGGCCTGGAAAGGCTCCGAGGCCCCCAGTCCACAGTGAGCTCCTCACCAGAGGCTGCTGGCCCTGGAAGGGGAAAGTGGGGGCATTTCAGAGTCCAGTCCTTCCCAGCTCCTGCCATTCCTAGGGTCTGGGCTTCTGCCCCCACGGGCGCCCTGGCATCTGGCACCCCACCCTGTCCCAGCTCCTGCCTTCCTGCCTCTCTCCTCCTCATTACCCACCGCCCCCAACATCTGTTCCCCCATCTGCTCTGGGGAACTCTGGATGGGTGGAGAATGTGGGGACTCTGGTCTCCAGGCCCTGAGGCCCAGAATAGAGGGCAGGGTTGAGGTGAGCAGAAAGTCCCAGAACGCTAACTTCCGGTCCCCACACCCTGAGTTCTGAAGGGAACCCAGGTGTCTGCTTCCCCTGACCCCATGGGGATCCCACTGTCCCGCTCCCAAGCCCCAGAGCCACCCAGGTTCCAGCTCCCAGCATCCCTTTCCTCAGCTCAGCTCTCTGGGCTTTGCACTCGGGTGGGAAAGGGTTAAGGGTGGGGCGCTGGGGGTGGGTGGGCGGGTGGCAGGGAGGCTGGGTTGTTTGGTGATAATCCCCTTCCGTGCCCAGGGTGTGGAGAACAAGGTTAGGGCCCCATGTGGGAAAGGCAATGGCTCTGATCCCTGCAGGCCTGGGCCTCGGTCTCTCACTTCTGATCCCCCGCCAGACACCCCTAGCCTGTCCCCTTCCCTCCCCTCCCCAGGGCCTGCCAGGCTGGGTGTCTCTGAGCCCACCTGCCCACCTATCCCAGCCCCCAGGCAGTCCGAGCCTCAGTCTCCCAGCTCCCTGTGGCCTCTGGGTGCCTGGCCTCTGTCTCAGCCTCTCAGCCTCCTGTCTGTTCCTCTGTCTTTGCAGCAACTTCTCTGTGCCGAGCGCCTCCCCTAGGCTGACTGTCCTCTCTCTGCCTCTGTCCTGTCCTCTATTTCTTTGTGACTGAGTCTTCATCTGTCCCTAAGCCCCCTCTCCTGCCCAGCCCTGCTTGTCTCTGTGTCCCTCTCTAGGTTTCCACGTCTGCTGGCCTTGGCCAGCCCCTCTGCTCCAGCCGCTCACCGCTCCCCAGGGCCCCCTGCCCCTCGACACTGACGGATAACTCTGGGGTGTTAAGCTACGGATTAGTTCAGGCAAAATTCTCGATTTTGTCTGCGTTCTTTCCCCTTTGGGTTATGTAAACAGTAATTCTCCCCAGATGGAACTATTTTCCTCGCTTCCATGCAGCCGGGGAGGGGGCCTGGACGGGTTGGGGGTGGAATGCCCCAGTTCCACAGGACACCTCCAGGAGGGGTAGAGGCTGCGGCTGAGATCCCCAGCCCAGCCACCTCTCTTCCCTCCAGGTGCTGGCTCTGCTGTGACCATGCCCGTGACCTTTGCCCTCCTGCTCCTCCTGGGCCAGGCCACTGCGGACCCATGCTACGATCCACAGGGCCGCCCCCAATTCTGCCTCCCGCCAGTGACACAGCTGGCTGCCGTGGCGGCCTCCTGCCCTCAGGCCTGTGCCCTGTCCCCAGGAAACCACCTTGGCGCCAGGGAAACCTGCAATGGCAGCCTGACTTTGGCCCTGGGTGGCCCCTTCCTCCTGACATCTGTCAGCTTGCGCTTCTGTACCCCAGGACCCCCAGCCCTCATCCTGTCTGCTGCCTGGGCCTCAGGGGGTCCCTGGAGGCTGCTGTGGCACAGGCCCGCCTGGCCTGGGGCCTTAGGGGGCCCTGAAAGGGTGACCTTCCACTCCACACCAGGTCCTAAGGCCACTGTGGCGGCCAGCCACCTCCGTGTGGAGTTTGGGGGCCAGGCCGGGCTAGCGGCAGCTGGGCTGAGAGGCCGCTGCCAGTGTCATGGCCACGCTGCCCGCTGTGCCGCCCGTGCCCGGCCCCCCCGCTGCCACTGCCGCCACCATACCACTGGCCCGGGGTGCGAGAGCTGCCGCCCGTCCCATCGAGACTGGCCCTGGCGGCCTGCCACGCCCCGGCACCCCCACCCTTGCCTACGTGAGTCCTGCGCCCCTCACTCTCCCTGCCTTTGCCTGCCTGCCACTGGGTCCTTTGTCCCTACGGGAGCAGGATGTTCCCTTCCCTCGCTGGAACTGGGTGCTCCTTGCCTCTCACCCCAGTCTCAGACTCGGTCCCCTCATACCTCCTCCCTGCAGCCAGTCCTGTATCTCAGCCACACATGGGCCTGTCTGCTCATGAGGGGCTCAGCCTCTCCCCAACACTCATCAGCCTGTGATGATGGTGATGATGATGATGATGGTGTGATGGTGGTAATGGTGATGATGGTGGTGATGGTGGTGGTGATAATGGTGATGACTGTGGTGGTGATGGTGGTGGTGATGATGGTGGTGATGGTGATGGTGGTGGTGATGATGGTGATGATGGTGGTGATGGTGATGGTGGTGGTGATGGTGATGGTAGTGGTGATGATGGTGATGGTGGTGGTGGTGATGGTGGTGGTGATGGTGATGGTAGTGGTGATGATGGTGATGGTGGTGGTGATGGTAGTGGTGGTGATGGTGATGGTGGTGGTGGTGATGGTGATGATGGTGGTGATGGTGATGGTGGTGGTGTGATGGTGATGGTAGTGGTGACGATGGTGATGGTGGTGGTGATGGTGATGGTGGTGGTGGTGGTGATGGTGGTGATGGTGATGATGGTGGTGGTGATGGTGGTGATGATGGTGATGGTGGTGGTGTTGGTGGTGGTGATGGTGATGACTGGTGGTGGTGATGGTGGTGATGATGGTGGTGGTGGTGATGGTGGTCGTGGTGGTGATGGTGGTGATGGTGGTGGTGATGGTGGTGGTGGTGATGGTGGTGGTGATGGTGGTGGTGGTGATGATGGTCGTGGTGGTGGTGATGGTGATGGTGGTGATGGTGGTGATGATGGTGGTCATGGTGGTGATGGTGGTGGTGGTGGTGATGGTGGTGATGGTGGTGGTGATGGTGGTGGTGGTGATGGTGGTGGTGATGGTGGTGGTGGTGATGGTGGTGGTGATGGTGGTGGTGGTGATGGTGGTGGTGGTGATGGTGGTGGTGATGGTGGTGGTGGTGATGGTGGTGGTGATGGTGGTGGTGGTGATGATGGTCGTGGTGGTGGTGATGGTGGTGGTGGTGATGATGGTCGTGGTGGTGGTGGTGGTGATGGTGATGGTGGTGATGATGGTGGTCATGGTGGTGATGGTGGTGGTGGTGATGGTGGTGATGATGGTGATATGATGATGGTGGTGGTGGTGATGATGGTGATAGTGGTGATGGTGGTGGTGATGATGGTGATAGTGGTGGTGGTGGTGATGGTGATGGTGGTGGTGATGATAGTGATAGTGGTGATGATGGTGGTGATAGTGGTGATGATGGTGATGGTGATAGTGGTGATGATGGTGGTGATAGTGGTGATGATGATGGTGGTGGTGATGATGATGTAATAACAGTTTCCGAGCACCCATCCCAGGGCCTGGCTGGATGCAGGTACTTGGGTAATATTTATTGAACAGTTGTAGGGGAACAGGACAGCTGGATGGTACCTGACTCCTCAAACCAACCACAGGGGGAAAGTATTCGGTCATTAAACACATATTTATCAGTCACCTACGTGTGCCAGGCAGGGATGTCATCAGGCCCATTTTACAGATGAGGAGACTCAGGCCTAGAGTTCAGAAGTCCCCTGCACAAGGACACACAGTGGCTGCGTGTGGCAGGGCCAGGATCTGAGCTCAGGAAGCCAAGTTCTGGGGTCTCAGCCTGTCCCTGCCAGGCTCCTGCTGGGTACTGTCACACCACGTGGCAGACAAGAGGCAACAGACAGGAGCACGGCCTTGGTGGCCTGGCAGCCAGACTATTTGGGCTTGAATCCCAGCTCCTCTGCTTACCTGCTGTGAGACCTTGGGCAAGTGACCTAATCTTTTGGTGCCCCAGTTTCCTCCACCATAGATTGGGGATAGTAACAGCACATCCTTTACAGGCTGTAGTGAAAATTAAATGCATTAATACACATAAAGCCTTTAAATAAAGCCCAATGTGGTACCTGGCACAAAGGAACGGCTTCCTGAGCACCTGCCAAAGTCGCCACTCCCCAGCTGAGGAAGGTGAGGCTCAAAGAGAGGTCACTTGCCCTAAGTCTCATTGCCAGCAAGGGATTTAACCCAGGGAGCCCTGAGTTCCTAGATGCTGCAACAATCCGCTGCTCCATCCAGCTGGACAGGGGCCCCCCAGGAATGTCCCATGCGATGCCCTCTTTCCCACAGGTGCTTCCAGACCAGGCCTTCCCTACCTCCCTCCAACAGCCCCTCCTCAGAGACAGCCGGTGTCAGCTCCTTCCGGCCCTGACCCCCTCCCTCCTCCAGCCTGAGACACTTGGTACAGGGTCTGAGGTCCTGGGAGGTAACTCTACCAACAGACACAGACATATACACACGTGTGCAAGTGTACCCTGGCCTTCCCTCTCCACCTCCCATGCGCTTTGCCTCCCGGCCCTCTATTTCTTTTTTTTTTCTTTTGAGATGGAGTCTTGCTCTGTCACCCAGGCTGGAGTGCAGTGGCGCCATCTCGGCTCACTGTAGCCTCTGCCTCTGGGGTTCAAGCCATTCTCTTATCTCAGCCTCCCGAGTAGCTGGGATTACAGGTGTGTGCCACCACGCCCGGCTAATTTTGTATTTCTAGTAGAGATGAGGTTTCGCCATGTTGGCCAGGTTGGTCTCAAACTCCTGACCTCAGGTGATCTGCCAGCCTTGGCCTCCCAAAATGTTGGGATTACAGGCGTGAGCCACCGCGCCCGGCCTCTGCCCCTCTATTTCTTCATACATGAAGATCACATGGGCTAACTTACAGACCATCCCCATTCTTTGGCCAAATCTTTTACCTAAGCAGGGGAGTGAGGGGTGAGACTCACCAGGCCTGAGGATGAGGCAGCCTTCATCCTGGGCCTGGACAGGGCCTGGGCGCTGGGGAGGCTGTCCTGAGGGTCACCACATCCCCCCAGACTGAGCAGGGCAGTGCCCTCCAAACCCGGGTAAGAGACTGACAATGCTGCAGTGGAGAAAGGTCAGGGTGGCCAGGTGAGACTAATGCCTGTGGCAGAGCTATGGGCTTCACAGACATCCTGGTCTGCATCTCCTCTCCCTCATCTGAGTTCTCCACAGGGGAAGTGAGGCAAAACGATTACCCTTGGGTCAGAAAGAATCCAAAACCTGACTCAACTCACTGATCATCTGAATAGCTTTGCCACTTTGAATGCCCACAAAAACCCTGGGAGAGAGGGATCTGGATTCTCTCTGGACAGGGAGAAAACAGAGGCTGGGAGAGGGGGAGTTGTTTTTCCAAGAACATGCAGCCGTCTGAGCTCCCTGATTATCCCACAACTCTTCCGGGCTCTCAGGGACCTGCCAGTCCAGGGCTCTCAAACCTCTTAGTGTCAAAACACCCTGCAGTCCAAGTCTCTTCAAAGAGTGTCCATGAGCCTGGGAGACATAATGAGTCCCCGTCTTTAAAAAAAAAATTTTAAAGTAGCCTGGTGTGGTGGTGCATGCCTGTGGACCCAGCTACCGAGGAGGCTGAGGTGGGAAGATCCCTTGAGCCCAGGAGTTGGAGGCTGTGGTGAGTTATGATCGTGCCACTGCACTCCAGCCTGGGCGAGAGTGAGACCCTGTCTCAAAAAAAAAAAAAAAAAAAAAAAAAAGAGTGGTCTGTGAACCCCCTGTATCAGCATCTCACTCTGCAGTGCTTGCTGGAAATACAGATCCTTGGGCCCATCAGAAAGCCTAGGGAGGAGCCTTGCAATCTGGCTTTTGTTGTTGTTTTGGATTTTTGCTTCTTTTTTAAAGACAAGGTCTCACTCTGTTGCCCAGGCTGGAGTGCAGTGGTGCAATCATAACTCACTGCAGCCTCCAACTCCCAGGCTCAAGTGATCCTCCCACCTCAGCCTCTAGAGTAGCTGGGACTTACAGGTGTGGGCCACTATGCCCTGTTAATGTATTTTTAATAAAAACAACAACAAAACATTTCCCTGGTAATTCTGATGAGCAGTAAGGTTTGAGAGCCACCTTAAAACACCTGACAAACGCTCCCAGGATAATGCACATGCTAAATAATCCTCACGGGAGCTGTGTATTACTGGAGTGAGCTAAGAGCTCAGACTGTCAAGCTAGAAGACCTGTGTTTAAGTCCTGCCTCCAACTACCCGCTAGCTGTACCTCTCTGTGCCTCAGCTTTCTCCCTCTGTAAAATGGGGATGATAATAGTGCCAGCCTCACAGAGCCCTTGTGGAGATGAAATACATCAAACACAGTGCAGGGTGTCCTGCACGTACGAATGCTAGACAGCCAAGTACTTGCTCTCCGCCAGGCCTGGGCTATGCACTTTTTATCCACTTTATCTCATTTAAGCCTCAAGTAAACATTATAAATGCCATTTCACAGCCAATCAAACTACAGAAGGGATAAATTACCTGTCCAGGGAATACGGTCAGAGAGACCGACAAGGCTAAAAGGGTCTGATTCCACAGGCCATAGCCCACTCTTTTTGTTTTTTTTTTTTCTGAGATGGAGTCTTGCTCTGTCACCCTGGCTGGAGTGCAGTGGCGTGATCTCGGCTCACTGCAACCTCCACCTCCTGGGTTCAAGCAATTCTCCTGCCTCAGCCTCCTGAGTACCTGGGATTACAGGCGCGTGCCACCACGCCCAGCTAATTTTTGTATTTTTAGTAGAGACGGTTTCACCACGCTGGCCAGGCTGGTTTTGAACTCCTAACCTCAGGTGATCTGCCCACCTTGGCCTCCCAAAGTGCTAGGATTACAGGCACGAGCCATCGTGCCTGGATGCAGCCTACTCTTTAGAGGCCCAGTTTCACAGATGTTCAGGAGGTTCATGAGTCCCCCCGGACTTACCAGCTCCAGTCCAATGTACCTTTTTTTTTTTTTTTTGAGATGGAGTCTTGCTCCTTTGCCCAGGCTGGAGTGCAGTGGTGCAATCTTGGCTCACTGCAACCTCCACCTCCCGGGTTCAGGAGATTCTCCTGCCTCAGCCTCCCGAGTAGCTGGGACTACAGGCACAAGCCATCACAGCCAACTAATTTTTTTATTTTTAGTAGAGATGGGTTTTCGCCATGTTGGCCATGTGGGTCTCGAACTCCTGACCTCAGGTGATCCACCTACCTTGGCCTCCCAAAGTGCTGGGATTACAGGCATGAGCCCGGCCTACCCATTTAAAAGATGTGAGACCATCCTGGCTAACACGGTGAAACCCCGTCTCTACTAAAAATACAAAAAAAAAAAAAAAATTAGCTGTGTGTGGTGGCACGTGCCTGTAGTTCCAGCTACTTGGGAGGCTGAGGCAGGAGAATCGCTTGAACCTGGGAAGTGGAGGTTGCAGTGAGCTGAGGTCGCGCCACTGCACTCCAGCCTGGGTGACAGAGTGAGTCTCCGTCTCAAAAAAAAAAGATAATAATAGAGATGTCCTGGGACCCAGGCATTCTCTTCTACCTTGGACACTCACGGCTTCCTTTCATGAGGGCAGGGCCATGGGAAGAAAGCTGAGGACTGGGGAGCAGCACACTCGGCCCTGATGCGCCCCCACCCCATTTTGCTCCTAGCCTGCTCCTGCAACCAGCACGCCCGACGCTGCCGGTTCAACTCTGAGCTGTTCAGACTGTCGGGCGGCCGGAGTGGGGGTGTTTGTGAGCGGTGCCGCCACCACACAGCTGGGCGGCACTGCCACTACTGCCAACCTGGGTTCTGGAGGGACCCTAGCCAGCCTATCTTCAGCCGCAGGGCCTGCAGAGGTGAGTGTGGCCTGCAGACAGGCCTGGGGGGAGCAGAGGTAGGGCTGGACTCCTGGGGCTGAGGGAGGAGGGGCTGGGGGCCTGGATTCCTGGATCTGAGGGAGGAGGGGCTGGGGGCCTGGACTCTGGGCCTGAGGGAGGAGGGGCTGGGGGCCTGGACTCCTGGGTCTGAGGGAAGAGGGGCTGGGGGCCTGGACTCCCCAGGCTGAGGGAGGAGGCACTGTGGAATTGGGAGGGGCATCTGGGGCCCTGATACCCCATGCCCCCAGCTCCTCTGCTCATGTAGCCTGCCAGTG
The DNA here is from genome assembly GCF_000001405.40 of Homo sapiens. Classification (NCBI taxonomy): domain Eukaryota; kingdom Metazoa; phylum Chordata; class Mammalia; order Primates; family Hominidae; genus Homo; species Homo sapiens. The sequence goes on along the minus strand of NC_000019.10, from coordinate 48,664,282 downwards.
CCACCCTATTGGGGCAACAGGAGGAACCTGCAACCAGACCAGTGGGCAGTGCACCTGCAAGTTAGGGGTCACAGGCCTGACCTGCAACCGCTGTGGCCCTGGCTACCAGCAGAGCCGCTCCCCCAGGATGCCCTGCCAGCGTAAGTCTTGAGGGGCCAGGCCACAAGCCTGAGTAGAGCGGGAAGGAGACATCCCAGGTCTCCAGTGCACAGCTGCAGTGAGGGCTGGGGCCTTGGGAATTGGGAGCCCAAGGCTGGAGGCTGGACTCTGGGCCCTCGGATAAGCAGGGACTGAAATTCTGGACTCTTGAGGAAAAGGAGGCTTGGGGCCTGAAGGCAAGGGATGCTTGCACTCTTGAGTCCTAAAGGAATAAACACTTAAGAGTTTGGGTGCCTGGATTCCCGGGGCAGGGGCGAGGGGATCCTGGGGGAAATGACTAAGAGGTTAATTTCTCCTTTGGTCTCACAGGAATTCCAGAGGCAACAACCACCCTTGCCACTACTCCTGGTGCTTATAGCTCTGGTAAGACAGTCTGGCACGGAGGTCCCTGAGTGGCAAGTGGGAATGAGGATGGGCTGACTGGGTCCCCAGATGGGGATACATGGGTCACCCATTGAGCCCAGTCCCAAAGGTTTGGGTACCCCAGCTGGCCATCAAGATGGAACGGAGGGATGGGCAGGGGCAGAAGGCTGTGGTCTAGGCCCCAGGAGCCCACTGCAGACAGCCTGACCCTCCCCAGACCCTCAGTGTCAAAACTACTGCAATATGTCGGACACCAGGGTACACATGAGCCTTCGGAGGTACTGCCAGCAGGACCATGGTGAGTGCTGGGGAGACAGACAGCTGAAGGCTACACAGCTGGTTCTGATGACTGCTTCTAAGCCACCCCCTTTCTGGCCTTCCACTTTCTCATCTTAAATGGGAAGGAGTGTTGGATTCCAAACCCCTTCCTGATCTAGAAATTGATGGGGCAGAAGACAAATGGGGAGGGGAGTGGGGAGGGGGCATTCACTACCTTCCTGTGTCTCCTCTTTCCCCATGTTCTTCGGCTTACAGAGTTTCATCATCTCCTTCAGCCTGACATCTCTGAGGGATGGAAGAGATAGGGGAACTGGTTGAGTGGAATGAACTCTTGCCCTGTCCTCCCTATCTCAGAGACCCTTTCTGCTTCCCTTCATGGTCCCAGATATTTGAGCCTTAGCCCCACTTCCCATAAAGACTTGTCCCACGGTTCCCTAATCCCCAGTCCACACCTGCTCCATGACCTTGGGGTCTATGACCTCAGGCTATTCAGCTCTCTTAAGACACTCAGGAGTTCGGCCCAGCCAACAAATCTAGACCAACGCCAGCTATTTCTCTCAATGTATAGGACCGCAGACTTCTCCCTCAGGAACCTCATCTGGTCACTAGTGTTCTAGGCCTTCACAGGTGGAAAGATTTTCCCCACCTTCCACAGGGATCTCCTGCCCCGCAGACCCAGCTGGCTAGTCAGAGTCCCACCCAGCCTCTCAGAAAGTGCATTTTTCTGGCCGGGCGCGGTGGCTCATGCTAATAATCCCAGCACTTTGTGGGGGCCGAGGTGGGCGGATCACTTGAGGTCAGGAGTTCGAGACCAGCCTGGCCAACATGGTGAAACTCCATCTCTACTAAAAATACAAAAATTAGCCAGGCGTGGTGGCAGGATCCTGTAAACCCAGCTGAGGCACAAGAATCACTTCAACCTGGGAGGCAGAGGCTGCAGTGAGTTGAGATCACACCACTGCACTCCAGACTGGGCAATAGAGTAAGATTCCGTCTCAAAAAAAAAATTTATGTTTTTCTGAATCACTATCAGTATGACCTCAGCCCTCACATTCCAGGGACCAGTCTCTTCCTTCTTCTGGTCCTCGAAATTTATCCCAGAGCCCCTCCCCCGGCAATGTGACCCCTCCTTCCCAAGAATTCCACCATTGATACCTTCTGACTCCACTGCATTAGAGACCCTGGACCTGCCTCTTCTGCCCTGTCCCCAGCCCCACCTACTATAGTTTAACTCCTTATCTCAAAGATGTTTCCTCCAGCAGGCTCTACCCCTCACGATTTAGGGTCAAACTCTCCAAGGTTCAAGGTTTCTCTCCCCACTGCGATACCAGAAGCCCACCCACCGGTCTCGGGCTCCTGCCCACTGTGACTGACCCCACGGGACCCAGAGGTACCCTGGAAGCTCCCCACGACCTGGGCTGACATCTCCCCTCCCCACAGTTCTCCGCGCGCAGGTGCTAGCGTCCGAGGCGGCGGGCCCGGCATGGCAGCGGCTGGCCGTGCGCGTGCTGGCCGTTTACAAGCAGCGGGCGCAGCCCGTGCGACGCGGCGACCAGGACGCCTGGGTGCCCCGCGCCGACCTGACCTGCGGCTGCCTGCGCCTGCAGCCAGGCACCGACTACCTGCTGCTGGGCAGCGCCGTGGGCGACCCCGACCCCACGCGCCTCATCCTCGACCGCCACGGCCTCGCGCTGCCATGGAGGCCGCGCTGGGCCCGGCCCCTGAAGCGGCTGCAGCAGGAGGAGCGCGCCGGAGGCTGCCGCGGCGTGCGGGCACCCACACCCAGTCCCAGGCCGGAGCACTAGACGTGAGATGGGGCTGCCTCGAGCACCAACAAAGTAATTTGGGAGCGACTAGGAGCTGAGCCTTCTACCTCGACGGTGCACTGCAGAGAGCCAATCAGACGTCGCAGAGCCCCGACGACACTATGCTTGCGCCCACGCCGAGCAGGCGTGCGGAACTTTTAGCAAAAGGCGGCAAGCGGGACTTCTGGTCCCAACATTTCCTCCTTTGGCCTGTGGCTTATTCCCCGCCAGTGATCTGTTTCCCCCAATAAAGTCTCAAATCTTTGGGAATTTTTGTCTACAGACCCCTGATCGATGCTGGCACACTCTCTAGAGGGAAGCGAACAAGGCCTTGAATCAATACGCGGAGCTGAAGTTAGGACCACAGCACAACGGGACCCTGACAAAGTGGCCAATCCAATAAGAACGCTCTTATGACGTCATTGGGTGCTAGTCAGATTGGTGTTGCCTGACGATAGGCCGAAGGCCAATGGGCGGGGCTTGGTTGGAAAAGGCGGGAAATCTCACAAAGGGAGGGACAGCAGTTCCAGATTTCTAGAAAATTCCAGACGTAGGAACTGTTGGTTTCTGATGGGCCTCAGGATAGGCTCTGAGAAAGGAATTGAGATACTTTGAGTGACTCATTTTTGAAAGAATAGCCAATCGGAAGCCACAGAGTGGTATGACATAACTTGGTGCTAAGCAGAATTGTATTCCCACTCAACAATTGGCCTGCACGCCAGAGGGGAGGGGCGCAAAAGGCAGGAAGCGGTAAGTACCACGGAATGGAAGGTTGCCACAGCCTGGGACCTTCCTTGCCACCCTGACCCCTGCCCCTGCACCCACAGCAAACAACATAATCTCAAATTTGGGTGATCTTTTCAGGAGAGTCACTGAGGGGGTACTCAGGGAGTCTTAGAGGAAGGGATGTGATTTAAGGTCCATTTGTTTGTTTCTAACTCTTTTTTAAAAAAATTATTTTATTTATAGTTATATTTACTTACTTATTTTTTTGAGATGGAGTTTTGCTCTTGTTGCCCAGGCTGGAGTGCAATGGCATGATCTCGGCTCACTGCAACCTCCACCTCCCCGGTTCAAGCAGTTCTCCTGCCTCAGCCTCCCAAATAGCTGGGACTACAGGTGCGTGCCACCACGCCTGGCTAATTTTGTATTTTTAGTAGAGATGGGGTTTCACCACATTGCTCAGGCTGGTCTCGAACTCCTGACCTCAGGTGATCCGCCCACCTAGGCCTCCCAAAGTGCTGGGATTACAGGCATAAGCCACTGTGCCCAGCCAAAATTTTTTATTTTATTTTATTTTAATTATTTAGTTTTTTGAGACTGGGTCTCACTCTGTTGCCCAGGCTGGAGTGCAGTGGCTCTATGGTAGCTCACTGCAGCCTTGACCTACTGGGCTCAAGCAATCCTCCCACCTCAGCCTCTCAAGTAGCCGGGACCACAGGCGCAGGCCACCATGCCTGGCTAATTTTGTTGTTGGTAGAGACGAGGTCTCGCTATGTTGCCCAGGCTGGTCTCGAACTCCTGGGCTCAAGTGATCCTTCCACCTTGGCCTGCCAAAGTGGTGGGTTTATAGGCGTGAGCCACCGCGCTGTCCTGAGGTCCATTTGGACCTGGAACAAAGTGGCCAATACAATAAGCACACTCCTATGATGTAACTGGGTGCTAGTCAGATTTGTGTTGCCTAATAATTTCCTTCTCTGAGAGAAAGCTGGGCCTCTCAGCCAATGGGGAGTCAGGATATGCCATGATGTCACAGGATACCAGGTAGGGAGAAAGGTGCCTTCCAGCAAACGTTCTGGGTTTGCTCTTGGTTAGATGGAAAAAGGCAAGAAATTGCCTCCAGGGAGACTATTTGACCCCCATGCCACCAATAAAATGTTACATAATCTGGGAGAACCTGCCCTTAGCCTCCCGATGAACCCAGGGTGGGGTCATCTCTGAAGTAGGAGTCTTTTAAGGGATTTTCTTTTCTTTTCTTTTTTAGTAGAGATGGGGTCTCACTATGATGCCCAGGCTGGTCTCGACCCCCTGAGCTCAAGCAATCCTCCTGCCTCAGCCTCCCAAAGCGTTGGGATTACAGGCATGAGCAACTGCGACCAGTCTTAAGGGATTTTCTTTTCTTTTCTTTTCTTTCTTTTCTTTCTTTCTTTTTTTTTTTTTTTTCTGAGATGGAGTCTCACTGTGTCACCCAGGCTGGAGTGCAGTGGAGTGATCTTGGCTCACTGCAGTCTCCGCCTCCCAGGTTCAAGCGATTCTCCTGCCTCAGTCTCCTGAGTAGCTGGGATCACAGGCACGAGCCACCATGCTCGGCTAATTTTTGTATTTTTAGTAGAGACGGGTTTCCCCATGTTGGCCAGGCTGGTCTCGAACTCCTGACCTCAGGTGATCCACCCGCCTCAGCCTCCCAAAGTGCTGGGATTACAGGCGTGAGCCGCCGCGCCCGGCCAAGGAATTTTCTAAGAAGGGTCCTCTGTTCCAGAAAAACTATATTCCTTATCTTTGTTATTTTCATCCTCTCTTGAAGCCAATTCAGTTGGGCATTCACTGCCCCCATACTCCACCTTCATATCCAATCCATGAGCAAATCCTGTCCACATCCACAAAATATCTCCCATAATTCAACCATTTTTACCATCTCTGTTGCTACCACCTTTGTCCAAACCACCATCACTGCTCGTCCGGATTATTACAATAGTCCCCACACTACTCTCATCACTACCCCCTGAAAGTCTTCTTCACATGGAAGCCAGGATGATCACTTTAAATCATGTCAGGACAGACATGGTGGCTCATGCCGGTAACCCCAGCACTTTGGGAAGCTGAGGTGGGAATCACTTGAAGCCAGGAGTTCAAGACCAGCAAACGTGGTAACATAGCAAAACCCCATCTCTACAAAAAAAAAAAAAAAATTAGCTGGACATGGTGGTGCATACCTGTAGTCCCAGCTACTTGGGAGGCTGAGGCAGAGGATTGCTTGAATCCAGGAGTCGGAGGCTGCAGTGAGCTATGATCGTGGCACCGCACTCCAACCTGGGCAACAGAGTGAGACCCCATCGCTAAAAATAAACTCTTTTTTTTCTTCTGCATTTTTTAATGCAGAAAAAAACAAAAAACAAAACACAAAAAATAAACTCTTGAATGGCTTCCCATCACTCTCAAAATAAAACCCAAAGTCCCTGCCCTGCCCCACAAAGCCCTGCATGATCTACCTCCACCACATCACCGACCTCACCTCTTATAAGTCTTCCTCATTCACATCACTGCAGCCACACTGGTCTTCTTCCTATTCCTTTAAAAACAAAGCACACTTGCTGGGCACGGTGGCTCACGCCTGTAATCCCAGCACTTTGGGAGGCCGAGGCGGGCAGATCATGAGGTCAGGAGATCGAGACCATCCTGGCTAACACGGTGAAACCCTGTCTCTACTAAAAATACAAAAAAATTAGCTGGGCGTGGTGATGGGCGCCTGTAGTCCCAGCTACTCTGGAGGCTGAGGCAGGAGAATGGCGTGAACCAGGGAGGTGGGGCTTGCAGTGAGCTGAGATCACACCACTGCACTCCAGCCTGGGCAATAGAGCAAGACTCCGTCTCAAAGGAAAAAAAAAAGCACACTCTGCTCCAGGACCTTTGCACTTGCTGTTCTCTTCCTGGAACACACCTTTTCATGTTATGGCAAGCCAGTTTCCTTACTTCATTGAGACCTTCCATTAGGCAGCTTAGGCTAGCTCTGTTGGCTCTATGGAGTTTATTGAGTTCTGGCTGGGTGTGGTGGCTCATGCCTGTAATCTCAGCACTTTAGGAGGCTGAGGCTGGTGATCACTTGAGCCCAGGTCTAGACCAGCGTGGGCACCATGGTGATACTCCATCTCTACAAAAAATACAAAAATTAGCTGGGCATTGTGGTGTGTGCCTGCCTGTAGTCCTCATACTTGGGAGGCTGAGGCAGGAGAATTGTTTGAGTCCAGGAGGTCCAGACTGCAGGGAACTATGATTGGGCCACAATACTCCAAACTGGTTGACAGAGCAAGACCTTGTCTCAAAAAAAAAAAAAAAAAAAAAAGAAGAAGAAGAAAGAAAGAAAAGAAAAAGAAAAAGAAAACACAAAGTTTCTTTCTTGTTCATATACATGTTCCATGCAAGTTGGCAAAGGTTGGTTTTCCACACAGTCAAGGACCCAGGCTGAGAGATGTTCACCACCTTGTAGCACCACCCGTAACCCAGGGCATCCTTGATCACTGAGACAAGGAAAGAGGAAAAGCACTGAATGGTCTTATGCAAGCAAAACAGCTTTGGTCCAGGAACGACTCCCGGCCCTTCCAATCACAGCTCATTCATCGGGATTACTCATGTGGTTCCACTCAGTTGTATGAAGGTGGGGACGTAGAATTCCCTCACGTGCTCAGTAACAGAGAACTGTCGAATTCCTTTCCTGTTACTGCCATAACAAATTACCATAAACTCAGCAGCTGAAACAACACAAATTTATCATCTTACACGCTACAGATCAAAAGCCTCACATGGGTTTCACTGGGCTAAAATCAAGGTGCTAACGAGGCTGCATTCCATCTGGAGCCTCTAAGAGAGAATCTGTTTCCTTTCTATTCCCAGTTTCTAGAGGCCACCCACATTGCCTGATTCATGACCCCTTTTTCCATCTTCACGGCCAACCACGACAGGTCGAGTCCCTTTCACATTTCAGATTTTTCCTGCCTCTTCTATCCTCACATCTCTTTCTGACCATGGCTGGGAAAGGTTCTCTGCTTTTAAGGACTCCTGTAATTAGACGAGGGGCACCCGGTCTACCGCCATACCACCCTGAATGAACCCGATCTTGTCTGATCTCAGAAGCTAAGCAGGGTCAGACCCTGTTAGTTCTTGGATGGGAGATGGGGCCACCCAGATAATCCAGAATAATCTCTTCCCCATCTCAAGGTCTCTTGTTTGTTTGTTTGTTTTGAGACATTCTCGCTCTGTTGCCCAGGCTGGAGTATAGTGGCATGATCTCGGCTCACTGCAACCTCCGCTAGACAGAAAAAAACAAACAAAAAGCCAAAACAAACAAACAAAAAACAGAAAAAAACAAAACAAAACAAAAACAAAAAAATCCCCCCAAAATTAGCCAGGCCCGGTGGTGCACACCTGTAATCCCAGCTACTCGGGAGGCTGAGGCAGGAGAATCGCTTGGATCGAGGAGGTGGAGGTTGCAGTGAGCCGAGATCATGCCACTGCTCTCCAGCTTGGGCAACACAGCGAGACCCCATCTCAAAAAAAAAAAAAACAAAAAACAAACAACAAAACCACAAATCCCAGCCCTGCTGAGCCACATCGCTCAGTTTTCTCATCTATAATATGAGGATGATAATAAAATAATAGAAAATAATCTACAGGGTACGTTTTGAGGATTAAATGAGTTAATATATATAATGGGCTTAGAACAGTGCCTAGTGCAGACTGACAGCTGTATGAGTTTATTATTTATTTATTTATTTTGAGATAGGGTCTCACTCTGTCTTCCAGGCAGGAATGCAGTGACACAATTGCAGCCCAATGCAGCCTCAACCTCCCAGGCTCAAGGGATCCTCCTGCCTCAGCCTCCCAAGTAGCTAGGACTACAGGCGCAAGCCACCAGGCTAGGTTTTTTTTTGTTTTTATTTTTTTTTAAATAGAGGCAAGGTTTTGCTGTTGCCCAGGCTGGCTTTGAACTCCTGAGCTCAAGCAATCCTCTTGCCTCAGCCTCCCAAAGTGCTGGGTAATCCCATCACCAGGCGTGAGCCACTGCTCAGGGCCTTGAGTTTGTTATTAATATTATTTAGGCTGGGCGTGGTCTTTCACGCCTGTAATCCCAGCACTTTGGGAGGCCAAGGCAGGCAGATCACTTGAGGTCAGGAGTTCGAGACCATGCTGGCCAACATGGTGAAACCCCGTCTCTACTAAACACAGAAAAAATAGGCTGGGCACGGTGGTTCATGCCTGTAATCCTAGCACTTTGGAGGGCCGAGGTGGGCAGATCACCTGAGGTCAGGAGTTCGAGACCAGCCTCACCAACATGGTGAAACCCTGTCTCTACTAAAAATACAAAAAGTAGCTGGGTGTGGTGGCGTGCGCCTGTAGTCCCAGCTCCTCGGGAGGCTGAGACAGGAGAATTGCTTGAACCTGGGAGGTGGGTTGCAGTGAGCTGAGATCACACCACTACACTCCAGCCTGGGCGACAGAGCAAGACTTCTTCTCAACAACAACAAAAAAAAAAAAAAAAAAGAAAGAAAGAAAAAGAAGAAAAATTAGCTAGGCATGGTGGTGCACAGCTGTAGTCCCAGCTACTCTAGAGGCTGAGGCAGGAGAATCGCTTGAACCCAGGAGGTGGAGGTTGCAGTGAGCCAAAATTGCGCCACTGCACTCCAGCCTGGCAACAGAGCAAGACTCTTGTCTCTCTCTCTCTCTCTCTTTCTTTCTTTCTCTCTCTCTCTCTCTCTCTCTCTCTATATATATATATATATATATATAAAATTTAAACACCCAGAGTCCACAGTCCACACCTCCTCCAGGAGACTGGAACCCAGAAGGCGAGAGTATAGATCAAGGAGGATTTTTCTAGGCTCCCAGGGGCAGTGGGAGTTGAAGGCAAAGAGATAGCAGTGAGGAGGCCAAGAGGGGCTGTGGGAACCACCCAGGCCTGTAGAGGCCTGGCGCTGCCGCCTCCCACTCAGGGGCTGGGGAGATAGGAGATGAAAGCATGGTGCAGAGCAGGCCCCATATGTTCCTCATGACCCAAACTTTGTTCCCAGCACCCGAGACGAATAGGCATGAAATCCACATCTGGGACCCACCTCCGGCCTGGTCGTTCCCTCCCCCTCTGGGCACCGAGCCCAGTCTGTCTTTGCGCTATAATGGAGGCAGCACAGGTGGCTTCCAGAGCTCTGAGGAGGCCCCTGCCCACCTCGTGGCATTGCCAGATGGCTTCTTGGAGGAGGGGACTCCTGAAGTGTGCAGAAGTCTGAGTAGGAATTTGCCCAGCAGAGAAGGGAGAAAGGGAGCCCAGTTAGAGGAAACAGTTTGGCAAAGATCCCAGGGCAGGAGGTCTCTGTGGTGAGAGAAGAGATGAGGCTGGGGACTGGGGGTGGCCAGGGCATGTGGGTTCTCTCAGACCAGGCTGAGGACCTGGGTTTTTTTCCCCCAGGGCACTGAGGAGCCATGGGAGGTCTGTGAGCAGGGGAGGGGCAGAATCAGCTTTGTGTGAGAGACAAACCGTGTTAAAACAGAGTGATACGGGCAATCATCATCATCATTGAGGTGGCTCAGCTCACTGGGGGAGCCCAGAGAGTACCCCAAACCCAGCCTACAGGTCAGAAAACTTCTCTCACAGGTGGATCTTCAAGGACATTAGAAGAATCTGGTCACGACAAGAAAGGCTGAGGAGGGGGACTCTGTCCAGAGGTGCAGGGGAGCCGTGGGAGAGGCAGGGTCCACTCTGAATGTAACACAACCACTCAGGGTGGCTCTCGCCTGTAATCCCAGCACTTTGGGAGGCCAAGGTGGGAGGACTGCTTGAGGCCAGGAGTTCAAGACCAGCCCAGCCAGCATAGTGAGACCTCTATCGCTACAAAAAAATAAAAAATGACTAGTGTGTTGGCCTGGCGCGGTGGCTCACGCCTATAATCCTAGCACTTTGGAAGGCCAAGGCGGGCGGATCACCTGAGGTCAGGAGTTCGAGACCAGCCTGACCAACATGGAGAAATCCTGTCTCTACTAAAAATACGAAATCAGCCGGGTGTGGTGGCGCATGTCTGTAATCCCAGCTACTCGGGAGGCTGAGGCAGGAGAATCGCTTGAACCCAGAAGGCGGAGGTTGCGGCAAGCCGATATCGTACCATTGCACTCCAGCCTGGGCAACAAGATCGAAACCCTGTCTCAAAAAAAAAAAAAAAAAAAATTACTAGTGTGGGCAATACGGTGAAACCTTGTCTCTACAAAAACAAAAACAAAACAAAACAAAAAAACAGAAATTAGCTGGGTGTGTGATATGCACCTGTGGCCCCAGCTACTTGGGAGGCTGAGGCAAGAGGATCCCTGGAGCCTGGGAGTGAGCTATGATCACATCACTGCACTCCAGCCTGGGTGACAGAGCAAGACCCTGTTTAAATAAATAAATAAATAAGTAAATACAGTTTAAAAAGAAAAATTAAAAAATAGCTGGGTGTGGTGGCACACACCTGTAGTACCAGCTACTTGGGAGGTTGAGATGAGAGGATCACTTGAACCCAGGAAGTTGAGGTTGCAGTGAGCTGTGATCACGCCATTGCATTCCAGCCTGGGTGACAAAGCAAAACCCCATCTCAAAAAAAAATAAAAATAAAAATAAAACCCTCTGGGATCTGTGGGGCATGGATTGCAAGGGGAGGGAAACTGGAAGGGGGAGAAGCTGAGAAGGAGGCTGTGGGGAGGACTTGAGGGGAAAAGATGCATCCTGAGCACTGGTTAGGATTATGGAGATAGTCAGGAAGTTAAATGTTGGCCAGGCACGGTGACTCACACCTGTAATCCCAGCACTTTGGGAGGCCAAGGTGGGCAGATAACCTGAGGTCAGGAATTCAAGACCAGCGACCAGCCTGGCCAACATGGTGAAACTCCGTCTCTACTAAAAATACAAAGATTAGCTGGGCGTGGTGGTGGGCCCCTGTAATCCCAGCTACTTGGGAGACTGAGGCAGGAGAATCGCTTGAACCCTAAGGTGGAGGTTACAGTGAGCTGAGATCATGAGACTCTGCCACCACTGTGCTCCAGCCTGGGTGACAGAATGACTCTGCCTCACAAAAAAAAAAAAAAAAAAAAAAAAGAAAGTCAAATGTTCTAACACACCAGATCACACCAGGACCAGGAAGCCTTCCTCTTTTTTTTTTTTTTTTTTTTTTTTTTAAAGACAAAATCTCGCTCTGTCACCCAGGCTGGAGTGCAGTGGCGCTATCTCGGCTCACTGCAAGCTCTGCCTCACAGGTTCTCCTGCCTCAGCCTCCTGAGTAGCTGGGACCACAGCAGGCGCCCGCCACAATGCCCGGCTAATTTTTTGTATTTTTAGTAGAGACGGGGTTTCACTGTGTTAGCCAGGATGGTCTCGATCTCTTGAGCTCGTGATCTGCCCACCTCAGCCTCCCAAAGTGCTGGGATTACAGGCGGGAGCCACACCCGGCCAAAGCCTTCCTCTTAAGCCCTATACAAAAACATTATTTTCTCACCTGTCTCTCAGTGCCACAGTCCCTGTGTTTTTATTTCATTCACTCACTTATTTATTCATTCAACATATTCTCCTGTGGTCTCCCTGGAAAATTCTGACACCCTGACCTGAGTCGGACTAGGGACTTGCCTAGTCTGGGAGGGTGGGGTAGGAGGGAGACCTTGGTACAATGAGATTTGGTAGGATATTCAACAATGGAGGCAGCGCAGGGCACTGTGGGAGCCTAGAAGAGGCACCTGGCCATGTCTTGCAGTTCAGGGAAGACGTCCTGGAGGAGGCAAGGCCCTCCATGGGCACTGCAGAAAACCCGAGTGTCACCCAGGCACATGGGAACTGGCAGACTCTCCAGGGAAAGACATCATGAGCATGGTTTCATTCAATAATGCCTGAGTTCTCTCCTGAGGACCCCGTACACCAGGCTCTGTGTGCAGTGAGGCTGGGGACTCAGAGACGGGTCAGGCTTGGGCCCTCCGGTGGAACACATGGGGACACAGTCCCTTTCTAACAAGATGTATGCTCTCATGGAGGTAGCACAGGACATTGTGAATGTTCACAGCAAGCACTGACCCAGCCTGGGGGGGGGGGGGCGGTCAGGGAAGGCTTCCTGGAGGAGGAAAGCCCTACATTTTAGGTAGAGTCTGCTCTTCTTGCAGTATCAGTCAGCCTTTCACTTTCTGTATAGCTCTAGTTCCTTCATTGCCTCTGCCTCTGTCGGACTCCATGTCTTTCTTTCTTTCTTTCTTTTTAAATTTTACTAAATACAAATAGAGATGGAGTTTCGCCATGTTGCCCAGGCTGGTCTCGAACTCCTGAGCCCAAGCAGTCCGCCTGCCTCAGCCTCCCAAAGTGCTGGGATTGCAGGTGTGAATCATCGCGCCCAGCCAGGTTCCATGTCTTAATTTCTCCCCAGCCCCAGGCTGGCTGTCACAAAAAATGACCACAAACATGATGGCTTATCACAACAGAAATGTATTGTCTCACAGCTCTCGGGGTCAGAAGTCCAAAATGAAGGTGTTGGCAAGGCCATACTCCCTCCACAGACTCCAGGGGCGAATGTTTCATGCCTCTTCCAGCTCCTGGTGGCTCCTGGCATTCCTTGGCTTGTGGCTGCCTCATTCCAACCTCTGCCTCGATCTTCACACGGCCTTCTCCCAATCTCCCTATGGCTTTTTTTCTCTTATAAGGACATTTGTCATTGGATTTAGAGTCTACCCAGATAATGCAGGATGATTGCGTCTCAAGATCCTTAACTTTTTTGTTGTTGTTGGAGATAGTGTCTTGCTGTGTTGCCCAGGCTGGAGTACAATGCTGTGATCTTGGCTCACTGCAGCCTCGACCTCCTGAGCTCAAGTCATCCTTTCACCTCAGCCTCCCAAGTAGCTGGGACTACAACTGTGCACTGCCATGCCTGACAAGGTTTTTAAAATTTTTTGCAGAGGCCAGGCACGGTGGCTCACACCTGTAATCCCAGCATTTTGGGAGACCGAGGCAGAAGGATCATGAGGTCAGGAGTTCGAGACCAGCCTGGCCAACATAGTGAAACCCTGTCTCTACTAAAAATACAAAATATTAGCCAGGCTTGGTGGCAGGCTCCTGTAATCCTAGCTACTTGGGAGGCTGAGGCGGGAGAATCGCTTGAACCCAGGAGGCAGAGGCTGCAGTGAGCTGAGATTGCATCACTGCACTCCAGTCTCGGTAATGGTGCTAGACTCTGTCTCAAAAAAAAAAAATTTTTTTTTTTTTTTTTGCTGAGATGGGTTCTCATTGTGTTGTCCAGGCTGGTCTCAAACTCCTGGGCTCAAGTGATCCTCCTGCCTCAGCTTCCCAAAGCACTGGAATTACAGATATAAGCCACTGCACCCGGCCCCTCCCAAGTCTTTAAGGGTCCATCTCTCCACAACTCTGTGTCTCTCTTCCTCTCCCCACCTGTGGTGGTTTGAAAATTAATCCCCAAATTCTGTGATACGTTTCCTTTCAAGAGCAAAGGATTTTTTTTTTTTTTTTTAGACAGGGTCTCATTCTGTCGCCCAGGCTGGAATGCAATGGCTCGATATTGGCTCACTGCAACCTCTGCCTCCCAGCTTCAAGCGATTCTCCTGCCTCAACCTCCTGAGTAGCTGGGATTACAGGCACACGCCACCATGCTCGGCTAATTTTTGTATTTTTTTTTTTTTTGAGACAGTCTTGCTCTGTCACCCAGGCTGGAGTGCAGTGGCGCGATCTCAGCTCACTGCAAGCTCCGCCTCCTGGGTTCACGCCATTCTCTTGCCTCAGCCTCCAGAGTAGCTAGGACTACAGGCGCCCACCACCACGCCCGGCTAATTTTTTGTATTTTTAGTAGAGACGGGGTTTCACCGTGGTCTCGATCTGCTGACCTCATGATCCGCCCGCCTCAGCCTCCCAAAGTGCTGGGATTACAAGCGTGAGCCAACACGCCCGGCCAATTTTTGTATTTTTAATAGAGACGAGGTTTCACCATGTTGGCCAGGCTGCTCTTGAACTCCTGATCTCAAGTGATCTGCCTTCCTCGGCCTCCCAAAGTGCTGGGATTACAGGCGTGAGCCACCGCTCCCGGCCCAAGAGCAGAGGATCCTAACGTCTTTCCTTTTGAGTGTAGGCTAGATCTAGTGACTCATTTCTGATGCGTGGAATAAAAGGTGTGTGACTTTGGGAGACTAGGTCATAAAAGACTTGAGATGACTGCAGCCCTGTCCAACAGTTTCACTGCACCCTCAAGAAGGATCCAGAACCACCCAATGAAGCCATTCCCACATTCCTGGCCCTCAGGAACTGTGAACACAATAAATGTTTGTTGTTTTAAGCCACTGAGTTTTAGGGTAATTTGTCACACAACAACAGATTTTTTTGTCGTTGTTTTGTTTTGTTTTGTCGTTGTTTTTGAGACAGTCTCACTCTTTGCCCAGGCTGGAGGGCACTGGTGTGATCTCGGCTCACTGCAACCTCCACTTCCTGAGTTCAAGTGATTCTCATGCCTCATCCTCCCGAGCAGCTGGGACTAGAGGCATGCGTCACCACACCCGGCTAATTTTTGTTTTTGTTTTTTTTTTTTTTTTGAGACAGAGTCTCACTCTGTCGCCCAGGCTGGAGTGCAGTGGCGCAATCTCGGCGTGTGCCACCATGCCCAGCTAATTTTTGTATTTTTAGCAGAGACACGGTTTCACCATGCTGGTGAGGCCAGTCTCGAAATCCTGACCTTGTGATCCGCCCGCCTTGGCCTCCCAAAGTGCTGGGATTACAGGCGTGAGCCACTGCGCCCAGCCTAATTTTTGTATTTTTGGTAAAGACGGGGTTTCACCACGTTGGTCAGGCTGGTCTCAAACTCCTGACCTCAAGTGATCTGCCTTCCTCGGCCTCCCAAAGTGCTGGAATTACAGGCGTGAGCTGCCGTTCCCCAACTATTTTTTTCTTTTTCTTTTTTCTTTTTTTTTTTTTTTTTTGAGACGGAGTCTCGCTCTGTCGCCCAGGCTGGAGTGCAGTGGCGTGATCTCAGCTCACTGCAAGCTCCACCTCCCGGGTTCACGCCATTCTCCTGCCTCAGCCTCCCGAGGAGCTGGGACTACAGGCGCCCGCCACCGCGCCCGGCTAATTTTTTGTATTTTTAGTAGAGATGGGGTTTCACCGTGGTCTCAATCTCCTGACCTCGTGATCCGCCCGCTTCAGCTTCCCAAAGTGCTAGGATTACAGGTGTGAGCCACTGTGCCCGGCCTGTTTTTTTCTTTTTCATAAAAAATAGAGACGAGGTCTTACTATGTTGCCCAGGCTGGTCTCAAACTCTTGATCTCAAGTGATCCTCCCTCCTCAGCCTCCCAAAGTGCTGGGATTACAGGCATGAACCACCAAGCCCCGCCAGCAATAAATTATTAGTATGTACCTTTCCTTCTTGTGTTTTTTCTTCGTGTCTCTCTCCACCCCTGACTCTCTGGGTTTCTTTCTGGGTGTCTCTCTCCATCTCTAGGTCTTTGAATGTCCATCCCAATTTGCTATCTCTGAATACCTCTGTCTTTCTGATTCCTTTGTAGTCTCTCCCATCATGTCAGTTGGTCTGCTTCTGGTCCTCTCTCCCTCTATCTGGGTCTCTCTATCTCTGTCCATCTGTTCCTCTCTGTTGATGTCTCTTTCTCTGCACGAGTGTCTCTATTTATAGATGTGTGTGTGCCTGTTCCCAGGTCTCTGTCTCTAGCTCTGTGTGTGTGTTTCTTTCTTTCTTTCTTTTTTTTTTTTTTTTTGAGATGGAGTCTCACTCTGTTGCCCAGGCTGGAGTGCACTGTTGGGATCTCGGCTCACTGTAGCCTCCACCTACCCGGTTCAAGCGATTCTCCTGTCTCAGCCTCCTGAGTAGCCGGGATTATAGGTGTGTGCCACCACGCTCAGCTAGTTTTTGTATTTTTTAGTAGAAACGGGGTTGCACCATTTTGGTCAGGCTGGTCTTGAACTCCTGACCTCAGGTGATCCACCCACCTCGACCACCCTAAGTGCTGGGATTACAGGCGTGAGCCACCATGCCTGGCTAAGTTTTTATGTATTTAGTAGAGATGGCATTTGGCCATGTTGGCCGGGCTGGTCTCAGTCTCCTGGCCTCAAGTGATCCATCCACCTTGACCTCCCAGAGTTCTGGGATTACAGGTGTGAGCCACCATGCTCAGTCTGTGTGTGTGTTTCTATGTCTCTCCCTCTCTGTGTCTCTCTCCACCTGTACTGATGTATGTGTGTCTCTTTCTATGTCTCTCTGTCTCGTTAATGTTTGGTGTCAGGCTGGACAAGGTGGCTCACACCTGTAATCCCAGCACTTTGGGAGGCCAAGGCAGGAGGATCCCTTGAGCCCAGGGGTTCCGGACCAGCCTGGGCATCATAGCAAGACTACATCTCTACAAAAAATAATTTTTAAAAATTAGCCTGGCATGGTGGCATGTGCCTGTAGTCCCAACTATTTGGGAGGCTGAGGTGGAAGGAGTGTTTAAGCCCAGGAGGTCGAGGCTGGATCAAGCCATGATCGCACCACTGCTCTCCAGCCTGGGTGACATTGCAAGGCTTGTCTCAAAAAAGAAAATAAAAGAAGACAATGAGCAGTTTCACTACCATTAGACGGGGTGAAAAATAATAAATAACAACAACAACAGTAATATGTGGTCTCTCTGAGGCTGGGTATGGTTGTTCATGCCTGTAATCTCAATGCTTTGGGAGGCCAAGGTGGGAGGATCCCTTGAGGACAGGAGTTTGAGACTAGCCTGAGCAACATAGCATGACCCCATCTCTTCTCCCCAAATACAAAAATGTGGTGTCTCTCTCTGTCTTTGGATCGCTCTTTCTCTCTTTTTGTCTCTCCCCACCCCATCTGCTGCTTGGTCTCTGAGTTTCTGTCTATCTCTAAGTGTGTGTCTCTATGTCTCCATGTCTGTCTCGCTGCGTCTCTGTATCTCCTTTTCTGCCTCTATCTGTATCTCTCTCATTCATTCCTTCCTCTCTCCCTCCCCCTCCTCCTCTCCCTCCTCCCCCTCCTCTCCCTCCCCCTCCTCTCCCTCCTCCCCCTCCTCCTTCACCTCCTCCCCCTCCTCCTCACTCCTGCCTGGCGGTTTGTTCTTGCCTCTCTAACCTTCTGTCCCTCCGCCCTTCCTCTCCGTATCCATCTCAGGCTCCCTTCCCCTCCCCAGCCTACGCAGATGTGGGTCCTCACCTCCCGCTCTCCGCCTCTGCCCTCCCGGCTCCTCCTCCCCGCCCCTCTCTCCCTCGCCAGGTCTCTGCCTCCCCCTCCAGGCGAGCAGCCCTCACTGCACTTCAGGCTCCTAGGGGATCCCCCGGCCCCGTTAAGGCAGCCCCAGGCAGAGACCCAGTGGAGCCCTGGGGCGGGGAAGGGGGGCTGCGGGCGCTGGGGCGGCTCCAACCTGGGTCCCAGCGAGCAGGGGGACCCTGCATCCGCCAAGGCCGGCGGCCCCCAGCATGGAGACTTCCGAAGCCACTCCCAGCTCCACCTTAAGCGCCCCCCCTTCCCCTTGCTGCGGAGGATGGAAACAGCCTGCTCCCGGCCCCAGGTGTCCCGGCCACCCCCGCCCGCGTGGCCCCAGCGCGGCTGGGAGCCGAGGACCAGCCCCCTACCTCCTTCCGAATCCTGCCCTTTCGCACATCCCACCCCAAGCCAACCCGAGGAGTGTTTGCCGCTATGAGATCACCTGCTCCCCCAGCCCAACAACAAAATTAAATAACACCACGGGAGAGGAGAGAGGGAGGGGGAGGAGGGAGGAAGGGACAAGAGAGAAGAGAGACTGAAACAGGGAGAAGAGGCAGGAGAGGAGGAGGTGGGGAGAGCACGAAGCTGGAGGCCGACACTGAGGGAGGGCGGGAGGAGGTGAAGAAGGAGAGAGGGGAGAAGAGGCAGGAGCTGGAAAGGAGAGAGGGAGGAGGAGGAGGAGATGCGGGATGGAGACCTGGAGTTAGGTGGCTTGGGAGAGCTTAATGAAAAGAGAACGGAGAGGAGGTGTGGGTTAGGAACCAAGAGGTAGCCCTGGGGGCAGCAGAAGGCTGAGAGGAGTAGGAAGATCAGGAGCTAGAGGGAGACTGGAGGGTTCCGGGAAAAGAGCAGAGGAAAGAGGAAAGACACAGAGAGACGGGAGAGAGAAGAAGAGTGGGTTTGAAGGGCGGATCTCAGTCCCTGGCTGCTTTGGCATTTGGGGAACTGGGACTCCCTGTGGGGAGGAGAGGAAAGCTGGAAGTCCTGGAGGGACAGGGTCCCAGAAGGAGGGGACAGAGGAGCTGAGAGAGGGGGGCAGGGCGTTGGGCAGGGGTCCCTCGGAGGCCTCCTGGGGATGGGGGCTGCAGCTCGTCTGAGCGCCCCTCGAGCGCTGGTACTCTGGGCTGCACTGGGGGCAGCAGGTAAGACCTGGGGTTCCCGGGAGGAGCCCCCGAGGGAGGGTGGAGGTGGGGATGCCAAGGAGAGGGATTCAGGCTGCTCTCTTCCCAGCTCACATCGGACCAGCACCTGACCCCGAGGACTGGTGGAGCTACAAGGATAATCTCCAGGGAAACTTCGTGCCAGGTGCCGCCAAGGCGGGGACCCAGGAGTCCGGCCCTCCCGGCGCCTCCTTCTTCAGACTCAGGAACCTGGGTTCCCAGCTCCCTCCTCCCCCCCAGGACCAGGAGTCCCAGCCCCCTCCTCTGTCCCTCAGGAGTCGGGCCAGCTTCTGAACCCCAGGGGCTCACCATGGGACATTATACATGCGCATTTCAAGTAGTGAGTGGGAGTGAGTGGAAGGAAAGTGTGGGGGTGGAGATTATGTGTGTGTTTGCCGGGAGAGGAAGGTCCTGGCTCCTGCTAGGAACCAGAGGCTGGGTGGCCCCGTCCCCCACCTTGTCCAGCCTTCTCTTGCAGCTCCTCTCCCCAACACATTAATAATAATCCAGCTGTGGGATAAGAGCGATTAAAAAAAAGAACTACAACTCCCACGGGGCTCTGGGGCAGGTAGGCAGCAGAGGGGTAGGCTGGTAGCACTGGGGCCTGCTGGGAGTTGTAGTTCCATCTACAGTGGCTTAAGATGGGTTTGATCGGCTGGGCGCGGTGGCTCACGCTTGAAATCCCAGCACTTTAGGAGGCCGAGGTGGGTGGATTACCTGTGGTCAGGAGTTCAAGACCAGCCTGGCCAACTTGGTGAAACCCGTCTCTGCTAAACTTGGAAACTATTCCAAGATTCTTCTAGGACCCAGAATTCTGGATCTGAGCCCAGTCCTCCCTCAGACCCAGGAGTCTAGGTCCCTAGCCCCTCCTCCCCTGGGATCTGGGAGTCCAGACCACAGCCCACTCAGCAGATACCAGCCCTGGGATCCAGTCTCTATTTCTGACTCCTTGTCCTCCTACTCCGACCCCACCCCCAGGGCCTCCTTTCTGGGGCCTGGTGAATGCAGCGTGGAGTCTGTGTGCTGTGGGGAAGCGGCAGAGCCCCGTGGATGTGGAGCTGAAGAGGGTTCTTTATGACCCCTTTCTGCCCCCATTAAGGCTCAGCACTGGAGGAGAGAAGGTAAGGGGCTTGGAGGGAGGAGCTATTGAACCCACTGGGGATGGGCATGAATAGAGGCTGGGGAATGGGGTGCTGAGGTAGGAGAGCAGCCTTGGGGGAGGAGGGGACACCCAGTGGGTGGAGAGGAGGCTGCTTACACTGTAAAATGGATCACCCATTCTTCCCATCCCAAGCATGGTCCCCTAGTCTCCCCATCTCTGCAGAAGCAATGAAAAGCAGAACATTTCCTGTGCCAGGCAGATTTAAAACCTTGATAAGCCTCTCATCTCATAACCACCCCACAAAATGGGTACAATTATTATTATTGTTATTATTATTATTATTATTTTGAGATGGAGTTTTGCTCTTGTTGCCCAGGCTGGAGTGCAATGATGTGATCTCAGCTCACTGCAACCTCCACCTCCCAGGTTCAAGCGATTCTCCTGCCCCAGCCTCCCGAGTAGTTGGGATTACAGGCATGCGCACCATCACGCCCAGCTAATTTTTTGTATTTTTAGCAGAGATGGGTTTTCTCCATTTTGGTCAGGCTGGTCTTGAACTCCTGACCTCAGGTGATCCACCTGCCTCGGCCTCCCAAAGTGCTAGGATTACAGGCATGAGCCACTGCGTCCAGCCAAAATGGGTACAATTATTAACCTTATTATATACATGCAGAAACTGACACACAGAGGTTAAGTTACTTGCCTAGGATCACACAGAGAGCCAGCACTGGCATTCAAACCAAGCAGCGTAGCATGAATGCTGGGACCTGCTTTATAGTACCATGCTGGGAACCATACTTTTTTTTTTTTTTTTTGGAATTGGGATCTCACTCTGTGACCCAGGCTGGAGTGCAGTGGCCCAGTCATAGCTCACTGTAACCTCAAATTCCTGGGCCCAAGTGATCTTCCTACCTCAGCCTCAAAAATAGCTAGGACATGCCTGGGTGTGGTGGTTCATGCCTGTAACCCCAGCACTTCGGGAGGCCGAGGTGGGTGGATCACGAGGTTAGGAGTTCGAGATCAGCCTGGCCAACATGGTGAAACCCCATCTCTACTAAAAATACAAAAATTAGCCGGGTGTGGTGGCATGTGCCTGTAATCCCAGCTACTTGAGAGGCTGAGGCAGGAGAATTGCTTGAACCCGGGAGGCGGAGGTTGCAGTGAGCTGACATCACGCCACTGGACTCCAGCCTGGGTGACAGAACAAGACTCCATCTCAGAAAGAAATAAATACAGAGAGAGAGGGAGAGAAAAGAAAGAGAGAGAGCGAGAAAGAAAGAGAGAAAGAGAGAAGGAAGGAAGGAAGGGAAGGAAGGAAAGGAAGGAAGAAGCCAGGACTGCAGGCACATGCCAGTATGCTTGGCTAACTTTTTAAGTTTTTTGTAGAGGTGGGGTCTCACTATGTTGTCCAGGCTGATGTCGAACTCCTGGGTTCAAGTGATCCTCCTTGCCTTGGCTTCCCAAGGTACTGGAATTACAGCTGTGATCCACCGCGCCTGGCCAATACCATTTCTTATAAGAGCCGGCACTGCCTTTCATTTAGCTGCCCCAGCCAAAAGCCTCAAAGCCATTCCCCATCCTATCCTCTCTCCCTCATGTCCATTTCCAATCCATGTTCTTTCTAGCCTTGCTGCTAAATATTATTCAAATCCTTTCACCTATCACGCCCTCTACTGCCCCCAGTCTCATGTAGGCACCATCATCTCCCACCTGGACTGGTGGCGTACCCTCCTCACTGGCCTGCCTCTCAACTTCCTGCAATCTATTCACCCCACAGCTAGAGAGATGTTTAAAACACAAATAAGATCATATCACTCCTGCTCAAAATCCTCCTATTAGGATATGTAATAACAGCAAACATTTACATAGCACTTACTATATGTTTGGCATTCTGGCAAATGTGTTATATATATGCAGTTTATTTATTTTTATTTTATTTTATTTTTTGAGTCGGAGTCTCGCTCTGTCGCCCAGGCTGGAGTGTAATGGAATGATCTCAGATCACTGCAACCTCCGCCTCCTAGGATCAAGCGATTCTCCTGCCTCAGCCTCCCAAGTAGCTGGGATTACAGGCGCCCACCGCCACACCCAGCTGGTTTTTGTATTTTTAGTAGAGATGGGGTTTCACCATGTTGGCCAGGCTGGTCTCAAACTCCTGACCTCTGGTGATCTGCCCACCTCAGCTTCCCGAAGTGCTGGGATTACAGGCGTGAGCCACCACATCCAGCCTATATATGCAGTTTATTTAAATAAAAATACAAAACTCTCTACTGTTTTCCACAAGGTCCTGCACCATTCAGCCCCCATAACCTCTCTCTCCTCTGTTCACTGGACTTTGATGAAGTCTCTTTGCTGTTACTCAAACAGGCCACCTCAGGGCCTTTGCACTTGCTGTTCCCTCTTCTTGGAATGCCCTTCTCTTTGTTCTTTTGCAAGTCACCCCTGCTTATCCTTCAGGTCCCCATTAAAATGTCACCTTTGGCCAGGTGCAGTGCTTCATGCGTGTAATTCCAGTATTTTTCAGAGGCTAAGGCAGGATGATGACTTGAGCCCAGGAATTTAAGACCAGCCTGGGCAACATAGGGAGAACCCTCTCTACCAAAAAAAAAAAAAAAAAAAAAAGAAAATTGAAAATTAGTTGGGCATGGTGGTATGTGACTGTGGTCCCAGCTACTTGAGAGGCTGAGGCAGGAGGATCGTTTGAGCCCAAGAGTTTGAGGCTGCAGTGAGCTGTGATGGCACCACTGCAATCTAGCCTGGGTGCCAGAATGAGACTTTGTCTCAAAATAATAAATAAATAAAAATAAAATGTCACCTTTGCAGGGAAGCTTTTCCTGACATCCCCCATCTAAGCTGAGCTCCCCATGACACCTCAGAGCTCCCAGTTCCCCCAAACATGAGCTCAGGATGTAGTTAATTAAGCAGTTACTTATGTGATTCACAATTGTCTGTCTTGCCTTCATTAGAACATAAACTCCATAAGGCCCAGGACTTTTGTCTACTTGTTTATTGCTCTATTCTTGCATCCACGGCACATAGCACCAGCTCAGTCAATATTTGTTAATCAAACAAATTCACCAATATTGGGCACCAACTTACAAACTGGCACAGAGCCTGGAAAGTGGTCAGTGTTCAAATTATGTTGAATGATTAAATTACTGTTGGAGGCCAGGCACGGTGGCTCACGCCTGTAACCCCAGCACTTTGGGAGGCCAAGGTGGGCAGAACACCTGAGGTCAGGAGTTTGAGACCAGCCTGGCCAACACAGTGAAACCCTGTCTCTACTAAAAATACAAAAATTGGCTGGGTGTGGTGGCACACA
Source organism: Homo sapiens (assembly GCF_000001405.40). NCBI lineage: Eukaryota > Metazoa > Chordata > Mammalia > Primates > Hominidae > Homo > Homo sapiens. The sequence continues at coordinate 48,641,123 of NC_000019.10, read as the reverse complement.
CCTGTAGTCCCAGCTACTCGGGAGCCTGAGGGAGGAGAATCGCTTGAACCCAGGAGTCAGAGGTTGCAGTGAGGCGAGATCTCACCACTGCACTCCAGCCTCGGCAGCAGAGTGAGATTCTATTTAAAAAAAAAAAAAACAAAAACAAAAAGCCGGGCGCGGTGGCTCATGCCTGTAATCCCAGCACTTTGGGAGGCTGAGGCGGGCGGATCACGAGGTCCGGAGATCCAGACCATCCTGGTTAACACGGTGAAACCCCGTCTCTATTAAAAATACAAAAAATTAGCCGGGTGTGGTGGCGGGCGCCTGTAGTCCCAGCCACTCTGGAGGCTGAGGCAGGAGAATGGCGTGAACCCGGGAGGCGGAGCTTGCAGTGAGCGGAGCTCTCGCCACTGCACTCCAACCCGGGCGACAGAGCGAGACTCCGTCTCCCCCCAGAAAAAAAAAAAAGACCGGGTGCGGTGGCTCACGCCTGTAATCCCAGCACTTTGGGAGGCTGAGGCGGGTGGATCACCAGAGGTCGGGAGTTTGAGACCAGCCTGACCAACGTGGAGAAACCCTGTCTCTACTAAAAATAAAAAATTAGCCGGGCATGGTGGCGCATGCCTGTAATCCCAGCTACTCGGAAGGCTGAGGCAGGAGAATCGCTTGAACCCGGGAGGCGGAGGTTGCGGTGAGCCGAGATCACGCCACTGCACTCCAGCCTGGGCAACAAGAGCGAGACTCCGTTTCAAAAAAAAAAAAAAAAAAAAAAAAGACTGTTGGAATCAGAAAATGTAGGCGTGGGAAACGAGAGATAAAAGATCTCTCCCTGCCCCCTGACAGCTCCCGCCTCTCCCACAGCTCCGGGGAACCTTGTACAACACCGGCCGACATGTCTCCTTCCTGCCTGCACCCCGACCTGTGGTCAATGTGTCTGGAGGTCCCCTCCTTTACAGCCACCGACTCAGTGAACTGCGGCTGCTGTTTGGAGCTCGCGACGGAGCCGGCTCGGAACATCAGATCAACCACCAGGGCTTCTCTGCTGAGGTAGTGGCCACTGATTGTTTACCCGCCACCCTCCGCCCTGAGTCACCCCAATTCCTCCCACCTCACCCTCTTAGTGTCTCACCCCATCCTCCTCCACAGAACTGGCCTCCCACCCTAAGCACTAATCCTCAGCCTGATTCGGGCCCCCAAAGCTGGGGTCATGCTCTCCTCCCCTTCTGCTGGGGGACCCCATGCTCTGTGCTACCCCCAGGTGCAGCTCATTCACTTCAACCAGGAACTCTACGGGAATTTCAGCGCTGCCTCCCGCGGCCCCAATGGCCTGGCCATTCTCAGCCTCTTTGTCAACGTGAGCGGAGGCGAGATTCAGAGGGAGGGAGCAGTTGGGTGCCTGGAACCCGGGGTCTGAGGGAAGCGGGGTGCTGGGAGGCCCAGACTCCTGGGTCCTGGGGGAGGAGAAGGTTGAGGGCTTGGACTTCTGGGCTCCTGTGTCCTCACCTCGTACCCCCACACAGGTTGCCAGTACCTCTAACCCATTCCTCAGTCGCCTCCTTAACCGCGACACCATCACTCGCATCTCCTACAAGAGTAAGTCCCTGGCGTGCTGGGGGCAGTGGTCACACACGAGGGGGTTCAAGAGTGCCATCCCTCTTTACTCTGGCCTGATATTCCCGCAGATGATGCCTACTTTCTTCAAGACCTGAGCCTGGAGCTCCTGTTCCCTGAATCCTTCGGCTTCATCACCTATCAGGGCTCTCTCAGCACCCCGCCCTGCTCCGAGACTGTCACCTGGATCCTCATTGACCGGGCCCTCAATATCACCTCCCTTCAGGTGACCCTCTGTCCGCACCGCCCTTCCTAGGCCTGGGTACTCCACTCACTGGCCTGGGCATCCCCTTGCTCACCTGCCCTCCCTCTCCTCATAGACTGAACTCAAGTAGGTAAGAGGGTCAGACCACCTTGGGGGTGGGTGGGGCTGAGAACAGACCCCGCCCACCTGCTCCCAGGGGCGGGGTTTCCTGCGTGACGTCACCAAGACCATTCACTATTCACTCCCAGTTTCCCACCCTCCTTCCACTGCAGATGCACTCCCTGAGACTCCTGAGCCAGAATCCTCCATCTCAGATCTTCCAGAGCCTCAGCGGTAACAGCCGGCCCCTGCAGCCCTTGGCCCACAGGGCACTGAGGGGCAACAGGGACCCCCGGCACCCCGAGAGGCGCTGCCGAGGCCCCAACTACCGCCTGCATGGTATGGTCCAGTCTGCACCCCCTCTAAGTCTTGGGCTAACCCTCTTATATGTGTCTCCCCTTGGTGTCTCAGTGTGATTCAGTCCCATCCTCCTTCCTGCGTCTATATGGTCTAGCCTCGTGAGCTGTCTCTTTTTCTCTCTTTCCCTACATGTCTATGTGGTACAGTCCACCTGCCAGCCCTAGGCCATTGCTAGCCCACGATTTGTCTTTCCTCTTCACTGCTTTGTAACTTGGTCTATAACCCTTGACCCCTGCCTTCCTATGGTCCAATTACCTACTGTTCTGTGCTTCCTATTACTGTGAATTTCCAAAATGGTACAATTTGGATCCTCTCTCCCTTTCCAAGTCGTACTACCTTACGCTGTTCCACAATCTGATGCTCCCTTCCCCCTTACTGAGAATCTACAAGGTACAACCCCTTCCCTCCACCTCTGCCTCCCTGTGGTTTAGCCCAGGAATCTCACACACCCCCGGCTTCGCAACATGGTACAGTCCACACCCCCCCCCCCCCATGAAGACCTTCAAGTAGTTCAGCCTACTGCTGAATCTGGACGTCCCGATTCCCCCCTCCTATTGGCTTCTTGTGGTTCAGCCCAGTGCTTCTCGACCTAGTACATTCTGGTTCCCCGCTCGCAGACTTCCGACGGTAGGGCCCAGCGCGGCGCAGCCCACGCCCCCTGCACACCCCCCGCCCCTTCCATCCTATACTGACGCCCCCTGCCGTTGTTCTCTGTCTTACAGTGGATGGTGTCCCCCATGGTCGCTGAGACTCCCCTTCGAGGATTGCACCCGCCCGTCCTAAGCCTCCCCACAAGGCGAGGGGAGTTACCCCTAAAACAAAGCTATTAAAGGGACAGAATACTTCCTGTTTTCTCAGTGGTCTGATTCTAGGCGCGGTGGGGAAACATTTGGGTATTAAAGAACAGACTTCTTCCGGAAACCAATCTTCCTCTTTCTAAACCTCCGCTCTCGGTATTTTGGCTTCCTGCTTCTCAAAACCATCTTTAGGACCGCGGCCCCTTTAAGCGGCGCCCCTTTTCCCCCCATCACCCCCCTCGCCATCAGGCAGCACGAGCAGAGCCATGTGCTTCCCCCTCCCGCCTGCCTCATTGGCCCAAACTGGGTCACGGTCCCGCCCCCCAGTACCGCCTCCCATTGGGCAAATGTAGGTCAGTGTCCCGCCTCCCACCGAAAGGCAAGGCAACTTCACGCGCTGAGCCCCTCACGCGCCCTCCTGGGCCCTGGCGGACCCAGAGGCCCCATTGGCTGTGCGTCTCAAGGTGTCGGAGACGATTGGTCCGTGTTTGCAGCCGGAGGGAGGCACGCGGCTGGGTTGCATGCCCATAGAGGCTGGCGGGGCTGGACGCGCCGGGCGGGGACCCGGAGGAGGGGCGCGCGCTGTGGCGTCGGGTGTTTTGGTTTGGATTTTTTTTTCCGCGAAAGAAGTTTGCTTTGGCCACGCCTCAAGGCGGCCGCCTCCTCCTGCCCCCTCCTCCGCCCCTCCGCGCACACCTCTCGGTGCAGATTGCAAAGCGCCTTCCGTTGCGAGAGCTGCAGATTTTGCAAGAGCCAGGCTCGCCCACCTTGTAGAAGGAGCGCCTTGAGTCCCCTCTCACCCTCGGTTGCAAAGAGCCGACCGCTTGATCTGGACACCCCCTCGCCCAGATTGCATGATCTCCCGGGACCCTCTTGAGTTGCACGTTTCTGCACCGAGGACCTCAAATCCCCGTCGCTCCTAGGATTTGCAGCGTTCTGGATACTGGAGGGTTGCAGGCTACACTCGCCCGCCCCTGGGCAGACACTCGTCCAAACCACTGGAGTGTGCTGGTGACTGGCAGGCCAGCCCTTCGCCTCTCCATGAACCCGTGAGCCTGGGGGCAGGTGCCAGGCGATGGCGCGGCCTGTGAGCGACAGGACCCCGGCCCCTCTGCTGCTGGGCGGCCCGGCCGGGACACCCCCTGGCGGGGGAGCGCTGCTTGGGTTGCGGAGCCTTCTGCAGGGGACCAGCAAGCCCAAAGAGCCGGCCAGCTGTGAGTTCTAACCCCCATCTCACCCACTTCGGACACCCTACCCCCTTAGGGACTCAGGTGCCGTGGGGTGGGGTCCCATAGAAACCTGCGTGCGGGGAGTCCATCTTCCCAACCTTAATCTACTCAATTACTCAGGTGTTTAGGCCCCTAGATCCCTTAGCGCCCAGGACCCAAAAGCGCCGGCTCTGAAGCCCGTCCACCCTAAGGACCCAGGCACCAACGTCCCCAACGTCCTCCCCGCTTAGTTCACAAGAGTGTAGGCCCCAGCCTCCTCTTCCTTTTGGTCCGGGAGTCTGGACCCCTGGGGTCCCAGGGAGGGGGTGTGTCGGGTGCTCACACGGTGGTGACACGGGCTTGGGCGGGGCGTCATGGGGTCACATGGAGTCTAGGGATGAGGGATGTGCCCCAGGAATAGAGCCCCTTCCTGCCCCTTACAGATGGTGGGGGAGGGGAAGGGGGTACAGCGCGCAGGGGATGGGGGTTGGGTAATTACAGTGAAATTACAGAGCTGTCATTTTTTCTCTCACCTGCCCAACCCTCCACCTACCCTGTCCCTGCCCCCCTATTCCTGAACTTCCGTCTCTCTTTCTCTGGTTCGCTGTCTTTCTGTGTGTCTATTCCTTCCCGGCATTCTGTCCCCATCTCTGTGAATCTGTCCACCTGTCTCTGCCACCCCCGTCTCCATTCTTTCTGGGTCTCTCTCCCACTCTGCGTCTCCGTCCCTTTTTCTCCCGTCTCTCCTCTCCGACCCCCCGTCCCCTCTTTCTCTGGATCTCCGCCCTGTGCCTCTCGGACTCGGGGTCTCTTCTCCATCTCTATCTCCCCCACCTCACCCTCATCCCAACCCGTCTTTCCCGGCCCGCAGGTCTCCTGAAGGAAAAGGAGCGCAAGGCGGCCCTGCCTGCAGCCACAACCCCTGGGCCAGGCCTGGAGACTGCGGGCCCGGCGGATGCCCCGGCTGGGGCAGTGGTGGGCGGAGGGTCCCCGCGGGGGCGCCCGGGGCCGGTGCCCGCCCCGGGTCTGTTGGCGCCACTGCTGTGGGAGCGCACGCTGCCGTTCGGCGATGTGGAGTACGTAGACCTGGACGCCTTCCTGCTGGAGCACGGGCTCCCGCCCAGCCCGCCGCCCCCCGGTGGCCCGTCGCCGGAGCCGTCGCCCGCGCGGACGCCCGCACCCTCCCCAGGGCCGGGTTCGTGCGGCTCGGCTTCCCCCCGCTCCTCTCCTGGGCACGCCCCCGCCCGGGCTGCCCTCGGGACCGCCAGCGGCCACCGCGCAGGTGCGGCGAAGGGGGCGGGGCGGGTCCTGACGGGGCGGGGCTTGGACTCAGGGGGCGGGGCTGTGCGACGCTGGGGGCTGGGACCGTGGGACCTGGCTGCGGCCTCGAATTCTGTGTCCAGTTGTCGAGAGGTGTCGTGGGAGGGGGCCAGATTCGGTGTCTCTTAATGGGTCAGGGACCAATGGATCCATGGGGGAGGAGAGACTTGGAACCCTAAATTCCAGGAAGCCTGCCCAATGAGATTTTGTGGGTTTTTCTGTGGGACTTGGGGACAAACGATGTGGATACTCGTGAAGCCAGAACTGGAAGTCCGGAACACCAGAGTTATTTACTGGGGAGTGGACTGACCCCCGAATCTGGGCCCATAATCGATGGAACTGGGATAGGACTGGAGCCCCTAGGTCCTTTACAGGGGCAAAGGCAAAGGAGAGGCACAGAATTCTGTTTACCCAGGACATAAGAGACTGGCAGCCCAGGTCCCTGGGTCCCCCAGTGGGGCGTGCTGCAGCCCCGGGTCCCAGAGTTCTTCAGAAGGGAAAACGTTAGGGATGTTGTTTCTGGATCCTCCAATTGGGGCTGGGGCCAAGCTTCCTATATTCCTAGGAGAGGCCTGGGATCCCAGAATCGTGGTAGCCCAGTGGCGGGGGTTCTGGGAAGGTCCAGGAGGCCGATGCTCCCCGGAGAGCAGGGGGTTGGGAATCTTTGGAGGTTGAGTGGAACTAAGTGACTGGAAGAGCAAGAGGAAAGATGTTTCCCTTTGGGCACATTGAGGTCTCCAGGGACGGACTGCAGGTCGGGGATTCCTGGGCACACCTGCTCCAGGTCCGACCTCCGGGCCGAACCAGGGCCCTACCCTTCCCAGCGGCACATTCCTGCGCCACGTGAGTCCTCCCATCCCTCCTCCGCGCTTCGCGCAGGCGCCTTCAAGCGCGAGGGGGGCGGGGCCGGGGGAACGTGAGGGCGCCGATGGCGGGGGCCTGGGAGGAAGGGAGGAGGAGGGAAGCAGGCGTCAGCACGTGACTCGGCCCTGAACCTGTGTCCTTAGCTGGCCCCGGCTGGCTGGTGCTTAAAGGTACAGGCGCCTCCTTTCGAACCAATCTTCTGGAACCTTAGAGCAGCTTCTCCTCCTCTTTCCAGCGAGTAGCTCTTAGACTCTAACTTGAGAGCTTTTCAGTGCAGTAGATTCTTTTTCTCTGGACAGTCTGGGGTCTAAGCTTAGGTCGTGGATTCGGTAAGTAGGATTCAGGCTAGACTGTGCATCTGAAGTCCTGAGGTTTTAGAAGCAATAGCCCCATCGCTTCTCGGCCTTTTGGCTAAGATCAAGTGTAGAAGCAATAGCCCTGATTCGTGTGTTACCTAGGGCAAGTCAGTTATGACTGGGACTCAGTTTCCTTGTTTGTAAAGGTGGATATGGCTCCATGATCTCTAAGCATCTTTATGGCTTAGGGGAACCTTCATTTTTCTCGTTATTTTGGAGACGGAGTCTCGCTCTGTTGTCCGGGCTGGAGTGCAGTGGTATGATCTCAGCTCACTGCAACCTCCACCTCCAGGGTCCGGGTTCAAGCAATTCTCCAGCCTCAGCCTCCCTAGTAGCTGGGCTTACCGGCACCCGCCACTACACCTGGGCAATTTTCGTACTTTTAGTAAAGATGAGGTTTCTCCATGTTGGCCATGCTGGTCTTGAACTCCTGACTAAAGGTGATTCGCCGCCTCGGCTTCCCAAACTGCTGGGGTTACAGGCGTGAGCCACTGCGCCTGGCCAAGGGAACCTTCATATTTTATATTAGGGAGATTAATCCCTGGCCGAATTTATGCTAGATCCCAGAAGGACTTTCCATGTGGCTATGATACCACAGCAAAAAGTAGCTTCAGGAAACCCCCTCCTTAAAATACACACTCAGCTGACACGTGCTGTTTCCCCAAGGCCTGACCTCTCGGGACACACCCAGCCCTGTGGACCCAGACACCGTGGAGGTGTTGATGACCTTTGAACCCGACCCAGCTGATCTTGCCCTATCAAGCATTCCTGGCCACGAGACCTTTGACCCTCGAAGACATCGCTTCTCAGAAGAGGAACTTAAGCCCCAGCCAATCATGAAGAAGGCAAGAAAAATCCAGGTGCCGGAGGAGCAGAAGGTGAGCAGAGCTGGATGTGGGAGATAGACTTGGCTGGAGACATGCCCCACAGCCAGGGAGGGGCCTTTTCTCACAGTCAAGCCTGGGCTTCTCCTTGGGATTAGTGCTCAGCCTCTCCTGGCCTGCAGCCACAGATTAGTCCTCCTTGGCCACGGGGCACAAGGGGGCAGGGGCCTGAGGTTTATAAAGACAGTGTCAACTGGGCGAGGGGCCTCACTCGTGTAATCCCAGCATTTTAGGGGGCTGAGGCAGGAGGATCTCTTGAGCTCGGGAGTTCAAGACCAGCCTGGGCAACATGGCAAAACCCCATTTCTACAAGCCACTTGGGAGGCTGAGGTGGGAGGACTGCTTGTGCCTGGGAGATTGAGGCTGCAGTGAGCCAAGATTACACCACTGCACTCCAGCCTGGGCAACAGAGGGAGACCTTGTCTTAAAACAAAAGACAGTGTCACTGTGGGGTGCTGACTCAGCCAGCTCTGCTAGGTCTACTTGTAGAGACTTGGAGCTTCTCCTATTACTTGGGTCCAGAGCTCCACCAGGCACACTTGCAAAGGACAGTCTTCCTTTGGCAATGGGATATCAGCCTGTGGCCTGTCTCTCCTTACTCAGCAGGCCTTTGATCTCTGATGTGGGACTTCCTTTGGAGTGATTGCATTTGGCTAGGATGAAGACTGTGCCAGCCCCTTTAGGCCTTGTTTCCTGGGCCTGGACTTCTCACTGGTGGGAGACTTCAGGCTTCTGTTAGCAGCCAGTGCCACTTTCTGATTTGGGGTGATTTGAGCAGTCATTGCATCTTTGCATGATTTTGTTTTTTGCCATTACTGGAGTCTTCCCTAGCAAGAGTTGCTTGGGCTTCTGTTACAAGACTTTGTCATTCCGGGCCAGGCGCGTTGGCTCACGCCTGTAATCCTAGCACTTTAGGAGGCTGAGGTGGGCGGATCACTTGAGGTCAGGAGTTTGAGACCAGCCTGGCCAACATGGTGAAACCTCGCCTCTACTAAAAGTACAAAAATGTTCCGGGTGTGGTGTCTCACACCTGTAATCACAGCACTTTGGGAGGCCGAGGCGGACAGATCACGAGATCAGGAGACCATCCTGGCCAACATGGTGAAACCCCGTCTCTACAAAAAAATACAAAAATTAGCTGGGCATGGTGGCACTCATCTGTAGTCCCAGCTACTTGGGAGGCTAATGTAGGAAAATCGCTTGAACCCAGGAGACGGAGGTTGCAGTGAGCCGAGATCGCGCCACTGCACTCCAGCCTGGGCGACAGAGTGAGAACTCCATCTCAAAAAAAAAAAAAAAGAACAAAAATTAGCCGGACATGGTAGCGGGCACCTATAATCCCAGCTACTTGGGAGGCTGAGGCAGGAGAATCGCTTGAACCTGGGAGGTGGAGGTTGCAATGAGCCGAGATCATGCCACTGCATTCCAGCCTGAACGACAGAGCGAGACTCCATCTCAAAAACAAACAAGACTTTGCCATACCCTTGCGTAACACATAGCTACTTGAAGCACCTAGGACTGGCCTGGAAGTCAGATCTACACCAGTGGTTTCTCCTTCTAGAGGGCCCTGTTGCTAGGGACTGGATTTACCCTCACAAGCAGGAACTGGGCTTTAATTAAATAGTGGAGTAGAGAGCATCTTTCTGAGCCCCGTGGTCCTTGGTTACTAAGGAGGAGTCTTCCTTAGGAACCAACTTCCAGGATGGGAGGACTTTAGGTATAATCCTCTGGGGAGGTCTCAGGATAGTCCCCTTTCCTAAGAGACAGCTCTTCTCTCAGTCAGGTCCTACTGGGGAGGAGGCTATTCTCTGGCCTCAGTTCAAGGCCAGCAGGTCAGAGGCTGGCCACAGTCATTGAAACCACTTAGACCTCACTTTTGTTTGCCAAGGATGGATGAGGTTGCCTTGGCAACCAGGTCAGAAGGCCCCAGCTCTGCGAGGATTTTATGGGACACCAAACCCCATCACCAGGGCACCAAGCTTTCCTTAGCAACCAGGATCTGGAAAGGCAATGTGCAGGGCAGGGCAGTGCTCTTCATTGGGAGAAGCCCTCAGACCATGAAGGCCTTGTTGCTAGGGAACAAGCATCCTTAGCAAGCAAGAGCTAACTGCATGCAGGCCTTTATCATGTGGGGAGGGCTGGGGTCCGCTTTGCAGAGTGGAGACTTGAAGCGAGTTGCTTGAGGGTGGGGGGTCTATCTCATGCCTTTACTGTTGCTAGGGGCCCAATCTCCTTAGCAACCAGGGCCCTAGAAAGGCAGACCCTTGGGTACCTATCCCAGCAGAGACCTGGTGTGGTTTAGGCCCCGCTGCTGGGGCTCCCTTCCTCTCTCGCTGGGACCTGGGTCCCTCTGGACCTCAGTGCTCTCCCCCTCTTCTCCTGCAGGATGAGAAATACTGGAGCCGGCGGTACAAGAACAACGAGGCAGCCAAGCGGTCCCGTGACGCCCGGCGGCTCAAGGAGAACCAGATATCGGTGCGGGCGGCCTTCCTGGAGAAGGAGAACGCCCTGCTGCGGCAGGAAGTTGTGGCCGTGCGCCAGGAGCTGTCCCACTACCGCGCCGTGCTGTCCCGATACCAGGCCCAGCACGGGGCCCTGTGAGGCTGCCCCACATCCCCACCTGGCGGAGCTCTCCTCCGCCTTGCTGAGACTTACGCCCTGTTCCCTTCCTGCCCTGTGGCCCACGGGCCGGCCAGCTGGGTGCCCCAGGGACGTGATAATGCAGATAAATACATTTATATTTTTAAGAAAAAGCGAGCCTCCCCCCTCCCTTGCGGGGGCGGGGAGGGTTCTCTGTGTGTGTCCCCGGCACGTCAGGGACCCTATCCTCCCACCGCCTCCGTTAACACGATCCTGAATAAATCTTGAGAACCCCAGAGCCAGCTGTTGTGGAAGAAGAGGGCAGCTCCCTGGCATACTGGCTGCAGCCCGTGGGCAGCTCCGGGCTGTCGTCCATAGAGGGCAGGCGCTGCTGGAAGTGCTGGAGTCTGAGTCCTCCCGCGGGCTGTCGGATGGAGGAAGGGCAGAAGGTCTGAGAGGAATGAAGCGACTGCCTTTATTGCATAGACCTTTTCAATTGCTTTTTAGATTGGGGACGGAGGACGCGCATGAGACGAACAGGGGATATGAATTTCCCCGCCCCCACCCGCGGGGAGAGGAACATTAGTGCAAATCCTAGCGCCGGCCCCGGGGAACCTGCCCCTCCTGGGCTGATTGGCCAGCTAAATGGAGGCACCGGAGTGGATGGGGCGAGGCTGCGGGCCCTGACCGGCCGACTCACTGAGGCCTACCCCAGCCAGTACATTCCAGGTCCTGTCATTGGGCGACGCGTAAAATAGACTCCGCCCTCAGCCATCCTGGCCGGGTAGGAGCAGGTGGCAAGCGTCAGGACTGAGCCCTGCCCCGTAAGGGCGGCCCCAGATCAGACGCCAGGCCCCGCCCTCATTGATCAGGCACTACCCTCGGGACGAGCCCATTTCTCTTTAACCGTGACGACGCCCACCTTCCAGCATCACGTCTGGTCCCATGAAAGCGAGCGCAATCCTGAGACGGGGCCAGGGCCCCTGCCACCACAACTCTAGCAGCCAGGCCACACCCCCTAGCTCAGGCTCCGCCCCATTGGAATGTAGGCCCCGCCCCCGGCGGGTACCAAGCTTGTTTAGTTTCAGGGCTCCCGCCCCGGGCAGCCAGGAGGCCCAGTGAGCAGTGTACCGATGCCAGGGTGCATCTGTGCCTGTAGCGGCCCATACTCCACCTGCTCCCCGTCCACTGTGAGCACGCCGCGTGGTGTGAGCGGCTCTAGGCGGAAGGCACGGGCCGCGGCGTAGCCCAGCTGCGGACAGCCCAGGCTGAAGTGGCTACCACGCTCCATGGCCAAGAAAAGGCGCAGCAGCGCAGCCCGCGAGATGCCGCTACGCACCCAGCACAGGTGCACCAGGCCGTCGTCGAAGCGCGCATGCGGAGCTGCCACCAGGTCAGCGCCTAGGTGGCTGGGCGAGATGGCCAACATGAGCACAAAGTCCCCCTCCAGCGTCACCCAGTCTGGGGGCAGCGGGGTGCCCAGCGGAGGCAGCAGGTGGTCGGGCGGGCCGCAGGTGGAGGCCCCTACCCGGGCATCAGGGGTGGGAAGTGGGAGCCCAGAGGATGGGGGAATTACGGGGGCCCCTTCGGAGACGGGTGAGTGTAGAGCTGCCTTGGGAGAGCCAGGAGGTGAAGACAGCAGTGGGTCCGGGGACAGCGGAGCATCCCCAGCCCCACCCCAGTCCCCAGCCAGCTCTGGGCCCCCACCGTTGAGGGACAGGATGGGCAGGGGTTCTGGCGAGCCAGGAGAGGCCAGGGCAGGCTGGGGCAGGGGAAGAGGCAGGTCAGACACAGAACGATGCAGGGGTGAGTGGGCCATGGGCGGGGCTGGGTCTGGGGTTAGGGTCAGCTCCGACTTGGCACGAGGCAGGCTATGGGCAGGGGTGGGCGAGGCAGGTTCCACAGTGGCGGGGAGGTAGGAGAGGCGTCCGCGGTAGGTGTGCAGTGTGGCGAGGCCCAGCACCGTGCCCAGTGTGAAGCGGGCACTGCCCAAGGCCCTGAAGCGCTCGCTCTGGATATCCACATCTGACACGAAGCCCCAGGCCACAGACAGGAAGGAGAAACAGCGGGAGCCCGAGGCCAGCGTCACGGAGAGCAGGTCCAGTGGGTGGCCACCACCCCGGCACAGCAACAGTGAGCAGTTGAGCAACAGGTCGAGGCCCAGGGCTGGCTCAAATCTTCACAGCCGGAGATGGACGGACACACAGAAGGAAGGAGCAAACAGGGGTTGGGGAAAGAGACAGGTAGGAAAGCAGCTGGCAATGAGACCACGAAGGCCATGGCCCAGGCCCACCACAGCCGTGGGGCCACCTCCAGGCGACTCCTTACGGGGCCAGGTTCCTGGTCATCTTTCATTTGCTCCCTACAATTCACTGAGTGCCTCCCATGCCAGGCAGAGTTCTGGGCGCTCGGGATACAGCTGGGAAGCAGGCAGGCAAAAATGTCCAGGAGCTGGGGGTGAGCATCCCACAGGCAGGCTGATTTACTTGACTGACTGTGGGTTTGGCTGAGTGGGAGATATAGGGGTCCCTATCACCCCAGGAGGGGCTCATCCCTCCCTTCGTGGTATCCTCAACCTACCCCCCGTGCTGGTTCACTGCTCCGGCCAGCGCGTTGCCCGAGCCGCAGGGGAGGATGCCCACAGGCATCTTCACAGCTTCCTCCCAGTCAGGGCGATCTAGGAGCCCGTTCAGCACCTGGAGGGTGGGAGACCAGAAGCCTGGGTCCTGGTGGCAGTCTCTATAGTCCCCCAGGGCCCAGGGCTAGGGGCAGGGTGCTCCTGCTCTACCTCATGGAGCAGCCCGTCTCCCGAGACCGTGACGATGCCATCCCACTCACTCAGGCTCAGCCCCTGGACCAGCTCCCGGGCGTGGTTCTGTCGTTCTGAAGTGGGATACCGGGCTGTTAGGCAGGCTGTCCCACCCCAGCCCCATAGACCCAGGAGTCCCACCCACCACTTTGCTCCCTTAGGACTCAGCTGTCCCAGCCCCCAGCTCCCATTCTCACTGGCCCTTACCTGTCTGGATGAGGTTGAAGGACAGCCCAGCTTCAGAGATCATGGGAAGCACGTGGTTCTTACACCACTGCCAGGCCAGGCCCCGACCCCCAAAGGGATTGACCAATAGAAGCAACCGGGGCGGCCGAGGTAGCAGGTCAGGGGTGATCTCTGTGGAGAGAGGTTAGGGTCTGCAGAGGCCAGTGACCCAGGCCCCCCACCTTGGAAACAGTCCCTTCATCAGCCCCCAACGGAATTGGTGGAGGGCTGGCCCCTGGGACCTGCTGGCTCTCATGTGGCCAGGCCTAGGTATGCAGCCCTGCCCCAACTCCTAGCTGCTGAGACAAAGGCAGGGCTTAGGTGTGAAACCAAATGCCCTTTGTCCCCATGTGTGGGAGGAGCTGTAGTTCAGAGCTGTGGTTCCCACTTTCCTCACCCCAAACACCTATTACCCAGGATTAGGTTACTTCCAGCCCTTAGGGGCCCCAGGCAGGATTAGATGCCACCTCTGAACTCCAGGGAAGCCCTAGACCTCTGTTGGCACCCATCACTCTGGGTGGTACCTGGTCCTGTCTCAGGCTGCTGCTCTCACCACCCTGGGTGACTCACCTGTGGTCAAGACCCATGCAAAGGGGAAGAGGATAGGAGACAGAAACATAAATCTAGCAAGAGAACAGCAGATGTAAATCACTTTTCTCTGCCTGCGTTTTTGTTTTGTTTTGCTTTTTGTGATGGAGTATCGGTCTTGTCGCCCAGGATGGAGTGCAATGGTGCAATCTCGGCTCACTGCAGCCTCTGCCTCCCGGGTTCAAGTGATTCTCCTGCCTCAGCCTCCCGAGTAGCTGGAATTACAGGCATCCGTCACCATGCCCGGCTAATTTTTGTATTTTTAATAGAGACAGGGTTTCGCCATGTTGGCCAGGCTGGTCTCGAACTCCCGACCTCAGGTGATCTGCCTGCCTTGGCTTCCCAAAGTGCTGGGATTATAGGCATGAGCCACTGCACGCGACCTCTGCCTGTGCTTTTTTTTTTTTTTTTTTTTTTTTTGGAGACAGAGTTTTGCTCTTGTTGCCCAAGCTGGAGTGCAATGGCACGATCTCAGCTCACTGCAACCTCTGCCTCCTGGGTTCAAGCGATTCTCCTGCCTCACCCTCCTGTAGCTGGGATTACAGGTGCGCAGCACCACACCCGGCTAATTTTTTGTATTTTTAGTAGACATGGGGTTTCACCATGTTAGCCAGGCTGGTCTCGAACTCCTGACCTCAGGTGATCCACCCGCCTCAGCCTCCCAAATTGCTAGGATTACAGACATGAGCCACCACATCCGGTCCTCTTGTCTTTTTGTTCCTTCTGTAGCCCATCCCTGTGTATCACTCCTAACGGATCCAGAGAGATACATCACCCAGACACACAGAAAAATAAAGACACAGCTGCCTATGGAGGAAATTCTGCAGAGACACCAAGGTGGCTCCAGGATAGAGCAGCTGCCCAGCACCTCACCCCCATCCCCGGGCAGTGGCAGTCCTCGGAGCAGACAGGTGAGGGCAGTGGCCCAGCGCTGGGCCTCGGCACGGTTCTCTTCGTAGGTGGCGGCCCCATCTGCCCGGAAGGTGCGAGTGGCTCTGCGCCGGGCCCCGCGCCGGCCCCGAGGGTAGGTGTAGATGCAGAAGTAGGCCGCTGAGTCTGAGGGGCTGCGGCTTCGCAGGGTGCAGCAGCCTGAGACCTCGGCCAACGGGACCAGGCCACCCCGGGGCCTGGCTTCAGGTTTGGGGCGCAGCCGCTGTATGTGCAGGGCCTGCGATGTAAGGGTGAGGGCAAAGCGTGGGCCTCGGGCTGGGTAGGAGCCAAACTCGCCATGGAGGAGCGGGGTGCTGGCAGCCAGTGGCGGTGGGGGCGGGGCCATGGCCTTAGCCCTGACCAGGGTGCTCCTAGGCCCGTGGCCCCAGCTCCCGGTCAGCTCCTGGTCTGGCCTCTGTGGGAAGGGAGGAGAGAAGGGGTGAGAATTCAGGACCCCATGGCAGGGGCAGGGAGGGGCAGGGGCTGTGGACAGGAGGAGACAATGAGGGGCAGTGGCAGGTGAGACAGGAGCATCAGAGACAGACAGGCTCAGACAGGTGTGGGCAGACCTTGAGGATGCGGGACAGAGGCCAGCATCCCAGAGGGGGCCGGAGACCCGGGCATGCAAACATCCAATCATTTATTCCCCAGTAAGTATTCAGTACCCTTTATGTGCCAATCACGGTGCTAGGCCTAGCAAACACAGCAGGAGACAAAATAGCCCCAAATCCTTGCCTTCATAGGAATAGATAAACAAGAGAAAGGATTGAAATATACAGGTGGTTGGGTGATGATAACGGGCTTTGGGGGAAAAGAAGGCACAGGAAGGGGAATGGATAGTGGGATTGGATATGCAGAAACAGACATGCAAAGACTGAAAGACACACCTCCCCGACACCCCCACCCCCCATACGGTGCAGTGGGTAAAACAGCAAAACAATCACAAACGCAATAGAGATAGGGTCTGAGAGCCAGAGAAACACTGAGAGGAGACAAACAGGGTCAATGAGGTGAAACTCAGGCGATGAAAGATACTTAAGAGAGTAAGACTTTTTCACCCCAACGAGAAAGGCAAGACAGAGTGGAAGGGAGAGCAAATAGGAGGGGTACGAGGCAGGCATGGAGACAGCTGGAGAGAAGGGATATGACAGGGACTACGGGGTCCGAGAGGAGCCACATGCGAGCGCCTGCAAGGGGCAGGGGCCAAGAGCTGGTCCCTGAGCACTGACCTGGGTGTCTGGCCGCCTGCTCTCCAGGGAGCGGGTGGGAGCAGGACTGAGGTCCCTTCCCCACAGGCCCTCTCCCTGCCCTCTGCCCGGATTCTGCCTCCTCCTTTCGCTCACCTTTGTTCCCCACTGCCCCGCCCAGCCACCTGCCAGTCCTGCCCCTCACATTCCCCAGGCCCAGAGCGCCAGGACAGCCCCCCACCCCCCACCGCCTGTGGACTCACCCTTAGGAACTACATCTGCCCCCCTATCCCCAGCGGCTCTCTCGGGTCCAGGACGTCTGCTTCACCCCCAAACCTGCCCTGGCCCCATTATGGGAACCTCAAATCAGGTTCAAGCACAGAGCCCTAGATGTCCTCCAGTCTTGGGCCTGGGTCTCTGTCCCTGGGTCCCCGAGACCTGGACCTGGGTCTCCATCCATTGGTCCCCAATCCATAGGCCTGCGTGTCTGGCCCTGGGCCCCCAAACCGCCATCCGCACTCTTATTTCCAGAACCCAGTCCCAGGCCTGGCTGGGTTCAGTCCTGGCCCAGGTTTTCCATTTCCATCTCCCACCCCGGTGCCCCAGTCCCGGGCCTGAGTCTCTGTTCCTCTTGGTCCCTCAGTCCCCTAGACTCCGGTCCCTGCCCCGACCCCCGCACCCTCCTCACACGCCGGGTCCTCCTCCAGGCGGTCCCGCAAGTCAGCACCAACAGCCCCCATCAGACCTAGGGGTGGGGGGAGGGTGTGCATCCGCTCAGCCAATGGCCGTGCAGCCGGCCTGGGCCGCACCAATACGAGGGCGCGGGGGGTGGAGCCAGTCAGCTCGCGAGCTTGGTGCAGGGACCGGCCGCGGGAGAGGCCGAGAGCTGGGCGGGGCCTCGCGCTTCGGGAGACTGGCCGCCATCGTGGGTGAGGGCCGACGCGCAGCGGAGACGACGTCGCGGCCCCATAGACAGCGCCGTTGTCGCCATCTTTGTTAAGGGAGAGTGGGCCTGTCTCATCCATTGAATTCACAAAAGAAAAGGGGCGTGAGGGAGGAGGTCTTTAGCTGCAAAGACAGAGACTCTAACACGCGTAACAAAGGCCCAGAGATCCGATCCAGACACAGAGCAAGGCAGAGACCCACAGAGGTTGGATGAGGCAATAAGAGAGCTGGGAGGAGAGGGAGAGTGGGGAAAGTGAAGGATACTTTTTTTTCGGACAGTTACAGAGTCAGAGAGACCCAGAGAAAAGCAGAGATATAAACAAGAGACCAAAACAGTGGGATTGAGAATGTGCAAGGTAAGGATACAAGAAAACCCTGAAAATGACAGACACGGAGACAGATGGAGACAGACACTTCTGGAATGGAAGCCGCGAAGGAGAGGCTCATTAATTCAGACTTATTTATCTCAGGCTCAAACCAGAATGGAAGCGGCATGAGATAAACATCTGCCCAGTGAATGAACCAGTCACATGGCAAGACAGAGACAGAGAGATGGGGACAGTATCTCTAGGTCAAAGGTGAGGGAGGGAGAGAATATTGGAAGCCCAGGGGCTGGGAGGAACTGGGACAGAAAGTGAAGATGTTGACAGATGCACCGAGGCAAAGACATGGTGAAATTGAAAGAAAGGCAAGTATATATTAGGAGACTTAGAAACAGAATTGCATAGAGAGAAAGAGATATGCATTAGGAGACAAGGACAGAGCTCACTAGAAAGTGACAAATGTAGGCTGTAGGCCAGGCGTGGTGGCTTACGCCTGTAATCCCAGCACTCTGGGAGGCCGAGGCGGGTGGATCGCCAGGTCAGGAGTCCGAGACCAGCCTGACCAACATGGAGAAACCCCCGTCTCTCTCTCTTTTTTTTTTTTTTTTTTTGAGATGGAGTCTGGCTCTGTCACCCAGGCTGGAGTGCAGCGGCACGATCTAGGCTCACTGAACCGCCTGCCTGGTTCAAGCGATTCTCCTGCCTCAGCCTCCTGAGTAGCTGGGACTAGAGGCACGTGCCACCACGTCCGGCTAATTTTTTACATTTTTAGTAGAGACAGGGTTTCACCGTGTTAGCCAGGATAGTCTGGATCTCCTGACCTCGTGATCCATCCGCCTCAGCCTCCCAAAGTGCTGGGATTACAGGCGTGAGCCACCTCACTGGTCCAAAACCCCCATCTCTACTAAAAATACAAAAATTAGCCAGGTGTGGTAGCACGCACCTGTAATCCCAGCTACTCAGGAGGCTGAGGCAGGAGATCGCTTGAACCCAAGAGGCGGAGGTTACAGTGAGCCGAGATGATGCCACTGCACTCCAGCCTGGGCAACAGACCAAGACTCTGTCTCAAAAAAAAAAAAAAAAAAAAAAAAAAGAGAGACAAATGTAGGAAGAAGTTTGCTTATTGCCAAATCATGTACCTAGCATCCAACCCACAGTAGCAACAGCACCAGATAGTATGTGCCAAGGAATGACACGGAGAGAAGGGGGAACAGAAACCCAGTAAGACTGAGACTGGGGCACAGCAACTGAGCTTGGGGCCCTGGGAGAAGGAAAGGCAGAGACACTGGGCAAAGAAGCTGAGATTCAAACATAGAGCCTAAGTCACACAGACGAGAGGACAGGGAGGAGGAAAAGGAGAAAGGACCCTGCAGCTCACACACACTTGCTGTGTGACTGCTGGGAAGCCCCTGAATTCTTGGCCTCAGCTGTCCTGTCTGGGAAGTAGGGAGAAAGCTATTCACACTGAAACAGGAATTAAAAGAAATTAAAGAATGTGTAAGCAAAAACTCAGTTGTATGTAAAAAACCCAATTCCCCCTGAGGAAGAGAAAGAGATTGAGTCCTTTATTTTTTTTTATTTTTTTTTTTTTTGAGACGGAGTTTCGCTCTGTCGCCCAGGCTGGAGTGCAGTGGCGCGATCTCGACTCACTGCAAGCTCCGCCTCCCGGGTTCACGCCATTCTCCTGCCTCAGCCTCCCGTGTGTAGCTGGGACTACAGGCGCGCGCCACCATGCCCGGCTAATTTTTTTTGTATTTTTAGTAGAGACGGGGTTTCACCGTGTTAGCCAGGATGGTCTCGATCTCCTGACCTCGTGATCCGCCCATCTCGGCCTCCCAAAGTGCTGGGATTACAGGCGTGAGCCACTGCGCCCGGCCCGAGATTGAGTCCTTTAAAAATTAACTGCCTGTTTTTCTGTTTGTGGCTAGTGAGCCTTATCTAACTCCCTTTCCCAGGCATCGTGAAGACCCTGTTTCTCTAACTGTGCAGCTGCAAGGTCACTAGACAGGATAAACTCAAGTCCTAAAACATGTTTTTCCTTGAAAAGTAAGAAATAATGTAATGCATGTCTCAATTGAATAACTGTCTTTGTTTCTCGCTGCTATAATATGCTTCCCCCTGCACAGATCTCCCCCTACCCCACGAAATACTTAAAATGTAACTTGACTCTTTGTTCGGTGCTCAGTCTTTTTCGATGTTAATCTGACTGGGCCAGTGCACCTAAATAATAAATAATAAGTATCCTCCTCAACCCCTCAGTTTCTCTGATTCCTAAATTATCCCACTGGAACACCTGCCTGGAGAGAAGGTCTGAAATCACTTATGGAAGGGCTCCCAGGCTGGGCGCGGTGGCTCATGCCTGTAAGCTCAACACTTTGAGAGACTGAGGTGGGAGAATCCCTTGAGCTCAGGAGTTCAAGACCAGCCTGGGCAACAGAGGGAGACCTAGTCTCTAGAAAAAATAAAAAAATTGGCCGGGTGCAGTGGCTCATGCCTGTAATCCCAGCACTTTGGGAGGCCGAGGCCGGCGTATCACCTGAGGTCGGGAGTTTGAGACCAGCCTGACCAACATGGAGAAACCTCATCTCTATGAAAAATACAAAAGTAGCTGGGTGTGGTGGCGCATGCCTGTAATCCCAGCTACTTGGGAGGTTGAGGCAGGAGAACTGCTTGAACCCGGGAGGCGGAGGTTGCAGTGAGCCAAGATCGTGCCATTGCACTCCAGCCTGGGCAACAAGAGCGAAACTCCACCTCAAAATAAATAAATAAATAAAAATAAAAAAATTAGCCAGCCATGGTGGAGGCTACTTGGGAAGCTGAGGTGGGAAGATCACTTTAGCCCAGGAGGTTGCAGCTGCAGTAGGCTGTGATTGTGCCACTGCTTTCCAGCCTGGGCAAGAGTGAGACCCTGTTTTTTCTTTTTTTTTTTTGAGACGGAGTCTCACTCTGTCACCCAGGCTGGAGTGCAGCGCGATCTCGGCTCACTGCAACCTCTGCCTCCCGGGTTCAAATGATTCTCCTGCCTCAGTCTCCCGAGTAGCTGGGATTACAGGTGCGCATCACCATGCCTGGCTAATTTTTGTATTTTTAGTAGAGATGGGGTTTCACCATGTTGGCCAGGCTGATCTCGAACTCCTGGCCTCAGGTGATCCGCAGGCCTTGGCCTCCCAGAGTGCTGGGATTACAAGCTTGAGCTACCACGCCTGGCCTCCAATTTTTTTTTTTTTTTTTTAAAGAAAAGCTTCAGATTTTGTCTTTCCACAGTATGAGGATCTTGGCTTTTAGATGGTCCCTTACCTGGTCCTGCTGCTCCTCTGCTTCAAGGTGTCCATTCATCTGCTGGTCCTCTGCTCTGTTACATCAACGGGACCCTGGCCCTGGGTCTTAAGCCATAGTAGGCTGGTAGGAGCAAGGAGTCAGGTCTCACTGTCCTGGCCTGACCTTCAGCTCTGTGGAGGAGAGGTAAGTGAGGAGCAGCATTGACAGCCAACTGCAGGAGGCCCTTCCAGGCTCAATGTGCCTGAGAACCAAGAGGCAGGGGCCTCCCTGGCGGGTGGGGGGAAGAGTAGATAAGTCATTTTAATCACTGCCCCAGCCAGTCCATCTGGTTGCACACAATATGTATGCTATAATAGGAGTGAAGGCTAATTTTTATTGAGCACTTATTATGTGCAAAATATTGACCTCAGCAGTTTTATTAACTTTCATAATCCTGAAAAACACCCCTGTGTGCCAGGCCTGTTGTCATCCCCTTTTTGTCCATAAGGAGAGTAAGGCCCAAAGAAGTTAAGTGATTTTCCCAAGATCACAGAGAGGTTAAATGACTTGCCCAATCACCCCATTAGTAACTAGCAGAGCCAGGATTTGAATTTGGTTATAGCCTTGCAAGGCCCCATCTCACCATCTTTCTTTGCCACTACTTCTCCCTGGGTCTCCATCTCACCCCTCTTTCTAGGTCTCCTTCCTACCCTTTGGGCCTCCATTCCCCCCACCCCCAAGCCACGGAGTCTCCATTTTGCCTCCCCTATGAAACTCTGTCTCCCTCTTTCTAGGTCAGGGAAGGGCCATCTAGGGGCCGGGGGAGAAGGAGAAGCGGAACTCAAAGGATGGGAATACAGGATGCTATAGATTGAGGTGCAGCAAGATCATCTCGGGTTAGACCTTAAGTAGGACTTCCCAAGCAGCGGCTGCGCCTACGAAGTGCAGCGCGAGATCAGGGAGCGGTGAACCTGATAAGGAAACGCCCGAAGCGTGGGGTCGGAAATTTCCAGATGCCCCGACTAGCCCTGCCAGCCCCGCCTCCTCACCTCCAACACTGGGCCCGCCGGGTCCTCCGGGAGCCACTGAGAGGCCGTCGGCGTCGGGCCAGAGCGTCACCGCGCGACGCATCGTGCTAGCTACACGCATCTCGCTCCCAGATCCCTTTCTTCCGGAAAGCTATCGAGAACACGGCCTGGGTAGGGCCAGAGAGGCCCCCGACGTGCTGGCCCTTCCCTCTTGGACGTTGCGCTTGTTCCTGCGCTCTATGCTCTCTGCCGTTATCGCCCGGCTAGTCAGTCGTCCAACTCACCACAGAGAAGTCCGGATCGTGGTAGAGCGCCGCGTCGCACCCATGTGACGTCACGGCGGCGCCACTCGCTTGAGGCTTTCCCCGCCCACCCCAGCCCGTTCTCTCTTTCCGGACCTGGCCGAGCAGGAGGCGCCATCATGGTGAGCTCGCTTTGCGGCGTTCGGGGCTGGATAATCCGCTGCCATCCGCCGTGGTTTTGGGCTAGGGGCACGCTGGAGGGCGGCAGGGGGTCTGCGGCTGCCCGGAGGGAGCAATTCCCGATACTGGGGACCTACTCTGGGGGCCAGGAAAGCAGGGATGGGTCAGTCATAGCCTACCGCCCCCACTTAGTAGATGACCAAGTGGAGGTACTCGGAGGCTGATATGACTGGGTTTACAAAGCCAGGAAGTGGCAGAGCCAGGATTCCGACCCAGGTGGCTGGACCCGCAGCCACTCTTAGTTATTTGGCTTTGCTGCCTTTATCTGGACCTGTCACTTTCTAGTATGAAAAGTCGGGTTCGATGGGGGCCGCGGCGGGTGAGAGGATCGAGAGCCGAATAACTGGATTTGGGGACCAGGCAGGTCTCTGAGTCTCAGGCCCCTTCCCACCTTGTGATGGTTTTTGAGCCTTTGCCCCAGTGTCTGGCTGTTCGTTGGGTACACAGTAATCTCATCTGACAAGTTTGTGAATTTGGGAAGAAATAATTCACAGGAGATGCTCATCACGGGGTTTTGCACACAGTAAGTGCTGCATAAGTGGAGCTATTAAATAGTTCTTGTAATTGTCAACACAGTCTGAAAAACTTAAGTTGCTCAGAAAGGCAGCAGGGCGGTAGGAGCCTGGCGAGGCGGCTCACGCTTGTTATCCTAGCACTTTGGGAGGCCGAGGCGGGAGGATTCCTTGCCCAGGAGATCAAGACCAGCCTGGCCAATATTGTGAGACCCTGTCTCCACTTTAAAAACGATGTTTTAAAAAGACACTATTTGGTAAGGGTTGTTGGATTGACTGATGCTGTAGGAGAGGTGGTTCTAGTAGTATTGCTAGGTTCTGAATAAGGATTCGTTTTCATCATTACTGCCATTGGTTTGATATTTTTGGTTATCCCTCCGGGTATGGGAACCAGTTTTGATAACATTGTTGCAAAATACAAGTTGTAAAGAATTGACCTTTTTGTATTAAGTTAATATGATTGCTGTGTTACGATGTTTCAGGGTTCTGTGTGCCATGGGCTGAAGGCTTTGTAAACAGCCCCTTTTTACAGAGGGATCAGTGGCAGCCCACAGGTCTCCTGGTGGTGGGCCTGGGATTTGAGCTGGTGTGTTCAGACCTGGGCTTGTGTCCCAGCTCTCAGTTTCAGAAATAAGTAATAATTGGCTATGGTTGGGGGTAATTGGGTCCATGGTTGCCTCTTCACCCCCACAGGGAGTGGACATCCGCCATAACAAGGACCGAAAGGTTCGGCGCAAGGAGCCCAAGAGCCAGGATATCTACCTGAGGCTGTTGGTCAAGGTGAGGCTGGGCCCTGAGGTCTTTGGGAAGGGTCACCCCAGGTCTGACTTGCAGATCCTCCATTCTAGTGCTGGCACCAAGCTCCTCCCAGGGGCCTGCAGAGCAGTCTCGGGTCTCTGGTTCTGTTCCAGGGTCTCCTGCATTTGTATTTTCAGCCTCTAGGCTGTGTACAGCTCGGGAGTGGAGCCAGGATTTTCTAGGTCCTTGGCCAGGAAGGACCTGGGCCAGCTTTCTCCCTCTAGGTCGGTGGGTTGGGGGAAAGGGATAAAGATTATTTTAGTCCAGATCATCATGTGTTTGCCCCTTCACTGGAAGGCTGCGGGGGAGCAGGCTGTCCCAGCTTCTCACTGTCTTCCCGTCCCTCCAGTTATACAGGTTTCTGGCCAGAAGAACCAACTCCACATTCAACCAGGTTGTGTTGAAGAGGTTGTTTATGAGTCGCACCAACCGGCCGCCTCTGTCCCTTTCCCGGATGGTGAGTGGCTGGTCCAGAGAGCACGGTAGACCTGGGAGCCGCTGGGTCTTGTCTGTCTGGAAGGGAGGCAGGACTTGGAGCTCTGGGAGCAACCAGGGCATCAAGGGTTTGTCTCAGCCAGTCGCGAGCGTAGAGCTTGGACTGTTGGTTGGAACTGAGTGTCCATGGGCAGTGGGCAAGTCTCCTGGTCCTCCTCTCCTTCTCTTTGTGAGGTGGAGGTGTCCTGGTGGCTTCAGGAGATTGCCCCAAGTCATAACTGAGTTTTATGTCAAAGGCTCTGCTGAGGGAGGCCCTATTGAACAGTCTGCATTTTTTTTTTTATCTGGAGCTTTCCCCAGCTGGACCTGAGGAGAGGCCTGTGGGGTTTAAGGGGTGTGGTGTGAGTGGGGGGTCCCGTTAGAGGGCACAGCTGCCCTGGCCTGGGGATGCCTCAAGCGGGGCTGAATGTAAACACCAGAACAACTTACGACGTACATCCTCCCCACCCTAAGATCCGGAAGATGAAGCTTCCTGGCCGGGAAAACAAGACGGCCGTGGTTGTGGGGACCATAACTGATGATGTGCGGGTTCAGGAGGTACCCAAACTGAAGGTGAGCTGGCGGGGGCTGGGCAGACCCATCAGACCCTTGCTGTACTGTGCTGTGCTGTGCTGTGCTGTGCTGTGCTGTGCTGGTCCATCCTCAGTCTTGCCACCGCTGGTGAGGCAAGCATCCTGCCTGTCTGAGTGGCTTTGAGGATTGGTGTGGGTCGTCTCTGGCATGGTTGATGGTGGGGTCCCCTGGGCAAGCTTCTTCTGGGGCAAGTTGTAAACTGTTAGTGCTGGCCCCTAGAGCCAGACAGCCTGGGCTCAAGTCTAGACTCCTTTGTCACCTCTGCACAGGTCTTTTTTTGGCCCAGCTTCCTTGCTGTAGTTTCTAGCATAACACCAGGGATGTGGTGGTGAAAGTTCCGGAAGTGTTGAGAACTGCTGCTGTCAGCCCAGGGTGCTCCGGGTAGTAAACGATAGTGTTGGTTACCAGGGCTCTGCTGCGCCAAGGCAGTGGAGGGTGAGTCCTGGCAGCCCCTGGGTGACCACGCAGGGGTCTGACCCGCCAGCCTTGTCCTCTCCACCAGGTATGTGCACTGCGCGTGACCAGCCGGGCCCGCAGCCGCATCCTCAGGGCAGGGGGCAAGATCCTCACTTTCGACCAGCTGGCCCTGGACTCCCCTAAGGGCTGTGGCACTGTCCTGCTCTCCGGTGAGTGATACGTGGTCGACGGGTTTGGACTGAGCTGTGTGGCTACTGGCAGCCTTCACCCTCCTGGATCTGGGAGGCCAGAAGCTGGGCGCCAGATCCCTGTCTCACCCGGTTCTCCTTCCCCTTCCCTAGGTCCTCGCAAGGGCCGAGAGGTGTACCGGCATTTCGGCAAGGCCCCAGGAACCCCGCACAGCCACACCAAGTGAGTATCAGGCCCCCAGCCCTGCCCTCTCCCCAGACTCAGCCTGCAGGGCCAGGCCTGGCCACACTTGGGCTGCTTCTCCTATCCCTCGTACCAGCCAGCCCCAGGCCTTCTGGAACTCTCAGCTGCCTCATCCTGCCTGCTTTTCCCTTCAACACTGCTTGGAGCTGTGTTTTCCAGGGCCTGAGCAGGCATCTCCTGGGGAGCATGCAGTTCACCGGCCTTTGCCAGCCCAGGCTGGGACCCTCCAGGTGGTGGGGCAGGTGCTTCCATAGCCCCTCCTGGCTCCTTGGCTTCCCACTCTGCCAAGCTTTTCCAGCAGCATTGACTCTCCTGGGGCTGAATGTGACAGGCTTGTGGTGTTCCTGTGCCACTCCACAATGGCCTCCTTTAAGAGGGCCCCCCTCTCACTCCCTCCTCTCCCCACAGACCCTACGTCCGCTCCAAGGGCCGGAAGTTCGAGCGTGCCAGAGGCCGACGGGCCAGCCGAGGCTACAAAAACTAACCCTGGATCCTACTCTCTTATTAAAAAGATTTTTGCTGACAGTGCTCTGTGTGTGTTATTGGGGGATGGGTTGGAGAATTGGTTCCTGCGGGTGAGAATGCATTTGGTTTGGGGACAGGGACGTCATGCCAGTGAAGACCAGCCCTCTTCCTGCCCCCACTGCCCCGGAAGCTCCCTGCCTCCTTCCCAACAGCCAGGTGGCAGGTGTTC
Organism: Homo sapiens; assembly: GCF_000001405.40. Lineage (NCBI taxonomy): Eukaryota > Metazoa > Chordata > Mammalia > Primates > Hominidae > Homo > Homo sapiens. Next base: position 48,615,161 of record NC_000019.10, on the reverse strand, counting down.
CCACACCGGCTTCCTTGGGTCAGCCACGCCCGCCCCTCTTAAAGGATCCTGTGCCCCTCCCTGGTGCTGGGATGGCGGGTGGGGCGTGGACCGGGAAGTGCAGGGTGCAGGCTGGCAGGGCTGTGGGGAGGGAGAGACTGCCTGGGAACAGGTGAGGCAATCTCAACCCCCCGGGGACCGGGAAGCCTGAGTCTAGAGGGGCGTTCACCCCCTGGGAGAGCACAGGTAAAGAAAGCGTGTGAGCCGCACCCCCGGACCTCCTCCAGGGGCCTGTGGGGGCCCTCCTGTGTTTACACAAGGGGCCGGGCTCCCTGGATTCCAGGTCGAGGCCTGATGAGTGAGGCCAGAAGCCGGGAAGCACCGCAGAAGTAGAAGCCGGGGAGCCACAGCCTACGTTCTCGGAAAAAGCAGGCACTGGAAGGGAGGCCATTGAGCCCGGCACTAGCCGGTGTGGGTGAGCCCCGGCGATGGGGGGGATGGGTGAGGGTGGGGCGGGGAGGCTGGCCTGCCTTGACTCCTTTCTTCTCTTTGCAGCTCCCTGCTGTGGTCTGGAGGAAGCAGCGGCCTGGGTTGGTGGGATTGGAATGAAGGGCTTCTGGTTTGCAGGGATCAAGGGTCCAGGGTCCCCGAGGTTGGGTCAGGAGCCTCAAGGGGATAACTGAGGCTTGGGAGGGAGACAGGGCGAGATAGAGACTGGCCCCTGTCCGGGAAGAAGCGTCCGGGTAGCTGGCAGGAGATAGCATTTAGGCAGAAACCAGGCTGGGGGCAGCTTGGGTAGGGCTCCCCGCAGATCAGAGGACGGCCTGGAACAGGTCCCAGGGCCAGGCCCCAGGCAGGGGCAGCCAGCCTGAGGAGGGTGGCTGGTTAGGTGGCACTCACACCTAGATGGGCTGTGAAGATCATAGACCTGTCCCATAGTAATGGAGACCCCTGTAGCGCATTTCACCCTCCACTGCAGCAGCTGGAAGGAGTGTGAGGAGGGTCCAGGGAGCAGGGTCCCCCATTGACAGGGTAGGGAAGGGTTTGCCAAGCCTTCGGCCTTTAAGGCTGAGCGAGCAGGCCCAGTGGAGAGGCATCCTGGCTGGTCTGCGGGTGAGAGCTGATGAGCAGGAGAAACTCGTGGGGGCTGTCAGATTTGGCCAGAGACAGATGCTCCAACAGGCAGATACTGTGACTGTCAGTCGGAAGCCATTGGCGTTTGCCAGACAGTGGAAGGAGAGGGTCAGTTCGTCGTGCTCTTGGCCGGGGGCAGGCAGGCAACCTGTCGTGCCTTTAAGGACCTTTGGGTGATTAGAGACAGGCAGGCAGCTTGCCGCCTGGAAATGATCAAGTGGTCAGCCTGACCAAATTCAGGACAGCTGAAGGGTCTGACTGGGCACTGTGTGACTGGTGGGTTGGAGGCTGTCGTGTGGCTGAGCAGAGATGGCCAGCTGATGGGTCACACAGTTGGGGATGGTGTCAGGAGGTCAACCTGACCAGCAGAGACGGCTGGCAGGAAGGTCACGGAAGGCCAGCCAGGCATGGTGCCACTGGGTGCAGGCAGGTGGCGGATCTGAGTGGCCTGACACATTGGATGGTCGCTTATTTGGGCAGCGTGATTGTCAGAACAGTGTGGCAGGGGCTGCTGCAGGGAGCCATTTGGACATCTGCAGGGCCCCGCCGGAGGCCTCGGATGGCCACGTAGGGTCTGCCTATCAGGAGAACCCCCAGATGATCACAGTCCCCAGAGACAGCCAGACCCCCGGGGACCCAGCCTCTCACAGTCAGTCCTCCCACCCGAGTGACCCCGATGGCGGCCTCCCAGCTGGCGGCGCTGGAAGGAGTGGACTCCGGTCCCAGGGTGCCCGGGGCCAGCCCCGGCTTTCTATATTCCGAGGGCCAGCGGCTGGCACTGGAGGCTCTGTTGAGCAAGGGCGCGGAGGCGTTCCAGACCTGCGTGCAGCGCGAGGAGCTGTGGCCCTTCCTCAGTGCGGATGAGGTTCAGGGCTTGGCAGCGGCAGCTGAAGACTGGACAGTGGCCAAGCAGGAGCCCAGCGGGATGGCAGAGGGAGCCACCACCACCGATGTGGACGCGGGCAGCCTGAGCTACTGGCCTGGGCAGTCGGAGCAGCCGGCGCCCGTCCTGCGGCTGGGCTGGCCAGTGGACTCTGCGTGGAAAGGCATCACCCGGGCGCAGCTGTACACCCAGCCTCCTGGAGAGGGTCAGCCGCCCCTCAAGGAGCTGGTGCGGCTGGAGATCCAGGCTGCCCACAAGGTGGGTGTCGCGGGGGCCCTGTGTCCATTCACCAGACTGGGACGGGGACCCAGGCATTCTCTCCCTTGTCCTCCTGGGACTTGCAAGCGCACACCCCTACCCTAAAGGACCTATACCCCTGGGACCCAGGAGTGCACACCTTCCAGCCCCAGGACTCAGGTGCCTACAACCCCAGACCTCATCCTTACTCTCAGAAAGGGGGGCCCGGCCGGGCGCGGTGGCTCACGCCTGTAATTCCAGCACTTTGGGAGGCCGAGGTGGACGGATCACGAGGTCAGGAGTTTGAGACCAGCCTGGCCAACATAGTGAAACCCCGTCTGTACTAAAAATACAAAAATTAGCCGGGCATGGTGTGGGCGCCTGTAGTCCCAGCTACTCGGGAGGCTGAGGAAGCAGAATTGCTTGAACCCGGGAGGCGGAGGTTGCAGTGAGCCAAGATCAAGCCACTGCACTTCAGCCTGGGCGACAGAGCGAGACTCCATCTCAATAAAAAAAAAAAAAGAAAGAAATGGGGGCCCCTACCCTCCCCCAAGACCTGGATGCCCTTAGGTATCGATGCCCCTTGAACCTAATTATGACACCCCCAGTCTCAGTCATTCCCCCATCCCCTCATCACCAAGCCAGGGGTTTCCACTCTCCCTCCAAGGAAGGCCCAGATGTCCACACTGCAGCCCTTGGAAAGCCTGCTGTGTACTTCACAGCCTTAGCGTCCGCCAGCTCCCACGTGAAGGGTTTCTCAGGGACTAATGTGCATCATCGTCCCGGAACCCTGTACCGCCAGAGGGACTATTGTGCCCACGGAGGCACGGGGGCGGTTAAATCTCTTCCCTGTAAGTGGCCGAGTGGGGATTTGAACCCAGGCTGTCTGGCTGCTGAGTCAGGGTTTCCACTGCTTTATGCTGCCTGCAAGATCCAGGCCTTCAGCACCTCCGTGTCCCCCAAGTTCGCCACGGTGGCCTAGCAGGTCAGCCGTCCTGCACCCAGCACCCAGAAAATTCCACAGGACCCAGAAATGCAGTTGCCCACAGTGCCCTACGGGACATCCACCACTGATCCTACAGCCAAACTGCCGTGGACATTTGGGTACCGCAGTGTCGCAGCTCAGGGGACGCTGTTCTGTGTTATAAACGTGATTTGTAGGCCAGCCACGGTGGCTCACGGCCTGTAATCCCAGCACTTTGGGAGGCCAAGGCTGGGGGATCACCTGAGGTCAGGGGTTCAAGACCACCCTGGCCAAGATGGCGAAATCCCGTCTCTACTAAAAATACAAAAATTAGCCGGGCGTGGTGGTGGGTGCCTGTAATCCCAGCTACTCTGGAGGCTGAGGCAGGAGAACTGCTTGAGTCCCAGAGGCCGAAGTTGCAGTGAGCTGATATTGCGCCACTGCACTCCAGCCTGGGCAACAGAGCAAGACTTCGTCTTTTAAAAAAAGAAAAAAAAAGCCGGGCGTGGTGGCTCACTCCTGTACTCCTAGCACTTTGGGAGGCTGAGGCAGGTGGATCACGAGGTCAGGAGATCGAGACCATCCTGGCTAACACGGTGAAAGCCCATCTCTACTAAAAATACAAAAAATTAGCTGGGCGTGGTGGTGGGCGCCTGTAGTCCCAGCTACTTGGGAGGCTGAGGCAGGAGAATTGCTTGAACCCGGGAGGTGGAGTTTGCAGTGAGCTGAGATTGCGCCCCTGAGCTGCAGCCTGGGAGACAGAGTGAGACTCCGTCTCAAAAAAAAAAAAACAACAAAAAACAACAACAACAACAAAAACACAAAAAAACAAGCAAACATGATTTATGATTACAGTTTTCCAGCATTTAGGGGCCGGGAATCTCGAGGAGGGGCTGGGGATCTCATGGAGGGGCAGCGTTTTGCTCATTCACACGTAGGTGCTGTTTGAGCAGCAGTGTATGTCTGGGGGTCTCCCCTTTAGCCCACCTGAACTTTAAACTCCCAGCCCCCAGAGCACTTTACTCCCAGATTCCAGATGTCAGGTTTCCCACACCCTCTGAGTGTCCCCTGAGCCAGCTTCCGTTCACAAGCCCACCGCCCCTCTCCCCATGCCCAGCTGGTGGCCGTGGTCATGGACGTCTTCACTGACCCAGACCTGCTTTTGGACTTGGTGGATGCTGCCACGCGCCGCTGGGTACCTGTCTACCTGCTCCTGGACCGCCAGCAGCTGCCTGCCTTCCTGGAACTGGCCCAGCAGCTGGGGGTGAACCCCTGGAACACGGAGGTAGGGGCCGGGCCAGGGGGTCCTGTGAGTCCCCATTCCCCTGGCATGGGGGCAGTGGGGGCAGACCCTTCCATGGAGCTCCGGGTCATTGAGATGGATGCTAGCAGGGATGGTCCCCTGGGATCTGATGCCCACAGCACTGGGGAGGTGGGGGTGGGCATTCCCAAGGAATCTTGAGTCACTGAGTTTGGGTATCCCCAAGAAACGCCTGAGGGTTGATATCAGTGGCTCTAAGGAAGCTGAGACAGATACTTCTTTTTTTTTTTTTTTTTTTTTTTTTTGAGACGGAGTGTTGCTTTGTCGCCCAGGCTGGAGTGCAGTGGCGTGATCTCGGCTCACTGCAACCTCCACCTCCCGGGTTCAAACGATTCTCCTGCCTTAGACTCCCCAGTAGCTGGGATTACAGGCATGTGTCACCATGCCTGGCTAACTTTTGTATTTTTAGTAGAGACGGGGTTTCGCCATGTTGGCCAGGCTGGTCTCGACCTCCTGACCTCAGCTGATCCACCCGCCTCGGCCTCCCAAAGTGCTGGGATTACAAGTGTGAGCCACCACGCCTGGCCTTGGACAGATACTTCTATGGAGTCATGGGTCCCCCAGTTAGAACCAGTCTGGAGGGAGCCTGAATCCATGCAGTGGGCCTCAGCAAGGGTGTACCCTCCACTCCCCACACCAACAGAACGTGGATGTCCGTGTCGTGCGGGGCTGCAGCTTCCAGAGCCGCTGGCGACGGCAGGTGAGCGGCACCGTGCGGGAGAAGTTTGTGCTGCTGGACGGCGAGAGGGTCATCTCAGGATCCTACAGGTGTAGCCCCCGCCCCGCCCCCCACCTCCCGGCGTCCTATACCCCACTTTCCCTCAGTGTGCTCAGAGAACAGCTGGCATCCCCTTGCCCAGGCCTCTCTTTTCTCATCTGTGTAATGGGGGCAAAACACTCTTCCCTGCGGAGGAGGTTGGTGCCGCGGCCGGACCTGGTGCTGGCCTGTTTAGTGGTCTTGGGTAAGTCTGCTTCTCTTTGACCTGGTGTTTTCTTATCTGGAAAACTGGGCAAACAGTTTGGGGGTGGGGTTTGTTCAAAATCAGGAGCACCTGGATTGGGATCTAAGCTCTGCCTCGGGTAAATAACTCCACCTCTCTGAGCATCTAAGAAAATGCCCGGACATGGTGGCTCACGCCTGTAATCCCAGCACTTTGAGAGGCTGAGGCGGGCAGATTGGCTGAGGTCAGGAGTTCAAGACCAGTCTGGCCAACATGGTGAAACCCTGTCTTCCCAGCTACTTGGGAGGTTGAGGCAGGAGAATTGCTTGAACCCAGGAGAGAGGTTGCAGTGAGCCGAGATCGCGCTGTCGCACTCCAGCCTGGGAGACAGAGCAAGACTCCATCTCAAAAAAGCAAAAAAAAAAAAAAAAAAAAAAGAAAGAAAGAAACTGCAAATAATAACAGCACCTACCTCACAGGGTCACAGCACAGCTAGGGAGGAGAGGGGTGTGGCCTCTGGGACCAGACGGCCTGGATTCAAATTCTAGCTCTCTCAGTTCCTCGTTGTGTGACTTCAGGCAACTTACTTCACCTCTCTGTGCCTCAGTTTCCCCCTCTATGTCATGGGCTGATAGGGTTAGAGCCTCTAGAACCAGGTCCCTCAACAGGGGTGGCACCCACGCTCGGGCTGGGTAAGTCTTTGTTTTAGGAGCTGTTGGGTGCATTGTGGGAGGCTCCTCGGCATCTTCAGCCTCCACCCAGCAGAGGTCAGTAGCATCACACGCCCCATACCCCCGACTTTCCCTGCCAATTAGAGAACCGAAAACCTCTCCAGACAGCGCAGATGCCCACTGGGGAGCACAGGTGCCCAGCTGAGAACACTGCTCAGGAACAGTGGCTTTCAACCCTGTGCATGCACCAGAATCCCTGGGAGCGCTTGTTAAAACACAGCTTTTGGGCTGGGCGTGGTGGCTCACACCTGTAATCCCAGCACTTTGGGAGGCCGAGGCAGGTGGATCACCCGAGGTCAGGAGTTTCAGACCAGCCTGATTAACATGGGGAAACCCTGTCTCTACTAAAAATACAAAAAATCAGCCGGGCCTGGTGGAATGCATCTCTAGTCCCAGCTACTCGGGAGGCTGAGGCAGGAGAATCGCTAGAACCTGGGAGGTGGAGGTTGCAGTGAGCCAAGATCGCGCCACTGCACTAAAGCCTGGGTGACCGAGCGAGACTCTGTCTCAAAAAATAAAAAAAAAAAAAAAAAAGGAAAAGAAAAAGAAAACGGAAAAAGGCCAGGCGTGGTGGTTCATGTCTGTAGTCCCAGCACTTTGGGAGGCTGAGGCAGGAGGATCGCTTGAGCCCAGGACTTCAAGACCAGCCTGGGCAACATAGCAGGACCCCATCTCTACAAAAATTTAAAAAAATAAAAATTAGACATGATGGAGCATGCTTCTAGTCCCAGCTACTCAGGAGGCTGAGGTGGGAGGATTGCTTGAGCCCAGGAGGTAGAGGCTGCAATGAGCCAAGATTGCACCACTGCACTCCAGCCTGGGCAGCAGAGCAAAACCCTGTTTCAAAAAGAAAAAGAGAGAACAATACACAGCTTTTGGACCCCACTGCCATTCATCGTGCCTGGAACAGGACCTGAGAATCTGCATTTTCAGGAAGTTCCCACTTGCTGCTGCTGCTGTTTCTGGTCCAGGGACCACACTTTGAGAATGATTGGAGTTGAGACCAGGATGTTTGAAATGTTTGAAAGAGTGTTTACCTTCCCAGCTTGGTGTGAGGATTCAGTGGCACGTAACGTAAGACAGGCTTGGCCAGGTGCCGTGGCTCATACCTGTAATCCCAGCACTTTGGGAGGCTGAGGTGGGAGGATCACTTGAGCCCAAGAATCCGAGACCACCCTGGGCAACATAGCTGGACCTTATCTCTACAAAAAGAAAAAAAAAAAAAGGAAAAGAAAAAGAAAAGAAAACAAAGAATGCTCCATGAACATCAGCTGTCATTTATTATGATATATATATATTTTTTACCATATTTCATGGACTCTAAAGTGCTACCAATGGAGAGAAGCATCCTGATTGAGATGTGAGAAGCTCTGCGTCTTAGAACCAGTGGAACAGAGTAATACAATCAAACCCACGGGCCGTGCTCCCCTGCCGCTCAGTCAGGCCTGGGGATGCTTCCCCTAGCACCGGGCTCCTGGTGGACAGCCTTAGAAGGGATGAAGCCAGGGCCGCAAGAGGTTGTCCAGGGCCTCTCTGGCCATTTAGTGGGGGAAGGACATGGGGACATGGGGAGTGGCGGATCTGGGAGAACAGTCCCAGGCCCTGTCCTCCCTGTTGGTCACAGCAAACGTGGAGGAAGCAGCATACCCAGCCCCAGTGCCAGGCTGGTGGTGGCCCCCACTGTCTGGCTGCTCGGGGCTCTGTTACACAGGCGGCCGGTGCAGCAGTTGGTGGTGAGGCTGTAGGTGACGCCCCTGTAGCTGACGGGTTCCTCAAGGCCGCAGCTGGTGGCTCGCAGGCAGCCTTTGTTGATGACCGGACCAGTGCCCGGGGCGACCCCGTGGCCTGTGAAGCAGTCCTCGTCATCGCCACAGTGCATGTAGGTACCAGGACACTGCATGGAGTCGGTGAGCTCACAGAAGACGCAGTCCTTGACGCCCGTCGTGCCTGGGGGCAGAGCCATCACCAGAAGCAGCAGCCAGCACAGGACCATGGCGGCCTGGCGGCGTTGACCCTGCCCCAGCCAGGCCGTGGGCTTCCCAGACCTCCCGGAACCGCTGAATGAAGGACCTCTGAGGACTCCTCTTGCCCACGGGACTTTGGCCCTGGTCCTGGCCTCCCAGGGTCAGCGCCTGGAGTGTCCTCTGTTCCCAACGCCCTGCGTCCCTCTAAGTCCTGGGGATGGAGGTGAGCGGGTGGCTGCTGCCCAACAAGAGTCTGTGAATGGAATGAGTGATCTCACAGATCCCTCAGGGTTCCCACTGGCCGCTCTGGGGATGAGGTCATAGGTGAGAGGAGTGGGTGTCACAATCCAAGGGGTGGCCTGCCCCGCCGACCTGCCGGGGCGCAAGAGGGCTCTGCCATCCCTGCCAAGGTGAAGACGCCCTGAACCCAGAGGACGCTGGCCACAAGCTTGTCCGCATTCTCTGTGCTGTACACCCGCCAAGGGCTTGACTTCAGCCTCACACCTCCCATAGTGACCCCATATTCCAGATGGGTAAACTAAGGCTGGGGAAAGTGATGTATCCAGGGTCCCCGAGCCAGGATGAGAGCCAGGTTCATTGAATTCCAAAGAGGCTGGGAAAGAAGAGGGTGTATTAACTGAGCACTTGCTGTGTGCCAGGATTCATGCTCAGTGCTTGCTTGCTTTTATTTTTTTGAGACGGAGTCTCTCACTCTGTCACCCAGGCTGGAGTGCAGTGGCGTGATCTCAGCTCACTGCAGCTTCTGCTTCCCAGCTTCAAGCGATTCTCGTAACTCAGCCTCCCGAGTGGCTGGGACTGCAGGCGCATGCAACCACATCTGGCTAATTTTTGTATTTTTAGTAGAGACAGGGTTTCACCATGTAGGCCAGGCTGGTTGCGAACTCTTGAGCTCAAGTGATCTGCCCGCCTCGACCTCCCAAAGTGCTGGGATTACAGACGTGAGCCACCACACCACGCCTGGCACTTGGTGCTTTCAATAACAACTACTGTGATGACAGGAAGTGTTAGGGCACCGGCCCCCACAGCTCACAGGCTCTCAGGGCCAGCTACGTGCAGGGGGCTTGATTCAAATTCAGTCATTTGAATATTCCTATGTTGTATTTATTTCTTAATTTTATTTTTTATTTTAAAAAATTGGCCGGGCGCAGTGGCTCACGCCTGTAATCCCAGCACTTTGGGAGGCCGAGGCGGGTGGATCACCTGAGCTCAGGAGTTCAAGACCAGCATGGCCAACGTGGTAAAACCCCATCTCTACTAAAAATACAAAAATTTGCTGGGCATGGTGGTGTGCACCTGTAATCCCAGCTACTTGGGAGGCTTGAACCTGGGAGGTGGAGGTTGCAGTGAGCCAATATTGTGCCACTGCACTTGAGCCTAGGCAATAGAGCAAGACTCCATCTCAAAAAAAAAAAAAAATAGGATCTTGCTCTGTTGCCTAGACTGGAGTGCAGTGGCGCGATCTTGGCTCACTGCAGCCTCAACTTCCCAGGCTCAAGTGATTCTCCTCCCTGAGCCTCCAGAGTAGCTGGGACTATAGGCGTGCACCACCATGCCCGGCTAATTTTGTAAAATTTTTTATAGAGATGGGGTCTTGCTATGTTGCCCAGGCTGGTCTCAAACTCCTAGCCTCAAGTGATCCTCCTGCCTCGGCCTCCCAAAGTGCTGGGATTACAGGCATGAGCCACTGCACACGGCCTTCCTAGGTTTTTGCTCCAGATTGCAGATGAGCACTGCAGGGAGCAGCAACGTGGAGAGCTTGGTGCACAGCCAGGACTGACTAAATGGCAGTCATTCTAGGAAGCAGCTGGGTCTTAAAACAATCCCTGTTAGTGTCCGGAAGTGAATTCCGTCTCTTTCCAAAGGGGAAAACTGAGGCATTGAGGTGTTCCTAAGTGGGGACCAGGCAGAGCCTGGGTTTAAACTCCAGTCTGATTCCAGATAAGTTTTTTTTTTTTTTTTTTTTTTTTGAGTCAGAGTCTCGCTCTGTCGCCCAGGTTGGAGTGCAGTGGTGTGATTTCAGCTCACTGCAACCTCCACCTCCCGGGTTCAAGCAATTCTCCTGCCTCAGCCTCCTGAGTAGCTGGAATTACAGGCATGTGCCACCATACCCAGCTAATTTCTGTATTTTTAGTAGAGATGGGGTTTCACCATGTTGGTCAGGCTGATCTCAAACTCCTGACCTCATGATCTGCCCGCCTCAGCCTCCCAAAGTGCTGGGATTACAGGAGTGAGCCACCGCATCTGGCTTTTTTTTTTTTGGGAGGGGGGCGAGGGGGACAGGGTCTTGCTTTGCTGCCCAGGCTGGAATGCAGTGGTATTATCACGGCTCACTGCAGCCTCAATTTCCCAGGCTCAGCCGGGCACGGGTGGCTCACACCTGTAATCCCAGCACTTTGGGAGGCCGAGGCGGGTGGATCACCTGAGGTCAGGGGTTCGAGACCAGCCTGGCCAATGTGGTGAAACCCCATCTCTACTAAAAATACAAAAAATTAGCCGGGCATGGCGGCAGGTGCCTGTAATCCCAACTACTCAGGAGGCTGAGGCAGGAGAATTGCTTGAAGCCAGGAGGCAGAGGTTGCAGTGAGCCGAGATCATGCCACTACACTCCAGCCTGGGCAAAAAGAGCGAAACTCCGTCTCACAAAAAAAAAAAAAAAAAAAAAAATCCCAGGGTCAAGGGATCCTCCCGCCTCAGTCTCCCAAGTGGCTGGGAGTACAGGTGTGCGCCACCACACCTGGCTAGTTTTTTTGATTTTTTGTAGAGATAGGGTCTCACCATGTTGCCCAGGCTGGTCTGAAACTCCTGGGCTCAAGCAACCCTCCTGCCTCAGCCTCCCAAAGTGTGAGTCACCACACCTGGCCCTGATTATATAAGTGTCTTAACTTGGGCTGTCTTCACTCCACCCCTCCCGAGTAGGTACTTCAGTTGTGCCCATTCTACAGACAGGGAAGCTGAGGCTGGAGAGGTCAGGACTCGCCTGAGGTCCTACGGTCTCCCCTGGGACCTGGCTGAGGATGGGGGCCGGGCTGGGCCCTCAGGGTTGGAGACTCTGACCCCCTACTCCCCGACCCCCAGCTTCACGTGGAGTGACGCACGCCTGCACCGAGGCCTGGTGACCCTGCTGACTGGTGAAATTGTTGACGCCTTCAGCCTTGAGTTCCGGACGCTGTACGCGGCCTCCTGCCCGCTCCCACCTGCGCCCCCCCAGAAACCCTCGGTCATAGGTGGCCTGCAGCGGGGCCGCAGCCCGCACCGCGTGTCCCGCCGCCGCTCCGTGGCCCCCGCGTCGCCTCCGCCGCCTGACGGCCCGCTGGCCCACCGCCTGGCCGCCTGCCGCGTCTCCCCTGCTACCCCGGGGCCGGCACTCAGTGACATTCTAAGGAGTGTGCAGCGCGCCCGGACCCCCAGCGGCCCCCCGGCCCGGCCCAGCCGCTCCATGTGGGACCTAAGCCGCCTGTCCCAGCTGTCTGGCTCCAGTGATGGGGACAACGAGGTGAGACCTTGTGGCTGGTGCCAGAAGATGGAGCCCAGGAAGGGGAAGGCGTTTGCCCAGGGTGGTGCAAGCCAGGCTCCAGGGGCCCTGCTCCCAGCCAGAGCAGGCGTTTCCTGAGGGCCTGCACCCCTAAATTCATAATGGCATCGTTTGTTCATTTCCTGCACGCCTGCTGCATTTTGGGCAGGTGGGCGCTGGGTGGCATGGGGCAGAGACAGGAGAGCCCTGGGTGCAAATCCTGGCATGACAGACTAGGTGGGGGGAAGCCGAGGACTTGAATTCTCTGAACCTCGGTATCCTCATCTAGGAAGGAGCAGAGCAAGGGCACTCATTCCGAGTTTGGTTGGGGGAGGAATCCACTTGGCTAAATGAAATAGAGTAGTAATGACAACAACAATACATTCCTGAAACAGGGAGATCGAGACCAGCCTGGCCAGCATAGTGAAACCCTATCTCTACTAAAAATACAAAAAAATTCGCTGGGTGTGTTGGTGCACACCTGTAGTCCCAGCTACTCCGGAGGCTTAGGCAGGAGAATCGTTTGAGCCAGGGAGGCGGCGGTTGCAGTGAGCTGAGATCGTTCCACTGCACTCTAGCCTGGGTGACAGAGCAAGGCTGTCTCAAAATAATAATAATAATAATAATAATAATAATAATAATAATAATAAACAATAAATAAATACATTCCTGAAGTGGAATTTATTTATTTTGTGACATCCTCATCCCAGGCCAAAGAAAGCTATATATATATATATATATATATATATATATATATATATATATATATATTTTTTTTTTTTTTTTTTTGAGATAGGGTCTTGCTCTGCAATGCCTTGGGAATCAGGAATCATCTCCCTCCGTCCCAGGCAAGGAAGGCTCCTAGCTGGAGAGGAGACGGGGGATGGGCAGGGGCAAGGTCCTTACCTTCACCTGGTCCTGAGCACCCTCACCCAGCATCCCCTCCCTTGGCAAATATTTGATCCCGGCTGGCAGATGCCGGCGCTTCCGGTTCCTCCCCAGCTGCAGAGGTGGGGACCCAGCTCCTTGTCCCTCTGTAGGTTAGGGGGTCCCAGGTTTGCCCTCTCACTTCCCCCCTTCCCTCTCGGGCTCCCCACACCGTCCTCCTTACCTGCTTCCTCCTCTGCATCCCTCTCCTTTCTGTCCCTCCTCCTGCTGCTGCCTTCCTGCCTCTTCCTCACCTCATCCTTCCCCTTTCACCCTCTCTGTCTCCTCTCTCTCCTTCCTGGCTCCCCTCCTCCCTCCTCTCCTTCTTTCTCCTCCCTCACCTTCTCCCTTACCCCTTCCTCTTCTTTTACCTCCTCCACCCATTTTTTTTTTTTTTTTTTTTTTTTGAGATAGGGTCTCGCTCTGTCTCCCAGGCTGGAGTACAGTGGCATGATCTCGGCTCACTGCAGCCTCAACCTCCTGGGCTCAAGTGATCCTCCCACCTCAGCCTTCCAAGTAGCTAGGATTACAGACCCACGCCACCACGCCTGGCTAATTTTTGTATTTTTTGGAGAGATGAGGTCTCACTGTGTTGCCTAGGTTGGTCTCGAACTCCTGAGCTCAAGCAATCCTCCCACCTCCCAAAGTGCTGGGATTACTGGTGTGAGCCACCGCGTCCGGCCTCCATCTCTCTCCTCCCTCTCTCCTCTCTTCCCTCCCTTCCCTCCTCCACCATCTCCTTCCACCTCCCTCAAATCCTCTATCACTTCCTTTTTTTTTTTTTGAGACTGAGTCTTGTTCTGATGCCCAGGCTGGAGTGCGGTGGCGCTATCTCAGCTCACTGCAATCTCTCCCTTCCGGGTTCAAGCGATTCTCCTGCCTCAGCCTCCCGAGTAGCTAGGATTACAGGCGCCCACCACCACCTCAGGCTAATTTTTGTATTTTTAGTAGAGATAGGGTTTCACCATGTTGGCCAGGCTGGTCTTGAACTCCTGACCTCAGGTGATCCACCCACCTCGGCCTCCCAAAGTGCTGGGATTACAGGCGTGAGCCACCGTGCCTGGCCGTCTGTCACTTTCGCTGCTTCTCTCTTGCCTCACCTCCTGCCTTCCCTGGATCTGGGATGCCCCCAGGGCCCCACCCCAGCCTCCTCTCACCTCCCTCTCTTTCCCTCCACAGCTCAAGAAATCCTGGGGCTCCAAGGACACTCCAGCCAAGGCTCTGATGAGGCAGCGGGGCACTGGAGGAGGCCCCTGGGGGGAAGTGGACTCCCGACCTCCGTGGGGCGGTGCCCTGCCCCTGCCCCCCGCCCACCGCCTCCGCTATCTGTCCCCAGCCCGAAGGCGGTTCGGTGGGGATGCTACATTCAAACTTCAAGAGCCCAGAGGCGTCAGGCCGTCAGACTGGGCCCCCCGGGCAGGACTTGGGGGGCAACCCTGAACAGGAGCCCAAGCCAAATCTGCTGGCCCACCCAAGGAGCAGTGCCGGACAACTGTCGGCTCAGAGCCCTCTGCCTCAATGCCCTGCCTTGGACAAGGCTTCTGGCCTCGGCGTCTGTCAAGCAGAAGGGATGTTTGTCACTTGTTCTGCAACTTGGGCCGGGAGTGGTGGCTCATGCCTGTAATCCCTGCACTTTGGGAGGCTAAGGTGGGAGGGTTGCTTAAGGCCAGGAGTTGGAGACCAGCCTGGGCAACATAGTGAGACCCCATCTCTACAATTAAAAAAACAAATTAGTTGGGTGTGGTGGCGCACGCCTGTGGTCCCAGCTACGCAGGAGGCTGAGGTGGGAGGATCCCTTGAGCTCAGGAGGTGGAGGCAGCAGTGAGCCAAGATCATGCCCTTGCACTCCAGCCTGGGCAACACAGTGAGAGGCCATCTCTTTAAAAAAAAAAAAAAAAGAAAAAAGAAAAAGAAAGGCTGATCGAGGTGGCTCACTCCTGTAATCCCAGCACTTTGGGAGGCTGAGGCATGTGGATCACCTGAGGTCAGGAGTTCAAGACCAACCTGACCAACATGGTGAAACCCCATCTCTACCAAATACAAAAATTAGCCAGGTGTGGTGGCGGGCGCCTGTAATCCCAGCTACTTAGGAGGCTGAGACGGGAGAATTGCTTGAACCCGGGAGGCGGAGGTTGCAGTGAGCTGAGATCACGCCACTGCACTCCAGCCTGGGTGACAGAGCGAGATTTCATCTCAAACAAAAAAAAGGACTTGGGCAAGCCCATTGCCTGCACCAGACCTCAGTGTCACAACCCAGAAGATGGGCTGGCAGCGTCCCCAGGCAGCGGATCCTAAAGAAGACACACACAGCTCCCGAGGGTCAGGCCTTCCTGATGAGGGGCCCGGGTGAGGCCCCGAGCTAGAGCTGCTAGAGCTGTGGAGGGGAAGATGGGGAGTCGCTGCCAGGCACACTGTGTTCAGGAGCTGTGGGGAAACTGAGGCAAGGAGCTGAATACTGAGGGAGTGGAATGTGGTACAGCCACAGGGGAACAGGGTGGGTGGTGGGACTTTCTGTGGGCGCTGAGAGGGCGGGTCTGCCGGAGCTCCCGTTTACCTCTGCTCGGAATAAAACCACTTTATGCCAAAAACGTGCGTTACTAAAGACTGGCTCTGAATCCAAGAGTCCACAACCCAGCCCCCTCCTCCCTCAGACCCAGGGGTCCAGGCCCCCAGCTCCTCCTCCCTCAGACTCGAGACTCCAGGCCCCCAGATACTACTCCCTCAGACCCGGGAGTCCAGGCCCCCAACCCCTCCTCCCTCAGACTGAGGGGTCCAAGCCTCCAGACCCTCCTCCCTCAGACCCGGGAGTGCAGCCTCCCAGCCCCTCCTTCCTCAAACCCGGGAGTCCAGACCCCCAGCCCTCTCCTCCCTCAGACCCGGCAGTCCAGACTCCCAGCCCCTCCTCCCTCAGACCCAGGAGTCCAGGCCCCCAGCCCCCTCCTCCCTCAGACTGGGGAGTCAGGCCCCCACCCCGGGAAGTGAGATGCCCAGCGCTGGGTTCCTGCAGCACCTTTGCCTCTGGGCGGGACTCTGAGTCGGGGACCCCGGCCTCTGGAAGCCTTGGTGTGGTGAGGATTCTCCACGCCCCGCTGCCTGCCCTGCCACAGCGCATCAAGGAACCTGGACAGAATCGACGTGTTTATTATGAGGGTCGTGGGTGCGGGGTCTCAGAGGCCTGGCCGGGGCTGGGGCTGGGGCTGGAGTTGGGTCTGGGCTCACGCTCCAGGCTGGTGTTGGGCTCAAGGCTGGGCTTGGGCTCAGGCTCAGGGCTGGGCTCAGGATCTGGGCTGCCGTCCTCCTCCGGGTCTTCATCCCAGGGGAAGGTCGGCATCCCCCGCATCTGCTTGCGGTAGGCACGATCGAAGGCTTCGCTCTGGGCCACCGTGAAGTGGTTCTTCCAGTCGCCGCAGACCCCTGGAGAAGAGGGGGCACCAGGGGGTGAGGAGCCTCTGGGGAGCACTGCGCCCCTACCTCCAACATTCCAGCAACCTCCTTCCCCTTCCCGGCCTTTGGCGAGGTGTTCCCTTTGCCAGAAACACCGTCCTCCCTACCCTCCACATTGCCCCCTTTGTGTCCTATGGTGGCAGAGTCTTGGCCTGTCACCTGGCGCCGTTCTCACCTCCGCCCTCACTGCCTCTGCTACTGCAGGATTCCTGCCAGTCCTCCCCTTTATCCCGGACCCTTTAAGTCTCTGCCCAGAACCTCTGCCTCCAACCCTGAATTCCTGCCCACCTTACAGCTTGTGTCACCTCCTCTGCGACCAGTCCCAAACCTCCCCTGCTAGAACAAGGCCTCCTGTCTCAATGCCCCCACAACGCTCCATGCTGCAGCCATTACTGCTTGGACATGGAAGGGACCCCCTTCTGCAGGCTCTGTGCTCAGGGCTTGCAAACAATTTGCTGATTGGCGCAGCAAGCGAGCCTCAGGAACCCTCCAAGCCTCAGTTTTCCATTTTTTTTCTTTTTGAGATGGAGTCTCGCTCTGTCGCCCAGGCTGGAGTGCAGTGGTGTGATCACGGCTCACTGCAACCTCCGATTCAAGCGATTCTCCTGCCTCAGCCTCCCGAGTAACTGGGATTACAGGCACGCACCACCACGCCCGGCTAATTTTTATATTTTTAGTAGAGATGGCGTTTAACCATGTTGGCCAGGCTGGTCTCAAACTCCTGACCTCAGGTGGTCCACCTGCCTCGGCCTCCCAAAGTGCTGGGATTACAGGTGTGAGCCACGGCACCCCTCCCAAGCCTCAGTTTTCTCATTGTGGGGCTATCACAGGGGCATCACCCCTCACCTGGAAACCTGGGGCTCATGGCATTCAGAGGACCGTAGTTTGCCTTTTGGCAAGTGCACGTGCCCCATGTTACCCAGCACCCTTAATGAGGTTGTGGGGAGGGGTTCCCTGGGGTGGGCTGAATAAAGACTCCCTCCATATCCACGTCCTAATCCTTGGAACCTGTGAATATGTGACCTTATGTGGCAAAAGGGATTTTGCAGATAGGATTAAGCTAAAGATCTGGAGATGGGGAGAGGACCCTGAAGTATCTGGGTGGGCTCAGTGTCATCACCTGGGTCCCTATAGAAGGGAGGAGGGTCAGAGATTAGAAGATGCTTCACTTGGCCGGGCGCAGTGGCTCACACCTATAATCCCAGCACTTTGGGAGGAAGAGGCGGGTGGTCAGGAGATCGAGACCATCCTGGCTAACACGGTGAAAACCTGTCTCTACTAGAAATACAAAAAATTAGCCAGGCGTGGTGGTGGGTGCCTATAGTCACAGCTACTTGGGAGGCTGAGGCAGGAGAATTGCTTGAACCTGGGAGGCGGAGGTTGCAGTGAGCCGAGATCGCGCCATTGCACTCCAGCCTGGGCAACAAGAGTGAAACTCCGTCTCAAAAAAGAAAAAAGAAAAGGCCGGGCGCGGTGGCTCACGCCTGTAATCCCAGCACTTTGGGAGGCCGAGGCGGGTGGATCACAAGGTCAGGAGATTGAGACCATCCTGACCAACATGGTGAAACTCCATCTCTACTAAAAATACAAAAATTAACCTGACATGGTTTCAGGTGCCTGTAGTCTCAGCTACTTAAGGATGCTGAGGAAGGAGAATCACTTGAACCTGGGAGGTGGAGGTCGCAGTGAGCCGAGATCGCGCCACTGCAACCTCCAGCCAGCCTGGGCGACAGAGCGAGACTCTTTCAAAAAAAAAAAAAAAAAAAAGAGTAAACGTGTTTTGAGTCATGGAGTTTGCGGTGTTTTTGTTACAGCAGGAAGAGGAAACAACTATGCTACCGCCTGCGCCCCGTAACCCAGGGCTTGAGTATTTCTGCCGTGAACATGGCCGTCGAGGAGGACTCATGAAGACTCTAAATCTCTCTCGGGTAAACCTGGCGTTGGCAGTACTCCTGGATGTTTTGCTGTCGTTGGGAGTTCTCTGGATGGGGACGCCTCGGGTGGCTGGCACGTGTGCTGAGTCAGTGCTAAGCCCCGTGCGTGATCAACCCTGGGGCCACAGTGACCCTGTTCACCCAATGTTACAGCTGGGTGAGAAACTGAGGCCCAGAGAGGTTAAGTAACTCTCCCAGGTCACACAGCCGGGCAGTGGCCTAGTGGGCTCTGAACCCCAGAACCCCCGCACCTTTCCGGAGGAAGGCCCCGCGACGGTGGTCCAGCAGGCTGGGAGGCAGCAGCGTGTAGTTGGACATGGTGTTGGCCTTCATGGCGCTGAAGGTTGAGTGTGCCACGACGGAGCCCAGTGCCTCCTTGCCCAGCGGACGGCCCAGGAACCCACAGATGCGCTCCACGGAGCCCTGTAAGTCCTGCAGGCAGGGGAGAGGGGTCAGCGGAGGGAGGGCACTCGGCCAAGGAAGGAGCGTGGAACCTGGGATCCGCATGTCTGGGTCCTAACCTGGGGCTGCCTGAGGGACGCTGCCTCTTTGCCTCAGTTTCCCCAACTCCAAACTGAGGGGTTGGGCTATATCGCCTCTAAGGGTTTTTGCAGTTTCTGTCTTTGGAGGGTTCTCTAGGTGGGAGGGAATAGGTGGGCTTGGGGCAGAGGTCACAGCAGGGGGCAGAGGTCACAGCAGGGGGCAGAGGTCACAGCCGGGGGCAGAGGTCACAGTGGGGGGCAGAGGTCACATCCGGGGGCAGAGGTCAGTGCATCACCTTACCTGGAATCACCCTCCTTCAGGTTAGAGACAGGCATTGGCTGGTCTACATCTCAAACCTGCTCCTCCCCCAGGCCCCCATTGCAGGATGGCCCCACCATCCACCCAGGAGCCTGGCCTCCCTCTCTGGGTACCCCTCACCCCCAAAACCTGTCCATCATGAGCCCTGTCCCTCCCCACCTGCCTCCCCTTGCCATATCCCCTCCTCTGTGTCCCTGTAGCCTAGAACTGCTTAGGCCTCATCCTCCCCTTCCTGGATCCATGCCTCAGCAGCCGGCTGCTCCACAGCCTTCCTGCCTCCAGTCTCCATCCCCCTCCAGCTCATCCCCCACACCCCAGCTGACCCTGCTCCTCACTGGCTCCCAACTCTTCCGTGGCTCCCGAGTGCCCTGGGACACAGTCCCAGACCCAGACCCGGCTTTCAAGCACAGATGTGGGGCAGGTGCAGTGGCTCATGTCTGTAATCCCAGCACTTTGGGAGGCTGAGACAGGTGTCGGGAGTTCGAGACCAGTCTGGCCAACATGGTAAAACCCTGTTTCTACTAACAATACAAAAATTAGCTGGGTGTGGTGGCGGGCACCTGTAATCCCAGGTGCTCGGGAGACTGAGGCAGGAGAATCGTTTGAACTGGGAGGTGGAGTTTGCAGTGAGCCGAGATCTCACCACTATACTACAGCCTGGGTGGCAGAGTGAGACTCCATCTCAAAAAAAAAAAAAAAAACAACAAAAAAAAACCCAAAAAACAGATGTGGTCTGGTCACAGCTCTTCCAATACCTTTCCCACCCTCTCCTTCTGGGACTCACCATTCCCTACACATTCCTCCCTCTGGGCCTTGGCATGGGGCTTCCAGAAGGGCCCATTGCCACGGCTGCAGCTCAAATATCACCTTCCTTTCTGAGTGTCTACTATGTACCAAGCTCTGATCCAAGCCCCCCATACATTTGTGCCGATCCCACCATCAGCTTTGCAAGGGAAGTGTCATTATCTCAATTGGTAAACAGAGGCCCAGAGAGGGAGAGACACTTGTCCAAGGCCACACAGCCAGAGAGGAGCTCAGGTCCCTGGAGCCCTTAGTCCTCCCCTGTGCCCCTCTGCCTTTTTTTTTTTAGACGGAGTTTCGCTCTTTTTGTCCAGGCTGGAGTGCAATGGCATGATCTCGTCTCACCGCAACCTCTGCCTCCCGGGTTCAAGCGATTCTCCTGCCTCAGCTTCCCGAGTAGCTGGGATTACAGGCATGTGCCACCACGCCTGGCTAATTTTGTATTTTTAGTAAAGACAGGGTTTCTCCATGTTGGTCAGGGTAGTCTCGAACTCCCACCCTCGGGTGATCTGCTCACTTCGGCCTCCCAAAGTGCTGGGATTACAATGAGACTAAGCCTGGCTCTGTCACCCAGGCTGGAGTGCAGTGGTGCTATCTCAGCTTACTGCAACCTCCACCTCCTGGGTTCCAGTGATTCTCCTGCCTCAGCCTCCAAAGTAGCTGCTGGGATTATAGGCATGCACCACCATGCCTGGCTAATTTTTGTATTTTTAATAGAGACAGGATTTCACCACGTTGGCCAGGCTGATCTCGAACTCCTGACCTCAAGTGATCTGCCTGCCTCGGCCTCCCAAAGTGCTGGGATTACAGGCATGAGCCACCATGCCCGGCCATCACTACCTTCTGATATGCAGCACCCAGCATGGTCAGCCCTCTGGTCAGCTCCGCCAACCCCATGGCTCCGATTTTCCAGGTCACTCCTGGTTTCATAACCTTCCTTCTCTTTACCTTCTTGAACCACTGACGTGTCCCAGAAATTCTAACATGTGGGCGGCGCCTCACACCCAGGGGCAGCCCAGAAGCTGTTAGGCTCTGTGGCCCAGTTCTGGGTTTGGAGAAGAATGCTTGCTGGAAAAGAGGGGGAGGAGTAGCACCGACACCTCTTCTGGAGCTTTCCATTAAAAGAAAGTTACCAGGTTGGGAAAAAATAAACATGGAGTCTGCAGGCAAGAGCCATGTGCCCTGGGCAAATTATCAACCCTCTCTTAAGTTACAAACCTCCAGTTTCCTCGTCGATAAAATAGGGATAATAACAACATTTGGGAAAACCATATAAAATTACCTTTTTGTTTTTGTTTTTGTTTTTCTGGAGACAGAGTCTTGCTCTATAACCCAGCTGGAGTGCAATGGTGCGATCTTGGCTCACCGCAACCTCCAGCTCCCAGGTTCAAGCGATTCTCCTGCCTCAGCCTCCCGAGTAGCTGGGGCTACAGGCGCCCGCCACCATGGCCGCCTAATTTTTTTGTATTTTTAGCAGAGACGGGGTTTCACCATGTTGGCAAGGCTGGTCTGGAACTCCTGAGCTCAGGTGATCTGCCTACCTCGGCCTCCCAAAGTGTTGGGATTACAGGCGTGAGCCACCGTGCCCAGCCAAAATTACCATCTTAAAATAAAAACTAGTTGGCGGGGCCGACCAGTTATATAAATATATAACTGGTCCAAATATAAAAACTTTGGGAGGCCGAGGTGGGTGGATCACCTGAGGTCAGGAGTTCAAGACCAGCCTGACCAACATGGAGAAACCCCGTCTCTACTAAAAATGCAAAATTAGCCGGGCGTGGTGGCGCATGCCTGTAATCCCAGCTGCTTGGGAGGCTGAGGCAGGAGAATTGCTTGAACGTGGGAGTTGGAGGTTGCGGTGAGCCGAGATCATGCCATTGCACTCCATCCTGGGCCACAAGAGCGAAACTCTGTCTCAAAAATAAATAAATTAATTAAATAAAATAAATAAAAATAAATAAAAACTGGTTGAATGCAGGCATTTCATGTGGTTCAATCTTTTTTCTTTCTATTTTTTGGAACAAGGTCTTGCTCTGTCGCCCAGGCTGGAGTGCAGTGGTGTGATCTCAGCCCACTGCAACCTCCACCTCCCAGGTTCAAGCCATTCTCCTGCCTTAGCCTCCTGAGCAGCTGGGACTACAGGCATGTGCCACTGTGCCCGGCTAATTTTTGTATTTTTAGTAGAGATGGGGTTTCACCATGTTGGCCAGGCTGGTCTTGAACTCCTGACCTGAAGTGATCCACCTGCCTTGGGCTCCCAAAGTGCTGGGATTACAGGTGTGAACCACCACACCTGGCCTTCTCTCTCTCTTTTGAGACAGGGTTTTGCTCTGCTGCCCAGGCCGGAGTACAGTGGCACCATCATAGCTCATTGTGGCCTTGACCTCTTGGGCTCAAGGGGTCCTCCCGCCTCAGGCTCCCAAAGCATTAGGATTACAGGTGTGAGCCACTACCACTGTGTCCGGCCAACCCTCCTGGGTTAAATCTCGCCCCTGACCATTCCTTATCTTCCTTCCCACTCGCCTTTGCTCCTCAGCTCCTCTGCCCCGCCAGCCTGCTGTGTGGTTTAGGGATTTTGTCTGTGGTCTTGCTCACAGGCTCAGGGCCTCTGTTCTGTTCCTGCAGTATCCCCAGGGGCTGGCGCATTGCATGGGGAAGCGGAGGGGTCCTGAGACCCTCGGGAAGGGGAGAGTGTGGGGTGTGAGCAGAGGGTATGGGGGGGACGCTGCACCTGGAGGAGGTGGGGACTCACCTGCTGCAGCTCCTCGTAGGTGATAAATAGGAAGTTGTCTTTGCCCTTCATCCGAAGCCAGCCCTTAATGTGGTCGAACCAGGAGCCAAACTGCACTGTGGGCAGAGGGACAAGTGGGGTGAGGGCTGAGTGGCGGGGTTCCCCCAGCCCCACTGGGGCTCATGGGTCTAACTAGCTGTGCCCCACAAACCCCCAGGTCCAGCCCCCAGAGCTGGATGCCCTCCCCCAGAGCCCCCACATTTCCACCAAGTTCTGGGGCTCTTCCAACCTGCTTCTCCCCTGGTTGCCCATCTTGGGGGGCCTTTGTCTATCTGTCCATCCAGTCCGCCTCCACACACCTGGATTTCCCTCCAAAGCCAGGGTCTCTGACAGCAGCAGAGAAAGGAACACGTGGCCAAAGGGCGCTGCCTTTCTTAGTACCAGGGGCCTGTCTCCTCCTGTTTCCTTGTCTCTCCCTGTCTCTCTCTGACTCCATCTCTCTTTCTGCATTTATTTCCTTATCTCTTTTTATTTTTTATTTTTTTTGAGACGGAGTCTCACTCTGTCGCCCAGGCTGGAGTGCAGTGGCACGATCTTGGCTCACTGCAAGCTCCACCTCCCAAGTTCAAGCCATTCTCCTGTCTCAGCCTCCCAAGTAGCTGGGACTACAGGCACCGCCACCACACCCGGCTAATTTTTTGTATTTTTAGTAGAGACGGGGTTTCACCATGTTAGCCAGGATGGTCTCAATCTCCTGACCTTGTGATCCGCCTGCCTCAGCCTCCCAAAGTGCTGGGATTACACGCATGAGCCACCATGCCGGGCCCCTGTCTCTTTTGTTGCCCTCTCTCTCAGTCTTTTTGTATCTGTGTCTCTCCCTGTCTCTGTCTCCTCTGTCCTTTGCCTGTCCTGTGTCTTTCGGTCTCTCAGCCTCTCTCCCTCCGTCTCTTCTCCTGGCCACCTGCTCTCTGTCTCTATTGCCCCTTTTGATGCCCTGTGTCTCTGTCTCTCTCCCTTTCTTACCCCTCCTCTGTCCCTCTGCCCATCAGGGTCCTCTGGGGCTCCTCCCCACCCCTCCTGCCCCGCTTTACCCTGTCCCCACCTTCGCCTTTGAGGAAGTCCCTCAGGAACTGGTCGGGTGTGCCCGGGTCCTTTAACTGCCCGGCGATCTTGGAGTAATGATAGAGGGAGACCACAACGTCCCGGGGGTTGCGGCCCATGTAGATCACCTGTGTGCGGATGGTGAGGAGAGGGGAGAAGGCGTCAGACACAGGCAAGACCCCAGCCCCTGAGGCCTCCTGCCCTGGAGACCCCTCTCTTCTGACCCTGAAGCAGGAAGGACTCAGGGCAGACTCTTTTTTTTTTGCGATGGAGTCTGACTCTGTTTCGCCCAGGCTGGAGTGCAGTGGCGCCATCTCAGCTCATTGCAACCTCTGCCTCCTGGGTTCAGGCGATTCTCCTGTGTCAGCCTCCTGAGTAGCTGGGACTACAGGAGCGTGCCACCACATCAGGATAATTTTTGTATGTTTAGTAGAGATGGGGTTTTACCATGTTGGTTACTCACAGATTGAGGAACCCCTTGAGGACAGGCAAGGTCTTACACGTTCCTAGAGCCTTAGCCCAGAGCCCCACACACAGGAGGTTCTGGAAATTGCTTGAGGGAATGACAAAGGCATAAAGGGAGGGAGGCTGAGAAAGAACACTTGGCCAGCTGCGGTGGCTCATGTCTGTAATCCCAGCACTTTGGGAGGACGAGACAGGAGGATAACTTGAACCCAGGAGTTTGAGACCAGCCTGGACAACATAATGAGACCCCCATTCTACAAAGAATACAAAAATTAGCTGATGTGGTGGTGCGTGCCCGTGGTCCCAGCTACTCGGGAGGCTAAGGCAGGAGGATCACTTGAGCCCGGGAGGTCGAGGCTGCAGTGAGCTGTGATCACACCACTGCACTCCAGCCTACATGACAGAACGAGACCCTGCCTCAAAAACAAATAAACCAAAAAACAAAACAAAACACCCCCAGATCCACCAAAAACTAAATGAAAACAGACTTAGAGAAACGTGGCTGCTGGTGTGAGGTCTTGTAATAACATTGGTGCTTTCCAGGGCTCCTTCCTGATTCCTGTGCTGTAGAGGATTCCTTTCTGCCCAGAGAAAGGCCTGGCCCTTGCCCCTAGGTCCTGAGAGGTATTTCCTAATCCCTTGGATTTTTTTGTTTTGTTTTGTTTTGTTTTAGACGAAGTCTCGCTGTGTCTCCCAGGCTGGAGTGCAGTGGCACGATCTCAGCTCACTGCAACCTCTGCCTCCCAGGTTCAAGCAATTCTCCTGCCTCAGCCTCCCGAGTAGCTGGGACTACAGGTGGGTGCCACCATGCCTGGCTAATTTTTGTATTTTTAGTAGAGACGGGTTTTCACCATGTTGGCCAGGCTGGTCTCAAACTCCCGGCCTCAAGTGATCCATCTGCTTCGGCCTCCCCAAGTGCTGGGATTACAGGCATGAGCCACCATGCCCAGCCTAGTCTTATTTTTTAGAAACAAGGTCTTGTCGGCCAGGCACTGTGGCTCACACCTGTAATCCCAACACTTTGGGAGGCTAAGGCGGGTGGATCACCTGAGGTCAGGTGTTCGAGACCAGCCTGGTCAACATGGTGAAACCCCGTCTCTACTGAAAATACAAAAAATTAGCTGGGCATGGTGGTGGGCGCCTGTAATCCCAGCTATTTGGGAGGCTGAGGCAAGAGAATCGCTTGAACCCTGGAGGCAGAGGGGCAGAGGTTGCAGTGAGCCAAGATCGTGCCATTGCACTCCAGCCTGGGCAACAAGAGGGAAACTCTGTCTCAAAAAAAGAAAAAAGAAAGAAAAAGAAAAAAGAAAAGAAACAAGGTCTTGTTCTGTCCTTGAGGCTGGAGTGCCTGTGGCACAATCATGGCTCACTGCAGCCTGAAACTCCCAGGCTCAAGTGATCTTCCTACCTCAGCCTCCCAAGTAGCTGGGACTACAGGTGTATGCCACTACACGTGACGAATTTTTAAACTTTTTTGTAGAGATGGGTGTTTCTAAGTTGCCCAGCTGGTCTTGAACTCCTGGGCTCAATCAACTGCTCACCTTGGCCTCTGAAAGTGCTGGGATTTCAGGCGTGAGCCACCGCGCCCGGCCCCCTTGCCTGATTTTCACGTTTGCTTTCATTGTAATTGACTATAACCCGGGAGTCCAGCAGCTTTGCTGAACACTATGAGTTTTGCTAAGTCGTTGAGCCTGAGGGTGGTCTTGGGGACTTCCTGATTGCAGCCCCCCCTCTCTGCTCTGTCCACGCTCAATTCCTTGGCGATATCACCCAGTCCTGGAGCTTCGATTAATTACAGAATATATGTGCCAAGGAATTGCAAATGGACGTGTCAGCCCAAGTCTCTCCCCTCAGATCCCGATGGGTGCATTTCTGTGCCCACCGGCAGCCTCTGCTGGACGTGGGATGGGCCGCCGCAGAGCCCGTGTCTTCCTCCCCCGCCTGCTCCCCTCCCTCCTCCCCTTCCCAGTTGCCCCACCCTGACAGTTGCTTCCGCCGAAACCTTGGAGTCACCCTTGACTCATCCCCTTCTCTCACACCCACATCCAGTCTGTCAGCAAATCCTCCCGGTCTCACCTTCAAAATACCTCCGTGACCATCACCCTAGTCCAGCCACCGTCCCCTCCCCTGGACCCCGGCCAGCGCCGCCTCTCGGGCTTCCCGGCTTCTGCTCTCTCGACAGTCGGTCCCCATCTGACCGCCAGAGGGCGCCGGTGAAGCCTAAGCCCGCTCGGGCTCCTCCTCTGCTGCGATCCCTGCCGCGCTGCCTCGTCACTCGGTCAGAGCTCAAGTCCGCACCGGGCCCACGCGGCCCTGCACATTTTGGCCCCTGTTGCCTCCCCACCCGGACCTCATCTCCACTCCTTTCCCCACTTGCTCACTTGGCTCCGGCCACACCGACCTCCCTCTTGCACCTCAGATACACCCACCTCAGGGCCTTTGCACCTGCTTTTCCCTCTTGCCTGAAATGCTCTTCCTCTAGAAACCTCTGTGGCTCCCACCATCACCTCCCGGGTTTTTACTCACTGGGGGCCCCCTTGACCTCCTTATTTATAATTGCAGCCCCACACCCACCTCTAACTCTATCTCCAGCCCTCTCCCCCCAATGTAAATTTATCCCATCAGACATTTTATGTATTATATTATATTGCATTATGTTATTATATGTTAAACATATAAATATTAAATATAATTAAAGTATATTGTAATACTATTAAATTATTATAATATGTAGTATAATATATGGGGGTTTTTTTTTTGAGACGGAGTTTTGCTTTTGTTGCCCAGGCTGGAGTGCAATGGCGCGATCTCGGCTCACCACAACCTCCGCCTCCTGGGTTCAAGCGATTCTCCTGCCTCAGCCTCCCAAGTAGCTGGGATTACAGGCATGTGCCACCACGCCCAGCTAACTTTGTATTTTTAGTAGAGACAGGTTTTCTCCATGTTGGTCAGGATGGTCTCAAACTCCTGACCTCAGGTGATCTGCCCACCTTGGCTTCCCAAAGTGCTGGGAGTACAAACGTGAGCCACTGCGCCTGGCTGTAATTTTTTTTTTTTTTTTTGAGATGAAATCTTGGTCTGTCTCCCAGGCTGGAGTGCAGTGGTGCCATCTCAGCTCACTGCAACCTCCACCTCCCAGGTTCCAGCAATTCTCCTGCCTTAGCCTCCTGAGTAGCTGGGATTACAGGCACCCACCACCAGATCCGACTAATTTTTGTATTTTTAGTAGAGACATGGTTTCACCATGTTGGCCAAGCTGGTATTGAACTCCTGGCCTCAAGTGATCTGCCTGCCTCTGCCTCCCAAAGTGCTGGGATTACAGGCGTGAGCCACCATGCCAGCACCGGCTTTTTTTTTTTTTTTTTTTTTTTTTTTTTTTTTGAGACAGTCTTGCCCTGTTGCCTAGGATGGAGTGCAGTAAGGTGATTTCAGCTCAGTGCAGCCTTGACCTGCTGGGCTCAAGTGATCCTCCCACCTCAGCATTCCAAGTAGCTGGGACTACAAGTGTGTGCCACCACGTCTGACTGATTTTTAAAATTTCTTGTAATGATGTGGTCTGACTATGTTGCCCAAGCTGGTCTCAAACTCCTGGCCCAAAGTGATCCTCCCGCCTCAGCCTCCCAAAGTGCTGGGACTACAGGCATGAGCCATCACTCCCTGCCAAAGGGCAGGCATTTCTGTGTGTATATTGACCACTGTGCTAGATCAGAGTCAGGCACATAGTAGGTGTTTAACAAATAGGTGCTGAATGAATCAATGAGTTATGCTCCGTCCCCCCATTACCCCATACACCCATGCAGCCCCTCCCAACTGACACACACCCCTCCTCCCAACCTTGGCCTTGGAGCTGAAGAAGGCCTTGGTGAAGATCTGGATGGGAAGATGGGAGCTCATGAGGCGGGGGCTGTACTGGTCCGGGAGGCTGAAGGCACCCACAATGGTCTCACACCAGGGTGCCCGCTCCCAGATGGGCACGGAGCGGATCCAGGATGGATCCCCTTCCTTCAGGATTAAGCAGATGATCTCGATCATCCAGGTCGTGCCTGTTGGGAGAAATCGAGCAGATTAATTGGGTGTGGGAGGGCTGAAGAGGGAGATATCATCAGAATAATCACAACAGCACTTATTGAGCAATTTGCCACCTTTTATTATTTTTTTTTAAGACAGAGTCTTACTCTGTTGCCCACGCTGGAGTGCAATGGCGCGATCTCGGCTCACTGCAACCTCCACCTCCCAGGCTCAAGCAATTCTCCTGCCTCAGCCTCAGCCGAGTAGCTAGCATTACAAGCGCCCACCACCACGCCTGGCTAATTTTGTATTTTTAGTAGAGACGAGGTCTCCCCATGTTGGCCAGGCTGGTCTCGAACTCCTGACCTCAGGTGCTCTGCCCACCTCGGCCTCCCAAACTGCTGGGATTACAGCTGTGAGCCACCACGCCCTGCCTGACAGCATTTATTGAGCAATTTACCACCTATTTTATCACACTGATTCCTTACAGCTGGCAGAGAAGGCAAGGTTGCTTAACCTCATTTTCGGAGCCAGAAACTGAGCCTTACAGAAACCATGTCGCTCGTCCAAGGGGACAAAGCTAGGAAAGTGGTGCAGGGCAGAGACTGGTGAGCTGTCCACCCAACCCCATTTCATTTTTCTGCTGGGAATATGGCGTGATGACCTTTTCTCTTCTCCCCTGCTGCTATGTGTGGGGCCAAGAGACTGGGTCTGGCCAAGGAAGTATAGGTGGCGGCGATGTGATGTGCGGCTATTTCCAGGCCTGGCCCATAAACGCACGCCACGTGACTCTCCACTCCCTCTCTGCTTCTGGATACAGAGACTCCAGGGGAGAATCTGGGACTCCCGGGGATGGCAGAGCCATAAGATGGAAGGAACCAAATGTCTGGGAATGCATGGATATCCCCCCACCAACTTCCTTCCACCCTTCCTGCACCAACTACAGTTTATAGGAAAAAGAAACAAACTTGGCTTCAGCCGCTGAAATTCTGAGGCTGATCTATTAGTACAGCCAGAATTGCTTTACTTATTTATTTTTTTGGGGACAGAATCTTGCTCTGTCACCCAGGCTGGAGTGCAGTGGTGTGATCACAGCTCACTGCAGCCTTGAAATCCCGGGCTTAAGAGATCCTCCTGCCTCAGCCTCCCGAGTAGCTGAGACCACAGGTGCACACAACCACACCTGGCTAATTTCTTATTTTTATTTTTAGAAGACATACGGTCCCACTATGTTGCCCAGGCTGGTCTTGAACTCCTGGGCTCAAGCAATCCTCCTGCCTCAGCCTCCCAAGGTGCTGGGAGCAGAGGCATCATGCCCAGCAGGCACTCCTTTAATACATGGAGAAAGCTGGAATTGAACCCAGGTGTCTGGACATAAAAATCTCTGCTCTTTTCACTTTTCACTGCCCACTTTTGAGGGTCACCCCTTTTTTTATTATACTTTAAGTTTTAGGGTACATGTGCACAACGTGCAGGTTAGTTACATATGTATACATGTGCCATGTTGGTGTGCTGCACCCATTAACTCATCATTTAACATTAGGTATATCTCCTAATGCTATCCCTCCCCCCTACCCCCACTTTTTTTCTTTTTGAGACGGAGTTTTGCTCTTGTTGCCCAAGCTGGAGTGCAATGGCGCGATCTTGGCTCACTGCAACCTCCGCCTCCCGGTTTCAAGTGATTCTCCTGCCTCAGCCTCCCTAGTAGCTGGGGTTACAGGCATGCACCACCACGCCTGGCTAATTTTTGGTATTTTTAGTAGAGATGGGATTTCACCATGTTAGCCAGGCTGGTCTCGAACTCTTGACCTCCAGTGATCCACCTGCCTCAGCCTCCCAAAGTGCTGGGATTACAGGAGTAAGCCACTGCGCCCGGCTGAGGTTCACCTCTTTATTTCTGTGGGGAGCCACAGAATGTTACCTAGTGGAAAGGGACCTCATCAAGGACCCAATTCACAGTTTTGAATTTCAGGAGACCACAGGCTGTTCAGAAGAGAAACAATTACGTTCAAAATTACTTTCTGTTAGTATTCATTGCATTTAATTCTTTTTGAGACAGGATTCCGCTCTGTGACCTGGGCTGGTGTGCACTGTTGCAGTCACAGCTTACTTCAGCTTCAGCCTCCAACTCCCAGGCTCAAGTGATCCTCCCACCTCAGCCTCTGGAGTAGCTAGACCACATGTACCCAGCTTTTTTTTTTTTTTTTTTTTTTTTGAGAAGGAGTCTCACTCTGTTGCCCAGGCTGGAGTGCAGTGGCTCTATCTCGGCTCACTGAAACCTCTGCCTCCTGGATTCAAGCAATTCTCCTGCCTCAGCCTCCCAAGTAGCTGGGACTAGAAGTGTGCCACCACGCCTGGCTAGTTTTTGTATTTTTAGTAGAGATGGGGTTTTGCCATGTTGGCCAGGTTGGTCTCAAACTCCTGACCTCAGGTGATCCACCTGCCTTGGCCTCCCAAAGTGCTGGGATTATAGGCATGAGCCACCATGCCCAGCCTGCGCCCACCTAATTTTTAAAATTTTTGTAGAGATGGGGTCTCACTGTGTTGCCCAGGCTGGTCTGGAGCTCCTGGCCTCTAGCGATCCTCCTGCCTTGGCCTCCCAAAGTGCTGGGATTACAGGCGTAAGCCACCACATCCAATCCATTCACTGGATTTCATTCTAACAACCACCTTGTACCAGTTATCAGTTTACAGGCTGGTGGCTCCAACTTCATGCCTCTCTGCCGTTTTTGTGATATTGGAGCTGGACCCTGTAAACATTTCTCCTCTGCCAGCTAGCTCAGTGTTAAACCTTGTCAGCAGAGGGCGCTGGAGGAACACTGAATGAGGATGGGGCTCTTCCTGATTCTCACGAGCTCCTCTTAGCGGGATCTTGTGATGGACAGGGGCCAGCCCTGCACTAGACACGCAGTGACGTTTACCCCTCCCCCTAGCAAATTTCAGTGGCCTGTTGCACTTCAGTGAACTTCTCAGTCACCCAGTGGGTCATGACCATACCTCTGCAGCGAAACTCTAATCTTGTGTGGGGAGCCGGTTGGGCAGGGAAGTCCTTCTTCCCAATTTCTTTCTTTCTTGGGAGTTTGGCTTCAGCCCTAGAGGAAGTGGCTGCACCCTATTTTAGCTATTCCTGTGTGTGGTGTTTTTTGTTTGTTTGAGACGGAGTCTTGCTGTGTTTCCAGGCTGGAGTGCAGTGGCGCGATCTCAGCTCACTGCAACCTCCACCTCCCGGGTTCAAGTGATTCTCCTGCCTCAGCTTCCCGAATAGCTGTGACTACAGGCGCACGCCAGCATGCCCAGCTAATTTTTGTATTTTTAGTAGAGACAGGGTTTCACCATGTTGGTCAGGATGATCTCAATCTCTTCACCTCGTGATCTGCCTGCCTCAGCCTCCCAAAGTGCTGGGATTACAGGCGTAAGCCACTGTGCCTGGCCTTTTGTTTGTTTGTTTGAGACAGTCTGGCTCTGTCGCCCAGGCTGGAGTGCAGTGGCGCAATCTCCACTCACTGCAACCTCCGCCTCCTGGGTTCCAGCCATTCTCATGCCTCAGCTTCCCAAGCAGCTGGGACTACAGGCGCGCACCACCAGGCCCGGCTAATTTTTGTATTTTTAGTAGAGACGGGGTTTGGCCATTTTGGCCAGGCTGGTCTTGAACTCCTGACCTCAGGTGATCCGCCCGCCTCGGCCTCCCAGAGTGCTGGGATTACAGGCATGAGCCACTGCACCCGGACGAATTTCCTTCCTTTTTACAGCTGAATAATATTCCATTGTATGAATATAGCATAATTTGTTTATCCATTCATTCATGAACGGCAGATATTTGGATAGTTTCAGCTTTTGGTCATTGCAAATAATGTGGCTATGAACATTGGTGTACAAATATCTGTCAGAGTGCCCCCACCTAGTATTTAGTTCTTTTGGGCATATTCCTGGAAGTGGAACTGCTGAGTTAATATGGTAATTCTATCTTTAATTTTTTGAGGAACTGCCAAACTGTTTTCCATAGCAGCTGTACCATTCTACATGCTCACCAACAGTGCACAAGGGCCCCATTTTCTCAACATCCTTGCCACACTTGGTATTTTCTTCTGTTTTTTCTTTTATTTTTTATTTTTGAGACAGAGTTTTGCTCTTGTTGCCTAGGCTGGAGTGCAATGGAGTGATCTCGGCTCACTGCAACCTCCACCTCCAGGGTTCAAGCGATTCTCCTGCCTCAGCCTCCCAAGTAGCTGGGACTACAGGCATGCACGACCACGCCTGGCTAATTTTTTTTTTTTGTAGAGATAGGATTTTGCCATGTTGCCCAGGCTGGTCTTGAACTCCTGGGCTTAAGCTATCCACTTGCCTTGGCCTCCCAAAGTGCTGGGATTACAGGCATGAGCCACCGTGCCTGACTGCAAATAATTCTTTTTTCATTTTATTTTGAGACAGGGTCTCGCTCTGTTGCCCAGACTGGAGTGCATTGGTACGATCTTGGCTCACTACAACCTCTGCCTCCCCAGTTCAAGCAATTCTCATGCCTCAGCCTTCCGAGTAGTTGGGACCACAGGCGCGCACCACCATGCCCAGCTAATTTTTGTATTTTTAGTAGATATGGGGTCATGTAGGCCAGTCTGGTCTCCTATTGCTGGCCTCAAGTGATCCGCCTGCCTCGACCTCCCAAAGTGCTGGGATTTCAGGTGTTAACCACACCCCCGGCTCAGAGAACAAGCTTCCACAATTTCTATAGAGGGAAATGTAGCCATTACATATCAAAATTACAAATGTACAGACTCTGACCAAGCAATTCTTTGTCCAGATATTTGTCCTAGAGGTAAGTGTGTTCAATGCCAAGTACTGCATGTACAAGGCATTGTGTTTAAAGTTTACATTGTATATACATAGGCAAAAGATTGAACATTAATATCAGTCACTAGGAAACTGGTTAAGCAAGAATTATTGTATATCCTATGTTATGAAATACCACGGAACTATTTAAAAAAACCAGAAACTTATTTGTTTAAAGTTCCAAGATGGGACAATGTCAAGGTATAAGGAGAAAGAAAAACATAAGCAAAATCAAGGCTGGTCACAGTGGCTCACGCCTGTAATCCCTGCACTTTGGGAGGCCGAGGCAGGTGGATCTCCTGAGGTCAGGGGTTCGAGACCAGCCTGGCCCACATGGCAAAACCCCGTCTCTACTAATAATTCAAAAATTAGCCAGGCATGGTGGCGGGCACCTGTAATCCCAGCTACTCGGGAGGTTGAGGCAGGAGAATCGCTTGAACCCAGGAGGCGGAGGTTGCAGTAAGCCAAGATGGCACCACTACACTCCAGCCTGGGCGACAGAGCGAGACTTCATCTCTAATAATAATAATAATAATAATAATAATAATATAATAATAATAATAAAACATACTCTGAGAAGACGCTGATATGAAAATGAAAAGACAAGCCATAGATTGGGAGAAAATATTTGCAAAACAAGTATCTGATCAAGGATCTGTACTCACATCATATAAAGAACTCTCGGCCGGGCACGGTGGCTCACGCCTGTAATCCCAGCACTTTGGGAGGCCGAGGCGGGTGGATCACAAGGTCAGGAGATCGAGACCATCCTGGCTAACACGGTGAAACCCCGTCTCTACTAAAAATACAAAAAATTAGCCGGGCGTGGTGGTGGGCGCCTGTAGTCCCAGCTACTCGGGAGGCTGAGGCAGGAGAATGGCGTGAACCTGGGAGGCAGCTGAGATCGCGCCACTGCACTCCAGCCTAGGTGACAGAGCGAGACTCTGTCTCAAAAAAAAAAAAAAAACTCTCAAATCTCAATGATAAGAAAACAATCCAATTCAAAAGAGGAAAAATATTTCAACACTTTACCAAATAATACATTTGTGAGCTTCAAGTCAGTGGCAAGTAATAGAACAAACAAAAAGGAATATATGGCCAGGTGCGGTGGCTCATGCCTGTAATCCCAGCACTTTGGGAGGCCGAGTTGGGCGGATCACCTGAGATTGGGAGTTCGAGACCAGCCTGACCAACATGGAGAAACCCCCGATCTACTAAAAAAAAAAAAAAAATGCAAAAACCAGGCATGGTGGCACATGCCTGTAATCCCAGCTACTAGGGAGGCTGAGGCAGGAGAATCACTTGAACCTGGGAGGTGGAGGTTACAGTGAGCTGAGATCGCGCCATTGCACTCCAGCCTGGGAAATAAGAGTGAAACTCCATCTCAAAAAAAAAAAAAAAAAAAAAAAAGGAATATATATGATGGCTAATGAGCACATGAAAAGATGCTCAAACACCATTAGCTGTTAGGGAAATGCAAATTAATACTACAGTGAAACACCAGTAGGCACCTATCAAAATAGCTTTAGAAAAAAACTGGCCAGGCACAGTGGCTCATGCCTGTAATCCCAGCACTTTGGGAGGCTGAGGCAGGAAGATCGCTTGAGCCCAGGCATTCGAGACCAACCAGAGACCCTTATCGCTACAAAAATTAGCTGGGTGTGGTGGCTATTAGGGAGGCTGGGGTGGGAGCATCACTTGTGCCCAGGAGTTCGAGGTTGCAGTGAGCCATGATCTTCCCACTACACTTCAGCCTGGGCAACCGAGCAAGACCTTGTCTCCAATAAGTAAATCTCTGTTGATGCTAATCACTGGAGAAGATGTGGGGCAATAGAGGATCATCTATTGCTGGGAAGAATGAAAAAAGATAAAGCCACTTCGGGCTGGCACGGTGGCTCACGCCTATAATCCCAGCACTTTGGGAGGCTGAGGTGGGTAGATTGACTGAGGTGAGGAGTTTGAAACCAGCCTGGCCAACATGGTGAAACCCCGTCTCTACTAAAAATACAAAAATTAGCTGGGCGTGGTGGTGCATGTCTGTGGTCCCAGCTACTCCGGAGGCTGAGGCAGGAGAATTGTTTGAACCTGTGGAGGCAGAGGTTGCAGTGAACAGAGATCTCGCCACTGCACTCCAGCCTGGGCAACAGTGAGAACCTGTCTCCATAAAAAACAAAGAAAACATATGTCCACGTAAGAACTTGTGTGCAGGGCCCAGTGCAGAGGCTCACTCCTATAATCCTAACACTTTGGGAGGCCAAGGAGGGAGAATTGCTTGAGCTCGGGAGTTTGAAACCAGTCTGGGCAACACAGTGAGATCTCGTCTGTGAAAAAAAAAAAAAGTTTTTTTAATTAGCTGGGCGTGGTGGTGTGCACTTGTCGTCCCAGCTACTCAGGAGGCTCAGGTGGGAGGATAGCTTGAGCCCAGGAGGTCAAGGCTGCAGTGAGCTGAGACTGCACCACTGCACTCCAGCCTGAGCGAAAGATCGAGACCCTGCCTCAAAAAATAAAAATAGAAACAAGAACTTGCATGCAAGGCCGAGAGCAGTGGCTCACGCCTGTAATCCCAGCACTTCGGGAAGCTGAGGCAGGTGGATCACCTGAGGTCAGGAGTTCGAGACCAGCCTGGCCAACATGGTGAAACCCCGTCTCTACTAAAAATACAAAAATTAGCTGGGCGTGGTGGCAGGTGCCTGTAATTCCAACTACTCAGGAGGCTGAGGCAGGAGAATCGCTTGAACCTAGGAGGCAGAGGTTGCAGTGAGCCGAGACTGCGCCATTGCATTCCAGCCTGGGGGACAAGAGCGAGACTTCGTCTCAAAAAAAAAAAAAAAAAAGAAAGAAAGAAAAGAAAAGAAAAAGGCCGGGCGCGGTGGCTCGTGCCTGTAATCCCAGCACTTTGGGAGGCCAAGACGGGTGGATCATGAGGTCAGGAGATGGAGAGCATCCTGGCTAACACGGTGAAACCCCGTCTCTACTAAAAATACAAAAAATTAGCTGGGTATGGTGGTGGGCGCCTGTAGTCCCAGCTAATTGGGAGGCTGAGGCAAGAGAATGGCGTGAACTCGGGAGGCGGAGTTTGCAGTGAGCCAAGGTCACGCCACTGCACTCCAGCCTGGGCGACAGAGCGAGACTCCGTCTCAAAAAAAAAAAAAAAAAGAACTTGCATGCAATGTTCGTAGCAGCTTCATTCATAATAAGCCCCAGAGTGGAAATAATCCAAATGCTTATCAACTGATGAATAAATAAAATATAGTTTATACATAACATAAAATATTATTGGACCATAAAAATGAATGAGACTCTGACACATGCTACAATGTGGTTGAACCTTGACAACGTGATGCTCAGGAAGAAACCAGACACAAGAGGCCACATAGTGTAGATTCCATTTCCATGAAATGCCCAAAATAGAAAAATCCATAGAAACAGAACGGAGATTGGTGGTTACCAGGGCCCAGGGGGGAGGGGATATGAGGATTGGGAGGTGATGGCTTATAGGTCCAGAGTTTCTTGTTGGATGATGATAATGTTCTTTATTTTTATTTTTATTTGTTTTTGGTTTTTGAGACAGGGTCTTGCCCTATCGCCAAGGCTGGAGTTCAGTGGTGCACTCTTGGCTCACTGCAACCTCTACCCCCCGGTTCCAAGCAATTCTCCTGCCTCAGCCTGCCGAATACTGGGATTACAGGCACGCACCACCACGCCTGGATAGTTTTTGCATTTTTAGTAGACACGGGGTTTCACCATGTTGGCCAGACTGGTCTCGAACTCCTGACCTCAAATGATCCACCCGCCTCAGCCTCCCAAACTGCTGGGATTGCAGGCATGAGCCACCGTGCCTGGCCCACTCAGTTTTTTGTTTTTGAGACAGTCTCTGCCACCCAAGCTGGAGTGCGGTGGGGTGAACGCGTCTCACTGCAACCTCCACCTCCCAGACTGAAGCAATCCTCGCATCTCAGCCTCCCAAGTAGCTGGAACTACAGGCATACACTATCGTGCCTGGCTAATTTTTGTATGTTTTGTAGAGATGAGGTCTCACCATGTTGGCCAGGCTGCTCTCGAACGCCTAGGCTCAAGAGATCCTCCTGCCTCGGCCTCCCAAAATGTTGGGATTATGGGTGTGAGCCACTGTGCTCGGCTGAAAATATTCTAAAATTGATTGTGGTGATGGATGACCAGCTCCACGCACATGGCAAAGTCATTGAATTGTACCTTTTTCTATTTGTTGAGACAGGGTCTCACTCTGTTGCCCAGGCTGAAGTGCAGTGGTGTGATCGCAGCTCACTGGAGCCTCGACCTCTCTAGCTAAAGTGATCCTCCTGCCTCAGCCTCCCAAGTGGCTGGGACTACAGGCGCACACCACCACGCCTGGCTAATTTTTTTTTTTTAGAGATGGGGTCTTGCTATGTTGCCCAGGCTGGGCTTGAACTCTTGGCCTCAAGTGATCCTCCTACTTCAGCCTCCCAAAGTGCTGAGATTACAGGCATGAGCCACTATGCCCCGCCTACCCTCTACTTTTCTTCACAGCATTTATTGCCACCAATCATAGTGTCATATTTTTATTTGTTGATTTATTTTCTGGGTTGCCCCAGTACAATGTGAGCTCCATAAAGGGAGACATTTCAGTCTGTCTGGAGAGTTGCAGCCTTCTTTGTACTTAGAACACTGCCTGGCACATAATATGTGTTTAATAAATACTTGTTGGAGGAGGTGGGGAAGAGAGGAGAAAAAAGGGAAGGAAGAGTTTTTGTTATTTCCCTTTGGTCATTTAAATGCTACTTATTGACCGGGCTCACACCTGTAATCGCAGCACTTTGGGAGGCCGAGGTGGGCAGATCAAGAGGTCAAGAGATCAAGACCATCCTGGCCAGTACGGTGAAACCTCATCTCTACTAAAAATACAAAAATTAGCTGGGTGTAGTGGCACACGCCTGTAATCCCAGCTACTCAGGAGGCTGAGGCAGGAGAATCGCTTGAACCCAGGAGGCAGAGATTGCAGTGAGCCGAGATCACGCCACTGCACTCCAGCCCGGGCAACAGAGCAAGACTCTGTCTCTAAAAAAAAAAAAAAAAAAAAAAAAAAAAAAGACGGCTCAGTGGCTCACACCTGTAATCCCAACACTTTGGGAGGCCAAGGCTGGTGGATCATGAGGTCAGGAGTTCAAGACCAGCCTGGCCAAGATGGTGAAACCCTGTCTCTACTAAAAATACAAAAATAAAATAAAATAAAATAAAAAGAAGTAGCCGCGCATGGTGGCGGGCACCTGTGATCCCAGCTACTCAGGAGGCTGAGGCAGAGAATTGCTTGAACCCAGGAGGCAGAGGTTACAGTGAGCTGAGATCATGCCACTATACTCCAGCCTGGGCGACAGAGAGACTCCGTCACAAAAAAAAAAAAAAAAAAAAAAAAATAGAGGGGGGTTTGCCATTTTGCCCAGGTTGGTCTCAAACTCAAACACTCAAATTGTGTGTAATTCACCACTTTAAAGTATACAATTTAGCCAGGCGCGGTGGCTCATGCCTGTAATCCCAGCACTTTGGGAGGCTGAGGCAGGAAGATCGCTTGAGCCCAGGAGTTCAAGACCAGCCTGGGCAACATGATGAAACCCTGTCCCTACAAAAAACACAAAAGTTAGCCAGGCATGGTGGTGCACACGTGTGGTTCCAGCTACTCAGGAGGCTGAGGTTGGGCGGATCATGTGAGTCCAGGAGGTCAAGGCTGAAATGAGCCGAGATTGTACCATCACACTGAAGCCTGGGCAGCAGAGCAAGACCTCCAAAAAAAAAAAAAAAAAAAAAGTATACAATTTGGTGGTGACCAGCACCTGTAGTCCCAGCACTTTGGGAGGCCAAGGTGGGAGGTTTGATGAGCTGATATTGCACCACTGCACCCCAGCCTGAGTGACAGAGCAAGACCTTGTCTCGAAAAATAAAAATAAAAATGGTCAGGTGTGGTGGTTCACGCCTGTAATCCCAGCACTTTGGGAGGCCAAGGCAGAAGGATCACTTGAGATCAGGAGTTCAAGACCAGCCTGGGCAATGTAGCGAGACCCCATCTCTACAAAAAAAAAAAAAAAAAAGAGAAGTAGAGGGTAAAGGGGAAAGGGAGGAACAGAACGAGGACGCTATTTCAGCCAGGGAGGTCAGGGAAGGTGAAGTGTTGAGAACTGACCTGGAGGGGAGAGGCTGGGCACCGGGTGGGTATCCCTGGGAGGCTACTTCTGGCAGGGGCACCGCTCTGAACAGACCCGGCCCCACTTTTCCTCCTCCCCTCCTTCTCTATGTGCCTTTCCTGTCCTCTGCCGCACCCCCTCCCCACTCTCCCCAGCCCCCGACGCCCGCAGCCCGGCAGGTACCTGACTTGGGGTAGGTGATGATAAAGATGTCGTCGTCCCGCACATCTTGGGTGTTCTCCGCCAAG
This sequence comes from Homo sapiens, assembly GCF_000001405.40. Classification (NCBI taxonomy): domain Eukaryota; kingdom Metazoa; phylum Chordata; class Mammalia; order Primates; family Hominidae; genus Homo; species Homo sapiens. Next base: position 48,576,018 of record NC_000019.10, on the reverse strand, counting down.
CTGATGCTCTCGAGCGAGTACAGGCCGACGGGGAAGGGGACGCCCTTGTACCGGAAGTATTCACCTGGCAACTTCTGGCTGTGGAAAGGTGGGGGAGACGCCATGAGGGAGAGTAGGGAGGTGGGTGCTGGAGTTCTCAGGGTGGCGACACTCGGACCCTGGCAAGGAACTTCCTCCTCAGAGCCTCAGTCCCTCTTCTGTAAAGTGGTGACACTGTCCCTATAAACTTTATAAAGCTGGTCAGGCGCAGTGGCACACTCCTGTAATCCCAGCACTTTGGGAGACAGAGGTGGGTGGATCACCTGAGGTCAGGAGTTTGAGACCAGCCTGGCCAACATGGTGAAACCCCGCCCCTACTAAAAAGACAAAAATCAGCCAGGCGTGGTGGCGCATGCCTGTACTCCCAGTTACTCCGGAGGCTGAGGCAGGAGAATCGTTTGAACCCAGGAGGCGGAGGTTGCAGTGAGCCGAGATCACGGCACCATTGCACTCCAGTTTGGGCGACAAGAGTGAAACTCCATCTCAAAATATATATAAATATATATATATATATATTTTTAATTTTAAAAAGTTAATAAAGATCCCAGGCGCGGTGGCTCACACCTGTTGTCCCAGCACTTTGGGAGGTCAAGGCGGGTGGATCACGAGGTCAGGAGGTGGAGGTTTCAGTGAGCTGAGATCGCGCCACTGCACTCCAGCTTGGGCAACAGAGTGAGACTTCATCTCAAAAACAAAAACAAAAATTAGCCAGGTGTGGTGGTGGGCACCTGCAATCCCAGCTACTCGGGAGGCTGAGGCAGGATAATTGCTTGAATCCAAGAAGTGGAGGTTGCAATGAGCCGAGACTGTGCCATTGCACTCCAGCCCAGGGGACAGAGCGAGACTCTGTCTCAAAAAAAAAAAAAAAAAAAAAAAAAAGGTTAAAACAGAGAGTAGCTCATAGTCTGCATTCCATAACTTTGAGTTAAAATTATTATGGCTATTTCATGCAGTAGCAGGCACCACGGGGCCTTATGTGAACTCAGAGGAGGCCTGCCTAGCACAGCCTTGCGCACACAGTAGGCCTTCAATAAACTGCAGTTACTTTGTTTGTTCAGTGATGTCATCAGTTATCCCATAGGTTGAGCGTGGGCGCGGAATTAGTGATGATGTCATCGGTTACCAGGCAAATTTAGTCCAGTGGGCAGGCGCAGTGAGGTAATTAGTTTTCAGGAGGATTAGCCACTGAGCGCCTGCTGGGCCTTGGCTGGGCTTCCATAGGTCCTACTTGTCCTTTCTGTGCCTTGGGCAGCGGACTTCACTTCTTTGATCCTCAGTTTCCTCATCTGTCATGTGAGGATAAGAGCAATCTCTGCTTTGAGGTTTTAATCCTACTTGGGGATTCAACGGGATAATATATTTTAAGTGCTTGGCTCCTGATACATTTATCAGGAAACGGAAGCTCTGTTTAGCATTATTTTAGTCTTTGATCTGGCCAACAGCTCCTTGAGGGAGAAATCTCCTTCCCAGCTTACAGGAGAGGAAAACCCAGATGCCAACAAGAAAAGACCCTGTGCCCTTGGAGAGGCCCTGAAGGAATAAATGAATGAATAGGAGGGCATCTTGCCCGTTCCTCTTGGCACCTACAATCTCCAAATCGGGGGTCCCTCCCCCACTCCCCAGAGGCCAGGGTGGAGCCCACAGTGCTGGGACTTGTTGGTGTTCAACCAGTGTTTGATTGAATGAGTGTAGGAAGGAAGGAAGGAAGGAATGAAGGGGTTTACCAGGACAAAAGGAAAGTCAAAGACACTTATGGCTTTCAGCTGCTGTAGCAGTTCTCAGCCTTGGGTGCTGTGGATACTTTGAAAACTCCTCAAGGGCTGGGCGCAGTGGCTTGCACCTGTAGTCCCAGCACTTTGGGAGGCCAAGACAGGAGGATTACTTGAGGCCAGGAGTTCGAGACCAGCATGAGCAACATAGCGAGAACACTGTCTCTGTTTAAAAATAAAAAATTAGCCGACTGTGGTAGCATACACGTGTAGTCCCAGCTACTTGGGAGTCTGAGGCGGGAGGATCAATTGAGCCAGGAGTTTGAGGCTGCAGTGAGCTGAGATTGCGCCACTGCACTCCAGCCTGGGTGACAGAGTGAGACCCTGACTCTAGTAACAAACATAGAAACAAACCAATTGTCGTGCAGTGGGTGGGGTAGAATTGGGCTCCGCTGTAGCTTCCATTGCTACAGAGAGGACATGGAGCTTCAAGGAGGGAAGCGATTTGACTGTGGCCACACAAGAGCTGAACAGAGCTGGGATTTGAACCCAAGCTGTGGTGGCCTCTCAGCCCTGTAGACTCAGTCCCTCCTTCCCCATGAACGCCACAGTCCAGCCAAGACCTCCAAATGCACCGAGCAGTAGTCCTACCTCTGGGCCCCTGGAGCTGCTGTTCCCGCTCCTGGAAATGTCCCCCGACCCTGCCACTCTCTGGGCCTGAGCGCAGAGCCAGGACCCCCCTGTCCCCCACCCACATGCCTACGTGGCTGCATTCTCGCATTCCTAAAACAGGTACCCTGTGCCTGCTGTCCACCTTGTAAAACAAATCTGGCCCCGGGACGAACTTCTCTACGCCTGGGACGTAGACAAACAGGCCTGTTTGTTCCCACAAAACACGTCCAGGGCCTGGCGTGCTGATATCGCTCGATTTGAGTGGAGGAATGAAAGGGACAATTAAGCCAGCGAGAGGCCAGGGACAGGGACAGCAGACAGAGCTCCTCCGGGTGGGTGGCCACAGCAGGCAGGTGATCCCCGGGAATGACTCAGCCTCCTGGAGGGTGAATGGTTCTGCCTGCAAGCCCCCTGGACATGTAAATTTTTTTTTTTTTTTTTTTGAGATGGAGTCCTGCTCTGTCACCAGGCTGGAGTACAGTGACACGATCTCGGCTCACTGCAACCTCCGCCTTCCAAGTTCAAGCGATTCTCCTGCCTCAGACTCCTGATTAGCTGGGACTACAGGTGCCTGTCGTCACGCCCAACTGATTTTTGTATTTTTAGTAGACATAGGGTTTCACCATGTTGGCCAGGCTGGTCTCAAACTCCTGACCTCAGGTGATCTGCCTGCCTCAGCCTCCCAAAGTGCTGGAATTCCAGGCATGAGCCACCGTGCCCAGCAGACATGCAACTCTTAAAGGCCCAACTTCCCAGCCCTCCTGCCTCCCTCCTCCATGGACTACTGGGTCCTGGTTCCTTCTCTGTCCCTGCATTCCTGCCCACCTCAGGCCTTCTCCTCTCCCTGTGGGCCCTCGACTCAGCCTCCTCCAGGTCTTCTCCGCTGCCCCTCCTCTGCTCCCAGCCCTCCTGTGGCACCTCAGTGCCCTCAGGTCAAAGCCTAGGCCAGTGCCTCCTCCTCTGGCCTCCTTGCTGCAGACACCAGCTCCAGGCACGCCCATTTTCCACTCTCTGAGTGCCTTTCCCATCTCCTCCTTCCACCTCGACACAGGTCAGATATCACCCTCTTTTTTTTAATTTTTTTTGAGATGGAGTCTTGCTCTGTTGCCCAGGCTATAGTGTAGTGGTGTGATCTCAGCTCACTGCAACCTCCGCCTTCCTGGGTTCAAGCTATTCTCCTGCCTCAGCCTCCCTAGTAGCTAGCACTACAGGTGCATGCCACCATGCCTGGCTAATTTTTGTATTTTTAGTAGAGACGAGGTTTCACTGTGTTAGCCAGGATGGTCTCGGTCTCCTGACCTCATGATCCGCCCACCTCGGCCTCCCAAAGTGCTGGGATTACAGGCATGAGCCACCGCTCCCAGCACAGATGTCACCCTCTAAATGCAGACCTTCTAGACCAATAGCCTCCTTGCCCCAGGAGATGGGGCCACAGCCTCCTTAAACCTCTGAATTCCCTCTGTCCATCCCCCTCCAATCCCAGGAAAGGGCCTGGCACCAGGAGGGGAGCCACCCGTACAGAAACTCTATGCCAAGAACATGCATGATCCTAGACTTCTCCCAGAACCTCAGGAAGTGAGTAGTGAAAGGACCACTTCATGCTCCAAGAAATGGAGGCCCAGAGAGGTTAATATAGTCCCCTAAGGTCACACAGCAGCCATCATAGTTTTCATTAAACACAAGTGCAGCCGGGCATGGTGCCTCATGCCTCTTGTCCTCACCTTTTTCAAGTCTTTGTTCCAAATGTCACCCCTTATCATGAGGGCTACCCTACAGCATCCTGTTTACAGCTAGACCCCCTGCACCCTCTTCCCCTGCTCTGCCTACCATCACACCTGTCACTCACTCCTGAGCTACTCTACAGTTGACATATGACATTGATGGTTTATTGACCATCTTCTCCGCTTGCATGTAAGCTCCATGAGCCTGGGAATTTAAAAAAATCTGGTGTTTTTTTCTTTTGTTATTGTTCTGTCTTGTTTGCCAATGTACCTAAAGTACTCTCAGCAGAGCCTGGCAGCAGGGAGGTGCTTGTCAATATTTATTGAAGGACCCAGGCAGGAGGATCGCTTGAAGCCAGGAATTCAAGACCAGCCTGGGCAGGCTGGGCACTGTGGCTCAAGCCTGTAATCCCAGCACTTTGGGAGGCTGAGGTGGGCGGATCACCTGAGGTCAGGAGTTCAAGACCAGCCTGGCCAACATGGTGAAACCCCATCTCTACTAAAAATACAAAAATTAGCTGGGCACGGTGGTGGGCGCCTGTAATCTCAGCTACTCGGGAGGCTGAGGCAGGAGAATCGCTTGAACCCGGGAGGCAGAGGTTGCAGTGTCCTGAGATCACATCACTGCACTCCAGCCTGGGGACAGAGCGAAACTCCATCTCAAAATAAATAAATAAATAAATAAATAAATTAGCCAGGCATGGTGGCCTGTACCTGTAGTCACAGCTGCTCAGGAAGCTGAGGTGGGAAGATCACTTGAGCCCAGAGTTCAAGGCTACAGGGAGCTATGATCTCACCACTGCGTGCTCCAGCCTGGGTGACAAAGCAAGACCTCATCTCTAAAAATAATAATAGGCCAGGTGTGGTGGCTCATGCCTATAATCCCAGCACTTTGGGAGGCTGAGGTGGGCGGATCACCTGAGGTCAGGAGATCGAGACCATCCTGGCTAACATGGTGAAACCCCGTCTCTACTAAAAATACAAAAAATTAGCCGGGCGTGGTGGCGGGCGCCTGTAGTCCCAGCTACTCGGGAGGCTCAGGCAGGAGAATCTTGAACCTGGGAGGCAGAGGTTGCAGTGAGCCGAGATCGCGCCACTGCACTCCAGCCTGGGGAACAGAGTGAGACTCTGTCTCAGAAAAAAAAAACAAAAACAAAAACGGAAAACAAAAACCAGCAAAAACCAGAGTCACTCTCCCTTCTGGGTGTTTGTCCAAGAGAAATGGAAGCCTATATGTTCAAACCAACATCTACACTTGACCCTCATCTACACTCATGTTTATAGCCACTGTACTCATAATTGCCAAACCCTGGGAACAGCTCAAACGTCCTTGCATGGGTAAGTGGATAAACAGCAGTATTCTGTGCCATGCGATACTACTCAGCGATGAAAAAGAACTGGCCGGGCTCGGTGGCTCACGCCTGTAATCCCAGTACTTTGGGAGGCTGACGCAGGCAAATCACCTGAGGTCAGGAGTTTGAGACCAGCCTGGCCAACATGGCGAAACCCCGTCTCTAATAAAATACAAAAATTAGCTGGGTATGGTGGTGCACGCCTGTAATCCCAGCTTTTTGGGAGGCTGAGGCAGGAGAATCACTTGAACCTGGGAGGTGGAGGTTGCAGTGAGCCCAGATCGCGCCATTGCACTCCAGCCTGGGCAACAAGAGTGAAACTCCGCCTCAGAAAAAAAAAAAAAAAGAACAAACCGGCGGTTCCCACAGCCACAGGGAAGGCTCTCCCAGGCATTGCACTGAGTGAAAGAGCCAGACTTGGAAGGTAAACTCTGTGTAATTCCATCTCTGTGACTGTGGTTGGCCAAATCACAGCCTCCAATGATGTTGTCGTCCTAATCCTTGAAATCTGAGACTGTGTTCCACAAATGGCCAAACGGACTTTGCAGATGTGATTAACAATCTTGACGAGGTGGCTCATGCCTCTAATCCCAGCACTTTAGGAAGCCGAGACAGGTGGATCACTTGACATCAGGAGTTTGAGACCAGCCTCGGCAACATGGCGAAACCCCATCTCTACTAAAAATACAAAATTAGCCAGGCGTGGTGGCGCATGCTTATAATCCCAGCTACTCAGGAGCCTGAGGCAGGAGAATCACTTTAACCTGGGAGGCGGAGGTCATGGTGAGCTGGGATCATGTCACTGCACTCCAGCCTGGGTGACAGAGTGAGTCTGTGTCTCAGAACAAAAAACCAATCTTGAGGCCAGGCATGGTGGCTCATGCCTGTAATCCCAACACTTTGGGAGGCCTAGATGGGAGGACTGCTTGAGGCCAGGAGTTCAAGACCAGCCTGGGCTACACAGAGTGAGAACCCAATCTCTTTAAAAAATAAGAAAAAAAAGAAAGAAAACTCCTGGGCTCAAGCGATCCTCCCACCTCAGCCTCCTAAAGTGCTGGGATTACAGATAGATGTCACTGAATCCAGTGAGTTACAATTTTAGATAAAAATTTATCTAAAATTTATCATATATATATATATATATATATATATATATATATATGTTTTTTTTTTTTTTTTTTTTTGAGACGGAGTCTCTCTCTGTCGCCCAGGCTGGAGTGCAGTGGCGCGATCTTGGCTCACTGCAAGCTCCGCCTCCTGGATTCACGCCATTCTGCTGCCTCAGCCTCCTGAGTAGCTGGGACTACAGGCGCCCGCCACCACGCCCTGCTAATTTTTTGTATTTTTAGTAGAGACAGGGTTTCACCATGTTACCCAGGATGGTCTCGATCTCCTGACCTTGTGATCTGCCTGCCTCAGCCTCCTAAAGTGCTGGGATTACAGGCGTGAGCCACCACGCCCAGCCTAAAATTTATCTAACATTTAATCTAAAATTTGTCATTTATCTAAATGCTAAATGCTGCTAGAACGGTGGCGTCAGGGAGGCCCCTCTGGGAACTCGACATCTGAGCAAAGACTGAAGGTAGCGAGAGAGGGAGCGGTGTGTGGGGACCAGAAGGAAGAGTGAGCGCAAAGAAGTGAGTGGTGGGCTGCTGGGATTCTGGGGCCTGAGTGGGACTGGAGCTGGGGGGCCCTGAGCGGCCCACCCTTCCAGGAATGCGATCGGACAGCAGGAGGGATTTCTCAGCAGCCCTGGCGGTGCCGCTGACTCACTGCCAGCGTCTGTGATCAACTCGCCTTTGGAGAGAGAGCATTGCCAAGACTCCCCCACCACCAGCCTGAGCTGGGTTCAATGCGCTTCACTCCCAGGACGCGCCAAGCAGTGTCCCGGCGCCCTGCCCTGCCTCTGTCCGGGCTGTTCTCCCCGCCAGGCTCTCCCTCACTTGGAGCCCATCTGGGCAGGCGTCCCCAGCTCAACCTCTCAGCAGGATGACTCACCCTTGGCCGTGGCGCAGAGATACTCTCTTGGCAGGAGTGTGACTGGCATAACCTCTTAGGGAGATCGTTTGGGAACATTTACAGGATTCAAGGCCAGCTCCTTCTCTGTCTTCAGGGCTTGGGTCTTCCCTGACCACCTTGGCTAAAGCAAGAGACCTCCCACCCCGTGCACATTACTGCCCATCTCCGCATCCTGCTGGCCTCCTTTGCGGCCCTTTTTAATACTTTTTTTTTTTTTTTTTGAGATGGAGTCTCACTCTGTTGCACAGGCTGGAATGCAGTGGCTTGATCTTGGCTCACTGCACCCTCGACCTCCACCCTCCGGCTCCTGGGCTCAAACGATCCTCCCACCTCAGTTTCCCCAGTAGCTGGGACTACAGGTGTGTGCCACCACACTCAGCTAATTCTTAAATTTTTTGTAGAGACAGGGGTCTCGCTATGTTGCCCAGACTGGTCTTGAACTCCTGGGCTCGTGGGATTCTCCTGCCTTGGCCTCCCAAAGTGCTGGGATTACAGGCATAAGCCACCGTGCCCTGCTTATTTTTATTTTTTGGATACAGGGCCTTGCTCTGTTGCTCAGGCTGGAGTGCAGTGATGCGGTCACAGCTTACTGCAGCCTCAGTCTCCTAGGCTCAAGTGATTTTCCTGCCTCAGCCTAGCCTCCTGAGTAGCTGGGACTACAGGCATACACCACCACACCTGGCTAATGTTTACATTTTTTGTAGAGATAGAGTCTCACCACATTGCTCAGGTTGGTCTTGAACTCCTCAGCTCAAGCGACCCTCCCACTTCAGCCTCCCAGAGTGCTGGGGTTACAGGCGTGAGCCACCGCACCTGGTCTGTTGCCTTCTTTAAATCTGCCTTCCTCACTAGCAGGAGAGCTGGGAAGTGGCAGAATTTTTCCCTGTGCTATGTCCTTCCTACCTTCAAAGCCAATGTCCGACACACGGGTAACACTGTGTTCTTTTTTTGTTGTTGTTGAGACAGAGTCTCGCTCTGTCGCCCAGGCATGATCTTAGTTCACTGCAACCTCTGCCTTCTGGGTTCAAGCGATTCTCCTGCCTCAGACTCCTGAGTAGCTGAGATTACAGGCGTGCACCACCACGCCTGGCTAATTTTTGTATTTTTAGTAGAGACGGGATTTCTCCATGTTGGTCAGGCTGGTCTCAAACTCCTGACCTCGTGATCTGCCCGCCTCAGCCTCCCAAAGTGCTGGGATTACAAGTGTGAGCCACCGTGCCTGGTTAAATACTGTGTTCTATTTGCCAGATCCCCGAATGAACCTGACCCCCTAGAAACATAAGGAATAGACAGATGCCCTTGAGGAAGCGCGCAGTGAAATATATCCCAGGGCGATCATGGCAATGATGTTCCAAGAGAGGCCAGAAACAACAGGGGACGGGGTAAATGAGTCTGGACCTGGAAAAACGCTGGAATTCAGCCACTCAAAAGGAGTTTACATCTTGACAGGGACTTGGGTTATACATGCATCTCTGCATCTCTCCCTCTCCCTCTCTTTTTTTTTAAAACAGAGTCTTGCTCTATCGCCCAGGTTGGAGTGCAGTGACACAATCACGGCTCACTGCAACTAGCACCTCCCAGGTTCAAGTGATTCTCATGTCTCAACTTCCCAAGAAGCTGGGATTACAGGTGTGTGCCAACACGTCCCTCTAATTTTTTTTTTTTTTGACAGAGTCTCACTGTGTCACCAAAGCCGGAGTGCAGTGACACAATTTTGGCTCACTGCAACCTCTGCCTCCCGGGTTCAAGTGATTCTCCCATCTCAGCCTCCTGACTAGCTGGGATTACAGGAGCACACTGCCACGCCCAGCTAATTTTTTATATTTTAGTAAAAACGGGGTTTTACCATGTTGCCCAGGCTGGTCTGGAACTCCCGAGCTCAAGCAATCCACCCGCCTCAGTCTCCCAAAATGCTAGAATTACAGGTGTGAGCCACCACGCCTGGCACATCCCTCGAATTTTTGTATTTTTAGTAATGATGGGGTTTTGCCATTTTGGCCAGGATGGTCTCGAACTCCTGGCCTCAAGCAACCCACCAGCCTTGGCCTCCCAAAGTGCTGGCTTTACAGGCATGAGCCATTGTGCCCAGCCGTACATATATTTCTCAAAATGAGCACACTTTAGCCTGGGTGCGGTGGCTCGTGCCTGTGATCCCAGCATTTTGGGAGCCCAAATCCTCCCAAAATGGGAAGCAAAGTGGGAAGATCACTTGAGCCTAGGAGTTTGAGACCAGCCTAGACAACATAGTGAGACTCCGTCTCTACAAATAACAATAAAATATTTAGGCTAGGTGCGGTGGCTCACACCTGTAACCCAGCACTTTGGGAGGCCAAGGCAGGCAGATCACCAGGTCAGGAGTTCGACACCAGGAGTTTGAGACCAGCCTGGCCAACAGAGTGAAACCCCGTCTCTACTAAAAATACGAAAATAGCTGGGTGTGGTGGTGTGCGCCTGTAGTCCCAGCTACTTGGGAGGCTGAGGTGGGAGAATCACTTGAACCCAGGAGGCGGAGGTTGCAGTGAGCCAAGACCATGCCATTGCACTCCAGCCTGGGTAACAGAGTGAGACTCCGTCTAAAAAAAAAAAAAATAGCCTGGTGTGGTGGCATGTGCCTGTCTTCTCAGCTACTTGGGAGGCTGAGGTGGAAGGATTGCCTGAGCTGGGGAGGTCGAGGCTTCAGTGAACTGTGGTTGTACCACTTAGGTGACAGGGCAAGATCCTGTCTCAAAAACAAACAAACAAACAAACAAAAAACTAGCACACTTTAGATTTGTGTGGTTTACTGTAGGTAAACTTCTATTAAAACAAACAAACAAACAAAACCACTAGCTAGGTGCAGTGGCTCACATCTGTAATCTCAGCACTTTGGAAGGCCGAGGCAGGCAGATCACCAGAGGTCAGGAGTTTGAGACTAGCCTGGCCAACATGGTGAAACCCCATCTCTACTAAAAATACAAAAATTAGCCGGGCGTAGTGGTGCACACCTGTAATCCCAGCTACTCGGGAGGCTGAGGCAGGAGAATCGCTTGAATCTGGGAGGTGGAGGTTGCAGTGAGCCAAGATCTAGCCATTGCACTTCAGCCTAGGTGACAGAGGGAGATTCCATCTCTCTCTCTCTCCATCTCTCTGTCTCTCTCTCTCACACATACACACAAACACACACACACACACCCCCCCATAAACAAATACTGAAGTAGTTAATAATATGCAGCCTGGAATGTTTAGGGTGAAACATTCAGATGTCTGTAACTTACTTTGAAATGCATCAAAAGTAAGGATTAGGCCGGGCACCGTGACTCATGCCTGTAATCCCAGCTCTTTGGGAGGCCTACGGAGGCGGGTCATCTGAGGTCAGGTGTTTGAGACCAGCCCGTCTAACATGGCGAAACCCTGTCTCTACTAAAAAAAACAAAAATTAGGCTGGGCTCAGTGGCTTATTCCTGTAATCCCAGCACTTTGGGAGGCTGAGGCAGGTGTATCATCAGTCCAGGCATTCAAGACCAGCCTGACCAATATAGTGAAACACAATCTGTACTAAAAATACAAAAATTAGCCGGGCGTGGTGGCACGCACCTGTAGTCCCAGCTACTCGGGAGGCTGAGGCAGAAGAATCGCTTGAACCTGGGGGGCAGAGGTTGCAGTGAGCCAAGATCAAGCCATTGCACTGTAGCCTGGGCAACAGAGTGAAACCCCATCTCAAAACAACAACAACAACAAACCCAGAAGGATTGATAGATGGCTAGAGGGATGCAAAGATCTGTGATAAAACAAGTACTATATAATAAAATTTAAGTGTATCCTGAAAGGGACACTGTAAAAAAGAAAAAAATTTTAAAAATTTAAAAAACCCCAAATTTTAGTGGTGGTGGGCATAGGGGTGTTCATGGGGTAATCTTTCCATTGTTCTTGTAAGTTCCTCTTTTTTTCTTTCTTTTTTTTTTTTTTTTTTTTTTTTGAGACGGAGTCTCGCTCTGTTGCCCAGGCTGGAGTGCAGTGGTGTGATCTCGGCTCACTGCAACCTTGCCTCCTGGGTTCAAGCGATTCTCCTTCCTCAGCCTCCCAAGTAGCTGGGACTACAGGCACCTGCCACCACGCCCAGCTAATTTTTTGTATTTTTAGTAGAGACAGGGTTTCACCGTGTTAGCCAGGCTGGTCTCGATCTTTGGACCTCGTGATCCGCCCGCCTCGGCCTCCCAAAGTGCTGGGGTTTCAGGCGTGAGCCACTGCACCCGACCTATTTTTTATTGTTATTTTTATTTTTTGAGACAGAGTCTTGCTCTGTCGCCAGGCTGGAGTGCAGTGGTGCTATCTCGGCTCACTGCAACCTCCACCTCCTGGGTTCAAGCGATTCCCCTGCCTCAGCCTCCCAAGTAGCTGGAACTTCAGGCACCTGCCACCACGCTTGGCTCATTTTTTGTGTGTATTTTAGTAGAGATGGGGATTCACCATGTTGGCCAGGATGGTCTCGATCTCCTGACTTCGTGATCAACCCACCTCAGCCCAGTCTTCTTCTTCTTCTTCCTCTTCTTTTGTTTTTTTTTTTTTTTGAGAGGAAGTCTCTGTTGCCCAGGCTGGAGTTCAATGGCATCAACTTGGCTCACTGCAACCTTGCCTCCCATGTTCAAACGATTCTCCTGCCTCAGCCTCCCGAGTAGCTGGGATTACAGGCATGTGCCAACACGCCCAGCTAATTTTTGTATTTTTAGTAGAGATGCGGTTTCGCCATGTTGGTCAGGCTGGTCTTGAACTCCTGGCCTCAAGTGATCCACCCACCTCGGCCTCCCAAAGTGCTGGGATTACAAGTGTGAGCCACGGTGCCTGCGCCCCAGCCTGCATCTTGTCTCAATCAGTCCCTGCCCTGTCCCCAGAGGCCACCCCTCTACGTCCCCCACCGTACAGATTGCATCAGCCCAGTCTTGCATGTTCTGGAACTGTCATCTTACACAAGAGGTTCTTTGGTGTTTTGGTTGTTTTTGCCTAGCATAATGTTTCTGACATTTTCCGTGTCTGTGTATACATTAGAGCTTGTTCCCATTTGCGGCTGAGTAGAATTCCACTGCATAAATAAATTCACAATGTGTTGATCCAGTCCTCTGTTAATGGACACCTCGGCGGTTTCCAGGTCAGGCTATTACTCCCAAAGCTGCCACAGTTGTTCCTGTCTTTGTGGGAACCGGCGTTCTCATTTCTCTTGGGCAAATAACTAGGAACAGAATTGCTAGGTCACAGAGTGGATATCATATGATTTGCATTGTAGTAGCTGTAAAGTAGGTTTTAAGATCCGATAGGAGGCTGGGTGCGGTGGCTCAGTCCCCTGTAATCCTACCACTTTGGGAAGCCAAGGCGGGAGAATGGCTTGAGCCCGGGAGTTCAAAATCAGCTTGGGCAACATAGCAAGACCCTGTCTCCACAAAAAATCTATTTTAATAAAATTTTATATTTTAAAAAAAGATCTGATAGGGAAAGTTCCCGCTTAACTTTTTTTTTTCTTGCCAATTCCTGCACACTTTAAGTCTATATAAATATCAGCTGGTCATGGTGGCTCACGCCTGTAATCCCAGCACTTTGGGAGGCCAAGGCAGGCGGATCACTTAAGGTTGGGAGTTCAAGACAAGCCTGACCAACATGGTGAAACCCCATCTCTACTAAAAATACAAAAATTAGCTGGGTATGGTGGTACATGCCTGTAATCCCAGCTACTTGGGAGGCTGAGGCAAGAGAATTGCCTGAACCTGGGAGGCAGTGGTTGCAATGAGCTGAGATCGCGCCACTGCACTCTGGATTGGGTGAGGAAGTGAGACTCTGTCTCAAAAAATAAATAAATAAATAAAGTCTATATAAATATTGCATATATCCTCAAAACAAGTAAAACTATGATCTATAAATAAAATAATAATAATAAAAATCCATATAAACATGCATATGATTTTTTATTTCTATTTATGTATTTATTTTGAGACATAGTCTCACTCCTTCACCCAGGCTGCAGTACAATGGTGTGATCTCGGCTCACTGCAACCCCTACCTCCCGGGGTTCAAGCAATTCTCCTGCCTCACCCTCCCCAGTAGCTGGGATTACAGGTGTACACCACCACGCTTTGCTAATTTTTTTTTTTTTTTGAGACAGAGTTTCGCTCTTGTTGCCCAGGCTGGAGTGCAATGGCCATCTCAGCTCACTGCAACCTCCACCTCCAGGGTTCAAGTGATTCTTCTGCCTCAGCCACCCGAGTAGCTGGGATTACAGGCATGTGCCACCACGCCTGGCTAATTTTTTGTATTTTTAGTAGAAACGGGGTTTTACCATGTTAGCCAGGCTGGCCTTGAACTCCTAACCTCAGGTGATCCGCCCGCCTCAGCCTCCCAAAGTGTTGGGATTACAGGCATAAGCCACCACACCTGACCTAATTTTTGTATTTTTAGTAGAGACAGGGTTTCGCCATGTTGGTCAGGCTGATCTCAAAACTCCTGATCTCAAGTGATCCTCCTGCCTTGGCCTCCCAAAGTTCTGGGATTGCAGGCGTGAGCAATGAGCCCGGCTAATTATTGTGTTTTTAGTAGACATGGGGTTTTTGCCATGTTGACCAGGCTGGTCTTGAACTCCCGACCTCAGGTGATCCACCTGCCTCAGCCTCCCAAAGTGCTGTGATTACAGGCATGAGCCACTGCACCCAGCCAAGGCCCATTTTGGAGAAGAGGGGAGTGGGGCTCTGGGATGTAGAGCATCTCACCCACATCTGCCTGATGGGGAACACACGTTAGGTTCGAGGTCCCTGGCTCTGTCCCTTGAAGCCTGACAGTCTCACCGCAGGCCCTGCCCATCCGAGTCCCACTGTAGCTGGGCTGCCAGTGTTCCGTTCTCACTGTCCAGTTTGGCTTGTTCCCTGAATGTCGCATGCTCCACTACACCGTGGAACCGCACCCTGCACGACGCCTGTCGCCTGGGGCTCTTCACTTTTTTTCTCTCCTCCTTTCTCTCAAACACCTCCTCTCTCTCTCCCTTCCAGCATACCTTTATTATTTATTTATTTTATCTTAATTAATTTATTTATTTTATCTATCTATTTATTTATTTATTTTGAGACAGTGTTTCACTCTTGTTGCCCAGGCTGGAGTGCAATGGCACGATCTCGGCTCACTGCAACCTCTGCCTCCCGGGTTCAAGCGAGTCTCCTGCCTCAGCCTCGCAGAGTAGCTGGGATTACAGGCATGTGCCACCACGACCAGCTACTCTTCTATTTTTAGTAGGACGGGGTTTCTCCATGTTGGTCAGGCTGGTCTGGAACTCCCCACCTCAGGTGATCCGCCTGTCTCGGCCTCCCAAAATGCTGGGATTACAGGCATGAGCCACCACACCGGGCCCGAATTTATTTTTTTGAGACAAGATCTTGCTCTGTCTCCCAGGCTGGAGTGCAGTGGTGCGATCTCAGCCCCACAGCAACCTCCGTCTCCTGGGTTCAAACAATCCTCCTGCCTCAGCCTCCCGAGTAGCTGGGATTACGGGCGCCCACCACCACACCTGGCTAATTTTTATTTTTTTTATTTTTGAGACGGAGTTTTGCTCTTGTTGCCCAGGCTGGAGTGCAATGGCAGGATCTTAGCTCACTGCAGCCTCTGCCTCCCGGGTTCAAATGATAGGCCCACCTCGGCCTCCCAAAGTGCTGGGATTACAGATGTGAGCCACCACGGCTGTCCTAATTTCTGTATATTTACTAGAGATGGGGTTTCACCATGTTGGCCAGGCTGGTCTCGAACTCCTGACCTCAAGGGATCCACACGTCTCGGCTTCCCAAAGTGCTGGGATTATAGGCATGAGCCACCACGCCCAGCCTCATTGACAGTTTTTGAAATTGACTATATGTGGAAATGATATTTCAGATAGATTAGATATGTGATTAAAATTAATTTCACTTGTTTCTTTTGTTTTTTTAAAAAGGTGGCTACGAGAAAATGTTTTCCTATGGGCTCACGGTATATATCTATGGAGGGTGGCCAGGGTCATGGAAACCATAAGGGTGACAAGTCCCCCCGAGAAGAAATGGCCACTGAGGGGCAGCCTCTGACTGCAGTTCCAAGCCCCTGTTGGATTCCTTTCTCTGGCATGAGGGTTATGAGTGGGGCCTCAGTTTTCCCATCTGTAAAATGGGCATTGTAACACTGGGACCACACAGGGCTGTTGTGAAGACTCAGTGAGCTCATCCCCACACAGCCTTCAGCACAGGGCCTGGCTCAGGGCAGATGCTCAGGAAGCTCATCATTATTATCATTCCTCACCCATCCCCTCCCTTGCTAGCATTCGAGTTTCTGGCTCAGCAGCGGTCTCAGAACTGGGGAAGGAGGAAAGAGAGAAACAGCACAAATGCTGAGTCAGCTGCGAGCCCAGGTCAGGCCCTTCCCCGGTCATTGCCCGTTTCACAGACGCTCAACCCTGAGGGCAGTCCTTTCTACCAGGAGGGTCCCAGCTCCTGAGCCATAGGGGCGGCATTCGAACCCAGGACTGCCTTCCTGTGGGCATTCTTCTTTTCTTTTTAATTTTTTTTTTTTTTTTTTAAAGAGAGATGAGGGTTTGCTATGTTGCCCAGGCTGGTCTTGAACTCCTGGCCTCAAGCAATCCTCCTGCCTTGCCCTCCCAAAGTGTTGGGATTACAGGCGTGAGCTGTGGCACCTGGCCCCTGCAGGCTTTCTTGCCTGCGGTGTCACGGTCCCCACTTTCCCAGATCCTTGGGGCTCTGGTCCCCACGTAAGTAACTGGCCACACCTCTCTTAGGGCCTCCACTCCAGGCCTCCGGGCAAGGCGAGGGTCTCCCTTCTCAGCCTGGCATTTATTCCATGTCATGGGTGACCCACTGGGTCCCACAGTTCCTCCTCCAGACCCTCTGGGTGGCAAACTGGGCTGCTTAGTTCTTTCCAAATGGGTCCTGAACTCAGCTGGCCAGCATGGCGAAACCCTGTCTTTATCAAAAATACAAAAATTAGCTAGGCATGGTGGCACATGCCTGTAATCCCAGCTACTTGGGAAGCTGAGGCAGGAGAATCGCTTGAACCCAGGAGGCGGAGGTTGCAGTGAGCTAAAATCACGCCACTGCTCTCCAGCCTGGGCGACAGAGCAAGACTCTGTCTCCAAAACAAAACAAAACAAAACAAAACAAAACAAAACAAAAAACAAAACCAAATGGGTCCTGAACTCTGAACATCACCACTTCCAACCTTTCCTCTGCCAGTCCGTACACAGGCCCACCAGGCACAACTGCCTCCCCCCACCCCAAAGAGCGAGTGGAAAGGAAAACGCATCCTGTCCCTCACTCTTCAAGGCTGAGTCCCTCGTCAGGGGCTGGGTGGAGAAGGAGGGAACCGTGAGCATCTTTTTCCACTTCTCCCCAAGTCCCCGCATCCGCTAGTGCTGGCCCCGAAGCCCCTCTCCCTAGTCTGCCTGCCCAAATCTCACCCAGCGGGGAGGCAATGCCTTATTATTTCTTAATTGTTTGAAACCCCTTGATCAGCCCGTCTCAGAAAAAGCAGCTTCAGGCCAGTCGCGGTGGCTCACACCTGTAATCCCAGCACTTTGGGAGGACGAGGCGGGTGGATCATCCGAGGTCAGGAGTTTGAGACAAGCCTGACCTATATGGTGAAACCCTGTCTCAACTAAAAATACAAAAATTTAGCCAGGCGTGGTGGCGCACGCCTGTAGTCCCAGCTACTCAGGAGGCTGAGGCAGGAGAATCGCTTGAACCCCGGAGGCGGCTGTTGCAGTCAGCCGAGATGGTGCCACTGCACTCCAGCCTGGGCAACCAGAGTGAAACTCTGTCTCAAAAAAAAAAAAAAAAAAAAAAGAAAAGAAAAGAAAAAAGAAAAAGCAGCCTCATGACTGGCAGGGCTTTGGCCATAAAATCATTCATGTGGCTCAGCCCTCCCTAAGGAAGGTGGGGCCGGGGTTGTAAAACCAGAGCTGGCCCCTCCTCGCCCTCCCCGTCAATAAGAGGCAGAGATCAGAAGGTGCCGGCGCCAGGGACTCCCGAGATCAGAGCGCGGGGAGGAGCGGCCACCGCAGCTCTCCTTGGCTGCCCGAGGCGCCCCAGGTCCAAAGGCCGGCGTGGCTTCTCTGGCCTTGACACTCTCCGTAGCCCAGCACGCAGGGAATGCAAGGAAACGCCTGGAACCGCAGAGCGCCTGCTAACGCCTCCTGTCTGGGCTGAGTCTCCCTCCCGGATCTCGCTCCTTCCGGGTCTTGCTCATCCCCAAGTTCCCCATCCAGGGCGTGATACAGTCAGGCTTCCCTGGTTCAAATCCTGGCTACGCCCTGCTTGGCAGCTGTGTGACCCTGGGCAAGTCACTCAACCTCTCTGGGCCTCACCTCTTACAGGGGATGATAGTAGTTAAAATGGGTTAATCTCCGACGGCTGTAAGGATTAGATGAGGTAATACAGACAGCACTCAACAGGTTGAGAACAACTGCAAGGATGTTACAGGGATTATAACATCCTGGGCTTGTCAGCCTACTGGGTCAGCAGCCCATCCTGCCTACCGCCTGTGCCAAATGTTTTCCTCTTACGATTTTATTTTTTTTAATTTTTTTAATTTTAATTATTTTTTGAGACAGAGTTTCACTCTTGTTGCCCAGGCTGGAGTGTAATGACACGATCTCGACTCACCGCAACCTCCGCCTCCTGGGTTCAAGCGATTCTCCTGCCTCAACCTCCCGAGTAGCTGGGATTACAGGCATGCACCACCATGCCCGGCTGACTTTTTTCTATTTTTAGTAGAGACGGGGTTTCTCCATGTTGGTCAGCCTGGTCTCCAACTATCGACCTCAGGTGATCCGCCCACCTCGGCCTCCCAAAGTTCTGGGATTACAGGCGTGAGCCACCGTGCCCGGCCTCTTACGATTTTAATTTAGCCCTTATTATCCTTTTAAGTCCTTTTTACATACAAGACCACATGGAACACATATTAAATTTCTTTTTTCTTTTTTTGAGATGGAGTTTCAATCTTGTCACCCAAGCTGGTGTGCAGTATGCGATCTCAGCTCACTGCAACCTCCGCCTCCTGGGTTCAAGCAACTCTCCTGCCTCAGCCTCTCCAGTAGCTGGGACTACAGGCAAGTGCCACCACGCCTGGCAAATTTTTGTGTTTTTAGTAGAGACGGGGTTTTACCATGTTGGCCAGGCTGGTCTTGAACTCCTGACCTCAAGTGATCCGCCCACTTCAGCCTCCCAAAGTGCTGGGATTACAGGCATGAGCCACAGAGCCCGATCTCACATATTAAATTTCTCATAATTCATAATGAACCCCATAAACTAGAACATTCTGAGCGATGCATCTTGCTGATATCTCTGGGCCCCTTCCTGTGGCATCTACCCGTCCCTTGAGCTGCTATCCTGAATTAAATTCTGGTCAATTCCTTGTTTGGTTTTTATTTTATTTTTTTAGAGACGGGGTCTTGCTGTGTTGTCCAGTCTGGTCTTGAACTCCTGGCCTCAAATGATACTCCTGCCTTGGCCTCCCAAAGTACTGCAATGGACAGGAGCCACCATGCCTGGCCTAGGACAACTTTTTTTTTTTTGAGACAGAGTCTTGTTCTGTTGCCCAGGCTGGAGTACAGTGGCAGGATCTCAGGTCACTGCAACTTCCGCCTCCTGGGTTCAAGCGATTCTCCTGCCTTAACCTCCTGAGTAGCTGAGATTACAGGTGTGTGGCACAACTCTGGCTAATTTTTTTATTTTTAGTACAGATGGGGTGTCACCATGTTGGCCAGGCTGGTCTTGAACTCCTGACCTCAAGGGATCCACCTGCCTCGGCCTCCCAAACTGCTGGGATTACAGGTGTGAGCCACTGAGCTGGCAACTTTTTTTTTTTTTTTAAATCACATATGCGTGTATTCTGAAAACAATAGTTTCTCTCCCTGGAGGTGCTTAAAAAACGAACCATTTGAGAGCCACTCAGGTCTGCTGCAGGATGGCCCACCACGGGGAGTTTCCACGGCAGCTGGCCCTCTCCTGACCCAGCTGCCCCTTACTCTCCTGAAGCCACCTGTGTCCCTGTGCCCCAACCATTCCCTTTCCCAGCACTCCCTGCCCCTCCTCCCCGTCTGCTAACCCTGACTCATCCTGGAAGCTCCGGCTCAGAGGTTGCTTAATGGAGCCTCCATTCATTCATTCATTCTTGACGTCCTTTTCACAGATTTCCTACATTCATTTCCTATCCACGAACAGGCCAATATTTTGGTGCCACGGGGCAGATTTGAAGCTAGACCAGCGTGATCAGGGACCTGGGACCTGGCGTGGGTGTCTGCCTGCATTCTCTCATTCCCCTGGCCAAAAATCCTAAATTGCCCGTGTTGAATCTTAACGCCTGAGAAGTTTGGCAAAGGAAGGAGAGAGGGCAGAGGTCAGCCCAGGCAAAGGACACTGCGCTGGTGCACGCAAAGTCCCGAAAGTGGCGAAACCCTTTCTCTACTAAAGATACAAAAATTAGGCCGGGCGCGGTGGCTCACACCTGTAATCCCAGCACTTTGGGAGGCCGAGGTGGGCACATCACCTGAGGTCAGGAGTTCAAGACCAGCCTGGCCAACATGGTGAAACCCCGTTTCTACTAAAATACAAAAAATTAGCCGGGCATGGTAGAGTGTGCCTGTAATCCCAGCTACTCAGGAGGCTGAGGCAGAAGAATCGCTTGAACCTGGGAGGCGGAGGTTGCAATGAGCCAAGTTCGCATCACTGCACTCCAGCCTGGGTGACAGAGCAAGACTCCATCTCCAAAAAAAAACAAAAATTAGCTGGGTGTGGTGGCGCATGCCTGTAATCCCAGCTACTCTGGAGGCTGAGGCAAGAGAATCACTTGAATCCAGAAGGCAGAGATTGCAGTGAGCCGAGATTGTGCCACTGCACTCCAGTGTGAGCCACAGAGCAAGGCTCTGTCTCAAAAGAGAGAGAGAGAGAGAGAGAGAGAGAGAGAGAGAGAGAGGATGTCTCTGGGATCCCTATGCAAGGAGCCAGATAAGCAAAGAGAGAGAGAGAGAGAGAGAAGATGTCTCTGGGATCCCTATGGAAGGAGCCAGATAAGCAAAGGCACTGTGGCAGGGAACAAGCGTGGCCAGGGAATTCAAAGTAATAGAGTAGATAGGCCGGGCACGGTGGCTCACGCCTGTAAGCCCTGCACTTTGGGAGACCAAGGCGGGTGGATCACCTGAGGTCAGGAGTTCGAGAACAGCCTGGCCAACATGGTGAAATCCTGTCTCAACTAAAAATATAAAAATTAGCCAGGCATGGTGGCGGGTGCCTGTAATCCCAGCTACTTGGGAGGCTGAGGCAGGAGAATCGCTTGAACCTGGGAGGCCGAGGTTGTAGTGAGCCGAGATCGTGCCACTGCACTCCAGCGTGGGCGACAGAGTGAGACTCCGTCTCAAAAAAATAATAGTAATAATATTAACTGGGCGCAGTGGCACGCGCCTGTCATCCCAGCTACTCGGAGGCTAGAACCTCAGAGCGCCCGCTTCACCTCCCATCTGGGCTGAGTCTACCTCCTGGATCTCGCTCCTTCCTGGTCTTGCTCATCATCCCTAAATTCCCTGTCCAGGGCATGATAACAGTCAGGCTTCCCTGGTTCAAATCCTGGCCGTGCCCTGCTTGGCAGCTGTGTGACCCTAGGCAAGTTACTCAACCTCTCTGGGCCTCATCTCTGACACAGGATGACAGCAGTCAAAGTGGGTTCATCTCAGATGGCTGTGAGGATTAGATGAGGTAATACACCTGAACCTGGGAGGCGGAGGTTGCAGTGAGCCGAGATCGTTCCACTGTGCTCCAGCCTGGGTGACAGAGCCAGATTCAGTCTCAAAAAAAAAAAAAAAAAAAAAAAAAAAGCAGTAGAGTAGCTGGAATGCAGGTGAGGAGGCTGGGGGGGCGGGGTGGGTGAGGGCTGGGCGCTGAGGAATTCACTGGATGGCTGGGAGGAGGGGAGGAGCAGCCTGGGACAGCCAAGGCTGGAGTGGTGAGGTTGGGGGGAGATGAGGAGGCCTGAGCTGGGGCTGTGGCAACCGAGAGGAAGAACCAGGGCAGAGAGTCAGGGGACAGGGGTGGGGGTTGGGGACTGACAGGCTGGGGGCGAGCAGAGGGGGAAGTCGGGGCCAGGAGAAGCCCTGTGGATCTGAGCCAGTGATGGGGAGGGGACATCCCTGAGATGGGCAACCTGGGAGGAGGTGCGAATCTGGGGGGGTACGTGGCGTATCTGAGGGGGTCTGGGAGGGGCACATCCCGAAGGAAGTGGGCCCCAGGGGGATGCTCCAGCAGGCTCGCTGGGGAGAGGCACGCTTCCAGGCCTGGGGGATTCCAGAAGTGCCTGGAAGTTTGAGGTCCTAAGGGCACCCCCCCAGGGCTCTGCAGCCATCAGGGCTGGAGGAGTCTTGCAGGGGAGGGCTATTCTCCCCCACGATGACGAAACCGAGCTTCGCAGAGGGTCAGTGACTAAACCAAGGTCACCCACTTAGCGAGGTCACTCAGGGCGTTTTATGACCAGCTGGCAGAGCCGTCGCGGAGATAAAAAAAAGGCTCCCAGGTGCCTGGCTGGGGTGGGGGTGAGGCCTTCCCAGAGGCGGGAACCCTGGAGGCGAGCTGGCTTATCTGTTTATCTCTGGAGAGAAGAATTGCAGAACTCAGAAGTCCTGGATTAGACAATGTTGAGTAAAGAATGCTGGGGCCTCCCTCACGCAGAACTGGGCCAGCCTGGTCACAGCTCTCAGCCCAGGAGGCCCAGAGACATCAGGAAGCTTGTCTAGGTCACACAGCAATCAGGATTGAACTGCTCCTGTCTCTGGAGTCCCAGGCACCCAGGAAGGCCTCTTCATGCCCCAGCTTCTGGCTGAGGGAGGGGAGGGGAGGGCCTGAAACAGTGGAATGAAATGAGGCGGCCAGGCGTGGTGGCCCACGCCTGTAATCCCAGCACTTTGGGAGGCCGAGGCAGGTGGATCACCTGAGGCAAGGAGTTCAAGAACAGCCTGGCCGACATGGTGAAACCCTTTCTCTACTAAAAATACAAAAATAAAATTAGCCGGGCATGGTGGCGGGCTCCTGTAATCCCAGTTACTTGGGAAGCTGAGGCTGGAGAATCACTTGAACCCAGGACGCGGAGGCTGCAGTGAGCTGATATCGTGCCATTGCACTCCAGCCTGGGCAACAAGAGCGAAACTCCATTTCAAAAAAATAAAATAAAATAAGAAAGGAATGAGGCAACTGGGCTGAGAACAGGTCTTGGTTGTCTCCCTCCTCACAGCCCACGGTGGCTGGAGGGGCCCAGGCTGCCAGGAAGGTCTCACTTGGCAAGAGTGCAAGATACGAGGGGTTGGAGATTGTCTCAGCAGTTTGCTGTGTGATCTGGGGCAGGCTGCCTGCCCTCTCTGGGCCTCTGCGCTCCCCTAAAAGATGGAGCCACGGGGAGGGGTGTAAAGGGGACATCACCAAGGCTGTGAGGAGCAGGAGAAACCACAGGCTCTGGCGTGAGACAGACCGGGTTCAGATTTGCTTCTAGCTGCGTAATTGCGGTCATGTCGCGTTCCCTCCCAGCCTCAGTTTCCCCATCTGGAAAGCAGGTACTGTCAAAGTGTCTGACTCATCCCCAGGAAGAGGGAGTCACGCTGAGCTCATGGAAGTGGGCAGTGCTCTGCCCTAACCACTGTTAGGAGACCTGAAGAGTCCAGAGCCTGCCCTCTCCGCCCCAAGTGCCCTAGAACACAGCTTCTCCCTCTGGGGGTCTCAGCAGCATCCCAGTCTCTCCCATTTCACCCCCAAGCACCCCCGTTATTTCAGGGCTTGCATGGGGTGTCCTGGGTACTACAGGCTGTTGTGTTTCCTGAGCAACTACTATGCACCAAGCTGCCTGCTCTCTTCCACTGCTCTATCAGGGAGACACAGGGCTTGTGGGCCCCTTTGACAGACAGAAAAACTGAGGCCCGGAGAGCGACAGGGACACCCCAGGCATCCCCACTGGTGACTCAACACGGTCGGGTCCTCACTCCCTTCTCAGGAGGGACCTATACACCACACTGGATGCCCCAGCCCAGCCCAGCCCCTCCAGCTAAGTCTGGGCCAGGCCTGCGGCTGCGGGTGGCTGGAGGCCACCCTTGCCACAGTCCCCGGCTCCCCCAAACAGCCACCTCCTCCCTGGGATCTCCTGGCTCCTGCCCAGGTCTGGGCCTCACCTGATTTCCGAGATGTCATCTTCATAGGTGTCCCACAAGCCCGGGATCTGGGGCTCGGCGGGCCCGTCCATGGCAGGTGGGTGAGGGTGGGGAGGGGAGGACGAGCAGGGAGCAGGCGGCACAGAGGCCAGGTGTGCGCAGCGACAGCGTCTGCCACCTGGGGAGCCCGCCAGGTGCCTACTCCGTGCCCGGCCCAAGGGGAGGGGCAGCACCCAGCCGGTTCTCCCAGCTGCTACCCACGCCTCCAACAGCGGGGAGAGGCCAGAGGGAGCCACCCTGCTCTGAGGGCGGGGAGGAGCAGTGATGGGCACGTCCTGGCGTCTGGTGCTCAGCTGGGGGCAGAGTCCAGGGGGTCAGTGCCAAGCCCACGCCAGAACCTTCCGGGCTGGCAGTTCTGGGCCTGTGGGCACCCACCTGGAGCCCACGTTGCTCATTTGGGAAATGGCGCTGATCTCGCCCATCTCAGCGAGTTCATTCATTCATTCATTCATTCACTCATTCATTCCTTTATTCATTTGAGAAATATTTACTGAGCATCTCCTGTCTGCCAGGCGCTGTTCCAAGCACTAGGCCACCGCTGGGGAAGGGGCAGACAGAAACTTGCCCTCACGGGCTGACGCGTAAGGGGCACCCTGGAAACAGACACAGGGACAGAGGCACAGCCAGGACCACGGCAGCACAGACAGGGCGGGAGCCAGGGAGAAAGGGAGAGGGCAGAGGGCATGGGAGACAGAGACCAGGAGGGGACTGAGATGCACAGGGGCCAGAGACCTTGAGAGACGCAACAGAGATACACGGAGGGCGGAGACAGAGACACACGGACACCCAGAGGAGACAGAGACACACAGGGGTCAGAGACCCTGAGAGACCCAGCAGCGATATACAGAGGGCAGAGACAGAGATACATAGAAAGGTCAGGGACAGGGAGAGACACAGATATGAGAGACAACTGCCAGATATGGTTGGGCGTGAGAGTCTGAAGGTCACAGCCCTGGTTCAAATCCCAGCTCCAGTGCCTCCCAGCTGTGGGGCCGGGAACCATCTTGCTCATAGGCTCATCTTGCCTTAGTTTCCCCATCTGTGAATGGCACCCATCGGGCTGTTGTGAGGACTGAGGGAGACACTCTCAGCTGCTGGTGGAGGATCTGGTACACAGTGAGCTCAGCATAGACGGTGTTCTCTTCTCTTCTGCCCCCACCCCAAACCCTGGCCCTCCCCAGCTGTTGGTCCCTGACCCCTCAGAGTCCTGGAGTCATGAAGCCAGTCTCCCCACCAGTGGTGGCAGGTGCCTGTAATCCCAGCTACTTGGGAGGCTGAGACACGAGAATCGCTTGAACCTGGGAGGTGGAGGTTGGAGTGAGCTGAGATCACATCACTGCACTGCAGCCTGGGCGACAGAGAGAGACTCCATCTCAAAAAAAAAAAAAAAATGCCAAAAGAAAGCCTGTGCAATGGCTCACGCCTGTAATTCCAGCACTTTGGGAGGCCGAGGCGGGTGAATCGCCTGAGGTCAGGAGTTCAAGACCAGCCTGGCCAACATAGTGAAACCCCATCTCTACTAAAAATACAAAAAATTAGCTGGGCATGGTGGCAGGTGCCTGTAATCCCAGCTATTCGGGAGGCTGAGGCAGGAGAATCACTTGAACCCTGGAGGCAGAGGTTGCAGCGAGCCAAGATTGTACTGTTGCACTCCAGCCTGGGCAACAAGAGTGAAACTCCATCTCAAAAAGAAAAAAAAAAAAAGCCAAAACAAATAAAATTGTATATACTGACCAATTATTGTTGCATAGGTGAGGGGGATGGAAGACGTCAGACTCACCTAACAGATGCAGGAAGGGGGCCCAGAGAGGTAATGTGGCTTCCCCCAGGGCACACAGCACTGCCCGCCTTCACTCTGATGGTAAGCAGAAAAGGAGGGTTCTGGGGTATCCCATCTCTCAATTCACCACCCCAAGACCCGTCTCCAGGAGGCTGAGCTGTGGGAGCACCCGCCCCTGCCCCCAGCCACTACCGAGTCCACATCCTCAACATTCTGCCTTGATACTTTCAGTGTTAAGCCTTGATGTTCCTGCTGATAAAAAGGCTCTCTTGCAGGGTGGGTGGAAGGGTGAGAGGGCCAGGCATCCCCCTCTGAGGCTGAGTGAACCCCTCTGATGTCGGAGGTGGGGGACTGAACCATGACACCCCACCAGGCCTCCGGCTGGGCTGTCTTCACCTTTGTTTTCTATTCAATGACCCTTTGTCCCTGGCTCTGTGTGCTGCTGGGGTGGGGGGTTAGGGAGAGTCTGGGGAAGGGAATGCCCAGGTCCTTAGGGATCCTGAGAGGGAAACTCGCAGGCAGGTGCGGAGGCATCCCCGGGGCACAGGAAGGTTGGGGAGCAGTAGGGCCTGAGGTTGTGCCTGAGTGGGCAATGGAAAGAAACTGGCCAAACTAGGCGGCCTAAGACCCAGGGGAGGCTCCTACTGCAGGGCCTTTGCCCTTGCTATTCCCGCATGTTCCTGATACCTGGGAGCTTCGTGGGCTCCTATCGTCTGACTCTGCCCAGTGTCACCTCCCCCAGGCTCGTCCACCAACTTCTCCATTCCTCTTTCCTGTTTTACTTTTTCCCATAGCACTCGTCACCATCTGACCTCCTAAATGTTTTGCTTCTTTGTCTTGTTTACCATCTATCTCCCCACTAGACTGTCAACCCCATGAAAGAAGGGCTTGTTCTATGTCAAATCTGCGGTTATTTCCCAAGGGAAGAGCCTGGAATATAGTAAATGCTCAATAAGTGCCTGTTGATGGAATGAATGAATTGTCACAGGAAGACGTGATGGAATGAGTGAAGGTCATGGTGGTGCCAGGAGAAGTCCACTGAATCTCTGTGGAGAATGAGGAGGGAGCTGAGGAGATGCAAAAGCCTGATTCTGGAAGGCGAGGGGTCCAGACTCCTACAGAGGTGGCAAGGAGGAACCAGAAGACACCAGAGTGACATTTTAGCCAATTGTGAGAGTGCAGAGATACTAGTGGAGACCATCAACCCCCAGAAATGAATCTGAGGGTCTTGGACATCTGGGAGACAAGGACGAGACCAGAAGGATGAAGGAGTGGGCTGGGCTTGGTGGCTCATGCCTGTAATCCCAGCACTTTGGGAGGCCCAGGCGGGTGGATCACGAGGTCGGGAGTTCAAGACCAGCCTGGCCAACATAGTAAAACCCCGTCTCTACTAAAAATACAAAAATTAGCCGGGAGTGGTGGTGGGTGCCTATAATCCCAGCTCCTCAGGAGGCTGAGGCAGAGAATTGCTTGAACCCAGGAGGTGGAGATTGCAGTGAGCCGAGATTGTGCCACTGTGCTCCAGCCTGGGCAACAGAGCAAGACTCGGTCTCAATTAAAAAAAAAAAAAAAAAAAGATGAAGAGTGTGGGAAAATGCAAGTGGAAAACCCAGAGCCACTTGGTCATGGGTAGTGAGAGGAGCAAGGATTATACATCCATTCATCCCTCCAGCTGTTCATCCCTCTATCTATGCATCCACCTGTCCCTCTATTCATCCATCATCCATCCACCCGACCATCCACCCAACCATTCATTCAGCCACCCAACCACTTATCCAATCATCCATTCAACATCCATCTATCTACCCATCCAACCATCCATCCCTCCATCCATTCATCAGCCATCAAACCATCCACCTCTTCATCCATTCATCATCTATCCATCCATTCATCCATCCAACCATCTACTCAACCATCCATCTATCCAGCCATCCATCACCCATCCATCCATTTTCCATCCATTCATCTAGCCACCCAACCATCCAACCATCCATCTATCCATCCATCCTGCATTCATTCAGCCATTTATTCATCCATCACCCAACCATTCCTTCATCTATCCATTCATCCATCCATCCTGCCATCCATTCATCACTGTCTATCCATTCATCCATCCAAGCATCTACTCAACCATCCTTCTATCCATCCATCCATCCTCTATTCATCCACTCAGCCAGGTATCCATTCAACCAGCCATCTATGCATCCATCTTTCTATGCATCCTCCATCCATTCATCCATCCATCCAACCATCTACCCATCCATTCGACCATCCGTCCATCCATCCATCCATCCATCCATCCATCCATGCATCCACTCATCCATTCATCCAGGCATCCAATAGTCTATTTTTCCAACTAATATCTGTAGAGACCTCCTCTGGGTCAGTCTCTGATATTGTGTCCACAAACAAGACATGTAAGTAAATGGCTTACATCTGTGCTGTCCATCCCAGAAGCCACTGGCCATAGGTGGCTATTTAGCACCTATGTGCAATGTGACTGAGAAAGTGAAAATTTTCCATTTTATTTCATTTTAATTAATTTAAATAAATTTAATTTAAAAAAATTAAAATTAATTTAAATTAATTAAAATGAATTAATTTTATTTCATTTTAAAAATTTTTAAAAAATAAAAAATTATTTCATTTTAATTAATTTAAATGAAATTAAATTTTCATTTAATTAATTCCATTTTAATGTACCTTTTCGAAATTGAGCATCAAAATTGAGATACAAAGCATATAAAACATCTCATGGGTAATTTCTATATTGATTACATGCTGAAGTGGTGATATTTTAGATACATCAAATTGAATAAAATCTATTCCTACAATTAATTATTTTCTTTTCTTTTTTCCTTCTAGTCTTTTTTTTTTTTGAGACGGAGTCTTGCTCTGTCACCCAGGCTGGAGTGTAGTGGCATAATCTTGGCTCACTGCAACCTCCACCTCCCAGGTTCAAGCAATTCTCCTGCCTCAGCTTCCTGAGTAGCTGGGATTACAGGCGCCCACCACCATGCCCGGCTAATTTTTTTTTTTTTTCGTATTTTTAGTAGAGATGAAGTTTCACCATGTTGGCCAGGCTGGTCTCGAACTCCTGACCTCATGATCCTCCTGCCTCAGCCTCTCAAAGTGCTGGGATTACAGGTGAGCCACCACACCTGGCCCTTCCAGTCTTAAAGCTGGAGAAAACTACAATTAATTTTACCTGTTTCTTTTTTGTTTTTGAGACAGAGTCTCACTCTGTCACGATCTGTGCATCTCGGCTTACTGCAACCTCTGCCTTCCAGGTTCAAGTGATTCTTCTGCCTCAGCCTCCTGAGTAACTGGGGTTGCAGGGGCGCACCACCATGCCCAGCTAATTATTTTGTATTTTTAGTAAAGATGGGGTTTCACCACGTTGGTCAGGCTGATCTTGAACTCCTGACCTCAAATGATCTGCTCACCTCAGCCTCCCAAAGTGCTGGGATTACAGGCGTGAGCCACCGTGCCTGGCCACCTATTTCTTTTTGCTTTTTTTAAAAAATGTGGCAACTTGTGGTGTGTGCTTGGAGGCTATTTGTATTGACTGCTGGCTTGGGCTAAGTTCCATGTGCTTGATACCCTGGCTGTAGAGGCCAGGACCTTCTTGGGAGGCCAGGAATGACTTCCCAGGAAAAGGATGCCCCAGTAGGCAAAACCAAGGACAGAGGAACTCACCAGATGGGTAAGTGGGACTTGAGTGGTGGAAAAGGCGTCTTGTTAGAAAGCCTGGCAGAGACAAAGGCCTAGAGGCTGGAAAGACATTGGGAGGTGTTTCCTCCAGGCCAAAGAGGGGGCCTCTGGGGGCCAGGCTCAGTGCCTCACCTCTGTAATCCCAGCACTTTGGGAGGCTGAGGCAGGAGGATCGCTGAAGCTCAGGAGTTTGATATCAGCCTGGGCTACAAGGCCTCATCTCTACAAAAAATTTAAAAATTATCTGAGCATGGTGTCGGTGCACCTGTGGTCTCAGCTACTCGGGAGGCTGAGGTGGAAGGACCACTTGAGCCCAGGAGGTTGAGGCTGCAGTGAGCTATGATTGCACCACCGTGCTCCAGCCTGGGTGACGAAAACAAAACAGGCCAGACGCGGTGGCTCATGCCTGTAATCCCAGCACTTTGGGCAGCCAAGGTGGGCAGATCACCTGAGGTCGGGAGTTTGAGATCATCCTGACTAACACAGAGAAACCCTGTCTCTACTGAAAATACAAAATTAGCCCGGTGTGGTGGCGCATGCCTGTAATCCAGCTACTCGGGAGGCTGAGGCAGGAGAATCGCTTGAACCCGGGAAGCGGCAGTTGCGGTGAGCCGAGATCGTGCCATTGCACCCCAGCCTGGGCAACAAGAGGGAAACTTCATCTCAAAAAACAAAACAAACAAAACAAAACAAAAGCCCCCAAAACAAAGAATAGCACTGGGGATAGGGAGGTAGTCCTGGGTTCCTGGGTAGGGGTTGACAGTGAGGGCGTCCAGGGACACTCACACCCATCCCTGGGGGCTTAAGGGTGGCAGGTGGGGATGGGCTGGGCCACTCAGGACATGCCCTCCACTCCCATAAACCCAAAGCACGATGGACACGTCACCTGTGTGCCACCGACCACAAGGAGGCTGTCTCCTGTTCTACACCTTGGGCTGATTGCGAAGGGGGCATTGGAAGTGGCCTTGCCAATGGGCTGAGGGTGGACAGCAGGGGACTCCCATCGTGGAGCAATTCCTTGGCCTCTCTTGGGGGGGCCCACCTGCCCCCCAAGCCCTGGGATGTGCCATTTTGCTCTTGGAGCTCAGACATAGGCAAAGGGAGGTCACTGGGTCATGAGGTCACGTTTCCACAGAATCGAGGCCATTGTCACCTCCAGAGCCCGACCTTTCCATTAAAAGCCAGTCATTGCCGGGAGTTCTGGGAGCCCGAGGACAGCCAGCCCTGGCTGCTTAGAGGCTGGGTTCCCGAGGGGGCAGGGGCTGGGGGCGGGGCGTCCAAATCCCAAGTCAGGAAGGATCCAAGGAGGAACCCGAATGGGGTGGGAAGGGGGCACGGTCCAGAGCTGGGGGACCAGGCTCCTGGGTTTGATGGAGGAGGGGCCTGGGCCAGACCCCAGTGACCCAGACAGACAAAAATGGGACACTTAGACATGTGGACCTGGGGAAGGGGGTTGGGGGGAGGTTACGGGTGGTAGAGGACACCCCTGTCCCCAAGCCCACGCAATGCCCCCTTGAGGCTCAGGCAACCTCAGATGGGTGGGGTGAGAGATGGCGGCTGACACCTCAAAGCCACGCTGGTTCCCCCCAGCCGTCCCCTCTAATCACTGGGTCCATCTTGGGGTGCAGCGAAACCTCCTTGTCTGCTCCCCACCCCACCCTGATTACTCCATCCCCACGATGTGCCGGCACAGGCCCCCAGGGCCGATACCACCGCCCGCCCCACCCCGCACACTCACACTCACACTCATGCCCCGCCTGCCCTGAGCTGGGCTGGGGCTGGGCTGGAGGCCACTTGGGGTGGGCCCCACACCACGCCTAGGCTCCTCTCTTGGGAGGGGGCCACTGAGAGTGCCGGCTCCTGGGTCCCCAAGGTGACAGAGACTGGGGAGGGATGCTGGGGGAGTGGGGTGGGGGGACTGAAGGCCAGAACCTGGGTCCTTACTGGCTGCATGGTCACAAAAGGGGAACAGGGTGGGGAGAGAGGCAGGTGCACACAGAGCAGGGGGCCCAACAGGCCACGGCTGTAGTGACAATGTGTCAGGGAACCAGAGCTGGAGGCTGGACTCCTGGGTCTGAGGGAGGAGGGGCTGGGGGTCTGGACTCCTGGGTCTGAGGGAGGAGGCGCTGGGGGTCTGGACTCCTGGGTCTGAGGGAGGAGGCGCTGGGGGTCTGGACTCCCGGGTCTGAGGGAGGAGGCGCTGGGGGTCTGGACTCCCGGGTCTGAGGGAGGAGGGGCTGGGGGCCTGGACTTCTGGGTCTGAGGGAGGAGGCGCTGGGGGTCTGGACTCCTGGGTCTGAGAGAGGAGGGGCTGGGGGTCTGGACTCCTGGGTCTGAGGGAGGAGGCGCTGGGGGTCTGGACTCCTGGGTCTGAGGGAGGAGGGGCTGGGGGCCTGGACTCCCGGGTCTGAGGGAGGAGGGGCTGGGGGCCTGGATTCCCGGGTCTGAGGGAGGAGGGGCTGGGGGCCTGGAATTCTGGGTCTGAGGGAGGAGGCGCTGGGGGTCTGGACTCCTGGGTCTGAGAGAGGAGGGGCTGGGGGTCTGGACTCCTGGGTCTGAGGGAGGAGGCGCTGGGGGTCTGGACTCCTGGGTCTGAGGGAGGAGGCTGGGGGCCTGGACTCCTGGATCTGAGGGAGGAGGGGCTGGGGGCCTGGACTCCTGGGTCTGAGGGAGGAGGGGCTGGAGGTCTGGACTCCTGGGTCTGAGGGAGGAGGCGCTGGGGGTCTGGACTCCTGGGTCTGAGGGAGGAGGCTGGGGGCCTGGACTCCTGGATCTGAGGGAGGAGGGGCTGGGGGCCTGGACTCCTGGATCTGAGGGAGGAGGCTGGGGGCCTGGACCTCTGGGTCTGAGGGAGGAGGGTCTGGGGGCCTGGACTCCTGGGTCTGAGAGAGGAGGGGCTGGACTCCTGGGTCTGAGGGAGGAAGGGCTGGGACTGGGGGTCAGGGAGGTTGGGTTTCTGGTTTCCTGGGCTGGGACAGACTGAGCCAAGTGAGGGGTGTGCGGTGGGAGTGTTGTGTTGGGGGGTCTGGGGTCTATAGGGGTACACCGGTGAGCACGGTAGCCACTCCTCCCCTGTGTCTTTTGGGCCTGGGGTGCTCCCAGCACCATCCTCACCTGTCCCCGGCGCTCTCCTCTGCCAAACGCCAGGACCAGTCAAACCAGCTGTGCCAGTTGGGAATCACCGTGCACCACCACCCTCCGATACCCCCCTTCCCTGCAGTGGCTTCAGGGAGGCCTGCGCCCAGCCCGAGGGTGGTGCATGGGTGGGCAGGAGGCCGGATTACAGGAGAACAGGACGCCCCAATCGCTGCTTCATCTTTCCACCTCCCACCCTCATCTTGCTCATCCCTGTTCGGCTCCTCCTCCTCCTGCCTCGGGCCAGGGCACTGCCCCCACTTCCTCCAGGGGCCTGGCTTCCTCCTTGGCCCTCAGTCCCTGAAAACATGCTCCATGACACATGCTTCCAGCCCTTCCTGCCGCTGGGCCCCATCCATTCACGTTCATTCATTCCCCAGCACCTGTTGCATGCCAGGCACCGTTCCAGGCGCTGGAGACAGAGTGGCAAAAAAAAAAAAAAAAAAAGTGAGAACGGACTCATGGTGGGAAGAACATTGCCCCCCCAAGAGATGTTCGGGTCCTAATCCTAGAAAGTGCGAACATGTGACCTCCCACCACAAAAGAGACTGTAGATGTAATGGAGTGAGGTTTTTTTTTTTTTTTCTTTGAGACAGAGTCTCGCTCTGTCGCCCAGGCTGGAGTGCAGTGGTGTCATCTTGGCTCACTGCAACCTCTGCCTCCTGGGTTCAAGTGAATCTCTTGCCTCAGCCTCCTGAATAGCTGGAATTACAGGCACGTGCTCCCATGCCCAGCCAGTTTTTTATTTTATTTTATTTTATTATTATTATTATTATTATTATTATTATTATTATTATTTGAGATGGAGTTTTGCTCTCGTTGCACAGGCTGGAGTGCAATGGCGCGATCTCGGTTCACTGCAACCTCTGCCTCCTGGGTTCAAGCGATTTTCCTGCCTCAGCCTCCCGAGTAGCTGGGATTACAGGCAGGCATGCACCACCACACCCAGCTAATTTTTTATTTTATTACCGTTATTATTATTGAGACTGAGTTTCACTCTTGTTGCCCAGGCTGGAGTGCAATGGCGCCATCTCAGCTCACTGCAACCTCCACTTCCCGGGTTCAAGCGATTCTCCTGCTCAGCTTCCCGAGTAGCTGGGGTTACAGGCATGCACCACCATGCCCAGCTAACTTTCTATTTTTAGCAGAGACGGGGTTTCTCCGTGTTGGTCAGGCTGGTCTCCAACTCCCGCCCTCAGGTGATCCACCTGCCTCAGCCTCCCAAAGTGCTGGGATTACAGGCGTGAGCCACCGTGCCTGGCTTAATTTTGGATTTTTTTACTAGAGACAGGGTTTCTCCATGTTGTCCAGGCTAGTCTCGAACTCCCAACCTTAGGTGATCCGCCCGCCTCGGCCTTCCAAAGTGATGGGATTACAGGCGTGAGCCATTGCGCCCAGCCTTAATTTTTTATGTTTTATTTTTGTAGAGATGGGGTCTGGCTATGTTACCCATGCTGGTATCAAACTCCTGGGCTCAAGCAATCCTCCTGCCTCAGCCTTCTGAATAGCTGGGACTTCAGGCGCTCAACACCATGCCTGGCTAAACTAAGAGATGCTTTAGGTGGGCAGTCAAGGTGGGCCTCTCAGAGGAGGTGGCCTGATGGAGGTGAGGCAGCAAGCTGGGTGCATATCTGGGGCAAGAGTATTGCAGTCATTGAGAATAGCCAGTGCAAAGGCCCTGTGGTGGAAAGGTGCCTGGTGTGATAGACGAATGTAAAGGAGGCCAGTGCGGCCAGAGCAGAGAACATGGGGGAGGAGCTGGTGGCCCACACACCTAGTGTCAGTTAGAAAATGACCTTCAAAAATATTGACCGGGCACGGTGGGTCACGCCTGTAATCCCAGCACTTTGGGAGGCCGAGGCACGTGGATCGCCTGAGGTTAGGAGTTTGAGACTAGCCTGGCCAACATAGTGAAACCCTGCCTCTACTAAAAATACAAAAAATTAGCTGGGCGTGGTGACAGGTGCCTGTAATCCCAGCTACTCAGGAGGCTGAGGCAGGAGAATTGCTTGAACTCGGGAGGCAGAGGTTGCAGTGAGCCGAGATCGCGCCATTGCACTCCAGCCTGGGCAACAAGAGCGAAACTCCATCTCAAAAAAAAAAAAAAAATCAGCTGGGCACGGTGGCTCACGCCTGTAATCCCAGCACTTTGGGAGCCTGAGGCGGGCAGATCACGAGATCAGGAGATCGAGACCATCCTGGCTAACACGGTGAAACCCTATCTCTACTAAAAATAAAAAAAATTAGCTGGATATGGTGGCGGGCACCTGTAATCCCAGCTACTTGGGAGGCTGAGGCAGGAAAATGGCGTGAACCTGGGAAGAGGAGCTTGCAGTGAGCCGAGATCGCGCCACTGCACTCAAGCCTGGGTGACAGAGCAACACTCTGTATCCAAAAAAAAAAAAAAAAAAATATATATATATATATATATACATACATACATATTAGTAGCCCAGGTGTGGTGGCTAACGCCTGTAATCCCAGCACTTTGGGGGAGTGAGGTGGAAGAATCGGTTGAGCTCAGGAATTCAAGACCAGCCTGGACAACATAGTGAGACCTCATCTCTGTGTGTGTGTGTGTGTGTGTGTGTGTGTGTGTATAATTATATATATATATATATATATATATACACACACCTATATATACACACACACACACACACGCATATATATATATATATATGCGTGTGTGTGTGTGTGTGTATATATGTAGTCACAGAGTCTTTTTTTTTTCTTTTTTCTTTTTTTTTTTTTTTGAGACGGAGTCTCGCTCTGTCACCTAGGCTGGAGTGGAGTGTTTCCATCTCGGCTCACTGCAACCTCCGCCTCCCGGGTTCAAGCGATTCTCCTGCCTCAGCATCCCGAGTACCTGGGATAACAGGCACTCACCACCACACCAGGCTAAGTTTTGTATTTTTAGTGGAGACGGGGTTTCACCATGTTGGTCAGACTGGTCTGGAACTCCTGGCCTCAAGTGATCCGCCCGCCTCGGCCTCCCAAAGTGCTGGATTACAAGCATGAGCCACCACGCCCGGCCTGTCACAGAGTCTTAATAATGGTATGCAGCTGCCTTGCAGGGAGCACTTTCCAGGTAAACGTGTACATTGAGGGCCATGGAGAAGAATAAGGCCAATCGAGAGACAGTAGGCACAGGTGGGGAAGGGGTTAAGCTGAATCTCCACTTTAAACCAAGATGATGACATTGGAACAAGCCTTTGAAGGAGGTGAGGAAAGGAAAGAGTGTTCTGGACAGAGGAGACAGCACAAGTAAGGGTCTGGATGTGGGACTGTGCCTCTCAGCTGGCTGAATGGCAGGACCGTGAGAGCTGAGTCCCAGCTCGGTTTTCCTCTGTGCCTGGGGACTGATCTCTCACGCTGCCTCCTCCCATGCAAACTCTCTCCCAGCTGCAGGATCGACACGCCTCGCCAATGCATGGATAGGCACATTACACAAGCAGGGACAGCTCTGTCACTCCAAGATACACAGTCAGTTATTTTTGTTAATTGTTTGGGATGGAGTCTCGCTCTTTCATCCAGGCTGGAGTGCAGTGGTGCGATCTTGGCTCGCGGCAACCTCTGCCTCCCGGGTTCAAGCGATTCTCGTGTCTCAGCCTCTCGAGTAGCTGGGATTACAGGT
The DNA here is from genome assembly GCF_000001405.40 of Homo sapiens. NCBI lineage: Eukaryota > Metazoa > Chordata > Mammalia > Primates > Hominidae > Homo > Homo sapiens. Next base: position 48,540,018 of record NC_000019.10, on the reverse strand, counting down.
GCCCGCCATCATGCCCCGCTAATTTTTGTATTTTTAGTAGGGAGGGGGTTTCACCATGTTGCCCAGGCTGGTCCTGAACTCCTGACCTCAAGTGATCCACCTGCCTCGGCCTCCTAAAGTGCTGGGATTACAGGTGCCCAGCCATCAGTTTTATTATATTTGTCAAACACTTGTGTAGAACATACTCAGTGCCTGGCACAGTGCCAAGAGATCTGCACAGCTACGCGTTTCAGCCTCATGATGATCCTATGAGTAGGCACTATTATTATCTCCATCTTTCCAATGAGAAAACCAACATACAGGGCACTGACGTCACTTGTCCAAGTCGAAGCTGGCAGAAGACCATGCTAGAACCCAGGGGCCTGGGCTTCTGCTGGAGGCATGAACTAGACTCAAGGATAAAACATTTTGCACCTTTCCTGGCTCATAATAAATGCTTAATAAGCAGTAGCTCTGGGCCGCTAGTCCCCACGTAGGACTGCGCGTAAGAATTTCCTGGGCAGTTTTGTTTTTTTTTTTTTTTTTTTTTTTGAGACAAAGTCTTGCCCTGTCACCCAGGCTGGAATGCAATGGCACAATCTCAGCTCACTGCAACCTCCGCCTCCCGGGTTCAAGCAATTCTCCTTCCTTAGCCTACTGAGTAACTGGGATTACAGGCACCCACCACCACGCCCAGCTAATTTTTGTATTTTTAGTAGGGACGGAGTTTCACCATGTTGGCCAGGCTGGTCTCTAACTCTTGACCTCATGATCCGCCCGCCTCGGCCTCCCAAAGTGCTGAGATTACAGACGTGAGCCACCACACCTGGCTCCTGGGCAATTTTTACTTTCATTTATTTTATTTTATTTTATTTATTTTTATTTTTATTTTTTTTGAGATGGAGCCTCACTCTGTCGCCCAGGCTGGAGTGTAGTGGCGTGATCTCGGCTCACTGCAACCTCTGCTTCCCAGGTTCAAGTGATTCTCCTGCCTCAGCCTCCTGAGTAGCTGGGACTACAGGCATAGGCCACCAAACGTGGCTATTTTTTGTACTTTTTGTATTTTTTAGTAGAGATGGGATTTCACCATATTGGCTAGGCTGGTCTTGAACTCCTGACCTCGCGATCTGCCCACCTTGGCCTCCCAAAGTGCTGGGATTACAGGCATGAACCACCGCACCCAGCCCTGTGCGGTTTTTAAAAGCCAGTCCCCAAGCTAAGGAAGTCGGAAGCTCTGTCTGTCTCCCCCATTGGTTTGGGGTGTCAGGAGGAGGGGCTTTGTCTACTCCCCTCAGCACCATAGACCCACAGCTCTCTCAACAAACTGGGAAGAATTCACATCATACATGTTGAGCCCAAACTTAATAAAGCCTCATTTAGGGCAGGCGAGGTGGCTCACGCCTGTAATCCCAGCACTTTGGGAGGCCAAGGTGGGAGGATCACCTGAGGTCAGAAGTTCGAGACCAGCCTGGCCAACAAGGTGAAACCCCATCTCCACCAAAAGTACAAAAATTAGCCAGGTGTGGTGGTGGTCACCTGTAATCCCAGCTACTTGGGAGCCTGAGGCAGGAGAATTGCTTGAACCCGGGAGGTGGAGGTTGCAGTGAGCCGAGAATGCACCACTGCACTCAGGCCTGGGCGACAGAGCAAAACTCTTATCTTAAAGAATAAATAAATAAACATTACAATGGCAAAGACTTGGAACCAACCCAAATGCCCAACAATGATAGACTGGATAAAGAAAATATGGCACATATACATTGTGGAATACTATGCAGTCATAAAAAAGAATGAGTTCATGTCCTTTGAAGGGAAATGGATGAAGCTGGTAGCCATCATTCTCAGCAAACTAACACAGAAACAGAAAACCAAACAACGCATGTTCTCACTCATAAGTGCGAGTCGAACAATGAGAACACATAGACACAGGGAGGGGAACATCACACACCGGGGCCTGTCGGTGGGGGGTGGGGGGCAAGGGGAGGGAGAGCATTAGGACAAATACCTAATGCATGCAGGGCTTAAAACCTACATGATGGGTTGATAGATAGAGCAAACCACCATGAAACATGTATACCTATGTAACAAACCTGCGTGTTCTGCACATGTATCCCAGAACTTCAATTAAAATAAAAATAAATAAATAAGAAAAATAACACAAGCTCAAAATAGAAAAGCTGAGAATTGCAAAACAATGGAGGAGGAGGGACATGCAGTCTCTCTGGAGGCCATGGGACAGGTCGGTTGACATTTAGATAAGGGCCCCCTTCGTTCCTGAATTTCCACATCTCCAAATCACGTGAACTCAGTGATGTTTACTGCAGTGTTGTTTATGTTTGTCATGGGAAAGAAGCTGGAAACAACCCAGATGCCGTGCATAAGGGAAAAATTAAATAAACCAAGATACAGTCATTCTTGCAATGCAATGCAGCCAATTAAAGTGATCAAACCGAGACCGGGTGCGGTGGTTCCCACCTGAAATCCTGGCACTTTGGGAGGCCAAGGTGGGAGGATCGCTTGAGGCCAGAAGTGGGAGACCAGCCTGGACAACATAGTGAGACCTCAAAATAAAAAAATTAGCCAGGCATGGTGGCATGCATCTGTAGTCCCAGCTACTTGGAGGCTGAGGTGGGAGGATGGCTTAAGCCCAGGAGGTCAAGGTTGCAGTGAGCCATGATCACACCACTGTATTCCAGCCTGGGCAACAGAACAAGACCCTGTCTCTACAAAATAGATGAATAAATAGGACCATGCACGGTGGCTCAGGCCTGTAATCACAGCACTTTGGGATGTCAAGGTGGGAGGATCACCTGAGGCCAGGAGTGGGAGACCAGCCTGGACAACATAGTGAGACCTCATCGCTACAAAATAAAAAAATTAGCCAGGCATAGTGGCATACATCTGTAGTCCCAGCTACTTGGAGGCTAAGGTGGGCGGATCACTTGAGGTCAGGAGTTTGAGACCAACCAGCCTGAACAACACGGCAAAACCCCGTCTCTACTAAAAATACATAAGTTAGTAGGGCGTGGTGGCCGGTGACTGTGGTCCCAGCTACTGGTGGGGGCTGAGGCATGAAAATCACTTGAACCCGGAGGCAGAGATTGCAGTGAGCTAAGATCATGCCATTGCACTCCAGCCTGAGCGACACTCTGTCTCCCCACCCAAAAATAAATAAATAAATAAAAATTTAAAAAAATACATAAATAAATATGTGGGAAAAATATACAGAAAAAAAACTCTGCGAGGAGATACATCCCACAGATAACAGTATGTCCCCCAGCAAGGAGTCACATTTCTCCCACCAGTGATAGCATTCCGATACATCTACTTCCAGTATTTCCAGGTTTTATCTTTGTAAAATTGTGTGGTTAGCATCCTGTTGTTGTCCTACCAATTTCACATGTATATATGAAAACTTACATTTACACTACGTTGACATATATAAATAAAATCCCCTCTCTCTATATATAGTGTGAGAGAGAGGAGGTGCTACTGCGTACCAGTTCCGTGGGTTTCTGCATCCGTGGATTCAACCAACAGTGAATCAAAAATATTCAGGAAAAAAATTGTGTCTGTACTGAATGTGTATAGACTTTTTTTCTTGTCATTATTCCCTATGCAATACAGTATAACAACTATTTACTTAGTATTTGCACTGTGTTAGGCATTCCAAGTAATGTGGAGATGATTTAAAATACACGGGAGGAGGCTGGGCACGGTGGCTCACGCCTGTAATCTCAGCACTTTGGGAGGCCAAGGTGGGTGAATCACTTGAGGTCACGAGTTCAAGACCAGCCTGGCCAACATGGTGGAACCCTGTCTCTACTAAAAATACAAAAATTAGGCCAGGCATGGTGGCTCACACCTGTAATCCCAGCACTTTGGGAGGCCGAGGCAAGTAGATCACAAGGTCAGGAGATCAAGATCATCCTGGCTAACACCGTGAAATCCCGTCCCTACTAAAAATACAAAAAAGTTAGCCAGGCATGGTGGCATGCGCCTGTAGTCCCAGCTACTCCAGAGGCTGAGACAGGAGAATCGCTTGAACCCGGGAGGCAGAGGTTGCAGTGAGCCAAGATTGCGCCACTGTACTCTAGCCTGGATGACAGAGTGAGACGCCATCTCAAAAAAAAAAAAAAATAGCCGGACGTGGTGGCGTGTGCCTGTAATTCCAGATACTTGGAAGGCTGAGCTAGGAGAATTGCTTGAACCCAGGAGGTGGAAGTTGCAGTGAGCGGAGCCTGTGCCATTGCACTCCAGCCTGGGCAACAAGAGCGAAACTCCGTCTCAAAATAAATAAATAAAATAAAATTAAATTAAATTAATAAAATTTTATTATAAAATGAAATAAAATTAGCCAGGCATGGTGGCACATGCCTGTAATCCCAACTATTCAGGAGGCTGAGGCAGGAGAATCTCTTGAACCCAGAAGGCGGAGGTTGCAGTGAGCCGAGATCGCGCCATTGCACTCCAGCTTGGGGTGACAGAGACTCTGTCTCAAAAAATAAATAAATAAATAAATAAATAAACAGGGGAAATACACGCAGGTTCTATGCAAACACTATGCCGTTTTATATCAGCGACTTGAGCATCCTCAGGTTTTGGTATCTGTAGGGTAGGTGGGGTTCTGGAACCAAATCCCCTATGGATTCCAATGGATGACCGTATATCATTTTATATCTTGCTGTATTACACATTTTTTTTTTTTTGAGATGGAGTGTCACTCTGTCGCCCAGGCTGGAGTGCAGTGGCACAATCTCGGCTCACTGCAACCTCTGCCTCCGGGGTTCAAGTGATTCTCCTGCCTCAGCCCCACTAGTAGCTGTGATTATAGGTGCGCACCACCACACCCGGCTAATTTATGTATTTTTAGTAGAGACAGGGTTTCACCATGTTGGCCATGCTGGTCTCAAACTCTTGACCTCAGGTGATCCACCCACCTTGGCCTCCCAAAGTGCTGGGATTACAGATATAAGCCACCATGTCCGGCCCTGCGTATTTCTACTTAATGTATCATAAAACCTTTTTTTCATTTTAATTAAAATAATTACATGATATTTCACAATATTGCTGTTCTGTAGTTTACAAAGCCTTTCTCTAGACCTTATTGTTAGAAATATATAATGTTTATTATACAAATATTAAACCTGTTTCTATTATTTTTACTGCTACAAATAATGCTATAGAGAAAATCTTCGTGCATAAACTTTTGTGCACATTTTATATTATTTCCTTAGAACAGAGTCCCAGAAATGGAATTACTCGGTAAGAGTACCAAGTTGGCATCTAGAAAAGTTAAAATAATCTCCACTCATTCACACTCACGGCATCCTCGCTGGCACTGAATATAAGCCTTTTAGAGAGCTTTGCTAATTTGGTAAGTGAAGAGTTGGCTCTCATTTTCATTTATGTATTCACTCATTGAGTCCACAAATAGTTTCTTGAGCACCTGCTGTATGGTAGCCTGTGTTTTAGGTACTGGGAGACAGCAGTGAGCAAGACTGACACAGAAGCACTGCCCTCGAGGACCTCATTTTCTTTTCTTTTTGAGACAGAGTTTCACTCTTGTTGCCCAGGCTGGAGTGCAATGGCATGATCTCGGCTCACCACAACCTCCGCCTCCCGGGTTCAAGTGATTCTCCTGCCTCAGCCTCCCGAGTATCAGGGATTACAGGCATGTGCCAGCATACCCGGCTAATTTTGTATTTTTTAGTAGAGATGGTGTTTCTCCACGTTGGTCAGGCTGGTCTCCAACTCCCAACCTCAGGTGATCCGCCTGCCTCAGCCTCCCAAAGTGCTGGGATTACAGGTGTGAGCCACTGCGCCCAGCCCAGGCTAATTTTTGTATTTTTAATAGAGACGGGGTTTCACCATGTTGGCCAGGCTAGTCTCGAACTCTTGACCTCGTGGTCTGCCCACCTCGGCCTCCCATAGTGCTGGGATTACAGGCCTGAGCCACTGTGCCTGGCAGGGACCTCATTTTCTAAGGGATGAGAAGAGGGGAGATGGACGGTAAACATACAGACAAATAAGTGGACTTGATTACTTCAGAGAACAATACACGCTCTGAAGACAGTTACTACTGGCCGGTGCAGTGACTCACGCCTGTGACCTCGACACACTGGGAGGCAGAGGCAGAAGGCTCACTTGAGCCCGGGAGTTTAAGACCAGCCTGAGGCAACATATCCAGACCCCACCTCTATAAAAAATGAAAAATAACAATAATAATAAATTTTTTATCCTAGTACTTTGGGAGGCCAAAGTGGGCGGATCGCTTGAGTCCAGGAGTTCAAGACCAGCCTGGGCAACATGGCGAAACCCTGTCTCTACTAAAAATACAAAAAATTAGCCGGGCGTGGTGTGGTGGCTCACACCTGTAGTCCCAGCATTTTGGGAGGTCCAGGCGGGCAGATCATCAGGTCAGGAGATGGAGACCATCCTGGCTAACATGGTGAAACCCTGTCTCTACTAAAAATACAAAAAATTAGCCGGGCGTGGTGGCGGGCGCCTGTAGTCCCAGCTACCTCGGGAGGCTGAGGCAGGAGAATGTCATGAACCCGGGAGGCAGAGCTTGCAGTGAGTCGAGATCGCGCCACTACACTCCAGCCTGGGCGACAGAGCAAGACTCCGTCTCAAAAAAAAAAAAAAAGAAAAAAAAAATTAGCCGGGCGTGGTGGCGGTCGCCTGTAGTCCCCCAGCTTTCCGGGAGGCTGAAGTGGGAGGATCATTTGAGCCTGGAAGATGGAGGTTGCAGTGAGTTGAGATTGAGCTGTTGTACTACAGCCTGGGCAAGAGAGTGAGACTCTCTCTCTCTCACACACACACACACACACACACAAAGAAATTTAAAAACAGTGAGTACTGAGGATAAATACCTTCCCACCAGTTTGTAATCTACTGTCATTCTGCCTTGTGACTTGTCTGTTCACGTCCTTGTCCATTTTTTATTGGCATGACAGTTCTGCATTTTCTATTTCTTTCTTTCTTTCTTTTCTTTTTTTTTTTTTTTTTTGAGCTGGAGTCTCGCTCTGTCACCCAGGCTGGAGTGCAGTGGCATGATCTTGTCTCACTGCAACCTCTGCTTCCCAGGTTCAAGTGATTTTCCTGCCTCAGCCTCCTGAGTAGCTGGGATTACAGGCACACGCCGCCACAACTGACTAATTTTTGTATTTTTACTAGAGACAGGTTTCACCATTTTGGCCAGGCTGGTCTTGAACTCCTAACCTCAAGTGATCTGCCCACCTCAGCCTCCCAAAGTGCTGGGATTACAGGCGTGAGCCGCCACTCCCGGCCCATTTTCTATTTCTTTACCCATGTATCACATCTACCACCAAAACGATATGAATGTCATTGATTGAACATCTGCTCTGTGACAACTACCTGGCTAGATGCTTTGTTCTATTTATCTCAGGTAATTCTGCCCGGTAGGTGTGAAATTAAATCATTCAAACTTAAAGCTATTGGAACATTACATTATTTTGAGCCTCAAGAGAAATCTAAGTGGCTTGAGTCATGCAGCCAGCAACTGCAACTTCTGCTTCTTCCTGGAAATGATGAGAAGTAATGGAATGGCGTCAGAGATGAGACCCCCTCAGATCACTATCCCTCTTCCTGGAATGTTAAAATAATCTTCCTTAGTCCGGCGCGGTGGCTCACGCCTGTAATCCCAGCACTTTGGGAGGCCAAGGCAGGCGGATCACCGGAGGGCAGGAGTTTGAGACCAGCCTGGCCAACACAGTGAAACCCCGTCTCTACTAAAAATATAAAATTTAGCCAGGCGTGGTGGCATGTGCCTGTGCTCCCAGCTATTTGGGAAGCTGAGGCAGGAGAATCGCTTGAACCCAGGAGGCAGAGGCTGCAGTGAGCCGAGATCACGCCCCTGCACTCCAGCCTGGGCGACAGAGTGAGACTCAAAAACAAACCAACAAAAAAACCAAAAAATAAATCTTCGTTAAAATCTAGCAAACTGCCACCGATCATATCACAGAACGTTGTGTACTGGCTTTGTATGGAACATGTTAAATGCTGTTAAACTTCTCTGTTTCTGCCTACATAAGTGAAACCTTTTCTTCCCCACTTAAGAATCACCACATTCTTTCAGAGTCTGGCTATCTCAAACTTTGTGCTTGAGTAAACCCTGTTGTTTTGTTTTGGTGGTTTTTTTTGGTGTTTTGGTGTTTTGTTTTGGTGTTTTGGTGTTGTGGTGTTTTGTTTTGGTGTTTTTTAGAGACAGGATCTCACTCCAGGCCCAGGCTGGAGTACAGTGGCACAATCATAGCTCACTGCAGCCTCGACCTCCTGGGCTCAAGCTATCTTCCTGCCTCAGCCTCTCAAATAGCTGGGACCACAGGTGTATGCCACCACGCCCAGCTAATTAAAAAAAAAATTTATAGTGATGGGAGTCTCATTATGTTGCCCAGGCTGGTCTCAAACTCTGGGACTCAAGTGATCCTCCTGCCTCGGCCTCTCAAAGTGCTGAGATTACAAGTGTGAACCACCACACCCAGTCTTAAACTCAATTCTTTCTTTCTTTTTTTTTTTTTTTTTGAGACGGATTCTTGCTCTGTCACCCAGGCTGGAATGCAGTAGCGTAATCTCGGCTCACTGCAAGCTCTGCCTCCCGGGTTCACGCCATTCTCCTGCCTCAGCGTCCCAAGTAGCTGGGACTACAGGTGACTGCCACCACGCCCGGCTAATTTTTTGTATTTTTAGTAGAGATGGGGTTTCACTGTGTTAGCCAGGATGGTCTCGATCTCCTGACCTCGTGATCCGCCCTCCCCGGCTTCCCAAGTGCTGAGATTACAAGTGTGAACCACCAGGCCCAGTCCTAAACTCAATTCTTAATCATATTTCCTGCTTCTCATTGAGGTAGACGTAGGTGTTGTCTTCATTTCACAGATATACAACTTTAAGGTCCGAGAAGTTGAGTAACTTACCCAAAGCTACACAGCCTTGGTGGCACACTGGGATTCAAATATAAACAGCCCAGGCTCTTAACCACTGGACAATCCTGTTTCTAAACAGTCTTTGACTCTGATTTGTTATCTTATTTGATTATTTGTTTCCCTGTCAATAACATTTTTTATAGTTTTTATTGGGTTATACTGTACAAACATAAGATAACACGGCACCTGTAATCCCAGCTACTTGGGCAGCTGAGGCAGGAGAATTGCTTGAACCGGGAGGCGGAGGCTGCAGTGAGCTGAGATTGTGCCACTGCACTCCAGCCGGAGTGACAGAGTGAGACTCTGTCACAAAAAAAAAAAAAAAAAAAGAGACAACACGTTTCAAAAGTGTACAGCTTGATGAATTAATTCCAAATGAACACATCAGTTATGCTGCAACCAGGTTAAAAAAAAAAAAAAGAACATTCCCAGCCTCCCAAAAGCCCATCCCCATCCCTTATCCCGGGAGCCCTCATTCCCATTCCCTCCATCCCCAAGAAAACCACGACTCTTACTTCTCAGATTTGGTCATCAGAATTTAACTGCCGGCTCTGAATTCCAAAGGCATACTTAGAAGACGCCTTTGTGGAGCCAACAGAGGATCCTTAGTATGCATCACGCTCTTTTCTCTTTGTAAAAAAAGGTAAAATAAAACCCACAACTCTGTATTCTCTGCATTTAAAGAGAGTGAGGATTTTTGTCTCATTTAAATTAACAGCAGATGTGCAAACACACAAGTGCAAAGCCAGAGGGGAATTGGGACGACCCACTGGACGCGTTAAGGCAGCTACGTCACCGGGAACAGAGCAACGTGGTCCCCCCAGGGGCTGGCAGCAGTGTCATTGGTCAGTGGGGAACGTTTCAGCCACGGCTTTGAAAGATAAATCGGCCGGGCACGATGGTTCCCGCCTGTAATCCCAGCACTTTGGGAGGCTGAGGTGGGTGGATCACCTGAGGTCAGGAGCTCGAGACCAGCCTGACCAACACGGAAAAACCCTGTCTCTACTAAAAATACAAAAATTAGCCCGGCGTGGTGGTGCATGCCTGTAATCCCAGCTACTCGGGAGGCTGAGGCCGGAGAATTGCTTGAACAGGGGAGGCAGAGGTTGTGGTGAGCCGAGATCGCGCCACTGTACTCTAGCCTGGGCAACAGGAGCGAAACTGTGTCAAAAAAAAGAAAGAAGGAAGGAAGGAAGGAAGGAAAGATCAGAGTGTCCTAGACAATTGGAGATGGATGAGTTTTATTTATTTATTTATTTATTTATTTATTTAATTTATTTATTTTTTGAGAGGGAGTCTCACTCTGTCACCCAGGCTAGAGTGCAGTGGTGCGAGCTTGGCTCGCTACAAGCTCTGCCTCCTGGGTTCAAGCAATTCTCCTGCCTCAGCCTGAGTAGCTGGGATTACAGGAGCCCACCACCATGCCCGGCTAATTTTTATGGTTTTAGTAGAGATGCAGTTTCACCATGTCTGTCAGGCTGGTCTCGAACTCCTGACCTCATGATCTGCCTGCCTTGGCCTCCCAAAGTGCTGGGATTACAGGTGTGAGCCACCGTGCCCGGCCAAGTTTCAGTTATTTTAACTGCATGTGATATCAGCCCCAGATTGCAGCAGACAGATTCCAAGATGGCGCCTAATGATTCCCGCCACCCAGTGGTCACATCTTTGTGTAGTCTCCTCCCTATGGAATCAGGTTTGGCTTATGGGATCAAAGGAATGTAACAGAAGTGACAGTAAAAGAAATCTGAGACTAGGTCACAAAAGGCATTGCAACTTCCACCATAGATAACTTGCTTTGGGGGAAGCTGGCTGCCATGTTGTGAGGACACTCAAGCAGCTCTGTGGAGAGGAACCATCTTGCCAGCTCCAACATGCCAGCCATGTGAACAAGCCCAGGTGGCAAATCATCCAGCCTCAGTCAAGCTTTCAGATGACCACAGCCCCAGTTGATATCTGACTGTAACCACATGAAACACCAAACTCTGGACTCACAGAAATCATGAGATAATAAACAATGATTGTTTTGAGTTTGGAGATGATTGATTTATTTATTATTTATTTTTTGCGATGAAGTTTCGCTCTTGTTGCCCAGGCTGGAGTGCAATGGCGCGATCTCGGCTCACTGCAACCTCCACCCCCCGGGTTCAAGTGATTCTCCTGCCTCAGCCTCCCTAGTAGCTGGGATTACAGGCACCTGCCACCACAGCTGGCTAATTTTTTGTATTTTTAGTAGAGACGGTTTCTCCATGTTGGTCAGGCTGGTCTCAAACTCCCGACCTCATGTGATCCGCCCACCTCGGCCTCCCAAAGTGCTGGGATTACAGGCGTGAGCCACTGCACCCAGCTTGGAGATGATTTTTTAATGCAGCAATAGGTAACTGAATACACAAATGTTTACTGTTGTTCACCCATTCGTTCAGGCAACAGCTCTAGCTTTCTGAGGCCATATCACAGGAAAAGGCAGAATGCAGACGACAAAGAAGGCCATTTTTGGCTTTTGAATTTCAAAAGCCCTGGGCAGGGCAGACACAATAGATTTAGAGGAAGAGATTCCAGGGAGACTGGAGGAGCTGATAGGACATTAGAAATGTGGGACTGGTAGGCCAGGCGCGGTGGCTCATGCCTGTAATCCCAGCACTTTGGGAGGCTGAGGCAGGTGGATCATGAAGTCAAGAGATCGAGACCACCCTGGCTAACACAGTGAAACCCGATCTCTACTAAAAATACAAAAAATTAGCTGGGCGTGGTTGCAGGTGCCTGTAGTCCCAGCTACTCGGGAGGCTGAGGCAGGAGAATGGTGTGAACCTGGGAGGCGGGGCTTGCAGTAAGCCGAGATCGCGCCACTGCACTCTAGCCTGGGCAACAGAGTGAGACTCTGTCTCAAAAAAAAAAAAAAAGTGGGACTGGTGGTGCTGGGGCAAGGAGCCCAGATCTGGAGAGACCCCCTTGGACAAGAGAGAAGTCACCAGGTAGAGCCCTCCCTTCCAAATCTTGATGGAGGGAAGCCAGCCTGTCACCAGGGCAGAGAGCCTGCAGCAGCTGCACTAGGACCCACACTGAGCACCAGGCATTACCTAGGTTGAGGAGCTACGTAGACTCAGTGGGATGTGGTGGCTGCTCAGGATGGGTGAAAGGGACTCATACAACAGGTGGAAATTCAAGGGGGGGTCTTCAACCTGTTCTTGCACCATGGACCCTGAAGGGTCTCAGTGAACCACACCTCCAGATGTTTGCACCCTGTGGAGTCCCCTCCATGGGATATTGGGCTTGGCCAGTACAACATTATCAAACATGATGCAAGCAGAAGTTTGGTAAAGTACTTGTATGTTTGGGCTTGTCCTCTTGAAACTCTCCCTTTTGGGGTCCAAGCAGCCATGTGAAGAGACTACATGGAGAGAGATCATTGCAACCCTCCCAGCTACCCCACCACAACGCCAGATGTACAAATAAAACCATCTGGGAAGTTCCATTCCCTGGGGGCCGGGCACGGTGGCTCACGCCTGTAATCCCAGCACTTTGGGAGGCCAAGGTGGGCAGATCAGGAGGTCAGGAGTTTGAGACCAGCCTGACCAACATGGTGATACCCCCATCTCTAAAAAAAATATACAAAAATTAGCTCGGCGCAGTTGTGCATGCCTGTAGTCCCAGCTACTTGGGAGGCTGAGGCAGAAGAATCGCTTGGACCCAGGAAGCGGAGGTTGCAGTGAGCCAAGATCATGCCACTGCACTCCAGCCTGGGTGACAGAGTGAGACTCCGCCTCAAAAAAAAAAAAGTTCCAGTCCGTGCCACTACCTGACTCCAATTTGACCAGAGACTCCAAGAGAAATGAGATGAACAGAAGAACTGCCTTGCAGAGCCCAGTCAACACATGGTATCATGAAAAATAATAAATCGTTGTTTAAGCCACTACATATTGGGGGGATTTTTTTTAATGCAGTAATGAATAACTGAAATATTTCTTTAGCAGGCCTTGGGCCTTGTTGAGAAAGATTAACTGAACTCTGGATATAATGCAAACAGTGTATACTTCCTATGTTATTCGACATCAGTGCTTCCCAGGGTAACACTTTGCAACACACCTGAACTGTGCAAAAGCCACTAGCCACATGTGGCTATTGAAGACTTGAAATAGAGAGTGTAACTGAGAACTGAATTTTTTGTTTTTTATTTCATCTGAATTAAATTTAAATAGCTAAGTGACTGGTGGCTACCTTATTGGACATTAGGGCTCTAAGGGCACTGTCTAACAAGACCACTTAAGTAGCATCTGATATTCTAGGAATGGGGAGGCAAATTTTTTTCTATAAAGGGTCAGATAAATATTTAAGGCTTTGAAGCCATGTGGTCTCTGTTACCACTACTCAACTCTACTGGTGTCATGCAAAAAGCTCATAAGTGATAATAAGATAACACATAAATGAATGTATGTGACTATGTTCCCATAAAACTTTATTTACAAAAATGGGCAGAATTTGATCTGTGGGCCACAATTTGCCAACCACTACTCTGGGGGAATTTGTATGACTTTCTATTGATTAAGGGTCTAAACTCTGTAAAGTTATATGTTAACTTGTTCAGAACCAATGCATCGAAATTATTGTTTTTTGGGTAGACATAAAATCCCAAAAGTTATTGTTCTGAATGTTATTAACTGTTTTTCTCTATAAATTCATCATTTTCATCTAGAATTCTCTCTTTTTCTTTTCTTGAGACAGAGTGTCGCTCTGTCACCCAGGCTGGAGTGCAGTGGTGCAATCTCAGCTCTCTGTAGCCTCCACCTCCTGGGTTCAAGTGATTCTCCTCAGCCTCCCAAGTAACTAGGACTACAGGCTCGCACCACCATGCTCAGCTAATTTTTTTTTTTTTAATAGAGGCAGGGTTTTGCCATGTTGCCAGGCTGGACTTGAACTCCTGACCTCAGATGATCTGCCTGCCTCAGCCTCCCAAAGTGCTGGGATTCCAGGCGTGAGCCACTGTGCCTGGCCTGTCCTATCCTCCTTTGAACAAGTCTGTCATTCTTTTGGTTCTCCCATTAATGTATTAAATAAATCCTAGATGTGTGCTTACTATATATTTGTATGAATCATGTTTTTAACTGTTTTTTGAATATTATACCCTGACAATACCTTCTCAAAAAAGTTAAGTGTATAAAAGAAAATTCATAGGCTTACAAAACCAACTAAAACAGTTTTCAAAATATTCAAAAGTCACATTTTTATATAATATATACGCTTCTTTATTAACATTAAATAACAAGATCTAGCAGATCCAGCCATGTGCAGTGGCTTATGCCTATAATCTCAGCACTTTGGTAGGCCCAGGTAGGAGGATCGCTTGAGCCCAGGAGTTTAATTAGCCTGGGCAACATAGGGAGACACTGTCACTATTTAAAAAGAAAAAAAAAAATCAGGCTGGGTGTTGTGGTTCACAGCTGTAATCCCAGCACTTTGGGAGACCGAGGTGGGCGGATCACAAGGTAAGAAGTTCAAGACCAGCCTGGCCAGCATGGTGAAACCCCTTCTCTACTAAAAATACAAAAATTAGCTGGGTGTTGTGGTGTGCGGCTGTAATCCCAGCTACTCGGGAGGCTGAGGCAGGAGAATCACTCGAACCTGGGAGGCAGAGATTGCAGTGAGTCGAGATTGCACCACTGCACTCCAGCCTGGGCAATAGAGTGAGACTCCATCTCAAAAAAAAAAAAAAAAAATCTAGCAGATCTAATAGCAAGTCTAATAACTGATATTTCTTTTTCTTTTCTTTTCTTTTCTTTTTTTTGAGACAGAGTTTTGCTCTTGTTGCCTGGAATGGAGTGCAATGGTGCGATCTTGGCTCACTGCAACCTCTGCTTCTCAGGTTCAAGGATTTCTCCTGCCTCAGCCTCCTGAGTAGCCGGGATTACGGGCACATGCCACCATGTCAGGCTAATTTTGTATTTTTAGTAGAGACAGGGTTTCTCCATGTTGGTCAGGCTGGTCTCGAACTCCCGACCTCAGGTGATCCTGCCTGCCTCAGCCACCCAAAGTGCTGAGATTACAGGTGTGAGCCGCCGCGTCTGGCCTATAACTGATATTTCAAAACAGTGAGGAAGCAAAAGAATATTTCAAGTATTTGCAACAACCATGATGTGATTTGGAAATATCTGTGATTTATGTTGCTAGAATAATAAATTCCAGAATAAACAAAATCACAGATCTTGCTAATGTTACCTGTATTCATAATTGTATGAGTCATCTACTGCTGTGTAACAAACCACTGCAAAACTTAATTGCTTAAGACAATAGTAGTTATTTATTTTGTTTGTAGGTCTTCAATTTGGGTGGAGTTCAGCAGAGGCAGCTCATCTCTGATCAATGAGGCAACAATTGAGGCAGCTCCTCTGGGAGCTGAAGAACCCACTTTCTGTATTTTATTTTTATTTTTCTATTCATGTCTTCAGTGCATCTAATAAGAAACCACTTTCAAGATGGCTCACATGGCTGGCAAGTTAGTGCTGACTGTTGGCTAGCAACTTAGTGGGGACTAAGGGCTGGGGACATAATTTCCTCTCTTTGTGGGCTTCCTCGTGGACTCTTGAGCTTCCTCACAGCACGGAGGCTGAGTTCTAAGAATTGGTGCTAGCTGTTGGCTAGCAGCTCAGAGGGAATTGAGGGCTGGGGATTTCATTTCCTCTCCATGTGGGCCTCCTCACAGACTCTTGGGCTTCCTCACATCATGGAAGCTGAATTGTAAGAGTGTTTGTACTAAGAAAACAAGGCATGGCATTTTTACAACCTGACCTCAGAAGTCACACAGAAGCACTTCTATTGAATCCTTGTTGGTTGAGGTAGTCCCTTCAGGTTCAAGGTGTGGAGACATAGTCTTCACTTCCCATAGTCTTCACTTCCCAATGGGGAAGTGGCAAGATCTGGAAGAGCATATGGAATGGGAGATATTATTGAGGCTATCTTTGGAAAATACAATCTGACATGAAAATAGGAAGAAATAGCTGGGCGCAGTGGCTCAAGCCTGTAATCCCAGCACTTTGGGAGGCTGAGGTGGGTGGATCACGAGGTCAGGAGATCAAGACCATCTTGGCTAACACAGTGAAACCCCGTCTCTACTAAAAATACAAAAAAAAAAAATTAGCCGGGCATGGTGGCGGACGCCTGTAGTCCCAGCTACTTGGGAGGCTGAGGCAGGAGAATGGCGTGAACCTGGGAGGCAGAGCTTGCAATGAGCCAAGATCGTGCCACTGCACTCCAGCCTGGGTGACAGAGCGAGACTCCGTCTCAAAAAAAAAAAAAAAAAAAAAAAAAAAAAACGAAGAAATACTAGATATCAATTAGAGCTTGGGGAAAAGGAAAATGTGATTTGTGATTTTTCTTCTTATCTAAGGCCATAGACCCCATAAATTATATCCACAAGACTTTTGAGGGTCCCTGGACCCCCGGCCAAGAACCTTTGAACCACAGTTAGGTGGGTTCAGTCATGAGAACTTCTGGAAGGATGGAAGAGTTGCTATCTTTTAAACAACAGCTCTAGAGTATTCATTCATTTGTTCAGCAGATAATTATTAAGCTAGCTTCCAGATCTATAACTACAATCAAGACCAAGGCAGTCCCTGCTTGCCTGACACCAGCATTGCAGTGGGAGTCAAGTATTTATAATTACACTACCTAATTATATTACTCAATATAATATGCTAATAAAACAAGATGCTATGAAATAAAGGAGCCAAGTTCTTTGAGAGCATATAGAAAAGGAAATAATCTAGATTGTGGTGCCAAGGAAGTCATCTCTTAAAAAGTGACTGCTAAGCCAGGCATGGTGGTGGGTGCCTGTAGTCCCAGCTACTTGGGAGGCTGAGGTGGGAAGATTGCTTGAGCTCAGGGTTTCAAGGGTGTGGTGTGGTATGATTATTCTGTGAATAGCCGCTGCATTCCAGCCTGGGCAACATAGCAAGACTCCTGTCCCTGAAAAAAAGAAAAAGATTAACTGCTGTGCTGGGGTATGGATGTTCTACCTTGCTCCAAAACTTCCCATGACTCACCACTGCCCAGAGAATACAATCCAAGCAACTGTCCTGGCATTCAAGATATTTTATGAACAGGCCTAACTTAAAATGCAGATCCTCCTTATTGATACCCAACATCAATTATCCACCTCTCCTCTTCCTTCTCCTTCCTTTTCTTTTTTGTTTTGTTTTGTTTTTGTTTTTGTTTTTTTGAAACAGGGTCTCACTCTGTCACTCAGGCTGGAGTGTAGTGGCGCGATCTCAGCTCATTGCAACCTCCACCACCAGGGTTCAAGCAATTCTCCTGCCTCAGCCTCCCCAAGTAGCTGGGACTATGGATGCGTGCCACCACACCCAGCTAATGTTTGTATTTTTTTGGTAGAGATGGGGTTTCGCCATGTTGGTCAGGCTGGTCTTGAAGTTCTGATCTCAGGTGATCCACCCGACTTGGCCTCCCAAAGTGCTGGGATTACAGGCAAGAGCCACTGCGCCTGACCACCTAAGTTTTAAACGACAATTTAAAATATATGGAGCCCGGGGCCAGGCACGGTGGCTCAAGCCTGTAATCCCAGCACTTTGGGAGGACAAGGTGGGCAGATCACGAGGTCAGGAGTTTGAGACCAGCCTGACCAACATGGTGGAACCCCACCTCTACTAAATATACAAAAATTAGCCAGGCGTGATGGAGCGTCCCTGTAATCCCAGCTACTCGGGAGGCTGAGGCAAGAGAATCGCTTGAACCCGGGAGGCAGAAGTTGCAGCAAGCCGAGATCGACCACTGCACTCCAGTCTGGGCAACAGAGCCAGGCTCCGTCTCAAAAAAAAAAAAAAAGAAAAGCAGGGCGCGATGGCTCATGCCTATAATCCCAGGACTTTGGGAGGCTGAAGTGGGCCAATCACCTGAGGTCAGGGGTTTGAGATCAGCCTGGCCAACATGGTGAAACCCTGTCTCTACTAAAAATACAAAATTAGCTGGGCGTGGTGGCACATGCCTGTAATCCCAGCTGCTACAGAGGCTGAGGCAGAAGAATTGCTTGATCCCAGGGGGCAGAGGTTGCAGTGAGTGAAGATCATGCCACTGCACTCCAGCCTGGGCGACAGAGTGAGACTCCGTCTCGAAGAAAAGAGGAAAAATAATAATAATAATAATAATATATATATATATATATATATATAGAGAGAGAGAGAGAGAGAGAGAGAGAGAGAGACCAGGCGTGGTGGCTCATGTCTGTAATCCCAGCACTATGAGAGGCCTGGGTGGGAGGATTGCTTGAGCCCAGGTGTTCGAGACCAGCCTGGGCAACATTGTGAGACCCTGTCTCTACAAAAATGAAATAATTAGCCAGGCATGGTGGTGTCCACCTGTAGTCCCAGTTACTCAGAAGGCTGAGGCAGGAGGATTGCTTGAGTCCAGGAAGGCAAGGCTACAGTGAGCCATGGTGGTGTCACTGTACTCCAGCCTAGGCAATAGAACAACATCCTGTCTCTTAAAAAATAAATAAATAAAAATGAACAAATAAAAATATAGGGATACTTAGTATGTATGAATATAGTCTTCTTTTTTAAAAATTTGAGGCCAGGCACAATGGTTTATGCCTGTAATCCCAGGGCTTTGGGAGGCCAAGGTGGGCAGATCACTTGAGGTCAGGAGTTTGAGACCAGCCTGGCCAACATGGGGAAACACTGTCTCTACTAAAAATTCAAAAAAAAAATTAGCCGGGCGTGGTGGCGCATGCCTGTAGTCTCAGCTACTCAGGAGGCTGAGGCAGGAGAATCACCTGAACCTGGGAGGCAAAGGATGCAGCGAACTGAGATCATGCCACTGCACTCCAGCCTGGGTGACAGAGAGAGACTCCATCTCAAACAACAAAAATATTGAGTGATACAGACCTCACATTTCATGTGCACCCCGAGTTTCATTACTATACTATCCTTGCACATCTTTTGCTGGGCGTGTGTGTGTGTGTGTGTGTGTGTACATATATCAAAAAGCATCTTTGGGGCCAGGTGCAGTGGCTCACACCTGCAATCCCAACACTTTGGGAGGCAGAGGCAGGCGGATCACTTGAGGTCAGGAGTTCAGGACCAGCCCGGCCAATATGGTGAAACCTTATCTCTACTAAAATACAAAAATTAGCAGGGCATGGTGGTGCATGCCTGTAGTCCCAGCAACTCAGGAGGCTGAGTCAGGAGAACTGCTTGAACCCAGGGAACGGAGGTTGCAGTGAGCCAAGATCGCGTTACTACACTCCAGCCTGGGTGACAGAGCAAGACTCAGTCACACACAGAAAAAAGCAGCTTTGGTGGGAGGCCGAGAGGGGCGGATCACGAGGTCAGGAGTTCGAGACCAGCCTGGCCAACATGGTGAAACCCCATCTCTACTGAAAATACAAAAATCAGCCGGGCGTGGTGGTGGGCGCCTGTAATCCCGTCTACTAGGGAGGCTGAGGCAGGAGAATCACTTGAAACTAGAAGGCAGAGGTTGCAGTGAGCCAAGATCGCACACTGCACTCCAGCCTGGGCGAAAGAGCGAAACTCCGTCTCAAAAAAAAAAAAAAAAGCAGCTTGGGATTGTTGTTGCTTTCTGTTTTTTTATTATTTTTAGAGATGGGAATGGGATCTTCCTTTGTTGCCCAGGCAGGAGTGCAGTGACATGATCATAGCTCACTGCCACTACAAATTCCTAGGCTCCAGGGATCCTCCTGCCTCAGTCTCCTGAGCAGCTGGAACTACAAGAAATGTTCCCACGCCCGGCTTGTTTTCTTCTTATGTAAATTGTATCACACTATTCTCATTGTTCTGTGACTTGATTTTTTTCACTTCACATTATATCTTGGAGCTCTTGGAGCTTTTTCTTCCCAGGCCATCGTGTTCTCCAGTTTTTTGTTTTCTGTTTTTTGTTTTTTGTTTTTTTTGAGATGGAGTCTCACTCTGTCTCTCAGGCTGGAATGCAGTGGCGTGATCTTGGCTCACTGCAACCTCTGCCTCCCGGCTTCAAGCAATTCTCCCACCTCAGCCTCCCTAGTAGTTGGGATTACATGCATGCATGCATCGCCACGCCCGGCTAATTTTTGTATTTTTAGTAGAGACGGGGTTTCACCATGTTGGCCAGGCTGGTCTCGAACTCCTCACCGCAAGTGATCCACCTGCCTTGGCCTCCCAAAGTGCTGGGATTACAGGCGTGAGCCACCACACCCAGCTTTTTTTTTTTTTTTGCTTTTTTAGAGACAGGGTGTCACTGTGTCACCTAGGCTGGAGTGCAGTAGTTCGATCATAGCTCACTGCAGCCTCCAACTCCTGGGTTCAAGTGATCCTCCTGCCTCAGCTTCCTGAGTAGCTAGGACTACAGGTGTGCGCCACCATGCCCAGATTATTTTTTAATTTTTATTTTTGTAGAACCAGGGTCTTACTATGTTGCCCAGGCTGGTCTCAAACTCTCCAACTTTGCACCAAAGTGCAAAGTCCAAAGTGTTGTGATCACAGGCATGAGTCATCATGCCTGGCCTCAAATTGTACCCTTAAGATCTCTGCTTGTTGGCCGGGCGCAGTGGCTCACACCTGTAATCCTAGCACTTTGGGAGGCTGAAGAGGGTGGATCACTTGAGGTCAGGAGTTCGAGACCAGTCTGACCAATGGGGTGAAACCCCATCTCTACTAAAAACACAAAAAAATTAGCTAGGTGTGGTGGTGCATGCTTATAATCCCAGCTACTTGGGAGACTGAGGCAGGAGAATCACTTGAACCCGGGAGGCAGAGGTTGCAGTGACCCAAGACTGCGCCATCGTGATAGAGCCTGGGTGATAGAGCGAGACTCCGTCTCAAAAAAAAAAAAAAAAGCCCAGGTGCGGTGGCTCACGCCTGTAATCCCAGCACTTTGGGAGGCCGAGGCGAGTGGATCGAGACCATCCTGGCTAACATGGTGAAACCCTGTCTGTACTAAAAATACAAAAAATTAGCCGGGCATGGTGGCAGGTGCCTGTAGTCCCAGCTACTCAGGAGCCTGAGGCAGGAGAATGGCGTGAACCCGGGAGGCGGAGCTTGCAGTGAGCTGAGATCGCGCCACTGCACTCCAGCTTGGGCGACAGAACCAGACTCTGCCTCAAAAAAAAAAAAAAAAAATCTCTGCTTGTTATTGTTGTAAATTATACCTCCATTAATAGTGAAATAGGCCAGGCTGTGGTGGCCCATACCTATAATCCCAGCACTTTGGGAGGCCGAGGCAGGCGGATCACTTGAGGTCAGGAGTTTGAGGCCAGGCTGACCAACATGGCGAAAGCCCACCTCTCCTAAAAATACAAAAATTAGCCAGGCGTGGTGGTGCGTGTCTGTAATCCCAGCTACTCAGGAGGCTAAGGCACGAGAATCGCTTGAGCCCAGAAGGTGGTGGCTGCAGTGAGCCGAGATTGCACCACTGCAC
The DNA here is from genome assembly GCF_000001405.40 of Homo sapiens. Taxonomy (NCBI): domain Eukaryota; kingdom Metazoa; phylum Chordata; class Mammalia; order Primates; family Hominidae; genus Homo; species Homo sapiens. The sequence continues at coordinate 48,518,683 of NC_000019.10, read as the reverse complement.
TGCAGCCTGGGCGACAGAGAGACACTGTCTAAAAAAAAAACAAAGAGTGAAATAAATGCTGTTTTGGCAGGTGTGGGAAAAGAAAAAATTTTAAAAGTAAAAAAAAAAAGGTGAAATAAAATATCATTATTGATATTGCTGTCCCTTCAGCTTCTTTCTTTTTGTCCACCCAACCAGGCTGCTGGAATGGAGGCTTGTTTGTTTGCTGAATGGATGAATGAATGAATGAATGAATGAATGAGTTAGTGAATGAAGTCTGAGGCAGCATCCTGGGCTCATGGAATATTCCTCCCCCAGCCTCTCATACCCTAATGGTGCTTCAATTTCATAAAAGAGGAGGAGGCTGTGTCCCCGCCATCCTGCAGCCTGGTCACCCTGGTTACCCTGCTGCGCACACACTCGCTTTCCAAGTGGAGACTCAACTCCTTGGCTCTGCAGACAGAGCCTCTGGCAACCTCTGCCCACTGCTGGGGCTGTCTCTCCCTATCATCCCAGCTTCATTCCTGCAGTCACAGTCACTGAGCTTCTTCTGTGTACCCGGCACTGGGGACACAGCAGGAAACAAAAGCAAAGATCCTTGTTCTCCAGGGCTCTATGCACGAATATGCGGCCCCAAGTCAGGTGGAGCTGATTGCAATGAAGAAAAATGAAACAGGGACCAGCTGCAGTAATTCCAGCACTTTGAGTGCCAGAGTCTGGAGGATCACCTGAGGTCAGGAGTTCGAGACCAGCCTGGCCAACATGGTGAAATACTATCTCTACTAAAAATAGAAAAATTAGCGGGGCGTGGTGGCACGCACCTGTAATCCCAGCTACTCAGGAGGCTGAGGCAGGAGAATCGCTTGAATCCGGGAGGCAGAGGTTGCAGTGAGCCAAGATCGTGCCACTGCATTCCAGCTTGGGTGACAGAGCAAGACTCTGTCTCAAAAAAAAAAAAAAAAAAAAAGGTTGGGTGCAGTGGCTCACACCTGTAATCCCAGCACTTTGGGAGGCCGAGGCAGGTGGATCACCTGAGGTCAGAGTTCGAGACTAGCCTCCCAACATGGTGAAACCCAGTATCTACTGAAAATACAAAAATTAGCCAGGTATGGTGGCGGGTGCCTGTAATCCCTGCTACTTGGGAGGCTGAGGCAGGAGAATCTCTTGAACCCGGGGAGCCAGAGGTTGCAGTGAGCTGAGATCGCATCATTGCACTCCAGCCGGGGCGATAAGAGCAAAACTCCATTTCAAAAAAAAAAAAAAAAGAAAGAAAAATGAAATGGGTTAAGGGACAAGAAGGGGGTAAGGGTCAGGGCTGCTCCATTGGTGGCCAAGGAAAGCATCTCTGGGGAGGCCACACGTGGGCAGAAGCCTAACTGAAAGAAAGACGTCAGCCAGGTGCAGACCTGGGGAACGGGGAGTCCCCAGAGAACGCGGGGCGCCGAGTACAAAGGCCCCAAAGCTGTTTCTTGCCCATGCAGTGTTGGAGGAACAGGGAGGAGGCCAGCATGGCTGGAAGGGAATGAACAAGGCAAAGTGTACCAGCGAACAGGGCAAACAGACTCGGGGGGCCAGATAATTTGGAGTTGCGTGGGCCGTGGGGAGGATGCTGGCCTTTACTCCAAATGAGATGGGAGCCGTGGGAGAGTTGAGAGCACAAGAGGGACATGGGCTAACTTCGGAGTTAAGAGGCTTCCTCGGCTGCTGTAGCAAGAAGAGACCATGGGGTGAGGGGCCGAGTGTGGAGATCATCAAGGAGGCTACTGCAATAGTCCAAGCAAACAACGAGGGTGGAAGTAGAGGTGGTGAGAGGTGGCCAGATTCTGGGAATATTTTGAAAATAGAGTCAGCTAATGGACTGGACGTGGAGGTGTGGGAAAAAGACAGCCAGTCAGCAGTGACTGGAAGGTTTGGGTCGGAGCCACCACGCTGGGGAGGTGGTGGGCGGGGCAGGTGCAGGTTTCCCAAAGGTCCCAAGCAGTTCCACAGCTCCAGGCCTTTGTGCCCTCTGTGGCCCCTGCCTGGAATGCCCTCCCTGCTCAGCTCCCCACCCCCAGCCTCAGACTCAACCCTGCTCCCAGCCACAGCCGGGCCTAAACGTCATCCTCTCTGGAGGCTTCTCTGCAAGGAACCCTGGTTCAGTGCAGTGCACCCTTCTGCGTCCTCATGACAGCTTGCTCTTCCTCTTCCCTGGAATGGACAGTCATAACCCATCGGCTGGAAACTTGTGCTGAGTGGACAACACCCAAGCAACAGGGGAGTGGTCCTGGCTTGAATCAGTCATCAAATGCACCTGCAGGAAATAACCTCGTTCTTTCCTTCATTCAGCCAATTTGTTGTTGTTGTTGCTGTTTTTGAAACAGAGTCCTGCTCTGTAACCCCGGCTGGAGTGCAGTGGCACCATCTCAGCTCACTGCAACCTCTACCTCCTGGGTTCAGACGATTCTTGTGCCTCAGCTTCCTGAGTAGCTGGGACTACAGGCGTGCGCCGCCATGCCTAGCTAATTTTTGTATTTTTTATAGAGACAAGGTTTTGCCATGTTGGTCAGGCTGGTCTTGAACTCCTGACCTCAAGGGATCCTCCCACCTTGGCCTCCCAAAGCACTGGGTTTCCATTGCAAGTTAACGTATAAACCTATTTTTATAAAAATAATAACTATTTGGCAGGGCGTGGTGGCTCACTCCTGTAATCCCAGCACTATGGGAGACCAAGGCGGGTGGATCACTTGAGCTCAGGAGTTCAAGACCAGCCTGGGCAATACGGTGAAACCCCGTCTCTACTAAAATACAAAAAATTAGTCAGGCATGGTGGCGAGCGCCTGTAGTCCCAGCTACTCGGGAGGTTGAGGCAGGAGAATCACTTGAACCTGGGAGGAGGTTGCAGTGAGCTGAGATTGCACCACTGCACTCCAGCCTGGGCAACAGAGCAAGACTCCATCTCAAAAAAAAAAAAAAAAGCCAGTGGCAGTGGCTCCTCATACCTGTAATCTCAGCACTTTGGAAGGCCAAGGCAAGTGGATCACCTGAGGTCAGGAGTTCGAGACCAGCCTGACCAACATGGTGAAACCCCGTCTCTACTAAAAATACAAAAATTTCCAGGCCTGGTATCGGGCACCTGTAATCCCAGCTACTCAGGAGGCTGAAACAGGAAAATCACTTGAACCCGGGAGCTGGAGGTTGCAGTGAGCCAAGATCGCCCCCATTGCATTCCAGCCTGGGCAACGAGAGTGAAACTCGATCTCAAAAAAAAAAAAAACTATTTTCCAAAAAAATTCAGTGCATTGAGTGGCATTGTTTGTGTCATTTTGAAAATCTTTTTTTTTTTTTTTTTTGACAGAGTTCCACTCTGTCACTCTGTGGCCAGGCTGGTCTCAAACTCCTGACCTCAAGTGATCCGCTGGCTTTGGCCTCCCAAAGTGCTGGGATTACAGGTGTGAGCCACCGCGCCCGGCCGCACATCTCTTTAATGTCTGGCTGGATCCTTGCATCTGTGTCTGTCTTCAGTGCAGCCATTCATTACATGTCAGGCAACTTCTGGAAACTTCTACTGTCCACTTATGAGTGAATGAGAACGAAAAAGGCAGTTAACATCTCAGGAGGGTAGTATACAAATACTTTTGACCTCATGGACCCCTTGAAAGGGTCTCAGGGACTCCTAAGCGACTCTGAACCATACTTTGAGAACCACTGACATGTAGTTTCAGTTTTGAAATCAATAAAGTGTCAAAAAGGAAAAAGTTTTAGGGCAAGTTTGGTGATAAAACTGACCTAAACAGACTGATACTCTTTTTTTTTTTTTTTTTTTTTTTTTTTTTTTTTTTTTTTGAGGCAGACTCTCGCTCTGTTACCAGGCTGGAGTGCAGTGGCGCGGCGATCTCGGCTCACTGCAATCTCTGCCTCCTGGGTTCAAGCGATTCTCCTGCCTCAGCCTCCTGAGTAGCTGGGACTACAGGCACGCACCACCATGCCCAGCTAATTTTTGTATTTTTAATAGAGACCGAGTTTCACCATGTTGGCCAGGATGGTTTCGATCTCCTGATCTCATGATCCACCCTCCTCGGCCTCCCAAAGTGCTGGGATTGTAGGCATGAGCCACCACGCCCGGCCCCCATTAAAAAAAAAAAAAGTGCTGATTGCCACGGAGGATTTTTTGTCTTTCTTTCTTTTCAGAGAGTGACTTTGTTTCTGAGACCACCGAGGATCTTGATATCACCCCTGCTAATGGCTGGGCGCTCACAGTTTGGAAAGCTCTAGGGAACCCTCTGTTACTCCCCAGACAAGACCCACTCCATCCCCACCCTGACTCAGTGGTGCCCGGCAGTGCTAAGTCCTGATGTGCAATTATTCCACTCGTGGCTGCTTTCCTTGAACCCCCGAGACTCCCAGAAGGTGAGGGAACGCGTCTCACTTGCTTCCTGCTGCAGCCCCAGCTTCTGGCCCAGCGCCTGCCTAATCACATAGTGGGCACCTAGTAAACGTTCGTTGAGTGAATACATGAACAAGCGAGCTGGGGCCAGAGTCAGGACTGCAGCCCCGCCTGTGCCGCTCCCTAGGACTTGATAATTCTGCCCACATCACTTCCAAAGACCCAGGCAGCGGACCCTTCCTCGGCTCCTGCTACCCGCATCCAACCGCAGCTTAATCTGAGCCTCCTTGCTGGGTCGAGCAGGACTACATTTCCTACAAGTCTCAAGGCCAGGACTACACCTCCCATAAGCCTCTGCTTCCGCCAGGTTCTGTGCCCTTCAGCCACCCGGGCAGCGAATTGCGTCTTTTCTCACTCCCCGCCCCCCGATTGCATCCCCTCCACCCTGCAGCCTAGGCCGTGCGCCCCCTCCCTCCCGCGATGAACCTGCCTCAGTTTCTCCAATGAGACACCCTGAGGGCAGCCCCTTCCCCTGAGCCCCCCGATGAGGACGGCTGCGCTCTGCGGGGAGTGTGCACTGCCCGGCCGGTGTGCGCCACGGCTGCGCGTTTTGGTGGAAAGCCCTGGGCCCCTGCTGGGGGTTGGGGTTGGGGGCTGGGTCGCCTGCGCCGAGTGTTGCTGAGGCTGCGTCTTGGGTGCGCAGCTCCGGCCCAGCCTCACCCAGGGGAACGCCTCGCAGGTGCTCACGGACGATGGAGAGGTCCGCGCCCAGGGTGGGAGTCCGCGCTTCCGGGTGTGTCTGCAGCTCGGGGCGCTGGAGGGTGGGATGTGACCCCGAGACGGCGGCGGCCTGGCACGTGATGTATGTGTGTCCTTGTCTGATGTGTCGGTGTCCCCGATGGACCGGGTTCCAGTCCCAGCTTTGCCACTCCCCGGCTTGTGTGCCTTGGGGCAGGTGACTACCCCGCGCTGTGCCTCAGTTGCCTCATCTGTACAATGGGCATGATTAAAAAATACCTGTCTCAGAGGGCGGTTGTGAGGATTGAGAGGTAATTCTGTACGTGTAAAACGCTGCGGACGATACCTGGCACAGACTAAATACTCATAAGAATAAATACATTAAATAAACTATGATCATGTATCTTTTGTATGAGGCAAGTGCTGTGGTTGTGTAATGTCTGCGTAACCGCACGGGAAACGTGGGTATTTGCGACCCGTGTGTCTGTGCGCGTGTCTGTGTCTGTGTTGTGGGTGTGTGACTCTTTGTATGTGTTATGTGTGCCAGTGTGTGTTTATGTATGTGATGTGTGACTGTGGTGGGGTTCTGTGTCTTTGTAACCTTGTGTGAAAGGTGTGTGTATTTGTGATGTGTGTGTCCATGTCTGTTTAGGTATGTGATGTGTGCAACTCTGTGTGTCTGTGTATTTGATCTGTGTGCCTATGTCTGTGCTTATGTATGTGTGACTGTGTATATGTGCATGTTATATGTGTCTGTATGTATCAGTGTGTGGTGTATTTATGTGTATTTTTGCATGTGATTTATGTAGCCCTGTATGTATGAGTTGTGTGTGCCCGCATGCATGTGTATGTAGTGTGTCTGTGTGTATCCATGTGAGTGAAGCTTGTGTCCGTGTGAGTGATGCATGTTACGTGTCCGTATACATGCATGTATTATGTTTCTGTGTACTCATGTATGTGATGTGCCTGTCTCTGTGTAGCTGCTGTGTCCGTGTCTATGTTAGTTCATGTGATGTGTGTGTCTGCGTGTGTCTGTGCAATTGCTGTCTGTGCATGTCTGTGTGACGTGCATGTATGTGATACTTGTGTCTGTGGGTATTCTTTGTTGCCCATTTGTCTAGGGACTGTCTGCGTGGCTGTGACTATGAGTGTCAGCATGTCACAGTGGTGTCCGTGGGGATCTTTGTCTGTGGCGTGTGCGTCTGTGGATCTGGGGCTTTACTTTGTCCGGGGCATGTGTGGGTCTTTGTGATGCTTTGACGTTCCTGCGTGGCCGGGTGCATCTGTGCTGGAAGCTGGCCTGCCTGTGCGTTTCCAGTGCGGTCCCTGCGTCTTTGTGTGTGACGTGTACGTGTCCCCGTCTGCTGATGGCTGTCCACCTTTGTATGTGATGCGCTTGTCTATGAGGGTCCCTGCGACGTGTGTCAGCTGTGTGTGGGCTGCGCGTGCCTGACATCTGCATCTTAGCGTGTAGCACATGTGTCCATGCTGGTGGCATGTCACAGCGGTGTCCGGGCCAGGCACCCGTGGGCCCTGCCCCCCCACCCCCGCTGCAAGTGTGTGCCGGTCCCTGTCTGTCCCTCCCCCTCCCATTTCCTCCCCTCCCTCCTGGCAGCCAATGCTACGGGGGAGCCAGTTGCCATGACGACGCTCCATCCTCCCTCCTCCCACCCTTCCTGTGACAGGCTCTCTGCTCCCCCAATCCTGGCTGCCCTCGGGGGCGGGGCCCTCTTTCTCGCCCCCCCCATCCTACCCTCTCCCCCCCACCCCAGCAACCCCGGCTCCCCAGCATCTCTCCTCTGTCCGCCTCTCCATCCCTTCATCCGTCTGTCCCTTCAAAGAGGGGGAGGGGGGTACCTGAGCCAGCAAGCAGCCCCTCCCTCCCCCTGTCCTGCGTCTCCTGCCCCTCTCCTGGGCCGGGAGGAGGCCAGGGTCGCGCGGGTCCCCATGGCTGGGGGCTGAGGGCCCGCCCCCCCCTCCTCCCCAGCCGCCACCACCTCCACCTCCCTGCCATCCTCGACAAGATGCCTGCCCCCGGCGCCCTCATCCTCCTTGCGGCCGTCTCCGCCTCCGGCTGCCTGGCGTCCCCGGCCCACCCCGGTGAGTCTGTCGGGCCATCAGTCTGTCCGGTGGCCCCCACCCCCGCGGCGGCCTCGCTGTCTGCCCAGGGGTCTGTCTGCGGGTCCTGCCCCGTCACCTGGTGCGCGTCTTCCCGCAGCCCAGCAGGGCCCGGAGCGGCGGGGACGGTGCCTCTGTCAGCAGGGCCTGTGGGAGGGAGGCTGGGGGCTGGGTGGGGAGGGGGCTCCGTTTGGGCAACATGTGTGTATGCGTGCACGCATGTGTTTGTGCTGGTGTGTGCAGGAAGAAGGGGAAGGACAGGGCCTCTGGGAGAATTGGGGGCAGAGGACAGGAATACTATTTCTAAGGGGGACACAACACGGGAGGCTGTCTCTGGCTTCTGGAGAGACCCAGGGCTTGCGGAGTTCCCTTCTCTGGGTCTTGGGCTGGGGATAGAGAACATCGGTGTGCGCCAAGCGTCCCTAAAAGAGACAGATCTCAACCCCACAAACTGGGGGGTTCCAGCATGGGGCAAGAATCTTCTCCCAGCCTGCAGCTGAGAGCTAGTCCTCCTCCCCAACGAGGGGTAATGAGGCTGTCCACGGGAGCGTATTTTAAATTCTGCAAGCTCCAGACTTCACTATCACTCCTCTTTCCTTCAACCCTCATTGGAATTCATCCAAGCCTGGGGTGAGGGGATGGGGTGGGATGAGGTGGCGGGGGTCCCAGTTTGGGACGAGAAGAGAGACCCCACCCCCAATCCAACCACTTGGGAAGGCCCCAAACTACAACTCCCACAATGCCTTGGGCCACTCTGCACCTCTGCCAAGGGACCCTGGTCGCAGAGCATCACGGGAGTTGTAGTCCAAGACGTGCCGGGACGGGAGGGGGCATGATTCCGGTATCCAGGGACTTGAAGCTGGGACCCCAGCCCAGCCCTGTGCCCACAGATGGATTCGCCCTGGGCCGGGCTCCTCTGGCTCCTCCCTACGCTGTGGTCCTCATTTCCTGCTCCGGCCTGCTGGCCTTCATCTTCCTCCTCCTCACCTGTCTGTGCTGCAAACGGGGCGATGTCGGCTTCAAGGTGAGGTGCATGAGGGGATTCAACTTGGGGAGGAAGACTCCAGCAAGGCCTTTACCCCCTACACAGGTGGTTGGTGGGGAGAAGGGGGCAGTAAATCCGAGAGCACCTTCCAGCTTGAAGCTATGGCAAGATCTGGAGCCTTGGGATGGGGAAATGGGGGATGGAAATTGGGCTGGGACTGGGAGACAGTTACAAAAATGAAGGGGAGACAAACTTAAGAGAAAGACGATGGCGTGTCTCTCAGCCCTGCGTTCTCCCACCCCTCTTCTCCTCTCCTGGCCCCAGGAATTTGAGAACCCTGAAGGGGAGGACTGCTCCGGGGAGTACACTCCCCCTGCGGAGGAGACCTCCTCCTCACAGTCGCTGCCTGATGTCTACATTCTCCCGCTGGCTGAGGTCTCCCTGCCAATGCCTGCCCCGCAGCCTTCACACTCAGGTACTGCCCCACGCCATGACCAGCATCCCATGGTGTCCCGGGAAAGGCCAGAAGATGTTGAGTGTGTTCCTTCAGGGGCTGGGGCGGTTGAGACCAGCGGCAGCCAATGGGAAAGGCATAGGTGGGAGCGCTGGAATCTTGGAAGCAGCCTATGGGGAGGCAGACAAAGATCATCTTGGTGGAAGCCATTGCTTAATCCAAAACCAGATTTGGGGATTTTTAAGGGGCAAGCGGTGGTGAGATTACCATAGAGCACAGTCTCAGAGGCAGCCAATGGGAGGCTGAAATCACATCATAGGAGCTTGGGATGCCAAAAGGAAGGACTGATTGGATGCTGGAGCCTTGTGAGCAGCCAATGAGGAAGCTGAGATTCTGACATGGAATGTGGGTGGCAGCCAATGAAAAGAGAGTGATGTCTGCTCTGTCTCAGTCCCCACTGACCTGGGGTGTGTTGGTAGCACTCAGGAAGGGGGAGAGACTCAGGGGCTTTCCCCTCTTGCCCTCCCCAGACATGACCACCCCCCTGGGCCTTAGCCGGCAGCACCTGAGCTACCTGCAGGAGATTGGGAGTGGCTGGTTTGGGAAGGTGAGTGGGCTGGGGAGGGGAGGCAGGGCTCCATGGATCCCGAGCTGTCCTCCTGTTCTGTGTCCACACCCCTGCTCTCACCACTTCTCATCTGTCCCTCGCCTCCTCCCCATGCCCCCTCAGCCTCCCATCCCCCCTCCGTCCACCTCTCACCGGCTCCCACCCGCCCCATCCCCGACATCTGTCAGTCAGCGCCTCCCTCCTCACTCCATTGACCACTCCGCCGCGCCACCCGGCTCTCCACGCGTCCGTCCGTCTGTCCATCCTTCCATCCGTCCCTGCGTCCATCGGATTCTGGGCCCGTGAGTGTCTCACCCCATGTCTGGTGGGGGTCAAGGGTGGTGGGATGTGGAGGGAGAAGCTGGGAAGGAGCCGGGGGTTGGGAGCTGTGTGGTGGAGTGGAGCTGGTCCCAGGGGACGGGGCTGGGGAAACGGCACTCGCTGACTCCTGGGTGCCCCTTGACCAGGTGATCCTGGGAGAGATTTTCTCCGACTACACCCCCGCCCAGGTGGTGGTGAAGGAGCTCCGAGCCAGCGCGGGGCCCCTGGAGCAACGCAAGTTCATCTCGGAAGCACAGCCGTACAGGTACTGAGGGTTTCTCAGTGGGTGTGTGCCTTGTTGAGGTGACATTCAGGAGTGGAAGGAGTGCTGTATGGGGTCACACCTGGAATCTACCTCTTCCGGTTGTGCAGCTCTGGCAGGAGAACTTCCCTCCCTGAACCTCAGGTTCTTCCTCTGGACCGAGCTAAGGGTGGGAAGTGAGAGGCAGGATGGTGGAGGAGGCGGGAGCACAGAAGCTGAGCTAGAGGCCTGCTCCTCTCCCCTCTGAACCTCCGGATCTTCATCTGGAAAGTGAGTCCAGGAAGCCCTAGTGTCCTCATGAAGAGGGCAGCTGAGAGGATGTGAGATTCCCATGTCCAATGTTGGGTACCAGCTGGTACTTCCCTTCCCCAGGCCACAGACTAGGTCCCTGAGCAGGTGCCCGAGCAGGCCACTGTGGAGCTCCATCCCTGCCCTTCTTGGTCTCTACTCCACTCTCAGTGCTTCTAGGATGGGGTCTAGGTATCCATTTGCCAGATAAATTCCTTGTGAGGTAGTGAGTTCCCTGTTTTGGAAAGGGTGTGTTCGCAGAGACCCCTTATCAGAACAGTTGTAAAGGTGGGCTTTACCCTGAGAAACACATTGGGTTTTGGCACTCCCTCACTCCAAAACCTCCCATGGCTCCCTACTGCCTACAGGACACATCTGGTCCTCCTGACAGCCCACAGGCCCTGCGCAGTCTGACACTGTCCCTTCCTTCCAATGTCCCCCTCACCCCAGCCACGCTGGCCTCTTCACTGACCCTCCCCACGGAAGCCAATTCCCTGCCGCAGCGCATCGGACCTTGCTATATCCTCTCTAGAATATCACTCCTTGCTCATCCCCAGGTGTGGATGGGGCCCCTTCCCTTCCTCAGGCCTCAGCTCAGAGACATCTTCCCTTACTCCTCCCCTCCTTCCAAAGAGGGTCCTGGGGTGCTTCACCCCGTCATGGCATGTGTTTTCTTCATAACCCATACCCCAGGTTGTCACTATATCATTTGCTTACTTGCTTATTGCCTGTCTCTCCCTAAACCTGTGCCAGCAAACACTGGCCACATATGCCTATTACATTTAAGCTAAGATGGGCACGGTGGTATACTCGTGTAGTCCCGGCACTTTGGGAGGCCAAGGTGGGAGGATCACTTGAGGCCAGAAATTGGAGGATGGAGTGAGCTATGACTGCACCACTGCACTCCCACCTGGGCAACAGAGCGAGACCCTGTCTCTATTATATAAATAAATAAATAAAATGTAAGCTAATTAAAATGCAATCAAATTAAAAACACATTTCCTCAGCCACCCTCATCATATCTCAAGTGCTCAATAGCCACCTGTGGCCAGTGGCTCCCCTGGTAGGCAGGGCTGGTCCAGAAGATTCCCACCTTCGCAAAGCTCTGTTGGACAGTGCAGGTCTCTACTAGCAGCAGCTCAGGGTCTGTCTCGTTACCCGAGCACAAGTGCTGCTGGCTCTCAGTAGACGTTTGCTGGGCGAGCCACAGACCTGAGATCAAATCCCAATGTTCCCATCATTACCAGCTGTGTGACCCTAGGCAAGTCGCTTCACCTCTGTTCCATCTGGATCAAATGGGGATCATCATCCTGCCTAGCACGTTGCTGGGAGGATTTGAGAGCAGAGCGGCCGGCCTTGGCCAGATTCGTGGGTGTGCAGTGAATCCTGGCTTCCTTCTACACCAGCCACCCCAAGTCTCCCATGCTGGGAACTCCAGCCACTGTTGAAGCCCCACACATGGCAGGAGCTTCATGAACACTTTGTCGGGCTCCTGCCTGTAATCCTAGCACTTTGGGAGGCCAAGGCGGGCAGACTGCCTGAGCTCAGGACTTGGAGACCAGCCTGGGCTAAACCCTATCTCTACAAAAATACAAAAAAATTGGCCAGGCACGGTGGCTCACACCAGTAATCCCAGCACTTTGGGAGACTGAGGTGGGCAGATCATGAGGTCAGGAGTTCGAGACCAGCCTGGCCAACATGGTGAAACCCCATCTCTACTAAAAATGCAAACATTAGCCAGGTGTGGTGGGCAGGCGCCTGTAATCCCAGCTACTCAGGAGGCTGAGGCAGGAGAATTGTTTGAACCCCAGAGGCAGAGGTTGCAGTGAGCCAAGATCACACCACTGTACTCCAGCCTGGGAGACAGCGTGAGAAAACAACAACAATAACAACACTTTGTTACACGATTCTTCCACCAAACAGAAGCAAGAGACCCTGTTCTCCTGAGGACACACAGCATAAACAGCAGAGCCGCGGTTACACACAGGCAATAGAAGGCTGGGTACTGGCAGTGGCCCCACAGCACACAAGTGGCTCTGCCTCCCGCCAGGCCCCAGTAGGAAAATAACTAGTAAGTTACTGTGCACCTACTCCTGGCCAGACCCTGGGCTGCAAGCCTGAAATGTTCTCATCCTCCTGCAGACCTCCAAGCCAGTCCTTCTCTCCACCTGTGTTTATTGAGCATCTACTACTAGTCTAGGCACTGAGGACACAGGCAGGAAGACACACCAAATTCTTATCCTAGGAGAGCTCACCCCCTAGTGGAGAAGACACACAATAGATAAATAAATACTTTTTTTTTTTTTTTCAAGGCTCACTTCAGCCTTGAGCTCCTGGGCTCAAGTGATCCTCCTGCCTCAGCCTCCTGCATAGCCACCATGCCTGGCTAACTTTTATTTTTATTTATTTATCTTTTTTTTTTTTTCAGATGAAGTCTTGCTCTGTTGTCAGGCTGGAGTGCAGTGGCGCAATCTCAACTCTCTGCAACCTCTGCCTCCTGGGTTCAAGCGATTCTCCTGCCTCAGCCTCCAGAGTAGCTGCGATTACAGGCGCCCACCACCACATCTGGCTAATTTTTGGTATTTTTAGTAGAGACGGGGTTTCACCATGTTGGCCAGGCTGGTCTCGAACTCCTGACCTCAGGTGATTCACCCACCTTGGCCTCCCAAAGTATTCGGATTACAGACTTTTTTTTTTTTTTTTTTAGACAGAGTTTCAATCTTGTTGCCCAGGCTGGAGTGCAATGGCGGGGCCTCAGCTCACTGCAATCTCCGCCTCCCGGGTGCAAGCAATTCTCCTGCCTCAGCCTCCCAAGTAGCTGGGATTACAGGCATGTGCCACCAAGCCCAGCTTATTTTGTATTTTTAGTAAAGACAGGGTTTCACTATGTTGGCCAGGCTGGTCTCGAACTCCTGACATCAGGTGATCCACCCATCTCGGCCTCCCAAAGTGCAGGGATTACAGGCATGAGCCACTGCACCCAGACTATATATTTTTTTTAATTGTAGAGATGGAGTTTCACTATGCTGCTCCAGCTGGTCTCAAACTTCTAGGTTCAAGCCATCCTCCTGCCTCGGCCTCCCAGAGTGCTGAGATTTCAGGTGAGAGCCACCAGACCAAGCCAGAAATGCATTTTAAAAAGAGAAACTGTCAGCTGGGCGTGGTGGCTCACACCTGTAATCTCAGTACTTTGAGAGGCCCAGGCAGGCGGATTACCTGAGGTCAGGAGTTCAAGGCCAGCCTGGCCAACATGGTGAAATCCCGTCTCTAATAAAAATATAAAAATTAGCCAGGCATGGTGGCACATGCCTGTAATCCCAGCTACTCAGGAGGATGAGGCAGGAGAATTGCTGGAGCCCGGGAGATGGAGGTTGCAGTGAGCCAAGATTGCACCACTGCACTCCAGCCTGGGCGACAGAGCAAGACTCTGTCTCATAAAAAAAAAAAAAAAAAAAAAAAAAAGAGAGAGAGAGAGAGAGAGAGAAACTGTCAGAGAATGACAAATACCATGAGAAAATGAGGCAGTATGTGACAGAGACAGGGGCCACCTTGGATAGGACCATCAGGGAGGCCGGGTTGACTTGGAGAAGTCAGCCATGCAAAGCACCATGGGAAGTACATTCCAGGCAGAAGGAACAGCAGGTACAAAGGATGTAGGACAGGAAGAAGCTCATGGAGAGTGAGCAGCCCTGGAAATACATTTAGAATGCAGGGTGAAGCCTGGGCACGGTGGCTCATGCCTGTAATCCCAGCACTTCGGGAGGCCGAAGTGGGTGGATCACTTGAGGTCAGGAGTTCAAGAGCAGCCTGGCCAACATGGTGAAACCCATTATCTACTAAAAATACAAAAATTAGCCGAGTGTGGTAGTGTGTACCTATAATCCCAACTACTCGGAGTTGAGGCAGGAGAATCACTTGAACCCGGGAGGTGGAGGTTGCAGTGAGCCGAGATTGCACCACTGTACTCCAGACTGGGCGAAAGAGCAAGACTCTGTCTTAAAAAAAAGAATGCAGGGTGAAAATAAAATCAAATAATATGTTGCCATTAAAACAGCAGTAATTGCTAGGATCTCAGCACATACCAGCTTCTCTCAGATCTCATGTAATTCCTCAGAGGAAGTTGTTATCGCTGTCCCATTTTTACAGATGAGGAAAACTGAGGCAGGGAGCAGCGAAGTGGCTTGCCTGAGATGACACACCTAGGAAAGTGGGAGTCAGGGTTCAAACCCCCGAGTCTGACTCTTTCCCACAGCGTGAGGGTAAAGGGGAGGGTATCCAACCTGGCATTGGGGGGGCAGCAAAGCTTCCCGGGGAGATGATGTTGAGGCAGAGGCCCGGAGGGGCCAAGAGAACTCTGATGAGAGGAGGGCGTTCTGCAGAGAGAGAACCGTAGGTGCAGGCAGGGTGCGGTGGTTCACGCCTGTAATCCCAGCACTTTGGGAGGCTGAGGCGGGCGTATCACCGGAGGTCTGGAGTTTGAGACCAGCCTGGCCAACATGGTGAAACCCTGTCTCTACTAAAAATACAAAAATTAGCCAGGCTTGGTGTCGGGCATCTGTAATCCCAGCTACTCGGGAGGCTGAGGCAGGAGAATCGCTTGAACCCGGGAGGTGGAGGTTGCAGTGAGCTGAGATCACTCCATTGCACTCCAGCCTGAGTGATAAGAATGAAACTCCCTCTCAAAGAGGAAGGAAGGGAGGGAGGGAGGGAGGAAGGAAGGAAGGAAGGGAGGGAGGAAGCAAGGAAGGAAAAAAAAGAGAGAGAGAGAGAGAGAGAAAACTGTAGGTGCAAAGGCCCGGGCCTAAGCAAGGGCCTGCAGGTTTGGGAAAACCCACATGGGATAAAGCTGACTCTTGGGCCAGCCGGAGGAGCAGGAGGAATCAAAGAGCCGGCGCTCTATCCTGGGGTGCTGGGGATCGACAGAGGGCTGTGTGTGGTGAAAAGCAGGTGAGGCAAAGGGAAGGGGAGAGACTAGAGCCAGGGAGGCTGGGAGGAGGCTGTGGGGACGAGGAGGAGAAGACTGAGAAGAGTCTGGGGCAGGAATGAAGGTGGAGGTGAGGTGTAAGGAGGAAGGAGAGGTAAAGGGGTCCCTGGGGACCTGCTCCCCCAGGAGCAGGCCAGTGAGGGCCATCCAGAGATGGGGACCTGGGGAAGGAGTGGGGTGTGGTCGAGGAGAGAGACTCCGAGGTGAGGAAACTGAGATCAAAAAGGTAGAGTGGGCCGGGTGCGGTGGTTCACGCCTGTAATCCCAGCACTTTGGGAGCCTGAGGAGGGTGGATCACTTGAGGTCAGGAGTTCGAGACCAGCCTGGCCAACATGGTGAAACCCCATCTTTACTAAAAATACAAAAATTAGCCAGGCGTGGTGGCGCATGCCTGTAATCCTGGCTACTCAGGAGGCTGAGGCAGGACTCCCGCCTGGGCGACAGAGCGAGACTCCGTCTCAAAACAAACAAACAAACAAAAACAACAAAAAAGGGTGGAGGCAGCAGTTTGGTTCTGCTGGGGGTTGGGGCAGGATGAAGAGGAAGGGGCTGCCTTCCCAACTCAGCCACCTCCTCACTCCACAGGAGCCTGCAGCACCCCAATGTCCTCCAGTGCCTGGGTCTGTGCGTGGAGACGCTGCCGTTTCTGCTGATTATGGAGTTCTGTCAACTGGTGAGGGTCTTGGGGGGTTGGGGAAGGGCAGAGGGGGCAGCTGGACAAGGCCGGGGCCAAGCCTGGTGCCCCTGGGCTTCGTCGTCATCATCATCATCATCGTAGATGATGTGTGGCATGCGCTAACATTTCATGAGTGCTGCCTGTCCTGGGGGCTGGCCTGAACAAGCAGGCAAGATGGGCTGTGTTATTACCTGCTGCAAGCAGCAGAGGAAACTAAGGCTCAGAGGGGCTACCCAGTGACAGCAGAAGCCATTCCAGCCTCCGGGCCGACTAGCTGGAGACCTGAGCGGCTGGTGGTGCTGACCTTCTTTGCCTCCCTCCCAGGGGGACCTGAAGCGTTACCTCCGAGCCCAGCGGCCCCCCGAGGGCCTGTCCCCTGAGCTACCCCCTCGAGACCTGCGGACGCTGCAGAGGATGGGCCTGGAGATCGCCCGCGGGCTGGCGCACCTGCATTCCCACAACTACGTGCACAGGTGGGCGGGCCGGGGAGCCGCGGGAGGAGCTACTAAGGGGAAGGGGGAAGGAGGTGAGGCCTCAGGGGAGGGGCTAGAGGGGGGGCGGACCCATGACTGGCTGACACAAAATAGGGACGAACCGAGGAGGGTATGGAGGAGAAGGGGCCAGGAGAGGAGGCGGGACCAGGAGGGGAATGAGAGGAACCAAGTGAGAGGGAGGCGGGGTCAGGTGATGAGGGGAAGGGCCAGGAGAGGAAAAGGGGTCAGGAGAGGAGGAGGAGGAACCAGGGGAGGGGGAGGGGTCAGGGGAGGAGGAGGAAGAACCAGGATAAGGGGAGGAGCCAGGAGAGGGGGAGGAGGAGCCAGGAGAGGGGGAGGAGGAGCCAGGGGAGGGGAGGGGCCAGGAGAGAAGGAGGAGGAGCCAGGATAGGGGAGGGTCCAGGAGAGAAGGAGGAGCCAGGAGAGGGAAGAGGAGCCAGGGGAGGGGGGCAGGGGAGGGGGAGGAGTCAGGAGAGGAGGAGGGTCCAGGAGAGGAACGGAAGGAGCCAGGTGAGGGGGAAGCAGGGTCACGTGATGAGGAGAGGTGGCTGGGAGAGGAGGGGGAGGAGTCAACAGAGAAGCAGGAGAAGCCAGAAGGGTCAGATGAATAAGAGGAGGAGCCAGTGCAGAGGAAAAGGAGAGGAGACTTGGAGGAACCAGGGGTGGGGAGAAGACAAGACAGCAGGGGAGAGTGAAAGCAGTCAGAGGGGAGAGACAGATCAGAGGGAAGGGGCAGAGTCAGTGTGGCGGGGCAGGGTCATGGGAGGGGTGGAGTCAGTGTGAAAGGGCGGGGTCAGGGCGTGGCTGGAGGGCTGCCCCTGCGCTCACCTCCTCGCGTTCTTCCCGCAGCGACCTGGCCCTGCGCAACTGCCTGCTGACCTCTGACCTGACCGTGCGCATCGGAGACTACGGGCTGGCCCACAGCAACTACAAGGTAGGGCTTCCTTCCGTCGGGATGGGGGCTGTGGGGTGCCCTGACCCGCCTGACACCGCCCTGGTTCCCTCAGGAGGACTACTACCTGACCCCAGAGCGCCTGTGGATCCCACTGCGCTGGGCGGCGCCCGAGCTCCTCGGGGAGCTCCACGGGACCTTCATGGTGGTGGACCAGAGCCGCGAGAGCAACATCTGGTGAGGACCACGGGCCGCGGGGGCCGAGGCAGGCCAGGAAGGTGGAAGGGTTACTAGATGCCACCGGTTCTACAGATGGGGAAAATGAGGCCCGGGTGGGTCAGGGCTGGGCTCTGACCTCTCTCTGCTCTCTGCAGGTCCCTGGGGGTGACCCTGTGGGAGCTGTTTGAGTTTGGGGCCCAGCCCTACCGCCACCTGTCAGACGAGGAGGTCCTCGCCTTCGTGGTCCGCCAGCAGCATGTGAAGCTGGCCCGGCCGAGGCTCAAGCTGCCTTACGCGGACTACTGGTGAGGGCTAGCCCACCCGGGGCTCCTGGCCTGCCGCACCCCACCCAGGATGGTCCCAGCATCCCCCCTCGTTTCCCACATCACCCACATCCCGTTTGCCCTCCATACCCCTCAAGAGTGAAGAGGGGCTGTCCCCACCCTTTCTGCCAGCATCTGCTACTTGCAGGGGGACACAGGCAGGGGATGGCAGAGCTGTGATTTGAACCCACTTCACCCTAAGAGGTCCCTGCTTCTTACCTGTCTGATTCCAGAGCTCACAGCGCAAACAGGGACACCACTACCCTCACCAGCCGTTCCCATCTGCTGCTGTGTCCCCTCTGCCTCCAGGTCCCGTCAGCCTCTCTCTATGGGCATCTTCCCCCCACCCCTGCTTCTTTGGGTCTCAATACCCAGCTCCCCAGCCCAGTTACCTCCTCTGAATCTCTACCGTCTGCTGTCCCCTCTTCTCCCTGGATCTCTGCCCCACTTTTTGGGTCTATGTTTCCCTCTCTCTCTAGGTCTCTGTCCCCCTCTCTCTGGGTCTCTGTCCCTCTCTCTCTGGGTCTCTGTCCCTCTCTCTCTTTCTTTTTTTTTGGCAGATTTTTGCTTTTGTTGCCCAGGCTGGAGTGCGATGGCACGATCTTGGCTCACTGCAACCTCCGCCTCCCGGGTTCAAGCGGTTCTCCTGCCTCAGCCTCCCAGGTAGCTGGGATTACAGGCAGGTGCCACCACGCTAGGCTAATTTTTTGTATTTTTAGTAGAAACGGGGTTTCACCATGTTAGCCAGGCTGGTCTTGAACTCCTGACCTCAGGTGATCCACCGGCCTCAGCCTCCCAAAGTGCTGGGATTACAGGCGTGAGCCACCACGCCTGGATCTCTGTCCCTCTCTCTCTGGGTCTCTGTCCCTCTGTCTCTGGATCTCTGTCCCTCTGTCTCTGGGTCTCTGTCCCCCTCTCTCTGGGTCTCTGTCCCCCTCTCTCTGGGTCTCTGTTACCCTCTGGGTCTCTGTCCCCCTCTCTCTGGTTGTCTGTCCCCTCCCTGGGTCTCTTTCCCCTCCCTGGGTCTCTGCCCTGCTCACTCTGCCCCACCTCTCCCCAGGTATGACATTCTTCAGTCCTGCTGGCGGCCACCTGCCCAGCGCCCTTCAGCCTCTGATCTCCAATTGCAGCTCACCTACTTGCTCTCCGAGCGGCCTCCCCGGCCCCCACCGCCGCCACCCCCACCCCGAGACGGTCCCTTCCCCTGGCCCTGGCCCCCTGCACACAGTGCGCCCCGCCCGGGGACCCTCTCCTCACCGTTCCCCCTACTGGATGGCTTCCCTGGAGCCGACCCCGACGATGTGCTCACGGTCACCGAGAGTAGCCGCGGCCTCAACCTCGAGTGCCTGTGGGAGAAGGCCCGGCGTGGGGCCGGCCGGGGTGGGGGGGCACCTGCCTGGCAGCCGGCGTCGGCCCCCCCGGCCCCCCACGCCAACCCCTCCAACCCTTTCTACGAGGCGCTGTCCACGCCCAGCGTGCTGCCTGTCATCAGCGCCCGCAGCCCCTCCGTGAGCAGCGAGTACTACATCCGCTTGGAGGAGCACGGCTCCCCTCCTGAGCCCCTCTTCCCCAACGACTGGGACCCCCTGGACCCAGGAGTGCCCGCCCCTCAGGCCCCCCAGGCCCCCTCCGAGGTCCCCCAGCTGGTGTCCGAGACCTGGGCCTCCCCCCTCTTCCCTGCGCCCCGGCCCTTCCCAGCCCAGTCCTCAGCGTCAGGCAGCTTCCTGCTGAGCGGCTGGGACCCCGAGGGCCGGGGCGCCGGGGAGACCCTGGCGGGAGACCCTGCCGAGGTCTTGGGGGAGCGGGGGACCGCCCCGTGGGTGGAAGAAGAAGAGGAGGAGGAGGAGGGCAGCTCCCCAGGGGAAGACAGCAGCAGCCTTGGAGGTGGCCCAAGCCGCCGGGGTCCCCTACCCTGTCCCCTGTGCAGCCGCGAGGGGGCCTGCTCCTGCCTGCCACTGGAGCGGGGGGACGCCGTAGCAGGCTGGGGAGGCCACCCTGCTCTTGGCTGCCCCCACCCCCCCGAGGACGACTCCTCGCTGCGGGCAGAGCGGGGCTCCCTGGCCGACTTGCCCATGGCCCCCCCCGCCTCGGCCCCCCCCGAGTTTCTGGACCCCCTCATGGGGGCGGCGGCGCCCCAGTACCCCGGGCGGGGGCCACCTCCCGCTCCCCCCCCCCCGCCGCCACCTCCTCGGGCCCCCGCGGACCCGGCCGCGTCCCCCGACCCCCCTTCGGCCGTGGCCAGTCCCGGTTCAGGCCTCTCGTCGCCGGGCCCCAAGCCGGGGGACAGCGGCTACGAGACCGAGACCCCTTTTTCCCCAGAGGGAGCCTTCCCAGGTGGGGGGGCGGCCGAGGAGGAAGGGGTCCCTCGGCCGCGGGCTCCCCCCGAGCCACCCGACCCAGGAGCGCCCCGGCCACCTCCAGACCCGGGTCCGCTCCCACTCCCGGGGCCCCGGGAGAAGCCGACCTTCGTGGTTCAAGTGAGCACGGAACAGCTGCTGATGTCCCTGCGGGAGGATGTGACAAGGAACCTCCTGGGGGAGAAGGGGGCGACAGCCCGGGAGACAGGACCCAGGAAGGCGGGGAGAGGCCCCGGGAACAGAGAGAAAGTCCCGGGCCTGAACAGGGACCCGACAGTCCTGGGCAACGGGAAACAAGCCCCAAGCCTGAGCCTCCCAGTGAACGGGGTGACAGTGCTGGAGAACGGGGACCAGAGAGCCCCAGGCATCGAGGAGAAGGCGGCGGAGAATGGGGCCCTGGGGTCCCCCGAGAGAGAAGAGAAAGTGCTGGAGAATGGGGAGCTGACACCCCCAAGGAGGGAGGAGAAAGCGCTGGAGAATGGGGAGCTGAGGTCCCCAGAGGCCGGGGAGAAGGTGCTGGTGAATGGGGGCCTGACACCCCCAAAGAGCGAGGACAAGGTGTCAGAGAATGGGGGCCTGAGATTCCCCAGGAACACGGAGAGGCCACCAGAGACTGGGCCTTGGAGAGCCCCAGGGCCCTGGGAGAAGACGCCCGAGAGTTGGGGTCCAGCCCCCACGATCGGGGAGCCAGCCCCAGAGACCTCTCTGGAGAGAGCCCCTGCACCCAGCGCAGTGGTCTCCTCCCGGAACGGCGGGGAGACAGCCCCTGGCCCCCTTGGCCCAGCCCCCAAGAACGGGACGCTGGAACCCGGGACCGAGAGGAGAGCCCCCGAGACTGGGGGGGCGCCGAGAGCCCCAGGGGCTGGGAGGCTGGACCTCGGGAGTGGGGGCCGAGCCCCAGTGGGCACGGGGACGGCCCCCGGCGGCGGCCCCGGAAGCGGCGTGGACGCAAAGGCCGGATGGGTAGACAACACGAGGCCGCAGCCACCGCCGCCACCGCTGCCACCGCCACCGGAGGCACAGCCGAGGAGGCTGGAGCCAGCGCCCCCGAGAGCCAGGCCGGAGGTGGCCCCCGAGGGAGAGCCCGGGGCCCCAGACAGCAGGGCCGGCGGAGACACGGCACTCAGCGGAGACGGGGACCCCCCCAAGCCCGAGAGGAAGGGCCCCGAGATGCCACGACTATTCTTGGACTTGGGACCCCCTCAGGGGAACAGCGAGCAGATCAAAGGTGAGGAGGCTGCGGGGCACAGTCAGGGCTGAGGTCCGGCTGTTTCCGAGGCGTGCGGAGGGTGAGTGTGGGTAAACATGTCGGGTCGGGCTGGCAGTGATGAATGCAGGTCCTGAAGCCTGCACCACCTGGGCTCACATCGTGGCTCAGCCCCCTCTCTAGCTCTTTGGCCTTGGGCAAATGTCCTTGCTGCACGGTGCCTCAGTTTACCCATCTGCCAAAAACGGATGGCAGGGATAGAACCTACGTCATAGGGTTGCTGTGAAGGTTAAATGAATTAGGACATCCAAGGCACTTAATCAGAGCAAGGGATTCAGTAAGCACCTGCTTTTATTATTGCAACTCACTTAGACCAGGGGTCTCAAACTCATGCCCACAGGGGCCAGACGACATAGGGAAACGGATGAAGCATGCTAGGGAGGCAGAGTGGGGCTTCAGAAGAAAATGCCCTGTGTAGAAGGGGCAGCCACTTCTCAGGAATGTGCACCTGGTGTTGGCGAATCTGCTACTTTTCCCTTTTAAACTAGAGCTCTGGTTTTTATTTCTTTTGTTTTTATGGTTGCAGCCAGTTCAAAGGAAGCCTGTCTGTGGATGGCTCAAGGGCCCCAGGCTGCCAGCGTGTGCTGATTTAAACTTAATAAGCTGGCTGGGCTCTGTGGCTCATGCCTGTGATCCCAGCACTTTGGGAGGCTGAGGCAGGAGGATCACTTGAGGTCAGGAGTTTGAGACCAGCCTGGCCAACATGGCGAAACCCCATCTCTACTAAAAATACAAAAGTTAGCCAGGCATGGGCCGGGCATGGTGGGTGGCTCATGCCTGTAATCCCAGCACTTTGGGAGGCCGAGGTGGGCGGATCACCTGAGGTCAGGAGTTCAAGACCAGCCTGGACAACATGGCAAAACCCTGTCTCTATTAAAAATACAAAAATTAGCCAGGCTTTATGGTAGGCGCCTATAATCCCAGCTACTCGGAAGGCTGAGGCAGGAGAATCGTTTGAAGCCAGGAGGCGGAGTTTGCACCGAGCCGAGATTGTGCCACTGCACTCCAGCCTGGGCGATAAAGCGAGACTCTGTCTCAGAAAAAAAAAAAAAGAAAAGAAAAAGAAAAAAAGAAAAAATTAGCCAGCGTGGTGGCATGCACCTGTAGTCCTAGCTACTTGGGAGGCTGAGGCACAAGAATCACTTGATCCTGTGAGTCAGAGATTGCAGTGAGCCGAGATCACGTCACTGCACTCCAGCCTGGGTGACAGAGCAAGACTCTGTCTCAAACAAAACAAAACAAAACAAAACAAACAGAAACAAACAAACAACAACTTTCCAGTAAGCTAAGGCATCTATCCAGTGTGCCAGGCCTCCTGTGTTCGAGGCCCTGAGCTGCCCAAGGCTGGGACCCAGGGAGCTTCAGATCTTGCCCTGACAACTCCACCACCATAGGACTAGTGAGCTGGAAGGCACAGATATGCCTTTCTGAAAATTAAGTTTTGGTAGGAATGCAGGAAGTATTTTGCCACAGAGAAAACTCTTTAAGATAAATGAAGGGTAAAAATAAATAGCCCTTGTTTAGATGTGGACATAGGAAATACAGTTCCAGCAGAATCTCTGGGAGGCGCAACTTCTTTAAATACGGGTATGAAAGTTATAAGTGGCTGGGTCCTGTTTTATATTGGCAACCTCACAGCCACACTTGAGGAAACAGTTATCATCTCCATAGAGGAGCCTGTGGCTCAGTGGGCAAGGGTCAGGAAGTGGGCTGGACAGAGGACGTTTCTTCCTCATAGCCTGTGGTGTTCGAACACTGTCACTTCCTTGAGATTGTTGTAGGGAGTTTGTGAACAGCTGTATCAGGAAACAGCCCAGGCTGCATGAAAATGTTGGGAGATGAGCAGCTAAGATGCGTCAGAGGATCTGGGTTGGATTAGGATTGGGGGGTGAAAAGAGGCAGAGAATGGCCCGCTTTTTCCCAAGTGAACTACTCATCCTTCAAGACCCCAAATTTCCCCTTTCCAGGAAGCCTTCCCTAATTTTTAAAGGTTGTCAACCTGACCTTCATCTGGGTACTCATAACTCCAGAAAAACC
Organism: Homo sapiens; assembly: GCF_000001405.40. Lineage (NCBI taxonomy): Eukaryota > Metazoa > Chordata > Mammalia > Primates > Hominidae > Homo > Homo sapiens. The sequence goes on along the minus strand of NC_000019.10, from coordinate 48,495,316 downwards.
CCCTCTAGGCTGGGTGCGGTGGCTCACACCTGTAATCCCAGCACTTTGGGAGGCCGAGGTGGGAGGATCGCCTGAGGTCAGGAGTTCGAGACCAGCCTGGCCAACATGGTGAAACCCTGTCTCTACTAAAAATACAAAAATTAGCTGAGCGTGGGGGCAGGCACCTGTAATCCCAGCTACTCGGGAGGCTGAGGCAGGAGAATCGCTTGAACTCAGGAGGCGGAGGTTGCAATGCGCCGAGATCGTACCACTGCACTCCAGCCTGGGCGACGAGAGCAAGACTTCATTTCAAAAAAAAAAACAAAAAAAACACTCCCTCTATGAAGCATCGCCCATAACCCCATCACCCTGAGATGTCTGGTCAACAAAAGTGTGACTTTTGAGCAGATGTGAAGGAAAGGAGGGAGTGAGGCAGGTGGACATCGGTGGGAGAGTGTTCTAGAGAGGGCACTGAGATGTGCACTGGCTCACCATGTTTAGAGAATAGCAAAAGGTAGTAAAACTTGAGTAGAGAGAACGAGGACCTGAGAGGGACCGTCTGCATTCATCTTTCTCCCTGCCCCACCTCCACCCTCCTCTTGCCCCTGCCATCAGCTCAGAAAGGGCAGTTCACTTATGCAGTAATGGAGGGCTAAGTGACCCTTGTTCATTTGCCAGTGAGGAAACAGAGGCTCAGAGAGGTGGATCTGGCCGGGTGTGGTGGCTCATGCCTGTAATCCCAGCACTTTGGGAGGCCAAAGAGGGCAGATCATAAGGTCAGGAGTTCAAGACCAGCCTGGCCAGCATGGTGAAACCCCGTCTCTACTAAAAATACAAAAAATTAGCCGGGCATGGTGGCACGTGCGCCTGTAGTCCCAGCTATTCGGTGGGAGGAATGGTGGGGTGGCCCATGTGGCTAGATGGAGGTCAGGCCAGAGGAGGTGGGGACAGAGGCCAGAGAAATCAGGTAGGCCAGGGCATGAGGGCCTGGTGGGCTGTGGGAAGTTGCGGCTTAAAGCCGTTGGCACTGGGGAGCTCTGGGGAGGTTGAGCACTGGAGAGGACCTTTCCCACCCTGCCTGGAGAAGCCCTGGTGCAGCCCTTCCGTTCACAAAGTGGGTGCTGAGGCCCAGATTGTGCGGGGGTCTTATCTGAGGCCACACAGCTAGGTGGGAGGGCCTGCCTCAGTTTCACCGGGACAGGGGCTCACCAGGTCTCTCCCCTCGCAGCCAGGCTCTCCCGGCTCTCGCTGGCGCTGCCGCCGCTCACGCTCACGCCATTCCCGGGGCCGGGCCCGCGGCGGCCCCCGTGGGAGGGCGCGGACGCCGGGGCGGCTGGCGGGGAGGCCGGCGGGGCGGGAGCGCCGGGGCCGGCGGAGGAGGACGGGGAGGACGAGGACGAGGACGAGGAGGAGGACGAGGAGGCGGCGGCGCCGGGCGCGGCGGCGGGGCCGCGGGGCCCCGGGAGGGCGCGAGCAGCCCCGGTGCCCGTCGTGGTGAGCAGCGCCGACGCGGACGCGGCCCGCCCGCTGCGGGGGCTGCTCAAGTCTCCGCGCGGGGCCGACGAGCCAGAGGACAGCGAGCTGGAGAGGAAGCGCAAGATGGTCTCCTTCCACGGGGACGTGACCGTCTACCTCTTCGACCAGGTGCGGAACCCGAGAGGGCGCGGTTTCGGGGTCGCGGCCTGGAGGGAGCAGGAGCCTAGAGCCGGGAAGGGCCTGGCGGGAGGCCGAGCTTAGAGTTGGGCGGGGCCTGGAGGGAGGCGGAGCTGGAGTGGGGCGGGGCCTGAAGGGAGGCCGAGCTAGGGTGGGGCGGGGCCTGGAGGGAGGCCGAGTTAGAGTGGGGCGTGGCCTGAAGGGAGGCCGAGCTGGAGTGATGCGGGGCCTGGAGGGAGGGCAAGCTGAATTGGGGTGGGACCTAAGGGGAGCCCCAATCTAGAGTGGGGCGGGGCCTGGGGCGGGGCCGAGCTAGAGTGGGGCGGGGCCCAGGGAGAGGGCGGGCTGGGGGGCGGAGCCCAGGGCGGGGCCTGGAGGGAGGTCGAGCCTAGAGGTGCAGGGCCTGGGGCGGGGCCTAGACGAAGGCTGAGCTTAGGGTGGGGCGGGGTCTACAGCAGGGTTTGAAGGCAGGCTGAGCCTAGAGCGGGGGCGGGGCCTGGAAGGAGACCGCGCCTAGGATCGGGACAGAGTCTGGATCCGGGCCTGAGGGAGGCCAAGTCTGTGGCGCGGCAAGAGGAGGCCTGGAGAAAATCCAAGGCTGGAATGGGGGCGGAGCCTAGGGCGGGGCGGATGGAGCAGGGCGCGGGAAGGGCCTGAGGGGTGAAGGCGGGGTCTGGGGAGAGACTGGTCAGGGAAATGGGGCGGGACTAGGAAGATGGGAGGAGGCTTTGAGTGTGAGGGCAGGGCCTGGCAATGGGGCAGGGCCAGGAGTATGGGCCGAGCCTAGAGCTGGGGCGGGACCTAGGGTGAGGGCAGGGCTTGTGACGGGGGCGTGGTCTAGAGGGCGAGGAGAGGTCTGGAGAGAGAGTGTGGGTCTGGAAGGAAAGAGGGGGTACTGGGTAGTCAAGTATGGGATCCTGGAGAGGCTAGGGAGGAAGTGTTGAGAAGAGGCCTGGATGGTGAAGGGGCCTAGTGAGAGTTTGGGCATGGTTTGTTGACTAGAGTTCTAGTGTCTGTAGGCTGGTTCGGGTTGGAGCAGATCTTACCCACTAGGGAAGGGCCATGGCTAGGCTGCAGGTGGGCTTCAGAGATGGAGCAGGCAGTCTTAACGTATTCTGGGGTGAGGTCAGGGATGAGCGAACCTAACGACTGGGACGGGTCTTTAGAGAGATGGGTTGAGGAATGTGTTAAGAGTTAGGCCTGTCCCGGGTGGCTCACGCCTGTAATCCCAGCACTTTGGGAGGCCGAGGCGGGAGGATCACTTGAGGTCAAGAGTTCGAGACCAGCCTAGCCAAAATGGCGAGACCTCGTCTCTTAAAAAGAAAAAAATTATCTTGGTGTGGTGGTGCGCATCTGTAGTCCCAGCTACTTAGGAGGCTCAGGTGGGAGGATCGCTTGAGCCCAGGAGGTTGAGGCTGCATTGAGCCATGATCACAACACTGCTCTCCAGCCTGGGCGACAGTGAGACTCTGTCTAAAACAAAAAGAAAAACACAGGATATGGTGTTGAAGAGAAAAAGGGAGGGCGAGTGGTGCTGAGGAACTGGGACCTTGTCTAGATGAACCTGGGGCGGGCATACTGGGCTGAGATTATGAAAGGAATGGAAACAAGGCCAAGAACTGGGGCCTGGGCCACTGAAATGTTTTCAGAGGGGTGGGACTTGGAGGGCGGGAGCAGGTCTACTTCTGAGGGAGGGCTCAGGGGCAGGGTCACAGCATCCAGCACGGCATGCGCTCAGGATGGGGCAGGGGTTGGGAGGGCCACTGGAGCAGGTCAAGATCTCAGAGGTGGGTGGGACTGACGTGGACGGGGTGGGGCTTATGGAGATCGCTTTGGGTTAGGGGATCCGGTGGAGGCCTCACGTTAATGAGCCAGGAGAGAATCCCTGCGTTGGGCTACTTAGCTGTGCGCGGGGCTCCGCTGTCAGGAAAGGAGCCTCTGGCCAGGTTGAGGTTAAGGCTGGCCCAAGGCTTCGAAGCCAGATTAGGGGCTCCAGCCACCTCTCCAGAGCGTGCGAGTCAGTGATTACAAATTGGGATTCCTAGAGCCCCAGAAATATTAGCCGGTTTTGTTGCTTTTGGGGGATGCGGTAAATGGGACGTGAAGGTTTGTCCCCTCTGGCTTCCCCCTAATCTGCCTTCACAGGAGACGCCAACCAACGAGCTGAGCGTCCAGGCCCCCCCCGAGGGGGACACGGACCCGTCAACGCCTCCAGCGCCCCCGACACCTCCCCACCCCGCCACCCCCGGAGATGGGTTTCCCAGCAACGACAGCGGCTTTGGTGAGGACGGGCCCTATGGGGCGGGAGGGGGCGGGAGCCATGGGGCGGACGGGGCGGGGTCTATGGGGTGGGAGGGGCTTGGTCGGGAGGGGCGGGACCAGAGGGCGGGAGTGCCGCAGGTGTCTGCAGCCTGACCGCGGTCTTTCCTTCTGCCGCAGGAGGCAGTTTCGAGTGGGCGGAGGATTTCCCCCTCCTCCCCCCTCCAGGCCCCCCGCTGTGCTTCTCCCGCTTCTCCGTCTCGCCTGCGCTGGAGACCCCGGGGCCACCCGCCCGGGCCCCCGACGCCCGGCCCGCAGGTACCATATCCTCGGCCCTGCCCCCTCCTCTGCCCATCTCTGTCCCCCTATGTTCCACTGCCAACTTCTTGTGACCATCTTTCAATGTCCCTGCCTCTCTCTTCCCAGTCTCTTCTCTCTCCCCTCTCAGTCAACAGACACCCCACCCAGCTCTGGAACCAGCTCAGACCAGGCGACGTCCATCAGACGGTCGTAGGCAGGCAGGCCGGCCGTCCCCAACCCCCGAGCCTCAG